>NC_000023.11:2762488-3387488 GCF_000001405.40 Homo sapiens
GGTGAGCTTGAGCATTAGGGAGTCCCTGGATATTCATGTTGAGGTGTGGAGGAGGAGACTCCAGCTGTGTTTGATTTCCTGTCCTGCTGGAAATATAAACTTCTTAACCAATTAGAGAACAGAATGGATTTCATCTTATCCATGGGGCTAAAGTAGAATTCAGCCCTTGGCAAACAAGCCCCCCGGGAATAAGATTCCCCATTGGGGCAGCAGCCTTCCTTGTCACTTTCTGTTGCAACCTACGGTCCTAACCTAGTCATATGATTTAATTTTTTTTACTCTGTGAATCATGCCGTCCTGGGAGAGAGTGAGATGGAGCAAGGACAACCCTCTTAGGGGCCTGCCAGGCACTCTCCCTAGCATGGAAATAAAGGAAAACCTTGAGTTCCTTCAAGGGAAATTCCAGGCACCTCGCTGGCCTTGAGAAGTACATGGAGCAGCTTGATAAGCAAGAAGGTGATTGTAGTGTAGAACAATAGCCAAGGAAGTTAGAGCCTCAATATGTTTAGTTTCCTGTAAAGACTAAAGATAACATCCTTTTTTGAGATGGAGTCTTGCTCTGTCACCCAGGTTGCAGTGTAGTGGTGCAATCTTGGCTCAGTGCAACCTCCAGCACCTCCTGGGTTCAAGTGATTCTCATGCATCAGCCTCCCAAGTAGCTGGGACTACAGGTGCACACCACCACGCCCACATTTTTGTATTTTTAGTAGACACAGGGCTTCCCCATGTTGGCCAGTCTGGTCTGGAACTCCTGACCTCAGGTAATCTGCCTGCCCTGGCCTCCCAAAGTGCTGGGATTGCGGGTGTGAGCCACCATGCCCAGCCAAGATAACATCTTACTATATGGCCCTGAGTTGATTTTCAGGAACCCAGACCCCCACCAAATAAAAAATGCCATCTGCTGGCTCATAGACGTTGGGTAAGAGAAACTGAGGCCTGAATTCTCATTACAAATGTTTGTTCTAAATTCCTTCCCTGGGGCATGTGGCGGTGGGAGGGGGGTGGAAGGGGGGTGAGGGGACGTGCTGGAGGAAGTCACACCAATGGCCACAACTAACATTGATTTCTGCTGACCCCAAATGCTCAGACAAACTTGGCCTCCTTAACCAATGACAAATCAGAGAAACTTTGAATCCACATTAAGCCCCTGCTTCCAGGTATCCCGCCTTTTTAGATCAAAGCAATGTATAGCCTGCATGTATTATGGCTTTGCCTGTAACCTCTGCCTCCTTGCCATTGAAAACCCTCAGCTACTGGCCACCCAGGAGGTTGGGTCTTGAGGCATCAAGGAGGTTGCTTGATGCCCTCTAAATAGCTCGGAATAAACGCCTCACTTCCTCACGCTGCAATCCCAATGGCGGTGTTCGGCTTTACTGCACAGGGCCGGTGGACCTAAGTTGAGTTAGTGGGAGGTGTTCGAACCAGGGCAACTCCAGGTTGAGTAGGGGCTGTGTAAAATGAGGCCGAGAGCTGCCGGGCTGCATTCCCGGATGGTCAAGGCATTCTAAGGCACAGGATGAGATAGGAGGTTGACACAAGAAACAAGTCATAAAGACCTTGCTGATGAAACAGCTTGCCGTAAAGAAGTCGGCCAAATTTTACCAAATCCAAGATGGCGATGAGAGTGACCTCGGGTGGTCCTCACTTGTGTCTTCCCACCAGCACCATGACAGTTTACAAATGCCACGGCAATGTCAGGAAGTTACCCTATATGGTCTAAAAAGAGGAGGCATGAATGGGCCACTCCTTGTTTAGCATATCCTCAAGAAAGAACCATACAAATGGGCAACCAGTGGCCCTCGGGGCTGCTCCGTCTATGGAGGAGCCATTCTTTATTCCTCTGCTTTTCTAATAAACTTGCTTTCATTTTATGGACTCGCCGCAAATTCTTTCTTGTGCAAGGTCCAAGAACCCTGTCCTGGGGTCTGATTCCAGACCTCTTTCCGGTCACAAGTTCAGTCACAAGAACCATTATCATATGCTTTCTATATATACACATAGGTATTTTTTAATTGCTGAACTGGAGTCAAAGAGAAACCTTAGGATTTGCCTGAAGGAAGTCAAGATTTGTCCTTCTCGGGGTCCCTGTGCCAGCTTTGTAAAACCTCGGAACTTTCCCCTCTGTGGGCTTCCTCAAGCTGAGGAGGGCTCTATGGGCTTAGTACCCACTAAGTGGCTTCATCTGCAGCAGCTGACCCAAGAAAGTTGATTTAAATGAACCCACACTTCAGAGGAAACCAGTACAATCCGATGTAAAGAAATAAAAAATAGGCCGGGGGCGGTGGCTCATGCCTGTAATTACAGCACTTTGGGAGGCCGAGGCGGGTGAATCACTTCATGCCAGGAGTTCAAGACCATCCTGGCCAACATGGTGAAACCCCGTCATTACTAAAAACACAAAAATTACCTGGGCGTAGTGGCATGCACCTGTAGTCCCAGCTACTCAGGAGACTGAGGCACTAGAAGCGCTCGAACCAGGGAGGCAGGGGTTGTAGTGAGCCGAGAGTGCGCCATTGCACTGCAGCCTGGGCAACATAGTGAGATTCTTTATCCAAAAAAAAAAAAAAAAAAAAAAAAGGCTAGGCACGGCGGCTCATGCCTGTAATCTCCGCACTTTGGGAGGCCAAGGTGGGTGGATCACGAGGTCAGGAGTTTGAGACCAGCCTGGCCAACATGGTGAAACCCCATCTCTACTAAAAATAAAAAAAATTAGTTGGGCATAGTAGGGGGCGCCTGTAATCCCAGCTACTCAGGAGGCTGAGGCAGGCGGGAGAATCAATTGAACCTGGGGGGCAGAGGTTGCAGTGAACAGAGATTGCGCCATTGCACTGCAGCCTGGGCAACATAGTGAGGTTCTGTATGAGAGAAAGAGAGAAAGAGGGAGGGAGGGAAGGAAGGAAGGAAGGAAGGAAGGAAGGAAGGAAGGAAACAATTGCTTGAAAGGGCTTTGTTTCACCAGGGCACGCAGATCAAAGGACATTGGATTGAATAATGAAACAGAAGAGCCTGTCTGAATTTACTAATGTGGTTGCACGTCCCGTAATGATTGCAGTTGGCTCTAATTCAGTTCCGTGGTGTATAAATTCTGCTGGCAATAGCTGTAATTGGGGTCAGGGATTTAGATAGTCTCTGTGTGTTCCTTTTCATTTTCTGCTCAGAGCCTGCTGGGAGCTGATTTTCTTCTTTAAAGCGAGGTAAATAATTCAGTGGGGAGCAGAGGTTTTGCTGTGGGTCCATTGCTCTCCTGTGCTGCGTGGCAGCTGTGCTGGTGGCAGCTAATATTCAGTGGGCAGTGGCCTCGACATTGCATTATTATTCGAGCAATGGTACTGTTCTTTGCTTTGCAAAATTGCTGTTTGTTATATTGACTTTCTGGGGTCGTGGCCCCTGAAGCATTACTGAAAATCATGGACATGAAGCAGATTTATTAACTGGAGAAAAGACATACAAATGTATTTAATGTGTATACACGGGAGCATTCAGAATGAAGACCCCAAGTTACAAGGGGAGATTGTCTATATTTATGCTTTGGTTCATCCAAGTCTGGACAGCTGTGTAGAAATAGGGTTGGACAAAAAGGGCCTGATCCAATGCTAATGGCCTGAGTGGGGAAACCCAGCCAGGCCTGTGTGTCTAGATTCTTCTTGGCCTCTCTCTCTCTCTTTTTTTTTGAGACGGAGTCTCACTCTGTTGCCAGGCTGGAGTGCAGTGGCACAGTCTTGGCTCACTGCAATCTCCACCTCCCAGGTTCAAGCAATTCTCCTGCCTCAGCCTCCTGAGTAGCTGGGATTACAGGCACGCACCACCACGCTCAGCTAAGTTTTGTATTTTTAGTAGAGACGGGGTTTCACCATGTTGGCCAGGATGGTCTCGATCTCTTGACCTTGTGATCTGCCCTCCTCGGCCTCCCAAAGTGCTGGGATTACAGGCGTGAGCCACCGCACCCGGCCTCTTCTTGGCCTCTCTGAACAGTGCTCCTTCCTTCCGGGTATGGGGCTGGGAGCTTCTCTGGGATGGGGGGTCTTAGGACGCCCAAACAAGGCAGGTCAGGGAATTTCCTTATGGCCACTTTTTTTTTTTTTTTTTTTTTTTTCAAGACAGATTCTTGCTCTGTCACCCAGGCTGGAGTGTACTGGTGTGAACTCGGCTCACTGCAAGCTCCGCCTCCCGGGTTCACGCCATTCTCCTGCCTCAGCCTCCCGAGTAGCTGGGACTACAGGCGCCCGCCACCACACCCGGCTAATTTTTTTGTATTTTTACTAGAGACGGGGTTTCACCGTGTTAGCCAGGATGGTCTCGATCTCCTGACCTCGTGATCCGCCTGCCTCGGCCTCCCAAAGTGCTGGGATTACAGGTGTGAGCCACCGCGCCCAGCCTGTGCCACTCTTTATACAGATAGGATAGAGGGAAAGTTAGATTCCTGTTTTTAGGTTTTATGGCTGGCTTCGGGGGGAAAGGCGTTCTTGTTTCTGGGACCCGTCTTGGGGAAGAGGGATTCTAGTTCCTTCGGTGCCTTAGGGGAGAATGGGACTCAGAGACATGGGGGCTGGAGAAGTTCCGAGAGAAACTTCTGCTTCTGAGGCTGCTGCTGAGGCCTGCACTTGGCGGTATTGTTTCGTAAGCCTGAACCACGTGCAGGTCTGAATCAACATAAAGAATTTGGGTGGGAGGCAGGGGAACTCCAATAAGAAGCATCTTTGAATCCGGCAGGGGTGGAATTTGGGTCCCAGAGGGGTTTGGTGACTGCAGGCTACAGAAGAATGCTTCAAAGTGCTGTATCACATGGCTTTGCTCCGAAGGGTCCCGAGCACAGCTTTACCGGGGGCTCATGTGTAACGCTCGGCCCACCCATCCACCAACAGGAGCCACTTAATCGACATCTCCAGGATGCCAGCAACCGAGGACCGTTGTCATAGTCCCAGCACAAAATGAGGCTGCTTTCTTCTTGGGGGTTTAGGGATCCCAGACCACAAGGATTTGATTAAAAGCCGCTCAGTTCACTAACTATAAGCAAAGCAAATCAGAAATAGATCTCCTGTTCCTGCCCCGTCTTATGTTCCCAGTGGAAAATAAACCCCGTGAAAGCAATGGCGTCATGTGCAACCCGACCTTGGAGACAGAGACCCCAGAGTTAGCGTTGTCTACCTGGGACATCTCCCAGCCCAGGGGTCTTACTCCAGACCCGTGAGGACCCCAGGCGTGGCTTTGCTGCAACTTCCCTGGAGAGGAGAGAGGACAGGGGGCCCTGCCTGGGAGATAGATTTGCTGCCTGGCATGCGGGACTGGAGACTGTCTCAGTGCCCAGGCCGTCTGATGCTGGCCGGAGTCCGCCTGGTTTATGTAACGAGGTCTGGATGTGACCAACAACGGCCTCGTGTGTGTGAGTCACGCGTGCAGCAACTTCTGGCTGTAGTGCAACCCCTGAAACCAAGCAAAGCCTAAAGCCCCCAGGCTCCACTTCCTCTGTGACCCTCCCCACCCCCAATTCCTGTCATCTCTCAGGGTCATCCGGAGCATCTCAAAGCTGAAGGAGCCTCCGCTGCAACCTGGCCTCCTGCTGCAGGATGAGACGAGCTGTCTGCAGCCCTCCCGTGCCACCTGCCTGTTTTATGCAACAGCATTTCAGAGAGGAGGGACTGGGAGGGGAGAGACAACACCGAGGCCTTTGGTTATTTAGGGCAACAGCAGGGAGTGGCCGGGTGCACAGATTGGAGGAGATTAAGTGGTTGCTGAGGGGATGCCTGGGATTGCTGGGATGGGCGGAGACATAACACAGTGAAAGATATTGGTCAACGGCGAACACAGATTGGAATGTAAATTCTCAGGGTGTGTGCATAGCCGGGACGCTTAACTTTGGCGTCCTGGACAGGTGTCTCGACTGGAACTGCTGGCAGCCTTGGAGGGGAGATGTTGCACAGATCCAAGAGGCTGACACGGTTCCTGTCCCCCAGCCCAGTCTGAGCAGCTTGGACCATGATGATCAAGAGCGCTGGAGGAGGCCAGGTGCGGTGGCTCACGCCTGTAATCCCAGCACTTTGGGAGGCCAAGGCAGGTGGGTCACTTGAGGTCAGGAGTTCGAGACCAGCCTGGCCAACATGGTGAAACCCTGTCTCTACTGAAAATACAAAAGTTAGCTGGGCGTGATGGCATGCACCTGTAATCCCAGTTACTCAGACGGCTGAGGCACAAGAATCGTTTGAACCCAGGAGGTGGGAGTTGCAGTGGGCTGAGATTGTGCCACTGCACTCCAGCCTAGGCGACAGAGAGAGACGCCATCTAAAAACAAAACAAACAAAAAGAAAACAACAATAAAGAAAAAATAAGAAGAGAGCTGGATGGAGCAAAGATTTGCTGGGTTGTTCTTAAAGGCGAGCCTGTAGTGATCGCTGGTAACAGAGAACGTCATCTGAGAGGGACGTGGGGGCTCCCAGAGTTTGAGAGAAACGGCCGTGTGGGATTTGACCTGTGATGGCACCGCCAGCTCCCAGCCTCCAGTCTGGGCCCAGGGGCAGCTGCTGTGTGCACCCTGGGCTCAGAGTTCCCCTTCCCTCCAAGGTTTGTGACTTTGTCCTGACTTAGGGATTCCTGTCTGGGGATGCGTCTTCTGCTCCGGAGAGGCCCTAATTGCCTCCACAAGGAGCGGCAAAGCCTGCCCGGGTGGCATCTGACTGGAGCCATGCCACAGCCTATACGAATCTATGTTGGAGCCCTTGAACCTTCCCCCAGAGCAAGCGTCACCGAGGCAGACCGATTTTTGGGAGGGAGACAGACATCAGAGCGGGGGAGACCCAGTACCTAGGGCTCACCTGGTTCCCCCAGGCTTAGCCTCCTCCAGGGCTTAGTGTTTGAGTGAGAGATTGTCCCCCCTGGACAATTCTGTAGATTCTGACTCTGCTCCTGCCTTGCCCTGAACTTCCCAGAACCTCAGTTTCTTCCTTTGGGAAATATGCATGCTGGTCATACCAACATCCTTGGGTGGGCAGATGAGACTCTTGGGTGCCTGGCATTACTGCAACAGAACTCAATGCATAGTAAGTGCTGACTCAATGTGCTCCTGGCTGCATCCTCTACTTCCTGATAAATTCTCTGGTGGTGTTTTCTCTACAAGGCTAGTACTGGCAGGGGCAAGTGAGGAACAAGATCAAGGTGTGCATATATGTCAGCAAGAGGGACCCTTCACCCTCACAAATTCTGCAGTGTGTTTTTAATGATGTGTCCCAAAGATGTGAATGTTCTCTTCTCTCTGCTGCAGACACATTCATTAGATTAACTGCTTTTGGATCAGGTAGGAACCTCAGCTTGTCCACACAGGTTGCTTCCTGACCCTGTATTTGTCAGTGTAGGCTAGCTGCTATAACAAACAGCCCCCAAAGAATTAAAAGTTTATCTCTTGTTTGTGTTGCAGCCAGGTGAGGTGGCAAAGGTGTCCTATGCTCCATATAGTCTCTCAGGCATCCAGGACCCTCACATTGTTGTGCTTCACCTTCTTCTAGGGCAGCCCCTCTCAACCTAGACTCTGTGCGTGTGTGGAGGGGTGGGGGGGGCGTTGGGGGGCGGGGATATGCCTGTCCTAAGCTGTGAGTGGGACAGTCCAGGAGAGAAGTCTATGTGCTTGGAGAGAGGCTTCCTTCAAAGTTTCCTGGCCATGAGCAGGAATGAAGCTCTGACACAGGTTGCAACGTGAACGCAACTCAAGAGCATCATGCTCAATGAAAGAAGCCAGGCACAAAATACCACATATTGTAGAATTCTATTTATAAGAAATTTGCAGAACAGACAATTCATGGAGACAGAAAGTGGATAGTGGTTGTCAGGGGCTGGGGAGGCGGGAGGGGAACTAACTGCTGAATGGGGACAGGGGTCTTCTTTTGGGTGATGAGTATGCTCTGGGACTAGGTGGAGGTGGTGGTTGCATCTCCCATGTAGCTCATGGTCAGGTTAGTTTTAGTGCTCTGGGCGACCCTAGGCTTGCAGGAGGAGGGGAGCAGCATGAGGTGAGGAACAAGGGGGATTCTGGCCTTTCCATCATGGGGTGACTTATGCCCTGTTTGCTCCCAATAGGTCAAAGAGACTTTGATTTGGCAGATGCCCTTGATGACCCTGGTAAGTGCCGATATTTCAAGGGGAGCCTTCCCTTTTCAGCTTGGATCTAACAGCATCAGCTGTATAGTTACTTTGGGGTTGGATTGGGCCAGTGTTGGGAATTTCTTGGTCTTGAGATCTCTGTTCTTTGCAGGAGATTGCAGACACCTTGAGACAAACCTTTACACACTCTCTAAAAGTCTCAGACTCATTTCTTGGTAGGTCTGTGCTTCTAAACCTGTGGTTTAGGAATATGCTAGTATTTTATTATTTTATTTTACTTTATTTTGTTGAGATGGGAGTCTCGTTCTGATGCCCAGACTGGAGTGCAGTGGTGCAATCATAGCTTACCACATAGCCTCGACTTCCTGGCTCAAGTGATCCTCCCACCTCAGCCTCCCAAGTAGCTGGAACAACAGGTGTGTGCCCCCATGCCAAGCTAATTTTTTTCTTTTTTCTTTTTTGTAGAAACGGATTCTCACTATGTTGCCCAGGCTGGTCTTGAACCCCTGGGCTCAAGAAATCCTTCTACCTTGGTTTCTCAAAACACTGGGATTACAGACGTGCCTCAACATGCCTGGCCCAGTTTCTGCTTTTCTTACACTTCAGTTCATATCCCTCATTGTCCCACACCCCGATCCCAATCCATGGCCTCCAATCTCCCCAGTTTCTGCTTTTCTTACACTTCAGTTCATATCCCTCATTGTCCCATACCCCGATCCCAATCCATGGCCTCCAATCTCCCCTCCCAGAGCACACTTCATTCCGTTCTCCCCTCAACTTCTCTGGTTACCTTCACTGACGGGGCTGTGAGTTTTTCTTCTCCAGGGCACTGAGGACCTGGAATCTTCCCATTCTGTGTTTTCATCAGTCCAAGTTCAGCTAGAACCTTTCTGGCTGACCAGAATGCTGAAAATATGTGTCCTGGGCCCTGCAGAAAGTCCTGCTTGAGGCAGATAGTCTGATTGAGATTCAGGTGTATTCAGACCGCGGTGGGTGGGAGAAAGGGAAAGATTTGGTTTCTGATGCAGGCACAATGGAACCAAACATTTATTTTGAAAGAAAAATAAACTTTTGTGTACACAGAGGAAGAATCCATTGGGCTTTAGCATTGGGAACAACTGGTTGACCAGTGCAGTTACATAATGGTGTTTGTTGGAGGAAGAGAGAATGATAACCAGATCTGATCCTAAAAAGCCAACAACAAGATGATAGGAACTCATCTCTCTCCCAGTTTTCTGCACACAGTGATGTTTTTGCTAATAATTATCCTAAAAGGCAGATACAAAATTGTTGTCAGTGCAACAGGAAAATGTAATGACTCACCCCAACATGGAGATGCCATTTCTCCCATGAAGTTAGAAAAGGTGAAGGTTGAATCCTACCCTGTCAAGGCAGATTGAGGGGTGGGGGTTAGAGGCAGGTGTGTGGTTGCAACCACTTTGGAAGCATTGGGGGATTATCTCCAAAATTCAGACTGAGTGTGTTGCACCAGCGTTTGGTCTGGATAAAGAATGAGGCATATCTGCAAGAGAACCCTGTGCAATAGTGAAGGAGGGGCTGGCTGGTAGGCTCAGATACAGAACAAGACATGTTATTGATCTGAAAGATCACTGACATGTGACCCAGGAGTTCCACTTCTAGACAGATACCCAAGAGAATTGGGAGCAGGGACTCAAACAGTTATTTGTGTACCCATGTTTGCAGCAGCAATATTCACAATAAGCCAAAGGTGGAAACAACCCAACTGTCCATCAGGGGATGAATGAATGAACAGAATGTGGTCCCTCCAGGCAACAGAATATGATTTGGCTGTAAAAAGGAAGGGGGTTCTGATGCGTGCTACATGAGCCTTGAAACTGTGCTCAGTGAAACAAGCCAGGCACAAAAGGCCACAGGGTGTAGGATCCCATTAATATGAAATGTCCAGAATAGGCAAATTCAGAGAGACAGAAAGTGGATTAGCGATTGTTGGGCTGGAAGAGGGGACAAAAGGGAGGGACTGCTCGTGGCTATGGGGTCTCCTTTTGGGGGGATGAAACTGTTCTGGAACTAGATACAGGTGGTGATTGTACAATATTGTGAATATATGAAACACCATTGAATTGCACACTTTAAAATGTCAAATTTTATATGTGAGTTTCACATTAATTTTTTAAAAATCACATAAATAAACTTATTTTCCACTCACCTGCTACTACCTTTTCATTGCTCACCTAGAAGGCTGCCAGTGCCTGCAAACACATCTTTGAATGCATCGTTTTGCTACCAAGAGCCCCCCATGAATGGGCAGGCATGTGCCTGTTCATCCACAGCCCTTCCTCATGGGAAGGAAGCCCCAGTGCAGAGGAACCACAGTCACCTGCATGGCGACTGTGGGGAATTCACTTTTCACTGTCTATACTGCCTGGGCTTTAAGAAACTCTGTGAGTGTATCACTATTTTAAAAAATAGTTATAATTTTACATTTTAAAAAGGAGACAGAGAAAGGAAGGATGGGAGAGAGGGAGGGAGGGTGGGAGGAGGAAGGAAGGGAAAAGGAAGAGAAGAAAGAAAAGAAGGAAACAATGAAAGGACAGAGGAAAACAGGGAGGGAGGGAGGAAAAAGGATGGAAACAAGGAGGGAAGAAAAGGAAGAAGAGAGGGAACGATGGAGGGAAGGAAGGAAGAAGAAAGGAGAGGAGATAAGAAAAGACTGAGGGGAGGAAGGAAGAAGGAGAGGAATGAAGGAGGAAGGGAAGAAAGGAGGGGGGAAGGAAAGAAAGAAAAATAGGAGAAGAAAGGAAGAAAGAAAAAGAATAAGGGAAGGACGGAGGGAAGGAAGGAGAGAGGGAGAGGAGAAAGGTTGGAGGGGAGGAAGGAAGAAAGGAGGGTGGGGAGGAAGGAAAGAAGAAGGGGGAAAAGGAGAGAGGGAAGGAAGGAAGGAAGGAGAGAAGGAAGGAAGGAGAGAAGGAAGGAAGGAGAGAAGGAAGGAAGGAGAGAAGGAAGGAAGGAGAGAAGGAAGGAAGGAGAGAAGGAAGGAAGGAGAGAAGGAAGGAAGGAGAGAAGGAAGGAAGGAGAGAAGGAAGGAAGGAGCGAAGGAAGGAAGGAGAGAAGGAAGGAAGGAGAGAAGGAAGGAAGGAGAGAAGGAAGGAAGGAGAGAAGGAAGGAAGGAGAGAAGGAAGGAAGGAGAGAAGGAAGGAAGGAGCGAAGGAAGGAAGGAGCGAAGGAAGGAAGGAGAGAAGGAAGGAAGGAGAGAAGGAAGGAAGGAGAGAAGGAAGGAAGGAGAGAAGGAAGGAAGGAAGAAGGGAGGGCAGGAAGGGAGAGGGAGGTGGCAGGAAGGAGAAAAGGTGATGAGAAACCTTCTATTAAAATACAGGACATGCGAAACCATATGCCCCGTTTGGAGGTTCAAGCTCTCCTTCTTGCAGTCTCTGCATCCCCAGTGAATGTCCGCACCACACACAAACCCGTGTTCCAGCCGCCTCCTACCAAGGCAATGCTAGGCTGTTATGTAAACCATGCTTTCAAATACGGTGTTTCCTCTGTTTGGAAGAAGTCTGGCCATTGCACAGCCCTGAAGCTCCAATTTTCCCAGCCATGGCCGACTCCACCTCCTTTGAGCCATCTTCCTCAAACCTCCTCCTGCCCTCGTCTGCCCATCCACACTGCACACCCAGGTTCACTAAGCAGGGCAGTCACAGGCTGCACCCTGAGCACTCCTGACCTGATATCCACATCCATGCAATACATATTTGCTGAATGAATAAATGAATGAATGAAAGAAAGTGAGATAAGCCATCATTCTGGAAGCTGCAAGTCTTTCTCCTTCTTTTCTTTTGCCTCCCCCTGCCTCACCCTCCACCGTCCAGCCCTGTGGTGGCTCTACGGGCAGGTGGCTCACTTACTTGTCTTGGATGTTCTCAGCTACTTTGGCCATCCTGTGGGCATCCTCACAGCCTCAAGGGTGGATTGTTTTTGAATGGATTTTAAGGGTGTTTTCTTGTCTTTTTTCTCAATTCAACATGGAATTTGTGTCTATATCATTTACTTTGTATGGCTTTGTCACTCCCTTTTCACCTTTCATCAGGGCGTTCATGGCCTTTCTTCATGCTTCCAATGAATCTTCAATGCATATTGCATTTATTTTCTCTCTTTGTTCACAGAACCCACCAAGAAGCCAAACTCAGGTGAGTGTCTCTTCAGCTGGGAAAAACTGAGGCAACGTCCTTGAACTGATGCTTACGGAGGGGATGGTTGAGGATGTTTTACAGAACTGTGGGGTATATGAAAGAGATGCAACAACTGTACCAGATAGCAGATATTGAAAGCAAAATGTGGTGATTAGGGAAATGCAAATCACAACCACAGTGAAGCACCACTTCGTCCCCACTGAGATGGCTAAAATCTAAAATGGAAAATAACAAGTGTTGGCAAGGATGTGATGAAACTGGAATGTTTGTACAGTGCTGGTGGGAGTCTAAAATGGTACAGCCACTGTGAACAAATGCTTTGGTGGATCCTCCAAAAGTTAAATACAGGATTACTCTATGAACCAGCAATTCCACTCCTAGGTATGTACTCAAAATAATTGAAAACACGGGTTCCAAGAAAAATGTGTACACAAATGTTCAGAGCAGCACTATTCATTATAGCTAAAAGATAGAAATAACTCACATGTTAATCAGTGGAAGGAATGGATAAACAAAATGTGGTCCATTCACACAATGGAATATTATTTAGCCTTGAAGAGGAATGAAGCACTGAAAATTGCTACAAAGTGGTTGAGCCTCAAAAACATTTTGCAAAGAGAAAGAAGCCAGACACAAATGATCACATAATGTATATTTTTATGAAGATGAAATTTCAAGAATAGGTGAATCCCTAGAACCAGAAGCAATGTCGTGACTGCCAGGGGCTGGAGGGGAAAGAGAGAGTGACTGCTTGATAAATTCCAGGTTTCTTTTTGGGGGAACGAAAGCATTCTGGAAGTACACAGAGGTGATGGCTGCACAACACTGTGAATATTCTAAGTGCCCCTGAATTATTCACTTTTAAATGGTTAATTATATGTAAATTTGACTTCAATTTATTTATTTATTTTCAATTAAAAAGGTAACCTTTGGCTGGGGGCGGTGGCTCACACCTGTAATCCCAGCGCTTTGAAAGGCCGAGGTGGGCAGATCATCTGAGGTCAGGGGTTCGAGACCAACCTGGCCAACATGGTGAAACCTGGTCTCTACTAAATATAAAAAAATTAGCTGGGCATGATGGCACATGTCTGTAATCCCAGCTACTCGGGAGGCTGAGGCAAGAGAATCACTTGAACCCGGGAGGTGGAGGTTGCAGTGAGCCGAGATCATGCCACTGCACTCCAACCTGGGTGACAGAGTGAGATTCCGTCTCAAAAAAAAAAAAAAAAAGAAAAGAAAAGAAAAGAAAAAGAAATAATTCCCGGGGCCGGGCGCAGTGGCTCACGCCTGTAATCCCAGCACTTTGGGAGGCCAAGGCGGGTGGATCACAAGGTCAGGAGATCGAGACCATCCTGGCTAACACGGTATGTTGTACCTGAGCGAGTTAGAAAAACGCTTTGAGACAAATTAAGAGTCCTTTATAAGCCAGCGACCGAGAGACGGCTAATGCTTAATAGTCTCTCGGTCCTGAGGAAGGGGCTTGATTAACTTTTAGATCTTGGTTTAGGAAGGGGAGGGCTGGGGGTCTAGTGAAAACCATTTTACAGAAGTAAAGTAGGCAAAAAGTTAAAAGGATAAATGGTTGCAGGAAAGTAAACAGTTCCAGGTGCAGGGGCTTTAAGACTATTACAAGGTGATAGACGCGGGGCTTTGGGCGTTACTAATCAGACGAATTCCCGGGAACTGCGGATGTAGCTCGCCACAGTATCTTATCAGTTAACTGCATTCTTGGATGTGCTGGGAGTCAGCCTGCACGAGTTCAGTCCTTGAGGAAGGGGCTGCCAGTGAAAGAGCCAAGGTGGAGTCTGGCTGGCTCTCTTAGCTAAGGGAGAGTCCATTCAGGTGGAAAGAAGGCTAGGTGAGTAAAGGAAAAGGGAGAGTCTAAAAACAGGTTAGTAAAAACCAGGTTGGGCATTACAGGTGAAACCCCGTCTCTACTAAAAAATACAAAAAAAATTTGCCAGGCATGGTGGCGGGCGCCTGTAGTCTCAGCTACTTGGGAGGCTGAGGCAGGAGAATGGCGTGAACCCGGGAGGCGGAGCTTGCAGTGAGCCGAGATCTCCCACTGCACTCCAGCCTGGGCGACAGAGCGAGACTCCGTCTCAACAACAACAACAACAAAAAGAAATAACTCCCAGACTTCCAGCAGACTCCTTGACTGCCATGAGAGATGTCAGGAAGTCAATGGACGGGTGTTTATAGGTTGTTCAGGAAATGTTCACTATCAAGCAAGAATTGAAAATGCAGCTAAATTGCTGTTGGAGAGTGATGATAGCATAAAGATTTCCAACAAGAAGCTCTGCAAATTTTGCTGAAAAATCTTCCAAATGATGCTCTGCCATAAGAAGAAATTCACACCCTGAATAGCACAGCAGGATGCGAATAGCAATGCCAGCCAAAGACATTGCAAACAAGCCGGTAAAACTAAGTGATTGTTAGCTGTTTAAAAAAATAATAATAACTGGTGTTAACAACAAAGTGAAACTTAACTTCTGAAGATGAGGCTACCTTCACAGAGAGGATAAGAAAGGAAGAACTGAGTAAAAGTAGTTAGATATTGCTGGATTTTGACATTTTAAGGTTAAGTGTTCCTGCTAAAAATAAAAATTGAACATATAACTCCTGAACTAGTGGATGAAAATGAAGAATGAAGAATAAAATTAAATACAAAAAAAATGAAGAGTAAAATTAAATACCAAAATTAGCCAAGTGTTGTGGTGAATGCCTGTAGTCCCAGCTACTCAGGAGGCTGAGGTGGGAGGATCACTTGAGCCCCAGAGGTGGAGGTTGCAGTGAGCTGAGATTGCGCCACTGCACTTCCGCCTGGGTGGCAGAGCCAGGCTTTGTCTCAAAAATAAAAAAAAATAATAAATTAAAAACCTGAATACTAAATGGAAGTTAAGAAGGAAGGAATTAAAAAAGAAGAAAAGTAAAATAAAATAGTAGGAATAGTGAATCCTTAGTTATGTTAGATGTTCAGTGATTTAATAAATCTGTAAAAAGACGGAGATGAGATGATGCAATTTAAAATGTTTCGGCTGGGCGCAGTGGCTCACGCCTGTAATCCCAGCACTGTAGGAAGCCGAGGCGGGTGGATCACGAGGTCAGGAGATCGAGACCATCCTGGCTAACACGGTGAAACCCCATCTCTACTAAAAATACAAATAAAATGTTTCATGCTATTTACGAGAGAAGCATTTGCAACAAAATGCCAAAGAGAAGGTGAAAATAGCTGGAAAAAAAATGCGCAAAGCAAATAACCAATAGAAAGAAAGCCAAGTTGGGCTAGCAAAATCAGACAAAATAACCTTCGAGGTGCAAACAACTTTGAGGCCCAAATAGAGGTTCTTCCCACTAAAAGAATGATTCCCTGAATGATAATGGAATCTTGACCCAGCCTGCACCTCAGGTTAAGTTAAAAGTGGAAATTTAAAGATCTAAGTGTGAGATTTTAAAAAGCATTTCCCCAGAAATACCAGGATCTGTAGATGGAAATGTTATTAAGAATAAAGATGTGGAGCTGGGCGTGGTGGCTCACGCCTGTAATCCCAGAACTTTGGGAGGCTGAGACTGGCTGATTTCTTGAGCCCAGGAGTTTGAGACTAGCCTGGACAACATAGTGAGACCCCATCTTTACAAAAAAATTAAAAAAAATTAGTGGACATGGTGGCATGCACCTCTAGTCCCAGTTACTCAGGAGGCTGAGGTGGGAGGATCACCTGTGCCCAGGCTGAGGCTGCAGTGAGCCATGATCACGCCACTGCACTCCAGCCTGCGTGACAGAGCAAGACCCTGTCTCAAAAGAAAAGAAAAAAAAAGAAGAAAGAAATGAAAACCGTAGCTCAGAGACAGAGAAACTGAGCAATGCATAGGTTCAGAAGGGTTTGAAACAGACTGAATTGTGTCTTGGCATATGAGAGAGGTCGCAGCTATAAAACAATGAGAGAAGAAACCAAATTCCACATAGGCAGGACTGAGACAATTGGCTGTTCTTGTGGATGATACGTGATCAAATCTCAACCTCATGCGATACTTTTTTTTTTTTTTTTGAGATGGAGTCTCGCTCTGTCACCCAGGCTGCAGTGCAGTGGTGTGATCTCACCTCCCCGCAAACTTCTCCTCCCGGGTTCAAGTAATTCTCGTGCCTCAGCTGGGACTACAGGCATGTGCCACCACGCCTGGCTAATTTTTGCATTTTTTTAGTAGAGACGGGGTTTCACCAAGTTGGCCAGGCTGGTCTCGAACTCCTGACCTCAGGTGATCTGTCCACCTCGGTGTCCCAAAGTGCTGGGATTACAGGTGTGAACCACCACACCCAGCCTCATGTAATACTTAAAAATGAACTACAGGTGGATTACAAACCTGAATATAAAAGAAAACTTTTTTTTTTGAAAAATAGAGGGAAATGTCTTATAACCTCAGAGTTAGGAGGTTTTTCTTAGATACAATACAAAAAGCATAACCACGCCCATAGTCCCAGCTACTCAGGAGGCTGAGGCATAAGAATCACTTGAGCTCGAGAGGTGGAGGTTGCAGTGAGCCGAGATCCTGCCATTGCACTCCAGCTGAGGCTACAGAGTGAGAGTATAAAAAAAAAAAAAAAAAAGCATAACCTTTAAAAATGGGTTAGCCTATGTCTACATTTAAATAATAATAATAATAATAATGTTCCAACTTCAGGCTCTGAAAAAAGTCAAAAGATGAGCTGTCAACTAGAAGAGGCTCCTTACTGCTCATACCACCAGGGAAAGTTTAATATGCAAAATGCAGTCATCCTTCAGAATTCATGGGGGATTAGTTTTAAGACGCCTTCTTCCCCGCAGACACCAAAATCCACAGCTGCTGAAGTCTCTGATATAAAACGTGCAGTACTTGCATATAATGCAAGTATATGTTCCTGTATATTTTTATTTATTTATTTGGAGACAGAATCTCACTCTGTTGCCCAGGCTGGAGTGCAGTGGCGTGATCTTGGCTCACTGTAACCTCCACCTCCCGGGTTCAAGAGATTCTCCTGACTCAACCTCCCAAGTAGCTGGGATTACAGGTATGCGCCACCACCCCCAGCTAATTTTTGTATTTTTGGTAGAGACGGGTTTTAACCATGTTGTCCAGGCTGGTTTCGAACTCCTGACCTCACATAATCTGCCCACCTTGGCCTCCCAAAGTGCTGGGATTACAGGGATGAGCCACCGTGTCCAGCCTCTGGTATACTTTAAATTATCTCTAGGTTACTCATAACTCCTGATACGCTGTAAATGCTATGCAAATAGTTGTTATACTATATTATTTTTTATTTGTATTACTTTTTATTGGATTGCTATATTTTATTTTTTGAAATATTTTCAATACAAGACTGGTTGGATCTATAGATGCAGAAATTCTGGTTATAGAGCACAAACTGTGTATAGATAGCTCCTACCAAAACAGACGGATGGTGAAAAAAAGAAAAGAAAAGAAAAGAAAAAGAAAATGGAGGAGAGAGACTATGAGGCGACTAAAAGAAGAGGGATATGATCATTCCATTCGCTGACAAGAAAAATTCAAAGAAGAGGGAATTATGCAATTGACCAGCTGATGTGTGTTAGAAATGCTCAGGGTCACACATATTCATTGAAAGCCAATTTAAGCCACTATTTAAATTTAAACCGATTTAAACAATTGGGCTTTTTTTTTTTTTTCTAAAAAAAAAAAAAAGTCAATTAGGCCAGGCGAGGTGGCTCACACCTGTCATCCCGGCACTTTGGGAGGCCGAGGTGGGTGGATCACAAGGTCAGGAGTTTGAGACCAGCCTGGCCAACATGGTGAAACCCTGTTTCTACTAAAAATACAAAAGTTAGCTGGGCATGGTGGTGTGTGCCTGAGGCTGTGAGACTGAGGCAGGAGAATCACTTGAACCCAGGAGGCGGAGGTTGCAGGGAGCGGAGATCATGCCACTGCACTCCAGCTTGGGCGACAGACCAAGACTCTGTCTCAAAAAAAAAAAAGAAGAAGTATATTGGTTCCGTCTGGAAAGGTGGAGCACTTGAAGCAAAGGCAGGAAGACTGGAAGCAGGGAGAGGGTTTTCAGGTCACAAACAGGTGAGAGACAAAACAGTTGCCTTCTTTTGAGTTTCTGATTAGCCTTTCCAAAGGAGGCGATCAGATACGAATCTGCCTCAGGGAGCAGAGGGGGGACTTTGAATAGAATGGGAGGCAGGTTGGCCCTAAGCAGTTCCCAGCTGGACTTTTCCCTTTAGCTTAGTGACTTGGGGGTCCCGAGATTTATGTTCCCTTCACAGTGTATGAGTGAGAGCACTTGGAAACTGAGAGTGGAAGTGTCGCAGGCCAGGTCTCACTAACACAGGCCCCCACAACACCTGTTTCAGTATTGACTGAGTGGTTAAATATTAAAAGCCAGTGCTGTTATACAAAGGCTGGAATGTAACAAAAGCCCACCGAGAGTTTTTCCCAGGACTTTCCCGGGCCTTAAAGCATGACAAAATAATGAATGAATTCTTAACAGGACCCATTTAGGATTAAACAAGTTTTACTGGGGGTCTGCAGAAACTCCCCAGGCCTCCACAAACAAGTTTATTGGGGCTTTGAAGGAACTCTGCAAACCTCCTGGATTTAGCAGGAGACAACATGAGGGTAATCACCCCGGCACCTGGACCCATTAGATTAAGTCAATTTACTGAGGCTCCTGAGGAAGATCCTCAGGACTCAGACCTTAGTTATAGATTAAAAGAAGTTAATCACTTATGTCTTTAGATAAATGCACACACATATCTCCACATAGCTTGGAAGGTATATAAGCTCTGGAAAACTATAATTTTGAGTTAGTCTGGTGATAATTTCCAGGCCTTCTCCCTGTAACAGGTTGCAGAAATAAAAACTCTCTTCCTCCCCAGTTCATCGGTGTTTCATTATTGGGCTGTGAGAAATAGCAACCCAGTTGGGTCCGGGAACAGAAGGTTTGGTGTTATCTTCATCACAGGCACTGGACTGTCGGTAAATTTATTCCATGACAATTCTTCCTAGGTTTCTTTTTTATATTACTTGCTTCCATCATGGCAGACAGCTACACTGGCTTCTTGCCATGAAAACGAACTTCTAGTAACAAAACGGAAACCTTTTTTTTTAAGTTTCAGGTTTCAAGGTTTTACTTCTATCTGCAAAGTGATTTTTAACCAGACAATGGCAATCTATAAACACACCGTGGGCAGCAAATCAGAACAAACTGCAAGGTCGATAGTCACGCTGATGAGCTTGTTTCTGCAGCCTGCTCCTAAGGGAAGGACAATTTTCTTTTCTAACAGTGCAATGTTGTTTCCTCCACAGATATCTACCCAAAGCCAAAACCACCTTACTACCCACAGCCCGAGAATCCCGACAGCGGTGGAAGTAAGAATCCGCAGGCCTGAAACTCTTTCTCAATCTGGTTTGATGATGTTTGCCTTTTTATTTACTAGCAGGTTTAGCCTGGTTGCATTTGAAATATGTGTGTAATAGCTCCCTTACTGGGAATGTAGTTTCTTTCCTCACTGGGGGGAGCAAGAAAGTCCAACGGACAGAAACAATCTTATTTTCCCTTTGCTTTGACATCTAGAAACCACTAAGGTGTACTTGTAACCACCCAACTGGTTCACTTTGTTGGCTGCCTAGACAGAGCTGATTTATCAAGATAGGGGAACTGCAATGGAGAAAGAGTAATTCACGCAGAGCCGGCTCTAAGGGAGGCTAGAGTTTTATTATTAATCATTCAGTCTCTGGAACATCTGGGGATCAGGGTTGTTAAGGATAAGTTGGCAGGTAGGGGCTTGGGAAGTGGGGAGTGCTGACCGGTCAGGTTGGAAAGGGAACCATAGGGGGTTGAAGTGAGGTTTTCTTGCTGTTTTCTGTTCCTGGGTGGATGGCGGACCTGGTTGAGCCAGATTACCGGGCTGAGTGGTGTCAGCTGATCCATCCAGTGCAGAGGCTGCAAAATATCTCAAGCACCGATCTTAGGTTTTACAATAGTGATGTTACCCCCAGGAGAAACTTGGGGAGGTTCAGACTCTTGCAGCCAGAGGCTGCACGAGCCCTAAAGTGTAATTTCTAATCTTGTAGCTAATTTTTTGGTCCTGCAAAGGCAGACTGGTTCCCAGGCAAGAAGGGGGTCTTTTTGGGAAAGGGGCATTCTTAATTTTGTTTCAGAGTGAAACCACGAACTGAATTCGTTCCCAAGGCTAGTTTGGCTCACACCCAGGAAAGAACAAGGACAGCTTAAAGGTTAGAAGCAAGATGGAGTTGGTTAGGTCTGACCTCTTTCACTGTCATCATTTCCTCAGTCATAATTTTTGCAAAGGCCGTTTGATACTCAAAGGACACTTTGCATTATCATCACAGAAAGCTAATCAGGCTGAGAGACAAGTCCTTTCTCTCACTTGTTTTCAGTGCTCCAAATACCTTTGGCTTAACCATTCCCAAACCCCCACGTGTGCTGTGCACTTTATGTGTTTTAGAGTTGGTTTCTCCATTTTTTCTAACATTTGGCAGACAGTTTTTTTCCACAGATTTATTACACTCATCATTGAAAAATATGCAATTCAAAAAAGAAAGAGAGTGAACGAGAGAGAGAAGAGTGGGGAGGGGGGTGGGCATGGAGAGAGAAAGAGAAAGAGAAAAGAAAGGGGAAAGAAGAAAGGAAAAGATAGATTCTGGCCATTAAAGTTATCAGCAGTTCAACAACCTTAAAAACTTAAATGTTTGCCAGGCAGAGCAGCGTGAAGCTGGCTAAATCAAGAGGGGTTCTGGAAGCTTCCTGGTAGTTTGCTCTGGCTTTAAACTTTCACAGCTTAACAGCGTGTCCATTCATTGCAGACACGCACATCCAGATGGACAGAAATTATCTCCTCTTACAAGGAATCATTAAAAACAGAGACCAAGACCCAAGGGAGGTGACACCCACTTGAAAAACTACACCTCAGGCCGGGCGTGGGGGCTCACGCCTGGAATCCCAGCACTTTGGGAGGCCGAGGCGGGCAGATCACCTGAAGTCAGGAGCTCGAGACCAGCCTGGCCAACATGGCGAAACCCTGTCTCTACCAAAAATACAAAAATTAGCTGGGCATGGTGGCATGCGCCTATAATCCCAGCTACTTGGGAGGCTAAGACACGAGAATTACTTGAATCCAGGAGAGGAAGGTTACAGTGAGCCAAGATTGTGCCACTGCACTCCAGCCGGGGAACAGAATGAGATTCTGTCTCGAAAAACCAAACCAAACCAAACCAAACCAAACAAAACAAAACCCCAAAACACCACCTCACCCTTAACTGCATTAGTTAAGCCAGCTAGTCTTTCTTTTTTCCCCCTCTTTCATGATGAAAATCCCAAATACCACCCACCTTTTTCTCCTGCTATTTCCTCCTAGTCTTTTAAAAACCATTGTCCTGCGGATCATGGCTATGTTGCAAGGCACTCATGGGAATTCCACAGGGAACGTGTTTCTTGCTGAAACATACTTGGGAAACGCCCAGTTAAACAGACTGCCGTGGGCTTCCCTCCCAGAGAATTCATCAGGACTTAAAATGTGTGGCTGGGCATGGTGGGTCACGTCTGTAATCCCAGTACTTTGGTAGACCGAGGCTGGTGGATCACCTGAGGTCAGGAGTTCAAGGCCAGCCTGGCCAACATGGTGAAACCCCATCTCTACTAAAAATACAAAAATTAGTCGTGGCCTGTAGTCCCAGCAACTCGAGAGGCTGAGGCATAAGAATCGCTTGAACCTGGGAGGCAGAGGTTGTAGCAAGCTGAGATGGCGCCACTGCACTCCAGGCTGGGCAACAGAGCGAGACTCCGTCTCAAAAAAAAAAAAAAAAAGAATAAGAAAAAAAAAACTTAAAATGCGAGATCCTTTAAGATGGGCCATCTTCAGAGTGTGAACACTCAGCCCCTCCCACAGCAAAGTGATTCATGAACCCCAATAGGAGGAGGAGTGGGGGAAGAGAGGCTCAGGCTGGGGAGGTGACCCCCCATGACTCAAGCCTCAATCTCCTGATGCTTGTCCCAACAAAGAGGAGGCTTCCTTTCCGACTTTGGTTTTTCATGTTGTGCTTAAATCCAGCCACACTGATGCCTTTAACATGGCAGTCCTGAATTATTAATCAATACTGTGTGAATCCAAAATATCTGAGACAGGTCTCAATCAGTTTACAAAGTTTATTTTGCCAAGGTTAAGGACGTGCCCGTGACACAGCCTCAGGAGGTCCTGATGACAAGTGCTCAAAGTTGTCAGGACACAGCTTGGTTTTACACATTTTAGGGAGACAGGAGATATCAATCAATATGTATAAGAAGTACATTGGTTTGATCTGGAAATGCGGGACAACTGGAAGCAGGGGCTTCCAGGTCACAGGAAGATACGAGACAACTAGTTGCATTCTTCTAAGTCCTTGATCGGCCTTTTACTGAAAACTCAATTTACATGTGAGACAGGGCAAAGGAATAGTACTTATGCCTCAGTCTGGCCCAGTGAATCTGCATTTTTCATCAACAATAGGGCAGAGGAAGCAATCAGACATGCATTTGTCTCAGGGGAGCAGAGGGGATGACTTTCTGTCCCACACCTGTGAAGATGAGCTGTTGGTGTACATTGCCAGGGTGAAATTCCACAGAACTGTTTTAGGGTAAACAAAACAGTTTACTTTCCTCAGATTGTGAGGACAGTATGTAGCTTTTAAAAAACTTAAAAAAATTTTTTTGTAGCTATCTTATTTAGAAAGAAAATGGGAGGCAGATCTGACTAACTTTTTTTTTCCAGCTTGACTTTTCCCTTGGCTTAATGATTTTGGGGTCCCAAGATTTATTTTCCTTTCACAATTGAACATCAGAACATGGAGTATTTAACACAGGAAATGAGCAAATTTAACGTACACACCCAAGGAAAAGGAAAAATGAAGCTGGTTGGAAGTTAATTATGGATAGTGTGGTATATGAGCAGAAATTCCCCTTAACCAGTGTTCTTGCCCAGGCTAGCCCAAATGAGCCCAGGCTAGCCTAGATTCCCAAGTGTGTATCTTGAGAACGAGGAAGAGCCCTAGAAAACAATGTGTAACGTCCCTCCAAGATGGGGTGTTCTGGAACAATCCCTCAGACAACGAAGGCAATTGTTGATGGGCAACATTGGGAAGACCCCAGAGATGGAATGTCCTAGGCCTTTCCATGTTCTCTTTCTCATTCTCCCTCCATTGACTTGATAGGTGGCTGGGGGATTTATAAGTATTTACCACACACCAGCCAGCTTTCTCCGGATGGCTCCAGGCATGCTTGGAGCCCAGTGGTCTCTTTCCCTTAGAATTTGATCTGGAGGAACCCAAAATTCTCTCTGTGTCCTTTGAAATTCAGCACATTTTTCTTGGCTTCCATGAGCTCCTGTGGCATTTCTCAGGCCAACTGTTGACTCTGCTTCCTATGTCTGTGCTTGTCCCTTTGAGAGATGTCAGCGTTGCTCACCGATTCTTTTCTCTGACCCCAGCAGCTCCTATCCATGTTGTCTTTTTTTTTTTTTTTTTCAGACAGAGTCTCACTGTATTGCTCAGGCTGGAGTGCAATGGCACGATGGCATGATCTTGGCTCACTGCAACCTCCGCCTCCTGGGTTCAAGCAATTCTCCTGCCTTAGCCTCCCGAGTAACTGGGATTACAGGCGTGCAACACCACACCTGGCTAATTTTTGTACTTTTAGCAGAGACAGGGTTTCACCATGTTGGCCAGGCTGGTCTCAAACTCCTGACCTCAGGTGATCTGCCCACCTTGGCCTCCCAAAATGCTGGGATTACAGGTGTGAGCCACTGTGCCTGTCCTCATGTTGTCTTGAAAGTAACAAGACAGGCACGGATTCTTTTTGATGCAAGCTGTTATGGGATGAATTATGTCTCCCCGCAAATTCATAGGATGAAGTCCTAACCCCCAGTTTCCTCAGAATGTGACTGTCTTTGGAGATGGGGCCTTTAAGAAGGAGATTAATGTAAAATGAGGTCACTAGGGTGGGTCCGGATCCAATAGGACTAGTATCCTAATAAGAAGAGATGAGGACTTAGACACACACAGAGGAAAGATTATATGAAGACACAGGGAGAAGACGGCATCTACAAGCCCAGGAGAGAGGCCTTAGGAGGAACCAGCCCAGACCATATCTTGATCTCACACTCCCAGCCTCCAGGACTGTGGGAGAATCAATGTCTGTTGTTTATAAGCCACCCAGTCTATGGTGTTCTGTGACAGCAACCTGAAATGGACTAAGACACCTCATAAGAAGGGGAGATGAGGACGCAGACACACACAGAGGGACAATCCTGTGAGGACACAGGGAGAAGATGGCATCTGCAAGCCCAGGAGAGAGGCCTCAGGAGGAATCAGCCCAGCCCACACCTGGATCTCAGACTTCCAGCCTCCAGGACTGTGGGAGAATCAATGTCTGTTGTTTATAAGCCACCCAGTCTTTGGTATTCTGTGATAGCAGCCTGAAATGGACTAAGACATCTCATAAGAAGAGGAGATGAGGACACAGACACACACAGAGGGACGACCCTGTGAGGACACAGGGAGAAGATGGTGTCTACAAGCCAAGGAGAGAGGCCTCAGGAGTAAGCCCAGGAATCAATGCAGTTGGAGGTTCTGTGTGTGAATGGAGGAGGGAAGCTCACAGATGAAGGCGTTTTGAGGGAGGACTGACCTTACAGTGAGGTACCCAGAGACTTCCTGAACCAAGCCACGAATATGCAGCTCGTGCTCCGGGCAGTGCCTTCTGGCCTGGAAACCAAAGCTCCCTTGTGTCCAGTCCCCACTCCTCTGTTTGGCCCCCAAGTTTCCATAATCCCCCACAGTTGTATCATTTTAGAGACCTCAAAAGAGAGTCTAGGCTGGGCGTGGTGGCTCATGCCTGTAATCCCAGCCCTTTCAGAGGCCGACGTGGGTGGATCACCTGAAGTCAGGATTTCAAGACCAGCCTGGCCAACATGGTGAAACCCTGTCTCTACTAAAAATACAAAAATTAGCTGGGCATGGTGGTGTATACCTGTAATCCCAGCTACTTGGGAGGCTGGGGCCAGAGAATCGCTTGAACCCAGGAGGCGGAGGTTGCAGGGAGCCGAGATTGTGCCACTGCACTCCAGCCTGGGCAACAACAGCAAAACTCCTTCTCAAAAAAAAAAAAAAAAAAAGAGAGTCTAGGCAGGGCATGGTGGTCCATGCCTGTAGTCCTAGCTATACTCAGGAGGCTGAGGTAGGAGGATCACTTGAGCCCAGGAGGTGGAGGCTGCAGTGAGCTATGATTCACCACTGCACTCCAGCCTGGGCAACAGAGCAACACCCTGTCTCAAGAGAGAGAGAAAGGGAAAGAGAGAGAGACTATTTTGAGAAGTGAAAAACCAGTCATTCTCAGCCCAGATTTCCAGTGTTCTGAGACGTCTGTCCTGAGGAAGGACTTTGAGAACAGCATCCTTGCCTTTTTTGTGAATTAAAGTAATTTCACTCTTGAGCCAATGTGGATAAGCACTTGACAGGTACTGGCAGTGCCAGGTACCAGGAATATAGAATGGGTACAGAAAATAAAGTTTCTAGTCCAGCGACAAAAAGGTGCTGAAGATACAGACTCATGTCGTGCAAAGAGCTTGCACTGATTATTTCATTTCGGCTTCTTGAATAGGGTCAAAGGACATTTAAGCTGAGACAGGAGGGACGAGCTAATTAATGCTTTTCCAGATGACAAATGGATTCTTCAAATATTTAGGGAGAGTGTAAAGTGATGGACAGGGAACAGGAGGGGTCATGACAGAAGGAATGCCACCTGCAAAAGTCCTGGGGCAGGGCTGGGCACGGTGGCTCATGCGTGTAATCCCAACACTTTGGGAGGCCAAGGTGGGCAGATCACCTGAGGTCAGAAGTTCGAGACCAGCCTGGGCAACATAGTGAAATCCCATCTCTACTAAAAATACAAAAATTGGCCAGGCGTGGTGGCACACACCTGTAATCTCAGCTACTCGGGAGGCTGAGGCAGGAGAATTGTTTGAACCCAGGAGGCAGAGGTTGCCGTGAGCTGAGATCACACCACTGCACTCCAGCCTGGGCGACAAAAGCGAAACTCCGTCTTAAAAAAAAAAGTCCTAGGGCAGAAAGCTCATGGTAAACTTGAGGAACATGCAAAAGTCATTGCAAAAAGTTTTAAGAAATTCAAATGAAGCCAGGCTCAGTGTGGCTAATGCCTATGATGATTCCAGCTCTTTGGGAAGGCAAGACAGGACGATTGCTTAAGAACAGGAATTTGAGACCAACCTGGGCAACATAGCAAGACCTTGTCTCTACACAAATTTTAAAAATTAGCCAACTATGGTGGTATGCACCTGTAGACTGAGCTACATGGGTGGCTGAGGTGGGAGGATTGTTTGAGCCTAGGAACTCGAGGCTGCGGGGAGCTATGATTGCACCACTGCACTGCAGCCTGGGCAACAGAGCAAGACTCTGTCTCAAAACAACAACAACACAAATTCAAATGAAACGGTGTAACTCAAGCAAGATGGAAATACAACACACTATCAAAAGGTCAGATGTTTCATCCTAACATTTATAGAAGTGACTGACTTCTGTAAATGGTGCTGGCATCTGTAGTAGCCCTAAACAGGGAAAGGTCAACAACGCACTTTCTGCCCTGTTAATTTCAGAGAGCCCTGGACTTCTTGCGAAAGCACCAGTGGTGTAAGTTTTTGTTTTTTCATTGTAAGCTCTGAGGTGGTATTATGAATATTGTCTACATGATTAATAAGCTCCGTAAAAGCAATGGGCAGTAACATCTTTTCTGTACTTTGGCATTCTTATTTATAGATGGTATCTACCTGAAAGATGTCATTATTTTTCTGAAATCATACTGTTGTTTTCCAACAGATATCTACCCAAGGCCAAAGCCACGCCCTCAACCCCAGCCTGGCAATTCCGGCAACAGTGGAGGTAATGAGTATTTATTTATTTATTTTTATTTTATTTTATTTTATTTTATTTTACTATTTTATTTGATTCTATGTTATTTTACTTTATTTTACCATTTTATTTGATTCTATGTTATTTTACTTTATTTTATTTGATTCTATGTTATTTTACTATTTTATTTTATTATTTATTTTGGAGACAGGGTCTCGCTCTGTTGCCCTGGCCAGAGTGAAGTGATGTAATTGCAGCCTTGAACTCCTGGGCTCAAGCAATCTTCCTCCCTCAGCCTTTCAAGTAGTTAGGACTACAGATGTGTACCACCTACATTGCACCACCTATATTTCACCACCTATATTGGCTATATTTCAAATTTTTTGCAGAGACAGGATCTTGCTGTGTTGTTCAGGCTATTCTTGAACTCCCGGCCTCAAGCAATCCTCTGCCTCAGCCTCCCAAAATGCTGGGATTACAGGCACCAGCTATTGTGGCCCAGCCTGATAATCAGTATTAAAGTCCATTTTAGAAGTGTTTGGGGCCAGGCACAGTGGCTCATGCCTGTAATCCCAGCACTTTGGGAAGCCGAGGTGGGCGGATCACTTGAGGTCAGGAGTTTGACACCAGCCTGAGCAATATGATGAAACCCTGTCTCTACTAAAAATACAAAAATTCGCCGGGCGTGGTGGTACATGCCTGTAATCCAGCTACTCAGGAGGATGAAGCAGGAGAATCGCTTGAACCCGCAAAGCGGAGGCTGCTGTGAGTTGAGATCACGCCACAGCACTCCAGCCTGGGAGACAGAGCGAGCCCCTGTCTCAAAAGGAAAAAAAAAAAAAAAAAGAAGTGCTTCACGCCTGTAATCCCAGCACTTTGGGAGGCCGAGGTCTCCTCAGGCAGATCACCTGAGGTCAGGAGTTTGAAACCAGCGGCCAACATGGTGAACCCCTGTTTCTACTAAAAATACAAAATTAGCTGGGCAGAGTGACGCGTGCCTGTAATCCCAGCTACTGGGGAGGCTGAGGCAGGAGAATCGCTTGAACCCAGGAGGCGGAGGTTGCCTTGAGCCAAGATTGTGCCAATGCACAATCTATCTAGGTGATAGAGTGAGACTCTGTCTCAAAAAAAGGCGGGGGGGTGGTTGGATACAAGTATTATTTAATGACTTAAAAATTCTCATCTCCATGGTGAAAGACCAATTGCTTTTGAAATGCACAGACATTGTTTTGCGAGGAGTTCAGTTCTACTATCCACCAGCACCTGGGGATTACATTTAGTTGATAGTAAATAAATTTAAATGTTTTTGATGACATTGACTGAAAAATACCATGCACACTAAGACATTTCAAGTTATGATGGAGGAAGGCAATTTTTTCTTGTTTTTTTTTTTGTTGGTCTGTGTTCTACTCACTTATTCTTCCCTCTGCAAGAGTTATCTGCGGCCACTTTGCCTGTGTTCCTACAGCACTTCCCATCTCCGCCTTGGCAATTGTGTCTCACGAACGTGAGACACTCAGGAAAGAGATGCTGGTCTGTAAAGTTGGAAGAGTCTCAGCGATTCCATTGGTGGGGCAAATGTGTGCAGATTGAGGAAGCTAAGATACACTGGGTGTCTTCCTCTCTCCACCTGCTTTAACCATTGGGAGTTCCCCTGATTGTGATTGTTTCAGGACGTTGCTTGGATGTTGTCATATTCCTAGGGTTCAAGGCACTCCGTGAAATCCAAGGAAACAAGCTTTGGGTATGTCCCAGTGCCTTTTCCCTTGGGTCTTGCAACTGAAGAATTGTGTTTCTTCCCTAGAAAAACGAACACACTTTTGCCCACTCACCCACCTCCTGCAAGTCTCCAAAACCACAGCGTTGTATCCTAGACTATGTTCCCCCAGGAGGTGGTTCCTCCCTCTGCATTCCCGTACTCCATACTGCTTGATATGTTCTTACATGCAACACCGTGCAATTGTGTTTAGTTGATTCCTGTGAATTAGAATGAGAACTCTACATGGGCATGGATTTTTGCCTTTCATTCACTGCTGCATTCCCTAGTCTGGAAAGCTGTGCCTGGCACACAATGAGTCCTAGGTGAAGGTCAGTGAAGTCATTAATGCTTGAGTCCCAACAGGCAAACAGCTGGATTCATGAATGAAAGACTTACCGCTACATCCCTTCATCAGGGTGTATAGCTTCAACTCCATTTCCTGGAAAGCTCTACAATAGTTCTTCCTCCTCAAAAGGCTCTGGTCTTGTGATTCATAGCATTCGTCCACCAAGACATGAACAAGGGATCTTTATGTCAGAGGTTCCCTGTTCAAAGCTGTTTTAGAGGCCAGGCGTGGTGGCTCATTCAGGTAATCCCAGCACTTTGGGAGGCCGAAGTGGGAAGACCACTTGAGGTCAGGAGTTCGAGACCAGCCTGGCCAACATGGTGAAACCCCATCTCCATTAAAATACAAAAATTAGCCAGGCATGGTGGCATGTACCTGTAATCACAACTACTTGAGAGGCTGAGGCAGGAGAATCACTTGAACCTGGGAGGCGGAGTTCAGTTGGAGTTGCAGTGAGCCGAGATCATGCCATTGCACTCCAGCCTGGGTGACAGAACGAGACTCCATCTCAAAAACAGTAAAAATAAAAAAGCTGTTTTAGGAAACATCCCTTTTTTATTATTTTTTCTTTGAGTCAGGGACTTGCTTGGTTGCCTAGGCTGAAATGCAGTGGCGGGATCACAGCTCACTGCAGCCTCCACCTCCTGGGCTCAAGCAATCCTCCGACTTTAGCCTCCTGAATAGCTGGGACTACAGACACACAGCACTCCACCTGGCTAATTTTTTCTTTTTTCTTTTTCTTTTTCTTTCTTTTTCTTTTTCTTTGTGTGTGTGTGTGTGTGTGTGTGTATGTGTGTGTGTTGGGACAGGGTTTCCCTCTGTTGCCCAGGCTGGTCACAAACTCCTGGCCTTAAGTGACCCTCCTGCCTTGACCTCTCAAAGTGCTGGGATTACAGATGTGAGCCACTGAGCCCAGCCCTAGGAAACAGCCTCTTAAGCCAAGTGCAATGACTCTTGAACTCCCCAGAGCCTCTGTGCATGCTACCTCGACTTCAGCTTCACAGATGTATGCAACTGCGGGATCAGGTTAGGGGCACTCACTTACCGGCAGTCCCAAAGCTCTGGAGAGTCTGTGCTGAGGGAATGGTCCATGTTAAAGCAAAGCAGAACAACCACTCTGCCTTTTGTATTTTATACTTGTTTTTTTTTTGAAACAGGGTCTCTCTGTGTCACTCAGGCTGGAATGCAGTGGTGTGATCATAGCTAACTGCAGCCTCCAGTTCCTGGGCTCAAGTGATCCTCCTGGCAGATGGGACTACAGGCGCACACCACCAAGCCCAGATAATTTTTTGTATTTTTTTGTAGAGACAGGGGGTCTCACTATGTTGCCCAGACTGGTCTCCAACTCCTGGCCTCAAGCAATCCTCCCGCCTCCACCTCCCAAAGTGCTGGGTTGCACCCGGCTTGCATTTCACACGTTTAATAAACTCAATCAGCATGTTTCCTACCCCCTAGAGTGACAATGGTGCACATTAGCATGGATTTCTTATAGATCGAGACCAAAGACCTAATTACTTATCTATAGACCAATCTTGGAGAGGAAAGGCAGACTCCAAGGGTTAATTCGGGGTCCAGGAACCACAGAAGGAAGGTCTCCTTGGATCTCGTTTGAGCCTGAAGTAGCTCAGTCTATGACAGACACCATCAGAGGGCAGAGGCACAGGTGAACGCAGCAGTCGGAACTTTGTCAGAGCAGCAAAGGACATCTTAGGAAATGAGGCTTGCAAAGCAGCCTTGGGTTATTGAGAAAGCTCTCTCAGCGTGGATTCTCAGGGCTCTGGGATCTTCTCTGCCTTGCAGGTGCCTCTTTGTTTTTTGGGAGGAAGCAGGTGGGTCTCATGTGTCAGGGCAGTAAGGAGCAGGAATGAATGGATGAAACAAATCTGTTGGGGTGGGTAGCGGCTGTGCTCTGGGGAGCCAAGAGAGAGACAGGGGGATGGTGCTGGTTTCAGACAAGATAGTTGAGCAGGAACTTGAAAGAGAAAAGGAGAGTGGATCGTGGGGACCTGAGAAGCTGGAATTCTCCCTGGGGAATCGGCCACTGCCAACGTGAGGGCTGGGGTTAGGAGCATGCCTATGGTGATGGAGAAGCCTGGGGGAGGTGCCTGGTTGATGGGGCAAGAGGAGCCATCTGGAGAGAAGGAAAAGCCTGGAGTCTCCTTCCGGGCTTGCTTAAGGACTAGGGAGGGGCAGGACATGAGATGATGTTGGAGGATTCTGAGCAGGGGATGGGCCTAGGTGGGAGGTGGGGCAGAAGGAGAGCTGGACGAGGACATGGTGAGAGGTGATGTTGGCTCATCCAGGAAGGACGGCCAGGAGGAAGCAGAGGGAAAGGGGCATGCAAAGGTCCAGAGGCAGGAGCAACGGGGAACATCCAGGGAAGGAGGGAAGGGCAGGGGATTTGGAGATGGGGCACCCTGAGAGAGGGATCCAGGCAGCAGGCAGACACGACAGCCTGAGCTTCACCCCAGCTCACGGTTGGCCCTGGGAGGGCTTTGAGCAGAAGAGGGGCAAACATCAGCAATATGAGGCCACACTGCAGACGTTCTGGGCCCTGCACACGCCTCCTTGCAGGCAAGGCGGCCAGCCCACAAGGTAATTTAATTCCTGGTGCCTGTGGGCGTCCTGCAAAGAGCCAGTTGGCGTCGGAACGCTCTTCTCCAAAACCTGTGCCAGTGCCCCCAGCGCAGACCTGGTGTGAAGGGGACCTTTGGAGAGGTCTCATGAGCAATGCCGCGTGCTCTGCCCCACAGGTTACTTCAATGATGTGGACCGTGATGACGGACGCTACCCGCCCAGGCCCAGGCCACGGCCGCCTGCAGGTAGGTGCCGAGCCTCCCCAGATGCGACACATTGAATTTGCACAGAGAGGGTGGGATGAGAGGCCTGAAGTTGGGGATGAGAGAGCTGAGGTTGGGGCAGAGTTGGTGACGAGCAGACGATAAGCTGGTGCAGGGGATGACAGAGAAGGCCCCATGGCCGCATCAGTGGGGTTTGCGGTCTGGGCATCTGTCCGCCTCTCCAGGCTGGGGGACTGGATGGAAACAAAATGAACAGGCAGAACTGGAGGGTCCACTGAAACACTTGCGGTCATTTCTGTTTAGACTTGTATATGTGTAAGTGTGGGTGTACATGTCCAGACACACCTTTATATATCTGCATGCTTATCAATCTTCATTTGTGTGTATATAGATGTTTATGTATCTTTATATTTGTGTGTATATATGCTTTTAAATATATATAAATGCATCTACATATGTAGGTATATGGTTTTTTTCATGTGTGTATATACATGCTTTTGTATATATACAGTACGTGGATACCTTTCTCTGTTTTTATATATGTATATCCTGACTTTATATATATCCTTATATATATCTTTACATAGGTACATGTTTTATATGTGTATATATATCTTTATATTTATATGCAGATATATGCTTTTTATATATATTTATGTATATGTATATCGTTTAATATATCTTTTTAAAAATATATCTTCATGTATATCTTTAAATACATATACATTTTATATACATTTTAATATTTTATGTGTATGTTATATAAATATATATCTTTACATATATAATTAAATATATGCCTTTATTTATATACATCTTTATATATGTACATATATACCTTTACATGTATGTGCCTTTATTTATATATGTATATATTTATATATACACTTTTATATATACATATGTGTATATCTTTATATGTGTGTATAAATGCCTTTATATACGTACACATATACCTTTATGTGTATATACTTTTATATGTGTTATGTATGTACACACAACTTTATATATACATGTGTATATATCTTTATATAGGTATATAAATGTCTTTAAATATGTATATACATATCTTTTGTATTTATTTATTTTTTTTTGAGACGGAGTCTCGCTCTGTCGCCCAGGCTGGAGAGCAGTGGCACAATTTTGGCTCACTGCAACCTCTGCCTCCCGGGTTCAAGTGATGTTCTGCCTCAGCCTCCTGAGTAGCTGGGATTACAGGCGCCTGCCAGCACGCCTGGCTAACTTTTGTATTTTTAGTAGAGACGGGGTTTCACCATTTTGGCCAGGCTGGTCCTGAACTCCTGACCTCGTGATCCACCTGCCTCAGCCTCTCAAAGCGTTGGGATTACAGGCGTGAGCCACTGTACCTGGTCTATATGTATATCTTCTAATGTATCTTTATATATATCTTTAATATATCTTTATATACATGTACATTTTATATACATTTTTATATTTTATGTATGTTATATAAATATATACATTTATACATATATAATTATATACCTTTATTTATATATCTTTATATGTACATATATACCTATATATGCTTTTATATATGTATGTGTACATTTATATATACACTTTTATATATGCATATGTATATGTCTTTATGTGTATAAATATCTTCATAAATATATTTATATATCTATACATAACCTTTATATATGTATAAATATCTTATATAAATATATATTTTATGTGTATATATGCATTATTTGTATAAACACATATTTGTAAATGTCTTTCCATATATATGCATATATAGCTTACATATGTTTCTATACTGTTATATATAGGTGTATACCTTTACATATGTATGCATACTGTTTTATATATGTGTATATAGGTCCCTTCATGTATATATGTATATACATTTAGGTATATGTGTGTGTGTGTGTGTGTGTATATATATATACACCTTTATATATGTACATTTATCTTTATACACACAGACATATATAAACACTTCTAATATAAAGTTTTCTCTGTAATTGGAGGTGAATGTCTATCAATAATCTTTCATATAGAAATACAAGTACAGACTATAGGAGACAGAGATGCATACAACATTGGGCTGAAGAGTGTGATGTTTGAGGCTTTATTTTCAAGCATGTGAGGTTTCTGGCCTGTTTAGTTCTGCAATTTTATTTTAGAAGACATAAAGGACTTGTCCCAGATATTTTGCAAAGCTGGACCTGCATCTTTCGGACAACCAGATTGCATCCAGTCATCTTTTCTGCCGTGTTTACTTGCAATAAATAAAGAGCGCTGTCTTAGGATTTATTACAATAACAATCAGGAATAAACTAAAAATTACTAGTTATTTTTGAAAGGAGAAGCTGAGAACATTTACGATTGAGACCATCTGCTGGAAGGTCCTCCTAATCCGGCGTCGGCGTGGCTGATCTCATATCAGTTTCTCGGCAGGAAGCGGGTGCGCCTGCGTGAATTTGGAGTCCCCAGGGTAAATGTTAGTCCCGTGACGGCAAAGTGTTTTTGATAGCTAGAGCTCAGTGTTGGCATGAGTTTTCCCACGGGGAAGAGGAAGCTTTGGTGGGGCCACCCTTGACTCTCCCCTGCTGGTCACTCTTTGGAGCTCTCTTGGCAGTGACACGTTCACACGACTTGTTGCCATTCCCAATGAGCTGGACAGACCAACACCTGCAGGAAACCCCACGCTCAGACACCTGAACATCCCTCAACTCTACCTTCTCTGTCTAACAGGAGGTGGCGGCGGTGGCTACTCCAGTTATGGCAACTCCGACAACACGCACGGTACCCCTACATCTGGGCATGCGATGGTGGGTGGAGGGTGGGAGGGGTCATCTTTCTAGGGCTCCCGCTTGCACTCTGCCCTGGGCCTTCTACCTGGAGTCTTTGGTGAGTAGGGTGCTGTGTGCTGGTGCCTGGTCTTCTGAGAACCTGTCTGTGCTGGGCTGTTCTGCTTCTGTTCCCCAGGAGGGTGGGTGCAGCCACACATACACACACGCATACACACATGCACACACACACACACACACACACCCCTTTAGGTAAAAGTAAACAGAGCAAAGAACTATACAACTAATTAGAGAAAGAGAGCATCCAACAAACTGGAGAGCATCCAACAAATTCTTTAGGGGCGCAGCTCGCTTACTTCAAGCAGAATAGAAAACACTTTCAATGGCTGGGCGCGGTGGCTCATGCCTGTAATCCCAGCACTTTGGGAGGCTGAGGTGGGAGGATTGCTTGAGCCCAGGAGTTTGAGACCAGCCTGGACAACATGGAAAAACCCTGTCTCTACAAAAAATACATATATGCAAAAATTAGCCAGGCGTGGTGGCATGTGCCTGTAGTTCCAGCTACTCAGGAGGCAGAGGTAGGAGGATCACTTGAGCCCAGGAGGTCGAGGCTTCAGTGAGCAGACAGAGATAAGATCGTGCCACTGCACTCCAGCTTGGGTGACAGACTGAGATCCTGTCTCAAAGAAAAAGAAAAGAAAAGAAAAGAAAAAAAGCAAGAGAACTCTTTTGGTCGGTGCTTATGCCCAGAGTGAAAGCCGTGTTCTACAGAAGCCATAAACAGGCTCTTGGCTTGGTTGAGTTTTTCTCATGGAGACCAGGGGACCTTGAAACCCTCAGATCCTCTCCGGTTTGGAAAACGACTGAAGCAAAATGTCATCACTGAGAAAGAAAACAATAACAAAACACTCTGTAGGTTGATTTTAAACCATCATCTCCGTTTTAACATTTTCCCTTTGTTAAGAGTTTTGTACACCTTCAATGAATTGAGTAACCATCTTTTCTTTTTTTTTTTTTTTTTTTTGAGACAGAGTTTCACTTGTTGCCCAGGCTGGAGTGCAGTGGTGTGATCTCTGCTCACTGCAACCTTGGCCTCCCGGGTTCAAGTGATTCTCCTGCCTCAGCCTCCCAAGTAGCTGGGATTACAAGCATGTGCCACTACACAGGGCTAATTTTTGTTTTTTTAGTAGAGACAGGGTTTCACCATGTTGGTCAGATTGGTCTTGAACTCTTGACCTCAGGTGATCCATCTGCCTCAGCCTCCCAAAGTGCTGGGATTACAGGCATGAGCCACTACACCTGGCTAATTTTTGTATTTTTAGTACAGATGGGGTTTCACCTTGTTGGTCAGGCTGGTCTTGAACTCCTGACCTCAGGTGATCCGCCCTCTTCAGCCTCCCATAGTGCTGGGATTACAGACGTGAGCCACCATGCCCGGCCTTGAGTAACCATCTTTTTGGTTAAAACTAATATGTGCCAAGAGCTCTGGTAATGTGGGAAGTACTTTTTTTTCTTTTTCTTTCTTTTTTTTTTTTTAAGATATGGTCTCATTAGGCTTTGTGAGAGCCAAGGCTGTTGGCCCCCTAAGTTTTCTCTGAATCACTGACATGAGGCAGCTTAATTAACAGGAGAAAAAGCGTATAAATTTATTGAGTGGATATACACGCAAACCTTCAGAACCAAGACTCAACCACCAATGGGATGCAAAAGCTTATAGACCATCTTTTTTAACTTTGATGTTAGGTTCAGGGGTCCTTGTGTAGGGTTGTTACATAGGTAAATTGTTTGTCACCGGGGTTTGGTGTACACATTATGTCATCACCCAGGCAATAAGCATAGTACCTGATAGGTAGTTTTTCCATCCTCACTCTACTCCCACCCTCTGCCCTCAAGTAGGCCCTGGTGTCTGGTGTTCCCTTCTTTGTGTCCATGTTGTCAATCGAGAAAAATGACGAGACGAGCGTAAAAGATTTATTTGCCAAAGTTAAGGTTAAGGGCGCGCCCCAGGAGACAGGTCTGTGGCCTTCTCCGAAGATGATTTTGAAGGCTGCAAATTTAAAGGGGAAAGGGTGGGGGTAGGGAAAAAGAGTTATTCATGCTTTTGTCTGGCTCAGTGAATCTGTGTTTTTTTACATAAGATGGCATAGACAAATGGGGCAGAGGGAAAATGCAGGGAATCTGCATGTTGCATAAGATAATCTGGACAAAATGGGGCAGGGGAGCAATCACATATGATTTGTGTCTGCTGGGCGGGGGTGACTGCAAAGCTGTCGATTTGCATATTGTCATGGTGAAATCTTCACAGCTCACTAGGATTTTCCTTGTGGGCAAAATATGGGGGAGACGTGTAGCTTTTCATCTTGTAGCCATTTTATTTAGGAACCAAAAGGGGGAGGCAGGTTTGTGTGACCCAGTTCCCAGCTTGACTTTTCCCTTTGACTAAATGAGTTCAGGATCACAAAATTTAATTTCCTTTCACAATGCGTACTCCGTGTTTAGCTCCCACTTGTAAATGAGAACACATGGTATTTGGTTTTCTGTTCCTGCATTAGTTTGCTCAGGAGAATGGCCACCAGCTCGATCCATGTTGCTGCAAAGGACATGATCTTGTTCTTTTTTATGGCTGTGTATATGGGCCACATTGTATATGGGCCACATTTCCCTTATCCAGTCTACCATTGATGGGAACCTAGGCTGATTCCATGTCTTTACTATTTGAGTTTGCTATTTGTTGTTCTTTGCAGGAAGAATGTGGGCTCAGAGCATGGCCCCAAATAGGTGACGTTGGTAAAGCAGGTTTAACGGGTGGCAAGCCAGGTGATGAGAGGGAGACAGGAAGAGGCCTGCTTAGCAAGGGGGTCCTTGTTATGCAGATGAAGGTTCCCAGGTAGCAGCGCTCAGAGACGACCATGGTAAATGTTTCTTTTCAGACCTGTAAAGGTGTCAGAGTCTCCGTTTCTCTCTCCTACATCCAGGAAAAGCTTAGAAAGGGAAGGCCTGGCTGCAACAGCAAAGATCCTCTACAGATGCCAATTTCCCCACCTCAGTCTGCTGGCCCTGGAGCGGCAATTTCAAAATAAGGCAAAGCAATATATTTTGGAGTAAAATATTTTGATGTCCGTCATCTTCGTTACCTCGGAAGCGAGTGTTGTCATCAGATCCATTTAACAAAATGAAAGCAATGCATGACGCTCGACTGTCCACTTCAAAGGAGCAATAGCTGTGGCCCTATAGGTAGCCCATCCTCAGAACTCACTCCCTATGACACAGACAAGCTTCAGGATGGGAGGGGGCTCATGACAAAGTGCTCATTACCTGGGGTCAAGAACTGTCTACTTTTGGCCGGGCATGGTGGCCCACGCCTGTAATCCCAGCACTTTAGGAGGCCAAGGTGGGTGGATCCCTTGAGTTCAGGAGTTCAAGACCAGCCTGGGCAAAATAGTGAAACCCTGTCTCTACAAGAAAATACAAAAATTAGCTGGGCATGGAAGTGTGCGCCTGTGGTCCCAGCTACTCGGGAGGTGTAAGTGACCCTGGAAGTTTGAGGCTGCAGTGAACCGTGATAGCACCACTACCTTCCAGCCTGGGCCATGGAGTGAGACCCTGTCTCAAAAAAAAAAAAAAAAAAAAAAAGGACACTAAAAAAGAATTGACCACCTTCAACTCAACGTACTATGAGATGAGTTCCTTCCACCATCTTTCTGGAACTAGCTAAGGGGTTCCCCTTACCTACTACCTAGGTAGACCTGATTTATTAAGACGGGAATCGCAATAGAGAAAGAGTTTAATTCACACAGAGCTGACTGAACGGGAGCATGTGAAGCAGCTATGCTGTCTGGGGTACATACCTGGGGTTCATTGTTGCACGCTGAGAAAGAATTCAGGACACAGACACATGTGGTTGGGTTAAGGAGTTGAAAGTTTAATAGAAGAAAGGAGAGAGGAGAGCAGCTCCTTGCAAGAGAGAGAGGGAGAGAGAGAAAGAGAGAGAGAGAAAGAGAAGCATCTGAAAAAGTTGGGAGGTTGTGGACCGCAGCAGCTTTTGTAGGCAGGCTGGAGGAGGTGGTGTCTGATTTACATAGGGCTTACAGACTGGTTCGATCAGGTATGACTTCTACATAGTGCGTGGGGAAGGCTGGTGGCCCCACCCTAATTTTGTTATGTAAATGGGCTTTCCAGTTGGTCAGTGCCATCTTGTCTGCTACTTACTGTACATGGGGCTGACAAAGAGGAGGGAAGATGAAGCTGCCATCTTGAACGTGTCTAGGCCCTAGTTCCTGCCGGCATTCACCCATGTAAGCTCCTAGCTGGCTTGTCTATGTCTGCAGCTCAACTTTATTTTTTATTTTTTATTTTTTTTTGAGACGGAGTCTCGCTCTGTCGCCCAGGCTGGAGTGCAGTGGCGTCATCTCGGCTCACTGCAAGCTCCGCCTCCCGGGTTCACGCCATTCTCCTGCCTCAGCCTCCCGAGTAGCTGGGACTACAGGCGCCCGCCACCACGCCTGGCAATTTTTTCTATTTTTAGTAGAGACGGGGTTTCACCGTGTTAGCCAGGATGATCTCGATCTCCTGACCTCGTGATCCGCCCGCCTCGGCCTCCCAAAGTGCTGGGATTACAGGCGTGAGCCACCGCGCCCGGCCACAGCTCAACTTTACAGGCTGCTCTTTGTTAGAAAATGATTTGGGGCTGCTTTTCATTAAAAAGAAAAGCCTTACCAAGGACTCCCATACCCTTGCTATGTGCCTAAGTAATTAACTAATTCCTTCTTAACTCCTATATCAACTGGAGGTTTTGCTTTTTTTTCTTTAAACAGGGTTTCATTTTGTTACCCAGGCTGGACTGCAGTGGTGAAATCATAGCTCACTGCAGCCTCAACCTCTTGGGCTCAAGCGATCCTCCCGCCTCAGCCTCCTGTGTAGCTAGGACCACAGGTGTATGCCACCACACCTGCCTAATTTTTAAAAAATTTTTGTAGAGATGGGGTCTCACTATATTGCTCAGGCTGGTCTTCAACTCCTGGCCTCAAGTGTTTCTCCGACCTCAGCCTCCCAAAGAGCTGGGATTACGGGCATGAGCCACTGCACCTAGCCAAGACTGGAGTTTTATGACTCAAATCAGCTTCCCCCAAAATTTGGACACTGGGCTTTTTAACGTGTAATTTGGCTGGTAGGAGACCCGGGCGTGGGGAGTGCTGAGTGGTTGGTTGGAGGTGGAATGACAGAGGACGGACATGGGTTCTTTTTGTTGTCTTCTGTTCTTGTGTGGGACGGCAGAGCTCGCTGAGCCGCATTACCAGTCTGGGTGGCGCCGGCTGGTGCATCTCAATGAAGGGTTTAAAAAATGTCTCAACTTCAACCTTAGGTTTTACAATAGTGATGCCATCCCTAGGAGCAACTGAAGAGGTTTGGAATCTTGTGGCCTCCGGCTGCATGGCTCCTAACCTATTAATATAATTTCTAATCTTGTGACTAATTTGTTAGTCTTTCAAAGGCAGTCTGATCCCCGGGGAAGAAGGGAGTTTGTTTCAGAAAAGGGCTGTTATCTTTGTTTGAATGTTAAGCTGGAACTTCCTCCTATGGTTATCTGAGTCTGTGTTCAGGAATGAACTAGGGCTGTTCGAGGGCTACAGGCACGATGCAGTCGGTTAGGTCAGATCTCTTTCACTGTCGTAATTTTCTCACTGTTATAATTTTTGCAAAGGCGGTTTCAATTTAACTGAAAATGTCAGGCAAAGACCAAATTTAATATTTTTACAGAAAGCCACTGGGAGTAGTTTTTTATTGTTTTATTATTTATTTATTTAGAGACAGAGTCTCACTCTGTTGCCCAGGCTGGAGTGCAGTGGTGCAATCATAGCTCACTGCAGCCTCAAACTCCTGGGCTCAAGCGATCCTCCCACCTCAGCCTCCCGAGGAGCTGGGGCTACAGGCACACACCATCATACCCAGCTAAATTTTTAAGAAATTTTTTGTAGAGATGGGGTCTCACCGTTGTAACTGCCCAATGGGTTTACCTTGCCCCCTGCCTAAACAGGGCCGATTTATCAAGACAGAGGAATTGTAATGGAGAAAGAGTAATTCATGCAGAGCCAGCTGTGCCCGAGACCAGAGTTTTATTATTACTCAAATCAGTCTCCCCAGGCATTCAGGGTCCAGAGTTTTTAAAGATAATTTGGCGGGTAGGGGCTTGGGAAGTGGGGAGGGCTGATTGGTCAGGTTGCAGAGGGAACCATAGGGGGGTGAAGTGAGGTTTTCTTGCTGTTTTCTGTTCCTGGGTGGATGGCGGAACTGGTTGAGCCAGATTACCGGGCTGGCTGGTGTCAGCTGATCCATCCAGTGCAGAGGCTGCAAAATGTCTCAAACACCGCGCTTACGTTTTACAATAGTGATGTTACCCCCAGGAGCAATTTGCAGAGGTTCAGACTCTTGAGCCAGAGGCTGCACGACCCCTAAACCATAATTTTTCTTTTCTTTTCTTCTTTTTTTGTTTTTTTCGAGACAGAGTATCACTCTGTTGCCCAGGCTTGAGTGCAGTGGTGTGATCTCGGCTCACTGCATCCTCTGCCTCCCTGGTTCAAGCAATTCTCCTGCCTCAGCCTCCCCAGTAACTGGGACTACGGGCACATGTCACCATGCCCGGCTAATTTTCATATTTTTACCAGAGACGGGGTTTCACCATATTGTTCCGGCCGGTCTCGAACTCCTGACCTGAGGCGATCCACCCTCATCGGCCTCCCAAAGTGCTGGGATTATAGGCTTGAGCCACTGCGCCCAGCCCTAAACTATAATTTTTAATCTTGTAGCTAATTTGTTAGTCCTACAAAGTCCAACTGGTCCCCAGGCAAGAAGGAGGTGTTTTCAGGAAAAGGCTGTGATCAGTTTTGTTTCAGAGTGAAACCATGAACTGAATTCCTTCCCAAAGTTAGTTGGGCCTATGCCCAGGAATGAACAAGGACAGCTTAAGGGTTAGAAGCAAGATAGAGTCGGTTAGGTCTGGCCTCTTTCACTGTCATCATTTCCTCAGTTACAATTTTTGCAAAGGTGGTTTCGCCACGTTGCCCAGGCTGGTCTTGAACTGGGCTCAAGCGATCCTCCTACCTTGGCCTCCATAAGTGCTGGGATTACAGGCCTGCACCACCACATCCGGCCCACCTTGGAGCGTGTTATATAAAGCGAGCCGTCCCCACACCCCTACAGCCTACGAATGAGCCTTTTCACCCCATGCACGATTCTCTGAAACTGCTCTCTGTAAGGAGCTATTCGGGACACGTTCTTTTGTTCTCTGGCATACTCATCAGGTAGAAAGAAGTGATTCAGCAAGCGGCTCCCCTGAGAGCCCTGATCGTTTCCTGTTTTCCTGTGAAGTTAGTCTCGGGAGGTCTGCGCTGTGCCATTTTTGGGGGACCATTATCTGGCTCCCGAATGGATCAAAGCTTACTGGTCAGGGGGCTGCTGTATCCCTGGGGCAAAACTGCCAGAAAATAGCAGGTAGCCCTGTGGTCCTTGGCAGGGCCAGGGCCCGGTGGAAGCAGCAGCTGGGCCAAGAACATCAGGCGTGCATGAGGCACAGCCCAGTTTTGGGAGCATGACGCTTGTTTTCGAGGATGCCTGTGCTCCCCTTCCTGCCTGGACCCCTGCTCTCCAGCCCCGGCAGAGCGAGGCTGTGAGTCAGCGCTCGGATTAGCATCAGCATGGAGGTGCCGGCTGGGATGCAAGCCGCCGCCATGGGATGAGTCACGCGGCTTCTCCCCGAATCCCCAAAGGAGGCAGAGCGTGTTAGGCTTGTTCTGGCTTCATGCAGAGCACTGAGGGGTGAGGGCTGACCGTGGCTGGCCGCGGAGGGAAGCCCAAAGTCTGGCCTCCCTGCGGAGACTGGGGAGAAAATGTTGCGCTCGTCGTTTTTAAATACTGGGGGACAAGTTTCCCTTGTCTGCTAAGGCTGCCATTGTAAATTACAAGAGTCAGGAGGGCTGAAGCAAAAGGGATTTCTTCTCCCACAGTCCTGGAGGCTGGAAGTCTGAGATCAAGGTGTGAGCAGGGCTGGTTCCTCCTGAAGCCTCTCTCCTTGGCTCGTCGACATCATCATCTCCCTGTGTCCTCACAGGGTCGTCCCTCTGTGTGTGTCTGTGTTCCAATCTCCTCTCCTTATGAGGTGTCTTAGTCCATTTCAGGCTGCTATCACAGAATACTATAGACTGGGTGGCTTAGAAACAGCAGACATTGATTCTCTCACCGTCCTAGAGGCTGGAGGTCCAAGATCAAGGTGTGAGCAGGGCTGGTTCCTCCTGAGGCCTCCCTCCTTGGCTTGTAGACACCATCTTCTCCCTGTGTCCTCACAGGGTCGTCCCTCTGTGTGTGTCTGTGTCCTCATCTCCTCTTCTTATAAGGTCTGTAGTCCTATTGGATTAGGGCCCACCCTAGTGATCTCGTTTTATTTTAATCACCTCTCTAAGGACGTTGTGTTCAAATACAGTCACAGTCTGATGCCCTGGGGGTTAGGACTGCGACCTGTGAATTTGGAGGGGGATATAGTTCAGCCCATAGAACCCACTATCCACATAAGTCATTCCACTTCAAAATCAGCACAAAGCATTAGTTTTAAAAATCTCAAATCTGTATTTTTAAAAATTGCTCTTAACACATTAGAAAAATATAGAAAAACTTTTTTTGCTGTTTTTCTGAGACAAAATCTCACTCTGTAGCCCAGCCTGGAGTGCAGGGACGTGATCATAGATCATTGCAGCCTCCACCTCCTGGGCTCAAGCAATCTTTTGCCTCAGTCGTCTCCCAAGTAGTAGCTGAGACTACAGGTGCACATCACCACACCCAGCTATTTTTTTTTTTTAAGTAGAAACGGGGTCTCACTATGTTTCTCAGGCTGGGCTCCAAATGAGCTCAAGTGGTCTTACCGCCTTAGCCTCCCAAAGTGGTAGGATTACAGGTGGGAGCCACCACACCCAACCTGGAGGAACTCTTTTTTTTTAAAATTTTAAATAAATTACTATTTGTGGCCTGCGTTTTCATCCTATTCTCTTTTTTTTTAACCAACATTTGCTGGCATTTTTTTTTATGCCGAAGAAAACACCTTTGCCCATCTATGTCAGGCCTCCAGACCCTCAGGGATGTACATCTAATGCACCTTCAGCCACCGGTGTAAACAGTAAACAGGGGCCAGATGGCGCCTGTGCACCTTCCCTGGCCTTGGGAGAGCATTGGAATCTCTGCAGCTTTTAAGAGCATCTTGCTTCAGGTTTGCTGACCTGCTTGCTTCTGTAAGATCATGCAGACTTCCTGAGCAATATCTAGCATTTCATGGTCTCTTTTCTATCCTGCAGGAAGAGGGGGCTATAGACTCAACTCTCGTTATGGAAATACTTATGGTAAAGGAATTATGTCTTACAGAATATGTGAGGCAAAACTGTCCATTTGCAAATAACTAACACACTGTCTGCACTGATGGGAAGCTGATGCTTTCATCCAGTGCACAACCAACTGGCCGTTCGAGTCTCTCATTTGCATTTTCCTTGGTCATCCATGCTGGGGGGAGATGTTGTGCATGCCCTGAGGACTTCATTTCTTCAAAGGAACTATGGCCCACTTACAGGTGTTACTGGGTGCATGTGTGTGCACGTGTGTGTGTATACATATGTGTTCACACACAGGTATGCTTGTGTGTATTGTGTGTGCATGCATGTGTACATGTGCATGTGGATTTTGTAATCATGTGCATAAGTGCATGTGGATTTCATGTGCATGTGTGCAAGTGTCTGTGCACACATGTGGATTGAGCACATGCATGTTTGTGTATGTGCACAGATGTGTTGGCATGTACTTGTGGATTTTGCATGTGTGCATGCTTGTGCTTGGGTTGCATGTGCATTGCATGTTTCCCATGTGTGTCCATTCACATGCATACATTTAGGGGTGTGCAAGCACATGTGTGCATGTGGATAGATGCAGGAGTGTGCATCTGGGTGTGCTCGTGTGGTATGTGCATACTGCACGAATATATCATGTGCATCTGTGCATGTGGATTGTGTGTATACATGCGTGTGTACAGGCATGCACACACACACATGAATGTGTTTGTGTGTGCATATTTGTGTGTACATGCATGTGTTTATGCATACAGGTGTAAACATGTGCACACATCGGTGTGTGCATGTGCACACATGTGTACATGTGTATGTTTAGGCGAATTGTGCTTTATATGTGCTTTTGTTGCCTGTGTGTGTGGTATGTGCATGTGTGTGTATGTGGGGATGTGTGGGATGTGCATGTGTGTGGATGTGCACATTGCATTGTGCTTCTGTGTTGCATTTGTATTTACATGTTGCACATGTGTGTAAATGCATGTGTGTGTGCACGTGTGTATGCGTGCTTGTCTGCCTGTGTGTTGCACGTTTGTTGCATGCTGCATGTGTGTATGCATGTGCACACACATTTGTGCATGTCAGTGTGTGTTGCATGTGCTTGTGTATGAATGGCGTGCGTGTGTGCATGTGTGTCCATGGGGTTGTCAGCCTGTGTGTGTTTTGCATGCGCATGTATGTAGACTCTCCAATCCTGAAATTAAAGCTGCATCTCCCTCTCCCTGGTATTATCCCCATTCTGCTAATGACCATTAGACATGGCATACACATTCACATTCCTCCTCCTTATGCTGCTTGGCTGTCCCCCTCCCCCCACAAGAATGTAAATTCCCTGAAAACAGGGATCTGTGTGCTGTGTTCACAGTCGCATCCTCAACAGTGCCCGGCAATATAAGGCCCTCCATAAGCTCTGCTGAATAAACACGAACATCCTTTTCCGCTTACAGGTGGAGATCACCATTCAACGTATGGCAATCCAGAAGGTAACTGATTGACTCACCCGGTCCCAACCTTTAATAAGAGCACACTCTCCTAGATCAGTGCTGGGAGGAGCTGTGTGGGCTTCTGTTTCCCAACCTCATGACTTTCACGGAGCACTCATACTTTGTATGTATATAAAGTAGCTCCTGAATAAAAATATCTGACCTTCAGCACAGGACCAATCAGAGTTCAGAGAAAGGAGAGGCAAGCATTGGTTTTCACTGCAGAAGATGCCCCTTAGCTCTCAAAGCAAGGCTGTGAATGAGTGCTGAGACTATTACATTTCTCCCAGTACCACCATTACTCCCCTTTCTTTGACCAGCACTAACTTGAAACCCAAGAAGGACAGGAGAAAGGAAGGTATGAACACTCTGCCCAAAGAAGCCATCAGAGTGCACTGTCAATCCCGTCTCAGGTCAAAGGAGGGAGAACTTGAAGCCCAGAAGGCTGACTTTGTGTCCTGTATTGTTGGGAGAACAGGTTCCCCATTCCCTAAGGGTCATATTCTTAGAGATTTGGGCTGACACCTGCTTGAGTTTAAGTTGAGAGTAAACGCACTCAACCCCAAGGCTCTTGTGAGTTTTCAATTATGGGGGAGGAGAAAGTGATTGAAGGTGACCTCTACCTTTCAATGATCATGCAGAGTACTAGTATCAATATTTTTGGGGTATGTTGGCATCCTTAGAAAAATTTATGGTTTCACCTTTTTCCCTCTGTGGTGTAAAGTGAGGTCCAGAGATGGAAAGGGCAAGGCAAATAAACAAGTAATTGCAGTCAAATCTGATGAATAATTTCCTGGAACATATGGGATCCTGTAGCAAGGCAGAAGGGATACTCCTAGACTAGGTTAGGTGAGGGAGGTAGGGTTTCCTGGAGAGAACAATATCCAAGCCAATCCCCCAAAATATGGGTGGGAGGTGCCCAGGAGAAGAGTGAGGTGTCAGGGAAGATGGTGCACTAGGTAGAGCTGGATACACACGTGGGGACACCGGAAATTGTGTAGCCAGGATGTGGAATGCAACGGGAACCAGGGAAGGATGCAATGGTGACCAGGAAAGACCTCCAGGTTAGCAGAGGTGGAGTCTGCACTTCATAGAACCTTCATGGGAAGGAGCCTGCCCCTGTTGATATGTAGGTGAAGAATGGACCTGAGGGGGCTCACTAAGACCCAGGGAGACACCCTTTCAGACCAGTTCAGTACTCCCTGGAAATGATGACAGGCTGAATTAAAGCCTGGGCAAAGGAGGCAAAGAGAAGCAGTCAGCTTGGATGACCACTTGGTAATGACAATTGATTGTACTTGATTGATTTGTAAGAGATGAGAGAGAGGAAAAGGTATGTATCAGTCAGCTATGCTGTGTCACAAAAAACCCCAAAACTTAGTAGCTGGAAATAACAACCATTTATTATGTTCGTGATTATGTGAGTCAGCAATTTGGGCTGACACCATTCTAGTGGTCCTCCTGGTCTCTTCTGAACTCCCTCTCTTGTGTGCAGTCAACTGTAGGTGTGGCCAGCGCTTTGACCATGTTTCCTGGGTCTTCTTATGTATCTGGGACTTTAGGTGGAATGGCTCATCTCAGCTTCATGTGGGCTCTCACATCCCTCCAGGAAGCCAGGCCAGGCTTCATCACATGGTGACCAGACAGGGTACCAAGAGCATGAAGAGAAGCGTGCCTGGGCTTAGAGCCACCATGCCTTCACTTGTGTGACATTCTGTTGGCTAAAGCCTGGATTTTCAGAATGAAGATGCAGCTCCACCTCTGGATGGGGAACACTGTGAAATCATACTGTGGAGCGTGTTCATGTAGGGAGGGGAAGAATAGAGGGCTGTCTCTCCCAGGAGGCAGGGTGTGGCGGGCGGCAGCATCAGCCGTAGAGCAGGTTCTTGCGTTCAGTGACAACACTCTTCCCCCCAGCATGGCAGCCTCATTCGTGGAGCAGTCTTGTGTCCCTCACCTATGCCATGCCATGTATTGGCCCAGGTGTTCAACCCTGTCTGAAGAAAGCCATGCATGGAAAGGGTGGCTATTTCAAATGGAAACGGTGATTTCTTCCTTTTTTCCCTTTGGAAGTGTTGATTTTTGTCACATCAAGCTCCTTCTTGTTCTTTGTGCAGGAGTGCCAAAGCTCTGGAGCAATTTGCCATCGAGGCATTGAGGATGCTTGTGTCTAGTGTGTGCTTGGGTCTAGAGTTCCAGCATGCCTTTGAAAGCAAGCCTATCTGGCAGTTTTTAGTGGAACAATATTTTTGCATGAGTGGGCATTCTACATCTAAAAAGGCACAAAATAGTTTTGACATGTGCCTGTCATCCCAACTACTCAGGAGGCGGAGGCAGGAGGATCACTTGAGCCCAGGAGTTCAGGACGAGCTTAGGCGGCATAGTGAGACCCCATCTCTAAAAAAATAAATCAGGCCAGGCGCGGTGGCTCCCCTCTGTAATCCCAACACTTTGGGAGGCTGAGGCGAGTGGATCACCTGAGGTCAAGAGTTCGAGACCAGCCTGGCCAACATGGTGAAACCCCATCTCTACTAAAAATGCAAAAATTAGTTGGGCATGGTGGCATACACCTGTAGTCCCAGCTATTCGGGAGGCTGAGGCAGGAGAATCGCTTGAACCCGGGAGAAGGAGGTTGCAGTGAACTGAGATCACGCCACTGTATTCCAGACTGGGCGACAGAGCAACATTCCGTCTCAAAAAATAATAAGAAATAAATAAATAAATAAATAAATAAAATTAATTAAAAGGCATACATGAATTGACTTCAACAAACAAACAAAAATGCCAAGTGCCTCGTCTGTGCAAATCCTGGCCTTGGATGTCTTCAGTGGTAAAATGTGGTTGACAAGCTTGGCTCTTTGTGAAAACAGAATTACTTCCTAAGGTTTTTTTTTCTTTTTTTTTAAATTAAGTTTCTCTTTTTTTTCTGTGAATACAAGGGTGGGAAGGGACGTGATGGAGAAGTTACTAGATAGATGCAAAAGTTATTGCAGTTTTTGTCATTACTTTCAATGGCAAAAACCGCAATAACTTTTGGACCAACCTAATATTTAAGCAGTTTTCCTGCAGCCATGTTTTTTTCTCGGATGAGCTTGCTTTTTCTCCACTCCTGCAGGCAATATGGTAGCAAAAATCGTGTCTCCCATCGTATCCGTGGTGGTGGTGACACTGCTGGGAGCAGCAGCCAGTTATTTCAAACTAAACAATAGGAGAAATTGTTTCAGGACCCATGGTAAGTTTGGCTCTAAACATTGTTTTGCTTGTTACTAAGCCTGATTTAAAAAAAAAAATTACTTTCAGATGTCTGTCACTAGCAAGGTTATTTCTGGTTAAGTTCAATATACATAACTTGCCTAATAATGTGATTTTTTAAAATTTATTTTTATTCTTTTTGAGACAGAGTTACACTGTGTTGCCCAGGCTGGACTGCAGTGGCAGGACCTCGGCTCACTGCAACCTCTACCTCCTGGGTTCAAGAGATTCTCTTGCCTCAGCCTCCCGAACAGCTGGGACTACAGGCATGCACCACCACGCCTGGCTAATTTTTGTATTTTTAGTAGAGATGGGGTTTCACCATGTTGGCCAGGCTGGTCTTGAACTCCTGACCTCAAGTGAGCTGCCCGCCTTGGCCTCCCAAAGTTCTGAGATTACAGGCGTGAGCCACCGTGCCTGGCCAACAATTGGGTTTTCATGGTCAGGTGTGAGCTGTACCTTCCTCTAAACCTTGTTACAATGAGGCTGGCACATTATCTGTCTAATGTAAAAGAGGAGGAGAAAAAAAGGAAAGAAAAAGAAACAAACAAACAAAAATTACCAACCTACATTGCAAGACTATAAGCATGACGGTTGGTTTAACTACCTGTTCTGTTTTGTATTCAGTGAAATTTTCGTCACAGGCGAGTCAGGAAAAATACCTGGGTTGAATGTGAATGTTTTGCCCAGAACCCCACCCGCAAAGAAAACTACCGAAACACTGAATTATAAGCCTCTCTGAAATTCCGAAGGTGCGCTCAGACCATAGGGGAGAGGAAAGATCTGCTGTGGCTTCCTGGTTCAATGCCGGCTCCACACTCCTGGGTTTGAAGAATCACTTGGGATTTGAGAGCAGAGGATGCCCTAAAGAAATCTCTGAAACAACAGTCAGGGATTGTTTTATAGCCTAAAGAGTGACTCAGATCTTTAACTGGGTGTCTCTGGAGGCTTGGTTTAAACCTCAGGCCACCCACGTCAGAATCTGTCTGGAGTTTGCCCAGGGCCCTCTAACTCATACCTTCTTTGTGTCCCCGAAGGAAACCAGAAAGGGGTGCCCATTCCTACGGTGTTTGCTTTAGGATTTGCATTTGGCCTCAAAAATCCTAAAACCTTCCCATGCGCTCCCTCTGCTGGTGAATGGGCAGTATCAACCGTTAGCTAATGAACCTCCGTTTGGGGTGAGCCTCCGTCTACATTACGCCCCGTCCTGAAATTTTAGGAGGAAACTGAGTTTCTGAAAAACTGCCTTATTTTCCTGGCAACCTGAGAGCAGATTCTTGGGTTCAGTGACAACACTCTTTCACCCAACATGGCAGCCATCATTAACGAACACCACGTGTTAACTTCAGTAGCTTTTGTGGCAGTGATTTGTAAGCCTTTGTTAACCAAGGGCTGAAACTGAGTAAGCAGAGAGAGGCACCCATCTCCACAAGCACAAAATGTAAGGGCGGGGTACAGGGGTCCCCCACAAACTCAATAATCAAGGCAAATATATTTTAGTGCAATATTTTAGAAGGAAAATCATTGGAATGGGGGCCAGTTGAGTTTCTGAAATAGGTGTAGTTTTAAAAACGTGGATGATGCCTGCCCCATTTATCTGAGGTGGAAGGAAGCACGTTTTTGCTAAAGAGGTATAATGTCTTGAAGCTCTTTCATGCCTTTTGGCTGCCTGGTAAGTATTTTTGTCTACTTTCTCCATTGTACTTCGATGATACCCTCACCAGGTATTCCCAAGCACCAAGTTTATCTTCCCCTCCCTTAAAGTTCCTGAGATCAGAAAGGAGGATGTAGACAGAGTGAGCTGATGTTAGGGAGATCTCTTCAAGGGTGAGCAGTGACATTTATGTGGATCCTGGGCCTATATCACCTCGCTGGCTGTAAAGCCTTTATACTATCTAGGAAATATGTGCATGACAGCAAATACGTATGGGTTTGGTATCAAATGGGGCTCAGAGCTCTGCGAACTTGACTCTAAAGTTCCAGGCTGCTGCTAATGGTACCCAGCTGTCCACCTCTCCTTAGTTAGGTCATTAATTTTCTCTGTCTCCTAAAGGATGACGTACATGGTATACTAACCATATCCATGGTGATGTGGTGCAGTGCACAACCTGTGGAACTGTGTACCTGCTGAGGCCATACACTGAAGCTTGCACACTTTGTAGAGAAAGAGTTGTAGTAACAGAGCTACACAGATAGAAGCAGATGTCTGTCACTTGATGTGGACTTTTAAGAATCATACTTTGCTTTTATTTTATAAAGTGGAGCAAATGACAACATCACTTCAGAAGTTATAAAGACCAACAAGGCCATATTCGAAAAAAGAAGTTCCTACAAATATTAGTTTTAACCAAAAAGGAAGTTACTCAATTCATTTAAGATCATCAAAATCCTTAACAAATGGCAAAATGTCAAAAACAATGTTTTCAAAACGAATATTTGTTTCCAGATATGATTTTAACAGTTTTTAAATATTTTCTATTTTTAATTTTTCCTGCTTTATTGAGGTATAGTTGACAAATAAACATTGTATATATTTAAGATGTACAACTTCATTTCTGCATCATTTATTTGTTCTAATCTATCTCCTTCTGCCGAATGTAAAGCAGGTGTCATGTAGACAGCACATAGTCTGATCTTGGTTTTCTTTTTTTTAAAATAGATTTTTCATTCTTCTAGCTTTATTAAAGTATGATAGACAAACATTGTATATATTTAAGATGTGCAACTTCATTTCTGCTTCATTTTTTTCTGTTCTAATCTTCCTTCTCCTAAATCTAGAGCAAGAGTCTCTTGTAACAGCATAGAATTGGATCTTGGTTTTCTTTTTCTCTGTTTAATAAGACTTTTTTTTTTGCCCCCACAATGACATTTGTTTCTAATCTTCCTTTCAGAACCAGAAAATGTCTGAAGATGTTAAGATCCCCTGATTACTTTGAGAAAAACAACTAAAACAAGAACCGTGTTTATCACTGTTGTGGAGATTTCCTTTTATTCTTGACACAATTTGATGACCTAAAGTGTGTTTTCTTCTGTGTAAAGTACATGAGCTGCCTCACTAAGCATTCCCAACTCATTGAATGTGATGTGGTTATAAAGATAAGTTAGGCAGCTAGACCCTGCGTTCTAAAAAAGGATTGCTTGCAATGTTGGTTTGGCTATTCATTTGCACAAAGAGACTGTGGCTCTCTGTTGTGAGATCTTCAGCTACCTCATGGTGCAATAACACACACACGCTTAACCATGTTGATGGCACAAAGCGGTGAGCAGTAGGGAGGTAGAATATCTTGGTGGGGAGGGGATGTTATCAGCTTCTGGGAGATGAAGAATATTGTTGAGGTTCCAAAGATGCTGGACCTGTGCTAAATTCTTCAGTGATATGAAAAAATCATTGAGCATTCATTATTGCGAATGAAGTGGGGATGCATTATTTCTGACACCCACAAGCAGGGTTTGATCATCCTTTCAGCTTTGAGATATCTGCACATAAAATTATTATTACCTGAAGAAAATAAGGCTGCATTTTGAAATGTTAAGTGCAAAATGACTGATGTTAAAACCATCTGGGGGAAATCTTGGGATGCTTTTTCCTAGGAAATCATATGGTTGTGATATGTTTTGGCGCATAGGAGACAGAAATAGTGATTATCAGGCGTTGAGCCTTTTTGTAGTATTTTTAGTCTTTGATACTCTGTAAGTGCTAGTTCCTAAGGCACCAACATTGCATTCCTTGGTTTATACTTTTTCTATTCATCAGGGTAGGAAGTCTTAAATCCTTAGGCATCCAAGAAGTATACTAGCTTTTTGCTTCTCTTTTAGAAATACTTGTGGGGAGAGAAAAAAGGATGGTTTGGGCATATTGGTATAGTTTGAGTAAACTAAGGTTAATGTTCATATAACATTTAGACTTTGCCATAAATATCAGAACCAAAGATCAAGACATTCATGTACAGTCTGGAATGTATATATGGGGCCCATAAAAATTCCCAGTATGCATGTTTTATGCTCACCATTATGAATTGGGGTCTTCAAAGAGAGAAGGTTGAAAGTGGAAAGCACTTGAAAGGGCTCCCCGGTTTGTAAAATATCTTTAATCATTCACATTAGGTACCTCGGAGTTGCGGGTCTCAAATGTGGATTCATGCATCATTTGTGCAGTTTGAAGATAGTCCATATTTCCTATTTCAGTATTAGGTCCTGCAACACTTTTCAATTCTTGTAGAAGGTTTTTTTCAGGAGTGGTGATGTCTGATGCTCAATTACTATTTTCCCTATAAGAGTTTCAGCATGAGCTTAATTAAATTCTTGTGAAAAAACCTGTGTTTTTAGTTACACACACACACACACACACACCTACTTAAATGGAATCTAAACATTTTTAGCCTTTAATCCATTCCATTTTCTAAAACTGTCATAAACTATTTTTAATCATTTTAAATAAATGTAAAAGAAAAATAACTGGATTTGATTATTGAATAGTTTTTTTCTATATTTCACAAATAAATTGTATGAAATGACTGTAGAAGTGGCCCCAAAATTATGAACCTTCGTAGCTGTGAATATGATGCCATAAATCTCTTTTAAAGCTCAAGATAGACTATGAACATATGAAATACATAGTTACCTAATCATGAGACTAAATTCACCTGGGTGACAAGGCTAACGTTCAAGCTACTTAAGATGAAAATATTTGAATCATGATTGCTTGGGGGAACCTCTCTTTGAGGGGTCATGAGGACCACCTGCTGGGCATTCTGTTTTCATGCTGAGAAGGTGAGAATTGAACAGATGAGAAAAGCCTTGATAAAACGTCATCTCCATGTAATTTAGAGAAGGATAACCTTGACTGTACAGCTGACCCTTGAACAACACAGGGCTGAACTGCACATGTCCACCTGTATGTGAGTTTGCTTCTGGCTCTGCCATTACTGAGACAGCAGGACCAACCCTCCATCTACTCAATGGGAAGATGATAAGGATGAAGACCTTTATGGTGATCCGCTTCCACTTAATAAATAGTAAATTCATTAATTTTATCTTCCTTATGATTTTCTTCATAACATTTTCTTTCCTCTAGCTTACTTTATTGTAATAATATGGTATGTAATACATATACAAAATACGTGTTCAACTGTTACCAGTAAGGCTTTCAGTCAACCAGTATGCTATGAGTAGTTAAGTTTTTGGAGAGTCAATTCATACAGCCCTTGATTTTTTTTTTTTTTTCAATTAAGTTCATTTAGATGGTCAGAAATGTCAGTTAAGCGTCATTTGAAGGTAATAACTAACCTTGAAAAACTAGTGGCTTGGGTATAGTTTTCCAAAAAGTTAGGCTGGGCGTAGTGGCTCACACCTGTAATCCCAGCACTTTGGGAGGCCTAGGTGAGGGGATTGCTTGAGCCTAGGAGTTCAAGACCAGGCTGGGCAACATAGTGAGACCCCCATCTCTAGTAACGATTTAAAAATTAGCTGGGCGTCGTAGTGCACACCTGTAGTCCCAGCTACGTGGGAGGATCACTTGAACACAGAAATTCAAGACCATAGTGAGCTGCGATAGCACCACTGCACTCCAGCTTGGGCAACAGAGTGAGACTCTCAAAGAAAGAAGGAAGGAAGGAAGGGAGGGAGGGAGAGAGGGAGGAAGGAAGGAAGAAAGGAAGGAAGGAAGGAGAGACAGAGAAGGAGGGAGGGAGGAAGGGAAGGAAGGAAGGAAGGAAGGAAGGAAGGAAGGAAATAAATTTGATTCTTTTCGCCCATAAATTTGTGATGAAGCACCAGTTTTGGAAAGCTTCCCTGCTTTGGTAGAAATAGCAGATGGCAAGATTCTGATATCTTCTACTATGAAGTTCAAAGCAGTCAGAAGTGGGCAGCTTGGTTTTTCTGAAATTTATCATTCTGACATCGGACTGAGACCTAGAGGAGATTTTTTAATGCCATCTGACAGATCTAAAATACATCTTCTAAGAGTACTATGCAAAAGTGGCAGCTGTCCTGTTTGCTTGGCTTCATTGATCCAAACCACAGGGTTGACAATTTTCCTTCACATGGATACAGTGAGGGATTCTGCAGTTATATGAGGCATTTGAGTCAAGGTGATACTTGCTTCTTGATTCCACAGATGCCACTTTTTGCCTTTGAGGACTTGCTAAAGAGTTCAGACTTTTCCTACTGTATGTTTTCTGTGCAGAAGTCATGTTGTGTGGTGAGGACCATGGATTTTATTTCATTTCTTAACCTTTCTATGCAAATGAGACCTTGAGGCTGCAGAGAACAAAATTATTGGGATGCACAAATCCAAATGGAAATAGGCTCAGTTTAGCTAAGGAGGACACTTGTGTTATCTTGTGATTCTAATGACGTTCAAGCTTTAATCACAACATTTTCGTGCAAAAGGAAAAATACATATATTATATACGTGTGTGTGTATCTCCTGTAAAATAAAAACAATATATTGTATTAAGGAGGCCTTGCAGCTGTTGTCCTTATAGCTTCAGAAATTTTATTTTTTTCAATATATTATTCTTAGGTCTGTAGTATGAAAGTTCTTTTAAAATAAACTGTACAACAATTTCACAAAATATTCAAAATAAAAAAGAGGGAGTGTTTGGATATTAATTGTCACTAAATTTAATAATTAAAATACTAAAAATTTTACAAAGGGGTGACCACACTAAAATTCATATATCCCCAAAGATCTCTTAAAAATTAGATTTTTCAGGCTGGGTGCAGTGGCTCATGTCTGTAATCCCAGCACTTTGGGAGGCCAAGATGGGGGGATCACTTGAGGCCAGAGGTTGGAGACCAGCCTGGGCAACAGAGCAAGACCCCATCTGTACAAAAATTTTGTAAAAATTAGCTGGATGCAGTGGTGTGTGCCTGTAGTTATAGCTACTTAGGAGGTTGAGGCAGGAAGATCACTTGAGCCCAGGAGTTCAAGGCTGTAGTGAGTTATGATTGTGCCACTGCATTCCAGCCTGAGGAACAGAGTGAGAGCTTGTCTCTAAAAAAGAAAAAAAATAGATATTTTGAACATTGCAAAAGCCTACAATCTTTTTAATATTGATTACTTTAGTTAAATTCTTCTCCATTTAATGTGATTTTAGAAGTAATCCTTTTACATCTGGAAAATGGAGAATAATTTATTATTTCACCCAGAGAATGATAAATCAATCAATCAAAATATAGCAATCTAGAAAGCTAATAAATAATGTTCTAATTAGGGAGACCTACTGCCAGTAGGAGTAATAGATAATAACAATACTATTTGCTGAATCATTTTATTTTAGTAGAAAAATAAGCTTTCAAAGTAATTTATTTACTTATTTATTTATTTTTGAGATGGAGGCTCACTCTGTCGCCCAGGCTGGAGTGCAGTGGCACGACCTCGGCTCACTGCAACCTCCGCCTCCCGGGTTCAGGCGATTCTCCCTGCCTCAGCCTCCTGAGCAGCTGGGATTACAGGCACCCACCATCATGCCCAGCTAATTTTTGTATTTTTAGTAGAGACGGGGTTTTGCCATGTTGGCCAGGCTGGTCTTGAACTCCTGACCTCAGGTGATCTGCCCGCCTCAGCCTCCCAAAGTGCTGGGATTACAGGCGTGAGCCACTGCGCCCAGCCTTTTAAAATAATTTACATACTTTACACATGTACACATAAAAATGGATGTTGGTTGGATGTGGTGGCTCATACCTGTAATCCCAGCACTTTGGGAGGTCGAGGTGGGTGGATCACTTGAGCACTTGAGCCTTGGAGTTTGAGACCAAGCTTGGCGACATATCGAGACTCTGTCTCTACAAAAAAATTAAAAAATTAGCTGGGCGTGGTAGTACATGCCTATGGTCCTAGCTACTTCGGAGGCTGAGACAGGAGAATTGCTTGAGCCTGGGAGGTTGAAGCAGCAGTGAGCTCTGATTGCACAATTGCACTGAAGCCCAGGTGACAGAGCAAGACCCTGTCAAAAAAAAAGGATGTCAGTGATAATGAGTTGTTTATAAAGATAGAATTAGAGTTCCAGGGATGACTGGAGAGGTATAGTGTATTATAACCCCTACCATGTGCCCGTCAGGGACTGGTACTTAAAAGTCAAAACAGTAACTGCAGAATTTGAGAGGTGTACAAAGATAGTCTCTCAAATAGTGCTCAGTTATTAGTTCAGCGATGGTCAGTTTGTGCATAGCTATGAAACTAGCTTATCACGGTAAAAAGTGTGTACGCTTCACTATCTTGTAGCATTTAGTTTCCCAGCAGGGCCATGCGACACCCAGTGGACATTTCTAAATTGTACATTCAAAAAAATGTTACCACTGGCTGCAACATTTTTTTCATTAAACATAAAAGTTGGTCTTGGGGGTGTCATTCAATGCCTTTTCTGCTTCCTTCAGAATTCTAAAGGCTTCCACCACAACTTTGATCTGAGCCCAGTTATGAACTTCATACAAAGCTGCAGGGAGGAGCCTGTGTCTGTTGAAGAAAGGCTCACAAGATCCCATGGTAAGGGGAGAGGAGAAGGGGTAATGAGGAAGAAAGGCAGCTTTCCAGGGGCCGAGTCCGGAAGACCAGACTTGTCAGAGAATGGAACTAGCTTGTCCAGTCTCAGCCCATGAGAGAGTTTCACGCCACGTGCTATTCTGGTTCTGAACATTGAGCACTTGGGTGACTTGGAATGGCCTCCATCTAAGCTGCATCTTCCCCCATAGTTCCAAATATAAATGCAATGCATTCCCTGGGTTCCTGCCAGCCATTGTCACGTTTTTGCTTCACAGCTGTCTCCTCCCTGCTCCCCGTCCTATTCATCTGCCCCTTGCTAGACAGGTATTCATGAAACATGACTGCTTGTTTATGAATAGCTGGGATGTAGACATGACATACGGAAAGAGAAGCTGCCAATTTTTCCCCAACCAAAAGTGAAAACAGTGCTTGGACCTAACAAGCATAGAATGTTTGATCCCATAGCAGAGCTGGTGGGAAGGCTGGGGGCAAAATCTGACACTGTCCACCATTGGCTGTAGACCAAAGGGAGGCTGCAGACCAAAGGGAGGCCGCAGGGAGGTGAGATCATTTCAATCGCAGGTCCCCACCCACTACGAGCACTTCCTCACCCACATCCTCTGTTCTAATCTTTTCTGTCTATCTCTTATCAACTTCCAACATATGATAACGTATCACCTTTTATTGTTTCTCTCCCGGCTCCATCCCCACTAGAATGCAACTGCTACAAAGGCATGGATTTGTCCCCAGTTTCCAGAAACATGACTGGCATGTAGTAGATGCTCATTAAAGACTTATTTATTTATTTATTGAGACAATGTCTTGCTCTGCCGCCCAGGCTGGAGCGCTGCAGTGTGATCCTGGTTCACTGCAGCCTCAAACTCCTGGGCTCCAACGATCTTGTCACCTCAGCTTCCTGTGTAGCTGGCACAACAGGCATGTCCTACCATGCCTGGCTAATTTATTTATTGTTTTTGTAGAGACGGGGTCTCACTGTGCTTCCCAGGCTGGTCTCGAACTCCTGGGCTCTAGTGATTTTCCCACCTTGGCCTCCCAAATTGCTGGGATTACAGACTTGAGCCACCACGCCTGGCCCTAAAGACTTATTAAACACACGGGAAAATGAATGAATGAAGCCCTCGTTCAGGCCACAACTTTAATAATATTAAAGAGGAGATATTTTCTTTTGGTATTCTAGCTAAAGACTTTTGGGATGAGATGGATAGGGATATTAACAAATGTGTGTGTTTTTAAAAAATATACATATTATGAAATAAAACATCTGGAAGACCTCCATAACTCAATGAACCAATATTCTACAAATGACCCATGTGTGAAGTGGCAGAATCATGAATGGATAAAAGGTTTGTCTGAAGCTTAAGATAAACCTGTGGGTTTTAAATGTGTAGACTTTAAAAATTCAGTGATAGGATTTCAGATTCCACACTACCTTATCTTTGAGAAGCTATTGATGATCAAGTTTTGTCATCAAAGGAGAACATTCACAGTTATTTGAAAAGATTACTAAAATACTTTTTCTAACTATGTATCTTTGTGAGGCTAGATTTTCTTCATCTACTTTAACCTGAACAACATAAGGAATGCTGATCTGAGAAACTGGTTGTCTCCTCATAAGTCAGATATTAACAAGATTTGTAAACATGTAAAACAGTACACTCTTCCCCTATGAAAATTTTTCTGTTTGAAAAAATATATCCCATTTTTCATAAAATTATGTTATTTATGTAAAATGTAGTGGATTTATCTTTAAAATTATTAAATAGTCAAAAACTTCATTTTAATTTTAGAAAATATAGAAATATTAATTTTAATTTATTACAGCGTTAAATTTAATGCAATATAATTTAATTACAGAACATGTAGACATTTACAATGCACAAAAACAAAAGTTCCTCTAGGCCCTTAATCATTGTTAAGAGGGCAAAAGAGGCAGGGCGCGACGGCTCATGCCTGTAATCCCAGCACTTTGTGAGGCCGAGGCGGGCGGATCACCTGAAGTCAGGAGTTCGAGACCAGCCTGGCCAACATGGTGAAAACCCGTCTCTACTAAAAATACAAAAATTAGCCGTGTGTGGTGGCACGTGCCTGTAGTCCCAGCTACTCGGGAGGCTGAGATAGGAAAATTGCTTGAACCCGGGAGGTGGAGGCTGCAGTGAGCTGAGATCACGCCACTACACTCCAGCCTGGGCAAGACAGAGAGAGACTCTGTCTCAAAACAAAACAAAAAAAGAAGGCAAAGGAATCCTGTGACCAACATGTTTCACAATTTCTGCTTGATGTTATAAATGATGGCACTTTCCCCCGGAAATCTCTGCAGTTTTATCAGTCTCCCTCCCTGTCTGACCACCTCAATCCTTTTCTATCTCTGCTGACTCAAAATGGTTGAAGCAATAAAGACAGCATCTGTAACAAGATGTACTTAGATTCAGGACCTCTGGGCTGGGTCAGTTTGAGGGCTTAACAATGTCCTCCAGTAGCCAGGTTCTCTGTGTCTTGCAGTCCTGTGTTTCATAAGTCATCGGCCCATTTCACTCATGGCAGAAGATGGCTGCTGTACCTCCAGCCATCACAGCCTCATCTACTAATATCTGGAGGCCCAATTAGGATCATTTCCTCCCAGATTTTCTCTTTTAAGAGCAAAGACATTCTTTCAGGGATCAAGCCCAATTCCTCATCCCTGATTTACACACAGCCCCTAACTAAAAGTAATCAGGTGTAGGCCAGGCATGGCAGCTCACACTTGTAATTCCAACACTTTGAGAGGCTGAGTCAGGAGGATCACCTAAGGTCAGGAGTTCAAGACCAACCTGGCCAACATGGTGAAACCTCGTCTCTACTAAAAATACAAAATTAGCCAGGCATGGTGGTGGGCGCCTGTAATCCCAGCTACTTGGGAGGCTGAGGCAGGAGAATCGCTTGAACCTGGGAGGTGGAGGTTGCAGTGAGCCAAGATCGTGCCATTTCACTCCAGCCTGGGCAACAGAGTGAGACTCCCTCTCAAAAAAAAAAAAAAAAAAAAAAAGCCTGAGAAAGCATGAAGGAACCCTGGGAAAAAATACAGGCTCCACCAACAATAAGGAAAAATGATGGTTGACTGGGTAGCCAGTAGCATGTGCTGCAAATCATTTGCTTATTTTGTGTCAAGTTGTTTGCCAATGTAGCTCTTTATATATTATATATTATTATGTTACTCTTTACCAAAATATAAAATATTGAGATGTAATTGTAGTTGTGACCCACACACATACATGTAAATGCATGTATTGCAAATGTGTTCTCTCATTCTGTATTTGTCTTCAATTCTTAGAACCTTTGTCACAATCATGTCGTGCAATCAAGTAGCTTGGCACAAACATCTGTTCTGTGCCTTCTGAGTTTGATTTTTTGTTGTTGTTGTTTGAGACAGAGTCTTGCTCTGTCACCCAGGCTGGAGTGCCGATCATGGCTCACTGCAGCCTTGAACTCGCAGGCTCAAGCAATCCTCCCACCTTAGCCTCCTGAGTAGCTGGGACTACAGGCGTGTGCCAACACTCTCAGCTAATTTTTTTATTTTTATTTTTTGTAAAGATGAGGGGAATCTCACTATATTGGCCAGGCCGGTCTTGAATTCCTGAGCTGAGGCGATCCTCCCACTTTAGCCTCCTGAGTAGCTGGGACAACAGGCGTGTGCCAACACTCTCGGCTAATTTTTTAAAAATTTTTTGTAAAGTCAGAGGGATCTCACTATATTGGCCAGGCTGTTCTTGAACTCCTGAGCTCACGTGATCCTCCTGCCTTTACCTCCCAAAGTGCTGGGATGGCAGGCATGAGCCACCATGCCCAGCTGCCTGCCGGGTTTCAATCCTTCCTTTCCCAGCACACATGTAATTTTAAAAAGGTCTTGTAACTAACTCTCCAATAAAGTTGTCCCAGGCATATAAATGTCTTGACGTTTTCTTCAAATGCCTCCCTAGGAAAATTGGCACACACCTATTCCCGGCAACAGGGAGGAGAGAAAGGTTTACTCTGAATGCACCCATGACAAAGCTTACCTGCTGCCAAGCTCTCCATGGCTTCCTGGAGACCAACACACACAGGAACAGAAGCCCGGCAACCCCCGGGGGAAGATGCCTCCTCCGGGTTTAAAAACAGAGCTACCCTTTTGCCCGGGGATCATGAGGGTTGCCTTGTGACTTAGTGCCTTATACTCTGCTTTCGGAGCACCAATTCTCAGTGGAACGGGAGAAACAGGCGGGTGAGGAGGGGTGGGGTGATTTATGGGGCAGAGAATGGTGCAACACCTACCCTTGTTTGTGTTGGGAGACCGAGGCCTCCTCCATGCCCTAAACATGCTGTTTAAACATCCCTGCAATTTCGCCAACGTCTCTTTCTCTCTGGCTGCCTCAACCCTTTTCTATCTCTGCCAAATCCATGCTCCACTGTCTCCGGCCCTCCTGGCTCCAGCTACCCCTCCCCAACACCCTCAAATCTCAGAAATGCAAGCAGTGCCTCTCAAGCCTGCGCATTAGGAACTCCTGGAGGCCTGGTTCACATAGCGGGGTTGGAGGAAGCCCCGAGACGCAGGGTTCTGATTTCAGAGTTCGGATGCCTAAGAATGTGCATGACACAGTTTCCCAGGTGACGCTGATGCTGCCGGACTAGGACTGAGCCTGCACATCTCACCCTGAATTCAAAATCAAAAGATGGGGTGAGGGTTCTCGGCAAAACGCAGCCTGAGATTCTATTTTGGAGACCCCTGTTCCAGAGAGAAGAGCAGTGCTCCTGACACTTGGTGGGTGGGGCCCAGGGACGCTGCTCAACACCCTGCAGTGCACAGGACGCCCCCCACAGTCATTCAACTTAAATGTTATTAGTGATAAAGTTGAGAAAGACTCTATCTATTGTCTATCTATGTATCCATCTATCCACCCATTCATCTATCATCATTTATCTATTACCTATGTATCATTTATCTATTATGTCTATACATCTAGCCATCCATCATCCATCATCATTATTTATTATCTATCATTTATCTAATATCTGTCTTCCTGTCTATCTTCATCATCATCATCATCATCATCATCAATCTCTTATCTATTTATCATCTATCTCCATATATGTATGTATCTATGTATCTCTATATCTATGTATCATCTATTTATCACCTATCTATCTCTCTATCCTATCTATCATCTATCTGTCCATTCATCCTATCTCATCTATCATCTACCTATGTATCATCTATCATGCATCTACTGATCTATTTATCTATCCATTATCTATCTATTTATTTATCATCTATCTAAACAGTGGCTTACAGCCTAAGAATGATTCTGCCCCTGCTCCTACCAGGGGACACTGTGCAATGTTTGAGGTCAGTTTTAATTGTCACTACTGGAAAGTGTGCCAATGGCACCCGGCAGATGGAGCCCAGGGATACTGCTCAACACCCTACAGTGCACAGGATGGGCCCACCTCAGAGAATCCAGCCCTGAATGCCACAAACGCCTTGGTGAAAAACTCCAGTAGTAACTTCCATCTAACCTTGGGAAAGGGATCAGGTTGACAGTCACATCATTCTGAACAGTCCAGGAGGCAGGAGCTGTCTGAGTCTTTTGTAAATGCCCCTCTTGTTAGAACACTCATAAGACCCTTTCCCGTAGGAGGATCCTCCCTTACCCAGAGCAAGAGCACAGCACTCCACGGTTTCCCTGCTGGAGCAATGAGAAGCCAACACAGGCCCCATGGAACGAGTTGGCAGCACAAGGCTGTGCAGACATCTGGCGACTATTGGAGCCAACAAGGAGAAAGCATAGAAGCTGGGAGAGTCTCCCCTTCCTTGCACAAGAACTGAGACTTCCTTGGAGGGGCCAGCTTCATCCTGGCATTTCTCTTCTTTGGGGCTGGCATCCAGAGGATAGAAAACTGAGGTCGTACTGGCAAAGGGGGCTCCGCCGGGGCACTTCTTGGCTCCTAAGGATTTCCCCAATGCCTCAGGGGCTGGACGGATTTGAAAGTGGACCCCCTATGGAAAATGATACAGAGATTTCTCAAAGAACTAAAATTTTATCTACCAGTTGATCTAACAATTCCACTACAAGGTATTCACCCAAAGGAAAACAAGTCATTATATCAAAAACACACCTGCACTCATATGTTTATTACAGCACCATTCACAATAGCAAAGATACGGAGTCAACCCAGGTGCTCATCGACAGGTGATTGGATACAGAAAATGTGATTTATGTGTACAATGGAATCATATTCAGCCATGCAAAAGAATGAAATTCTATCTTTTGCAGCAACATGGATGAAACTGGAGGCCATTATCTTAAGTCAAATAACTGAGAAAAAGAACGTCAATTACCACGTGTTCTCACTCATAAGTGGGAGCTAAATAATATGTCCACATGGACATAGAGAGTGGATTAATAGACACTGGAGATACAAAAGGGTGAGAGAGTGGGAGGATGGTGGAGAATGAGAAATTACTTAATAGGTACCATGTACACTATTCAGGTGATGCTTACCCTGGAAACCCAGACTTCACCACAACTCAGTATATCTATGTAACAAAATTGCACTTTACCCCATAAATTTACACAAATAAAATAAAATAAATCAGTAAAATTGGATATGTCAACCTGTTTAAAACAAACGAATGCAGAAAAAAAACATGTTGTAATAACATATAAAAATAAATAAAGATGGCTTCTTGATGTTTAATATGCCCTGCAGATATCTTACAAAGCCCCAGTAGTCACGAGTTAAATTCTTGCCTGTAGCCTGCTGGAGGTCAGAGATAGCCTCCACTGTTTATGTACAGCTCTGGCCCCATCTATGAAGTAGAGCTAAAAACACCACCGATACCTGTCCCCAAGGCTGAGCTGATGCAGGAACAGCCCTCAGCACAGTGCCTGGTATCCACAGACCATCGATCATCCTAGGTATTCATCTAGATCAGGAAGGCCTGACTGTAGCTTGCGTTGATTGCCATTGACAGTTTCGGCAAGAATCTGGGTTCCTTTGCTGTCTCTTTCGGATGGACACGTGAAGGCTCTTCTCCAAGTAAGTTCACTCATTCGACTCATGCACTCATACATGCATGCACTCACACCATCATCACTCATTCAACTCATACATGCATGCCCTCACACAGTCATCACTCATTCAACTCATACATGCATGCCCTCACACAGTCATCACTCATTCAACTCATACATGCATGCCCTCACACAGTCATCACTCATTCAACTCATACATGCATGCACTCACACAGTCATCACTCATTCAACTCATACATGCATGCACTCACAGTCATCACTCATTCAACTCATGAACTCATACATGCTTGCATTCACACATTCATTGATTCATTCACTTAATTCACTCATGCATGCATGCATGCATTCACACTTTCACTTATTCATTCATGCATCCATTAACTTGTCCATGCATTCAATTCATTCATTCACTCATACATAATACATTAATTCCTGAAGTGTATGCAGTCTTCACTCATTCACTCGTGTGTGTGCATTAACACACATGCTAGTTTGTTCAGCTCATTCCTGTACTCATACATATTTATTCACTCAGTCATTCGGCCACGTATTCACTTGTCATGTATTCTCTTCATTCACTCACACACACATCCATTCCTGTATAAATGCATGCCTTCACGTGCTCAATCAATCCTGCATGCATGAATTCACTCACTCATGCAGGCATGAACTCACTTGTTCACTCACTCATTCATGCACTCACTCATGCTTGTACGAATTCGCTTATTTACTCATTCATACACTCATGCAGGCATGAACTCACTTGTTCACTCATTCGTGCACTCATGCATGCATGAATTCACTTGTTTACTCACTCATACATGCACTTATACATGCATGAATTCACTTCTTAAGTCATTCATGCACTCAATCACGTATGAATTCGCTTGTTCACTCATTCATGCACTCACTCATGCAGGCATGAATTCGCTTGTTTATTCACTCATGCAGTCACTCATGCATGCATAAGTTCACTTGTTCACTTATTCATGCACTCACTCATGTATGCATGAATTCACCTTTCACCCATTCATGCACTATGCATGCATGAATTCACTTGTTCACTCAATCATTCATGCATTCAACTCATTCATTCACTCATTCATAGATTCATGCCTTCACGCATGCATGCATGCATTCACCTATATTTTCCACACAGTCACACCTCCATTCACGCATCTATCTCTAAATTCATTCATACATGCATTGGCTCGTTCATGCCTTCAACTCATGCATTCATGTGTGAATGCATTCATTCCCTCCTTGGCGCAAACATTGATTCAATGGTTCATTCATTTCCTGGCCTGCTCATTCATGAGTAGTTGTTTGTTCATTCACGCCTCACATGCATTCACGCATACATGCACTCACGCATACATGCACTCACCGCGTGCGTACAGCCACTCGCTCGCTATGCATTCAACAGCTGAAGCCTGAAACCCTCATTTATTCTTTCTTTCGTGCACTCATTCATTCATTCAGTTTATGCGTGTAAGTACGCGCACGTGCATTTTTCATGCATTCGACAAGATCGCGTATAAGCCCTGCCTTCTCCCTCTGGGAGGCTTCCAGAGCGGCCTCCACTCTTGCTGCGCGCTGGCCTTGGGCCCAGGGCCTTAAGTCATCGCAAACGTTTACTTTGGGGCTGGCTGATTAAAGGTTAAATGTCCAAACCTAGAAACCGCCGACTGCCGAAGGGGCCGCGGCGGGCGAGGGGCGGGGCGCGGGCGTGGATCGCAGCCCCCGGCGGTTCCCGGGTCTCTCTTCCCGGCAGCCGGGGCTGGGCACCAGGCGGCGCGCGGGCTTGCGGGCAGGGGCTGCAGGGAGGAGGAGAGGACCCGCGCCCGCGGGGGCTGGCGGAGGCGGGGCCGGGCTTCCGGACAGAGGCCAATCGCTGCCCTCGGGGCCTCCAGCGCCGGCTCTGGGCCGAGGCAGCCAGAGCGCGGAAGAGGTGCGGGGGGCTGTAGGGGGCTGCAGGGGACCGTGGGCAGTGGAGGAGGCCTGGGCGCGGCGGGGGGCCGGGGGGCGCAGAGGCTGCCCGAACGCCTAGGAGGTCTCGAGGGTGGGTGGCGTACAGCGGGGCGGGGGCGCAACCCAGAGGCCGAGGCTGGGGGCTGGGGGAGGGGCGCCGGACTGGAGTGCAAAGGAGGGGCGAGGGGCGCAGGGGGCTGGAGGTCAGAGGTTGCCCAAGCGCGAAGGAGGGGAGGGGTGCGGGGCGCGGGAGTAGGCCAGGAGCGCTTAGGGGTGAGTGCGCCGAGCCAGGGCACCGAGTGCTGGGGAATACAGGCCGTCCAGGCGCGGCGGGGCGCGGGGAGACGGAGGCTGCCGGAGTACGGAGGACAGACGGGGCGCGGGCGTAGGGCTGGGAGGCTTGGGGAGGGGGGCGCGGGCCCAAGGCAGAGGCTGCGGGAGCGCGGGGCAAGGGAGAGGTGCAGAGCGTGGAGGGGGCTCGGGGGCGCTTGGGGAGGATGGGCGGCAGGCCGGGTCGGGGAGGAGGGGCGGCGAGAGGCGCAGGGGTAGGCCGGGGGGCTGCACTGGAGTGACGAGGGAGGGGGCACCTGGCCGGGGGGCGCGGGCAGAGGCAGCCCAAGCTCGGAGGAGGTGCAGATACTGGCGTCCGGGAGCGCAGGGGTGGTCCAGGGAGTGGAGAGGGGTGACCGGGGGGCGCCAGCTGGGGTGGAGGAAGAGGATGCCCAGAACTCCAAGCAGGTGCGCGGGGCGGCGGGGCAGCTGCTGACACCGCTGAGGTCGGGTGGTGTCCCGGGGGCGTTGTCGTTGCTGGGCGCATGGGTGTTAAGACGCAGCGGGGTCGCAGGTGACTGTGGGGAGGACAGGGGGTCAAGGGGCCCCTGGCCAGAGGGCACGAGGCTGACCTGGAGCGCCAAGGAGGAAGTGCGGGGCGTGGAGGTCGCAGGGGCATCGGGGGAGGCAGGGGCCCCGTGGGGCGCAGGTGACATGGAGTGGGTAGGAGGCCGGGGGTGACACTGGCGGGGCCTGCAGCCGAGGGTGTCGAGACTGCCACGCTGTCGCCCCCAGGCCTGGAAATCCACGCGGATTCCCGGAGACGGCGCCTCTGCTCTGCGGGTTCGTGGCGAGGAAGTCCACCCACTGCTCCCGGGCGCAGGTCTGCAGGTCCGCGCCCACTGCCCGCGGCGCCACTGACCATGTCGGGTGAGTAGCTCAAGCTGCTTCAGTTCAGCCTGCCTGTTCCTACTGGCTTGGGTGACAGATTGGTCTGCACTGGGGAGAACCCCACTTTGACCGCAGGATTGCCCCAAACCCCGAGTCTCCCCCTTACTGCCTCGCCCAGGTCTCTCTGGGGCTGGAGGGAATGGAGATACCAGCCTCAGCTGCTGGGAGGGGGTGATTTACAGCAAGTGAAGGGGGCCTTGGGATTTCACCAGTTTCCTTTTGTAAAATATAGTCCTGAAACTTTCAATGGGCTTGTTTCTTGGGAATAGCATTGAACTGCCTGAGACTGTCACTGCCTGGAAGGCCGATGGGAAGAAGTCTGTTCTCCTGAAATGGCCCTAAAGCTCTGGGAAGAGGCTGCCTTGAGTTCTTAGAACTCAGACCACGGTTTTAATTTCTGTTTCCAGTACAGATACAGGGATGGCCCGGCTTGGTGGCTCAGGCCTGTAATCCCAGCACTTTGGGAAGCTGAGGCGGGAGGATTGCTTGAGGCCAGGAGTTTGAGACCATCCTGGGCAACATAGGGAGACCACATCTCTAGGAAAAAAATTTAAAAATCAGCTGGGCATTGCGGCACCTGCCTGTAGTCCCAGCTACTAGGGAAGCTGAGGTGGGAGGGTCCTGAGCCCAGGAGTTCCAGGCTGCAGTGAGCTATGAGTGCACCACTGCACTCCAGCTTGGGTGACAGAGTGAGACCCTGTCTCTAAAAAACAACAACAAAATAAGAATCCAGGTTAATCCTCCTGCAGGCAGAGGGCTGGCTGGCAAGAATGGCAGGAAAGGCCTGCCCCCGCCAAGGACCGGTGAGCCCCATCTCCCTGCCCTTGGGTTTTGTGGACATCAGATAGACTGGTTGACTTAAGAGGCCTAGATATGTGAACAGAGTGTAACCTCTTCCCATAAGAAAGATGCTGGTTCTATTTTCTATCATTAAATCATTAAGACACCTCCTTCTTGTACCAGACCACACTGGATCATTCTATGAGTGCATTTTATGTATTTATTTTTAAATGTATATTTTTTAAATTTTGTAGAGACAGGGTCTTGCTATGTTGCCCAGGCTGGTCTTGAACTTCTAGGCTCAAGCAGTCCTCCTCCTTTGGCCTCTCAAAGTGCTGGGATTACAGGCACGAGCCACCACGCCTGGCCATGAGTGCAATTTAAAACACACAAACAGAACAGATGACTTTTTTATTCAGAGGAGAGATTTGGTAAATCACAGAGCTGCTTCTCTCCTGTTTGTTCCCACTCTGGACTTAGAGATGAAAATTGTCGGGGCAGGGATCTTAAGGGCTGTTTTCATGAGGTGTACTGGAAGAGTCTGTTCCAAGGAATGGCAGAAAAGATTCTCTGTTCTAGGGACGCGTTTGGAGCTCTCTAAAGTGAAAGCCACACATTTCCCCAAGCCTGCTAGGGTCTGTATAATAGCAGCATTCAAGACGGACATTCGCATACATCTTGGTCAGCCTCGTGCCAGAAGAGAAGACTCAACTCTTTGCAGAAAACAAAAACCACCTTTGAGTAGAAAAGGGCTGAGAAGGAAGCTGCTAAGGTTATTTTGGGGGGTGATCAGAAGATTCCTTGAGTGCAGGGGGGCAGGCAAGGGGTAGAAAGAAACTGTTGTCACAGATTCATAAAATTCTCAGCCACTGTAATCTCCAGACTGGACTTGATTTTGTGACAATGTCTCCTTTTTGTGGGCTGTGGTGCAGTGACAGGTTTTCTTGCTGTTTTTCCACTCCATGCCGTTGCTGAAAGTGTCCGCCGCAGTGGCACTTGGAGTGGAAACTCCCTCTTTGAATGCAGTAGCATTGGATAATTGTGGATGTTCTCTGGCGTCTGGCGCCGCACCAGGACTTGATCACCAGTTGTTTCTTCAAGGCAAGGCGATGTGGAAGCTAAGCCCTGTCAATCAATGTTTCATCTTCTGTTCTATTTCAATCTGCTGGTCTGTCTTTGCACTTTAGATGGGTTTTACAGTGTCCTGGATGGGAAGCGGCTAACCTTCAGGAGGTGCACATTTTTGTTCCAAAGCAAAAGTCTGAGTCTCGGATCCCTTGTTGCTGGAGAGAGCTCGTGTGCCAACTGGTGTTGTCTTGTCATTGTGTGACTGTGGTCAATATTCCCTCCACTCTAAACCAAAGAGAGAAACAGGGTATCCAGTAGTTCCATAAAACTCTCACTCTAAATGCAGCCCTGTCTGCATTCTCTTTTGTGTTTGAGATCAAGGTGGGTGTGGGCAGGGCTGGTTCCTCCTGAGGCCTCTCTCCTGGGCTTGGTCCTCACAGGGTCTTCCCTTTGTGTGTGTCTGTGTCCTAATCGCCTCTTTTTTTTTGAGATGGAATTTTGCTCTTGTCGCCCAGGCTGGAGTGCGATGGTGCAATATCGGCTCACTGCAGCTTCCGCCTCTTGGGTTCAAGCGATTCTCCTGCCTCAGCCTCCTGAGTAGCTGGGATTACAGGTGCCCGCCCCCATGCCCGGCTCACTTTTGTATTTTTAGTACAGATGGGGTTTCTCCATGTTGGTCAGGCTGGTTTTGAACTCCTGACCTCAGGTGATCCACCTGCCTTGGCCTCCCAAAGTGTTGGGATTACAGGCGTGAGCCACCACGCTTGGCCTAATCTCCTTTCTTATAAGGACACCAATCCTATTGGATCAGAGCCCACCCTAGTGACTTAATTTTATCTTAATCTCTTCTTTAAAGACCCCATCTCCAAATACAGTCACATTCTGAGGTCCTGCAGGTTATGATATTCATATATGAATTTTGGAGGTGCACAAGTCAGCCCATAATAGGATAACTCATTTATTTGAATACTACTGTGTTTTTCTGCTGGGGCTGCCATAACAAAGTCCCACAGACTGGGCGGCTTAAACAACACACATTTACTCTCCCACAGTCTTGGAGGCTGGAAATCTGAGATCAGGGTGTGGGCAGGGCTGTTTCCTCCTGACGCCTCTCTCCTTGGCTTGTAGATGTTGTCTTTCTCTGTATCTCCACAAGGTCATCCTTCTGTGTGTGTGTGTGTCTGTGTCCTCATCTCCTCTTGTAGTGAGGCCAGCAGTGCTACTGTATTAGGGCCCACCCTAGTGACCTCATTTTACCATAATCACCTCTTTAAAGACCCCATCTTCAAATGCAGACACATTCAGAGGTTCTGTGGGGTAGGGTTTCATCCTAGGCGTTTCAGGATGGGTTATCATCCGTCTATAACACCCATTAATCCTCATGTTTTCCCTGAGGTCCCCATGAAGAGCTATAAAGCCAGCGCATGTGGTTATCAATCAATGATCACTCTGCCATTTCTCTTAGTTGTCACTGAGATCCTCATGAAGAGATTAAAAAAACCAGCGCACATCGTTATCAATCATTGATCACTTTGCCAGTTCGCATAGTTGTCACTCACGTCCTGATGAAGAGATAAAAAGCCCATGCGCATGGTTATCAATCATTGATCACTCTGTCATTTCTTTCAGTTGTCACTGAGATCCTCATGAAGGGGTAAAAAACCAGAGCCTGTGGTTATCAGTCACTGATTGCTTTGCCATTTCTCTTAGTTGTCACTGATGCCCTCATGAAGAACTATAAAACCAGCACAGGTGGCGATCAATCACTGATCACTTTGCCATTCCTGTGTGTTGTCCTCTGCACCTTGCTTTGGGCCAATTCACTTGCATCATCCTTTTCTCTAGACAGCCAGAGGGCCCTCCCTGGCAATGGAGATGAGACCTTCTTACAGGTTTTGGAACCCTCAAATAGCTCCTCATAAGCCTCAGGATAATAGAAAAGGCTGCATATCACCTTTGTAATCCGGGCCCTCTGACCCCATCTCTTCCTGTGGGTCCTTGTTCTCCAGCTGCTGTTGCTACGCTGTGAGGAATGCAGGATGCAGCATGCAACCTATCATCTCCACCTCTGGCCTTGGCTGGTGGATTTTTTCTGCCTCTTCCTTCTTTGCCTTATTATTTTTGGTTCAGTTTCTTATTGGAGGCAGGAGACAGTAGCTATTTTGAGGGCTTTTGTTGGTGTTGGAGTCAGAGGTGACCTCGGACATTTAATTACTCGTTGAAGCCCCGGTTTACTTGTTTTTGAAGCACATGTCTGTGTTGGAAAGGGAATTAATGAGAGCGCAGAGGTATGCCCTATCTACACACTCCTGGAGGGATGGGAGCCATATTCATTCTTGTTTGTTGCTCCACTGATTTCTTGATGGATAAGTTCTTCCTGGCCATTTATCCCTGAGCTTGGATGGTGCCCTTTCAAAAACTGCTGCCAGCCATAGGACTTGCCTTGCAGTATCGAAACACCCATTTCTTAGGGCTAATGTTTCTCATGGAGCTGTGGGTGTCTGAGGACAGAGCTTGTACCTTGTCAGCTGCTGGGCCCAGCACCTAGCAGATTCTCGTGCCTGGGAATTGCCTGGGACGTGAACCCACAGTGAACGTGTAATGCACTGAGAGCACGTCATTAGGCCCACACAGACATCTTCTGCCCCTTCACCTTCTTTGTCTTCTGCCTCCAGCTTCAATCCTTCACTCTTTCTCTAAGCAGATGCCCTTATGTGTGCAGCTTATGGCATAGCACTGTGGACTGGGATAAGCAGTGTCCCCCATAAAACTCATGTCCCCCCAGAAGCTGTGAATGGGACCTGTGAACCCAAAAGTATCTGAGACAGGTCTCAATCCATTTAGAAAGTTTATTTTGCCAAGGTTAAGGACATGCCCGTGACACAGCTTCAGGAGGTCCCGACAACATGGGCCAAAGGTGGTCGGGGTACAGCTTGCTTTTACACATTTCAGAGACATGAGACATCAGTCAATACATGTAAGATACACATTGCTTTGATCTGAAAGGGTGGGACTACTTGAAGCAAGGGGGTTGCGGGGGGTGGTGCCAGGTCATAGGTAGATTTTTAAATGTTCTGATTAGTCGAAAGAGTTATTATCAATAGAAGAGAATGTCTGGGTTATGATAAGAGGTTGTAGAGACCAAGGTTTTATCACGCAGATGAAACTTCCAGGTAGCAGGCTTCAGAGAGAATAGATTGTAAAGGTTTCTCATCAGACTTGAGGTCTGTGTGGATGTTTATGGTGGTCAGCTTTTCCTGAATTCCAAAATGGAGGAGGTTATGATGAGGCATGTCTGACCCTCTCCTCATTATGGCCTGAACTCGTTTTTCAGGTTAACTTTGGAATGCCCTTGGCCAATTAGGTAGTTGCGAGGCCTAGAATTTTAGTTTAGGTTTACAGACCTTATTGGGAAATAGGGTCTTTGCAGATGTAATTAGTTAAGCATCTCAAGATAAGATTATCCTGGAATATTTGGGTGGGCCCTAAATCCAATGGCAGGTGTCCTTCTAAGAGATAGAAGAAGAGACACAGACACAGAGGAGGCCATGTGGAGTTGGAGGCAGAGATTGGAGTAATGTGGCCACAAGCCCAGGGACATCTGGAGCCACCAGGAGCTGGAAGAGGCAGGAAGGACCCTTCTCTAGAGTTTGGTTTTGGAATCCTGGCCTTCAGAACTGCAAGAGAGTAAATGTGTGTTGTTTAAGTCTCCCAGCGTGTGGTACTTTCTCACAGCAGCCCCAGGAAGCTCATTCATGGGTTTGCTAGGGAAAGGAGTCAGCGATGAGCCCACCAGTAAGCAAAATGAGCACAGCAGGTAAGATGGCACAAGAGATGAAGGGTCCTGTGTCATAGGAGGTGAGGGACTGTGATGAGAAGGGTCGTCTTGGGGAGCAGGGTTTGCAGGAAGATCTCTGAGGGATGGGTGGTTTTTTCCATGGCCACCATGTGCTGGGAGGAGAGCAAGTTCCAGGTGAGTTAAGGGAGTGGTAGTAGCCCCATGGTAGTAGCACACATCATAGGATGTGCTTGAAGACCCAGAGGGGTTGAGCTGGACGTGGGGACTGAGTGTGGGGGATGAGATGACCAGCAGTCTGGACCCAGCTTACATTTGCAGACAATGAGAAAACCATTGGCGTTGGGTTGGCTTTCAGGGCAGCTGATGGCTTTCACTGTGTGTTGGGGGAGAAAATGTGGTTTTTAAGGACCGAGGAGACAGATAACAGGGACCAGAATCTACAGGGTGGAGCAGAGAATGCAAAGGAGGGAAGCTGTGGCTCAGGGTGGTTGATGCAGAGACCCATTTTAAATGTTTTCTAGTCTGGTGCGGTGGCTGGCTCACACCTGTAATCCTAGCACTTTGGGAGGCCAGGACGGGAGGATTGCTTGAGGCCAGGAGTTTGAGACCAGCCTGGGTGACAGAGCAAGAGACCCCATCTCTACAGAAAAGTTAAAAATAAATTAGCCAGGTGTGGTGAGCATCTGTAGTCCCAGCTACTCAGGAGGCCAAGGCAGGAGGATAGCTTGAGCCCAGGAGTTCCGGGCTTCAGTGAGCTGTGATGCTGCTGCTGCACTCCAGCCCTGGTGGCAGACAGAGCAAGACCCTGTCAAAAAAAAAAAAAAAAAAAAGCCAGGCACAGAAGGACACCTGTAGTCCCAGCACTTTGGGAGGCTGAGGCGGGTAGATTGCCTGAGCCCAGGAGTTCGAGACCAGCTTGGGCAACATAACCTGTCTCTACCAAAAATATAAAAAATAGCTGGATGTAGTGGTGTGCACTTGCGGTCCCTGCTACTCAGGAGGCTGAGGTGGGAGGATTGCTTGCTCTCAGGAAGTCGAGGCTGCAGTGAGCTGAAATCATATCACTGCGCTCCAGCCTGAGCAACAGACGGAGACCTTCTCTCAAAAACCACCACCACCACAACGTAATGAACAACCCCAACATTTTCTGTTGTGCCTCTCGGTTAAGATCTCAGGTTAGTTATGCAAGAGTAGAATGTGGGATTGGAGGCAAGTGGACTTCTCCTTACCCCAGAATTCATGTCATAAATGCTCTGCACAGACGAGGCTTCTGGGACTCTTGGGGAGACCTAGGAGGTGGGTAATAGGGATCTGAATCTACACGGTGGAGCTCATGACCCAGGTCAGATGATGCCAAGTTTCATTTTATACATTCTCTGTTCTTCTTCTCTGCTCCTTAAGAGCGCAGGTCAGTAAGTGGGGTTGGAAACAGTGGACTCTTCCTTACTGGGGTATAGGAGTTGGCACGCTAAATATTCTGCAAAGCTTGCTCTTGCAGGACCAAGCATCTAAATAGTAAGGTCTAACCTCAGTCATCTGTTTCTGGAGGAAAATCCCAAAGCATGGCCTTTGGAGTGTGATTTAGCCCTCATTCTCAGATTCAGTGGTGAAGTTCAGAGGGGAGCCAATCCCTCTGAGCATCTCGAAGGTGGACAGAACAGTCAGCTCAGGAGGAAATCTCAAAACAACGCCCCTCCTCGGGAGTTCTCTTACCTTTGTCATTGTAGTTCCTAAAGGATGCACTCCTTTTCCTTTCTATTCTTTAATTCACAGGGTCCTTAAACATGGTTCCTCAGATTTCAATAATCTATACATTGGAGATCACAAAGAAATCTTAATACTGCCAATGAAAGGCTAAAAATTGTAAATGGCACTTTATTTTCAGTTTGACATTACTTTGCTGATGATTCTTTTCATAATATATATGATTTGATTTACCTTATTTTTTACTTTGCCATCTGCTTTGCAATTAAATACACACACACACACACACACACACACACACATACACACACACACACGTTTTCTTTTTAAAGACAGGGCTCTGCTCTGTAACCCAAGCTGGAGTGCAGTGGCACAATTATATCTCACTGCAGCCTCCAACTTCTGGGTCAAACAATCCTGCCGTCTCAGCTTCCCAAGTAGCTGGGACTACAGGCATGTGCCAAAAAAAAAAAAATTAAATTAAATGAATGCAAGTCCATTCTCAGTATGAAACACATACTGAAATAACTGCCTGAGAAATGGTACGTGGTAGATAAATGTGCAGCAGATGTGCTAATTGGCCTGGGTATAGAAATTTAGCTATTTGGTCTGGGTATACAATTTTAGGTTGAGGACCATTGCACTCAGAGTTTAGATATGGTGGTTTGTTTTAGTGTCCACTATTCATGATAAGAAGTCTCAGTCTCATCCTTAATAGGATTGACCTGTATTTTTATTTTACTTTCATTTTCTTGGCATTTTCACAATGTTCTCCTTAGCCTTGGTGTTTTTAAATTCCAGGAATATATTGTCAGGAAAAGGACTGCTGATTTTCTTTCTTTCTTTCTCTCTCTCCCCTCCTCTCCTCTCCCCTCCCCTCCCCTCCCCTCCCTTCCTCTCTCTCTTTCTTTCTTTTTTCTTTTTCTTTCTCTTTTGTTGCATACTCTCTGGGCTTTTTAAATCTAAAGACTGACTTTCTGCTGTTGAGAACATTTCCTGTTTAATTTCTTTGAAAACTTTTCTTCTCTCTATTTTTTTTTTCTATTCTCTTATTCTGAAACTCATGTTGGTGAACCTTCTGAATCACTCCTGTAGGCTTCTAGCTTTCTGAAATTTTCCATTTGTCCCTTTATTCTACTTTCTGAGAGATTTCCTCAATGATGTTTTCCAAACCTTCTGTTATTTCGTTTTCATTTCAGCAAATCATATTTTTAACTTCTAATAACTATTTCTTATCCTTGGAGTGATCTTTTCTATAGCATTTGATTCTTGGTTTATAGATGTATCCCTCTCCCCCTGATCTTTTGAAAGAATACTAATTGGTGCAGTCAGAATTTTTATGTCTGCCTGTCTGTTCCTTGAACTTCTATTCCATGAAATGTCTGGTATTTCTGGGGTTCTTCCCATTCCACCCCATAACTTTTCAGTTTTCTCTTTTGTGGTGAAGGTGTTTTTCAAATATCTGGTAATGGTTTATATCTATATGTATAAAAATGAGGAATGTCGGTTGAGCTGTACCCACTTGCCGACTCGTCTGAATTTGTCAAGCTTATGCTATAGGTTGGGAATTCCACTTCTGTGTGATGGTAATTATTTTTTTCTTGGGCTTTTTGTTTCCTTTAGAATAGATCCTATCATCTGATTTTGCCCCTGGTGATGGGTATATTTGGCCTCTGAGAATTCTGCAGAATTTCAGTGACTTCTCCAGTTTCTCTTATTGGCTGATGGTTTTCTCCTGCCTCTTTGTTGGCTTGGGGTTCACACTTGCCTTCCTTAGCACACTTTTTAGTCTGTTCTCCTTTTATCTCAGAAAGAAGGAAAGAGAAACTAGGAGCTCCACATCCACCATCTTTGCTTGGAAGATTCCTGGTTTACACTTTTAATTACGTGATTGAATTGATGAAAATGGATGGACCTTGAAAACATCATGCTGATGGAAAGAAGTCAGACACAAAAGGCCATATGATGCTTAATTCCATTTACATGAAATATGCAGAACAGGCAAATCCACAGAGATAAAAAGTGATTGGTGGTTGTCACAAGCTAGGGAAGGGAGAAAGGGGAGATACTCCTTAATGAGTGCAGGGTCTCTTTTTGGGGTGATGAAATGTCCCAGGATTAGATAGAGGTGGTGGATGTGCAACATTGTGATGAATTGTGTTCTTTACAATGGCGAATTTTATGTCATGTGAAATTTACTGTGATAAATAAAAAGGAAATATGAAATTATTCCATTTTCAAAAGGCTACATAGTGTTTGATTCCATTTATAGGAAATATCCAAAATAGGAATGTAGAGACAGAAAGCGGACTCATGGTTGCCAGAATGGGGAGTGACTGCGTAATGGGTACAGGGCCTCCTTTTGGAGTGGTGAGAATGTCCTCGGATTGCCTGGAGTTAGTGGTTGCACAACATTGCGCATGGACTAAATGCGAGTCACTTGTGCACTTTAAAATGGTTTGTTTTATGTTATGTTAATTTCCCGTTAATTTTTTGAGAGTTTGCATGGAAAGGTGAAGCTCTAAGCAGGTCGTATGTTTAGGTGTGGGGATACCCATTATGCTGCTTAGAAATATGTTCACACTTAGGGCTCAGCACTGGGGGTTCTACTTGGTAATTCTTTCTGCTTCCACACTCTTTCAAGATATGGGTCAGAGAAACCCTGGTGAGGACGGGGTAGGGGATTGGATCTCTGGCTCTGTTTTGGGCATTGTGTGATTTTCGAGGTCTGTGGGTGAAGCTCACACAGTACCTTTACCTTGGCCAGCTCTGGGCTTTGCAGATGCCAGTCCCGAATGCCTGCTTCCTCTCCCAACTCTGTCCTCTGCTTAGAGACAAAAGAAGCCTTACAGACAGCTGAATGGGTCCATGACAGCTACGCCTGTTCTTGGGAAGTAATTTTGATCAGAGCTCAGGCCTTTGGAAATGTCTAAAGAAGTAGTAATCACCATTATTATCATTTTAAAGCTAGTAACTAAGAAAACTATAGATAGATTATAGATAATGGTAGAGATAATTTATAATCTATAGACTGTAGGTAGATAGGTAGATGATTGAAAGATTGATAGATATAAATAAGTAGATACATAGAGGACATATATATGATAGGTAGATGGTAGGTATAGATAGATGGATGGCTAATAGAAAGATGATAGGTAGAGAGATGATGGAGATAGATGGATGATAGATGATAGATATATAGATGATAGATAAATAGATATAGATGATATATGATAAATAGATGATAGAGATACATGGATTAGATAGCTAGATAGATAATAGAGATACATGATAGTAAGATAGATAATAAATAATAGATGTGAAGAGGATTGGTAGATGATAGGTGGATAGATGGATGGATAGATGATAGGTAGATGGATAGATAGATGATGGATGGATGGATAGATAGATATATGATAGATAGATGAATAGATGATATAGATAGATAGATAGAAGGATGGATAGATAGATGATAAAGATAGATCGATTATAGTAAGATAGATAATAGATGTACAGAGAATTGGTAGATGATGGATGGATGGATGAATAGATGGATAGATAGATGATAGATGGATGGATGTATAGATGATAGATAGGGATAGATAGACAATGGATGGATGGATATATGACAGATAGATGGATAGATGGATGGATGGATAGATAGAGATAGATGATAGTAAGATAGATAATAAATAATAGATGTGCAGAGAATTGGTAGATCATAGGTAGATGGATGGATGAATGGATGGATAGATAGATGATAGATAGGTAGATGGATAATATAGATATTATCCAATGATAGATAGATGATGGATGGATGGATAGATAGATGATAGATAAATAGATGAATGGATGGATGGACGGATGGATGGATGGATGGATGATGGGTAGATGGATAGATATGGACTGATGAAAGGTATCTTTTGTTCTACAGAATTAAGTTGTAAAGTTTGCTGTCTGTAATTCTCACTCCCAATGGAGATGTCAGGAATTCTCGTTCTTTCTTCGTTCAAGGGTGGGGAGGAGGAGTCTACAGGAGCAGCTGTAACAGGCACATTTTGGAATTTACCCCATTGGAATGTAAAGGTCAAGGAGGCAGCCCTGTACCACACGTCTGGGACGCTTGTGTTTGTTATATTTAGTGCGAATTGTGGGTTGGCTTTGCTTGGAGTGCTGCTTCCGGGAAAGGCGCTGTGGTCGCCTACATGCTGAGCATTTTAATTTCCATAGACAGTACACTGGGCTGCACACTGCATGGGACTTCTCGGCATTGCTGGCTGCCCTCCTGACTGTTGTCTTTCTCCTGGCAACAGGGGCTTGGGTGCCCAAGAATCAAGTGGTTTAAAAGTCATTACCAAAGTTCACATCAGTCTTGTGCACAGAGAATTAAAACTGCTGTAAATTATATCTGCTGTGAGAGCTCCTTCCTCTCATACTGAGGCATTAGGAAATTGAATCCATTCTACCTAATGAAACAATGTACTTTTCCTTATGTTGTCTCTACCGCCTCATACATCCCTGAGTTGAACTTGAAGTCTTTGTAAGAAATGGTCTGTCCAGAATTTAAATAACATGTTTGGCTGCTTCTTTATGGAGCACGATTCTTTTCTTTCCTTTCTTTCTTTTTTCTTTTTTCTTTTTTTCAGAGACAGGGACTCACTCTGTTGCCCAGGCTGGAGTTCAGTAGTGTGATCATGGCTCTTTGCAGCCTTGACCTCCTGTGCTCAAGCGATCCGCCTGCCTCAGCCTCTCAAGTAGCTAGGACTACGGGCATGCACCACCTCGCCTGGCTAATTTTTTTTTTTTTCCAGTACAGATGAGGTCTTGCTGTGTTTCCCAGGCTGGTTTCAAACTCCTGGGCTCAAATGATCCCCCTTCTTCGACCCTAGCACTGGGATTACAGGCATGAGCCACTGCACCTAGCCCAAAGCACAGTTCTTTTGAGTGAGTTGGGTTACATCTTTGCTGTAACTCAGGTCATCAAGCCATCACTTCCACTTTTTGCCTTTTGTTTTCACCTAAGATCTAAACACTTTGGGTGAGTTTTCAAGAGTCAAACACAACATAAAATAAGGGATAGTAGCTATGAGTTTCCATGGCATTGCAGCATCAGGAAATGGGCATAGCAGTTGGGTTGACTTTGTCCCTTGTTTAAGGTTCCTTCATACTCCTCCTGTGTTTTGTTTTGTTTAGAATGAAAGGAAGCATGTATGCGAATTAGAATACTGAATATTCACTGCAAGTCGTGATTTTTTTTTTTTTTTTGAGACAGGGTCTCACTCTGTCATCCAGGCTGGAGTACAGTGGTGCAATCACGGCTCACTGCAGCCTCAAACTCCCAGGCTCAAGTATCCTCCCACCTCAGCCTCTCCGAGTAGCTGTAACTGCAGGCCTGCCACCACGCCCAGCTAATTTTTGTATTTTTCGTAGAGACAGAGTTTCACCATGGTGCCCAGGCTGGTCTCGAACTCCTGAGGTCAAGCAATTCACCCACCTCAGCCTCCCAAAGTGCTGGAATGACAGGTGTGAACCATCACGTCTGGCCCAAGCCATGAATCTTGGGAGAGGAGAGGAGGTGACTATGGCCCCGTCACCCCTGCTGTCCCTCAGGAGTGTAACTCTGGTGTTTCTGTTGATTTTCACAGTGACTGATCAGGCTTTTGTCACACTAGCCACCAATGACATCTACTGCCAGGGCGCCCTGGTCCTGGGGCAGTCACTGAGGAGACACAGGCTGACGAGGAAGCTGGTGGTGTTGATCACTCCTCAGGTGTCCAGCCTGCTCAGGTAAGGCTCAGAGATGCGGCTTGTGCCCAGCTGGGTCCTATAGAAGGAGGGTCACCTCTCCCCTAAGAGGTCCTAGGAGTTATTCTGACGACTGACTGCCCTTCTTCATAGGCCTGGATGGCCGGCAGTCATGATGGGCATCTGACGTTTGTAAGGAACCTTCGAATCATGTGAAAATATAGGCGTGTGATCGGCTTCACAATACTTTAAAAAACAATACTGGGTTTGGTTACAGTTCATTCTCCCAACCATGGAAACTGAAAATTCAATTCTTTTTTGTTTGTTTGTTTTTTGAGACAGGGTCTCGCTCTGTCGCCCAGGCTGGAGTACAGTGGTACCATCTTGGCTCACCGCAACCTCTCCCTCCCAGGCTCAAGCGATCTTCCCTCCTCAGCCTTCTAAGTAGCTGGGACCACAAGTATGTGCCCCCATGCTCGGCTATTTTTATTTTTATGTTTTGTATTTTTGGTAGAGACAGGGTTTCGCCACGTTGCCTAGGCTGATCTTGAACTCCTGGACTCACTCAGTCCACCCAGGTTGGCCTCCCAAAGTGCTGGGATTACAGGCATGAACCATGGCACCCAGCCAAGGAGTCTTTTCTTATAATTTCCTTTTATAATTCTCTTTGTCTTTAATTCTCAAATAAAGCAAATACATAAATAAATGCGTCTAATGAATAAAGCATAAGGCTTCTCTTAAATGTCATACATTATGTAAGCAATAATCTTTTTCTTTCATCAACCATGGACCACTTAAAAAAATTGATTTTATACGAATGGGACGAGGAGGCATTTAATATGGTAGATGTAGCAGGAATTGAATGTCATATTCTTTGACAATGAAATAATAAATCCAGACATTAATAGCTAAACTAAAAAGAGAACAAATAAAAAACCAACCAGTGTGTCCTCAGACGTTTGAAACTGGAAGTTTTAAATGAAATAACTCAATCCGGGTACAAATGAAAGCTTGAATTATGTACTATTTCAGAAAATCACTGCAATGTGAGTGCTACCTATACAAAGCAAAGACAGCAACTACAGTGGTACAAGACAGAAAATTTAAATCAGTGAAGAAATTATCCAGTTCAAATATATATGTATATACACACACGTATGCATATATATGTGTATATGCACGCGTGTGCGTATATATGTGTATACGCACACGCATGCGTATATATGTGTATACGCACACGCATGCGTATATGTGTATACGCACACGCATGCGTATATGTGTATACGCACACGCATGCGTATATGTGTATACGCACACGCATGCGTATATGTGTATACGCACACGCATGCGTATATGTGTATACGCACACGCATGCGTATATGTGTATACGCACACGCATGCGTATATGTGTATACGCACACGCATGCGTATATGTGTATACGCACACGTATGTGTATATGTACACGTATGCATATATATATACATGTATGTGTATATATTTATATATACGTATGTGTATATGTACATGTATGTGTATATATTTATATGTACAGGTATGCGTATATACACATGTATGTGTTTATATTTATATACATGTATGTATACCTGTATGTATATATGTTCAACTATATATTTTTATATACATGTATGTATATATTTATATATACATGTATTATATATGTTCAAATATATTTATATACACATGTGTATGTATATTTATATACACATGTGTATGTATATATACACGTGTGTATGTATATTTATATACACGTGTGTATGTATATTTATATACACGTGTGTATGTATATTTATATACACGTGTGTATGTATATTTATATACACGTGTGTATGTATATTTATATACACGTGTGTATGTATATTTATATACACGTGTGTATGTATATTTATATACACGTGTGTATGTATATTTATATACACGTGTGTATGTATATTTATATACACGTGTGTATGTATATTTATATACACGTGTGTATGTATATTTATATACACGTGTGTATGTATATTTATATACACGTGTGTATGTATATTTATATACACGTGTGTATGTATATTTATATACACGTGTGTATGTATATTTATATACACGTGTGTATGTATATTTATATACACGTGTGTATGTATATTTATATACACGTGTGTATGTATATTTATATACACGTGTGTATGTATATTTATATACACGTGTGTATGTATATTTATATACACGTGTGTATGTATATTTATATACACGTGTGTATACACATGTGTATATATACACATGTGTATGTACATATATTTATATACGCATGTGTATTTACATACATTTATATACGCATGTGTATGTACATACATTTATATATGCATGTGTATGTACATACATTTATTTATGCATGTGTATGTACATATATTTATGCATGTGTACGTATATTTATTTATGCATGTGTATGTATATATATGCATGTGTATGTATATATATACATGTGTATGTGTATATATATGTTCAAATGTATATGTATATACATATAAAATATATATATTTGAACTGGATTTCACTGATTTAAATTTAAAATATATATACACACATATTTGAACTGGATAATTTCAAATATATATATTTCATATATATATTTGACTTGGATAATTTCTTCACTGATTTAAATTTAAAAAAATATATACATATATGTATATATATACATATATATACACACACACATATATATACACATATATATATATATATATATTTTTTTTTTTTTTTTTTTTTTTTTTTTTGAGACAGAGTCTCACTCTGTCGTCCAAGCTGGAGTGCCATGGCGCGATCTTGGCTCAGTGCAACCTCCATCTCCTGGGTTCCAGTGATTCTCCTGCCTCAGCCTTCCAAGTAGCTGGGATTACAGGCATCCAACATCACGCCCGGCTAATTTTTGTATTTTTAGTAAAGACAAGGTTTCACCACTTTGCCCAGGCTGGTCTCGAACGCCTGACCTCAAGTGATCTGCCCGCCTCCGCCTCCCAAAGTGCCAAAGTGCTGGGATTACAGGTGTGACTCACCGTGCCCAGCCCCAAATATTTTTAAAATAATAATATTAAAAAAGCAAACAGCAGTAAAAAATTCATAAAGATAAAATGACAAAACTAATAATTGGGAACAAGAAACAAATTCAAGGATTAGGTTAACAAATCTTCAGGGAGGCCAAGGTGGGAGGATTGCATGAGGCCAGGAGTTTGACAAGACAGGCTGGGTGACATAGCAAGACCCTATCTCTACAAAAAATAAAAAGAGTTAGCCAGGTGTGGTGGTGCGCACCTATAGTCCCAGCTAGTCAGGAGGCTGAGATGGGAGGATTGTTTGAGCCCAGAGGTTCGAGGCTGTAGTGAGTTATGATCACACCACTGCACTCCAGACTGGGCAACAGAGTGAGCTCCTCTCTCTAAAAATAAAAATAACAAATAAAAATGAATCTTTTATTCGAGAAAACATAAATGTACAAAATTGAAATTAGAAAGAAGTCATTTGGAGGCAGTTTTAAAAGCAAATAGTATATAGAACCCTTTACAGTAGTGACACTGGGAGTATTGAAGAAGTGCTTGATCCTTCTAGGGAAATCGGTGAGATGTTGGTTGTTGTCATCAGAAGAAATAGAAACCTTTTGTTTGACAATAACTATGAGAAAAACTGAAAATGTTACCAAAGGCTTATCTTGTAGAAAGGCCCTGGTTTGGGCAATTTTAAGGGAAGTTCTGTTAAATTGCTCATGATGAATTAATTTCCCTGCTGCATAAACTGTCACAGAGCCTAGCAAAAGATGAATATGTTCACTTATTTTAAGAAACTGTTATAATCTTGACACCCAAACTTGATTTACAGGTTTGATTGTGTTTACATTTGGATTGAGAAAGCCCTCAAATACAGGATGTTAATAAGGCAACTCTAGCCCTGTAGTAAAGAAATAAATAGTGCTTACACTAAGAAAGCAAAGATAGGTTATTATTTTAAAACCTATTAATATCATTCAACACATTAATATGTTAGAGAAAGTCAATGATAAGATCCTTTTAAAATAAAAACTAAACATATAACAAAAAGAATTCCAGGCCGGCCACGGTGGCTCATGCCTGTAATCCCAACACTTTGGGAGGCTGAAGCAGGTGGATCACTTGAGGTCAGGAGTTCGAGACCAGCCTGGCCAACATGGTGAACCCTGTCTCTACTAAAAGTACAAAAAAAAAAAAAAAAAAAAATTAGCTGGGTGTGGTGGCAGGCACCTGTAATCCCAGCTACTCGGTGAGGCTGAGGCAGGAGAATCACTTGAGCTCGGGAGGTTAAGGTTGCAATGAGCCGAGATGGCACCACTGTGCTCCAGCCTGGGTGACAGAGCAGGACTCTGTCAAAATAAATAAATAAATAAATAAATAAATAAATAAATAAATAAATAAAAATCCACATAGATTATAAATATAGAGGTAAACATTTAAAACATAGAGAAATCTTAGAAGAAAGTAGATGAAAGTTTCTCAGCACTGCTGCTATCTGGGACTGGAGGGTTCCATGTGGTGGGGTGTCCTGTGTACTGCAGGGTGTTGAGCAGCGTCCCTGGGCTCCGCCCACCAGATGCCGGCAGGAGTTGGCAGTTGTGACAACTAAAAATATCTCCACATGTTGATGAAGGTGGATGTTTTGTTCATCTGAAAGCTGGAAATGCTGGTGTAAATTAAACAAGATGGAAGAGGACACCAGAACTGCTGTGTGTCAGAGATATTATGTGTTAAAGATAAAACAAACTGAGGGCCACATTTAAAATATTATAATGGAGAGGTTCTTATTGTCCATCACGTACAAAGAACTCTGAAAACACTTTAGGGGTTTGCACGGGCTCGTCTCTAGCACGCCAGAAGCAAAGATAGACAGACAAATACAAAAATAGGTATTAAACACGAGCAACTGGCTGGGTGTGGTACCTCACGCCTGTAATCCCAGCACTTTGGGAGACTGAGGTGGACGGATCACTTGAGGTCAGGAGTTCGAGACCAGCCTGACCAACATGGTGAAACCCCGTCTTTACTAAAAATACAAAAAACATTAACCAGGCGTGGTGGCGCCTGTAATTCCAGCTACTCGGGAGGCTGAGGCAGGAGAATCGCTTGAACCTGGGAGGCAGAGGTTGCAGTGAGCCCAGATCGCGCCACCTGCACTCCAGCCTGGTGACAGAGCGAGACTCTGTCAAAAAAGAAGGGAAAAAAAAAAAACCTGACTATATTAAGGTCCAAAAATGCACCAGTGAGTGGAAAGGTACACATAGCACATCCAGCAGGTTCCGTGTTTTATTTTAAAAGCCGGCGGGGGCGACGGGGTAGAAAAATGCTGTTAAAGAGTGTAATTGAGTTGCTTGTAACACAAAGGATAAATGCTTGAGGGGATGGATACTGCATTTTCCATCATGTGATTATTACTTATTCCTGCCTGTGTCAAAGTAGACTTAAGGTTCACTCAAGAGGAACTTTAAAATATTCAGAAACAACATGGCAGAAATCGTGGGAAGGTTCAGTGTTGCAAGTCGGGTTGAGGTTTTGTGGGACCTTTTATTATATGTTTCGTAGTCATGGGGAGAATTGAGGGATGGCGCTCTGCGGTGGTCAGGGCAGTGGAAGACGAGCAGTGAGCAATGACCGTAAATGACCAGGGGTGTGGGTGGTGGGAGATCGCCCCTCCCCCAGGCTGTGTGGTACAAGCGTGTTATGGAGTGATCTTGCAGGGAAACCTGCTTTAAACTAATTGTATTCATGAAACATAATTCTGCTTCCAGGAGTTTATTTTAGGGAAATGAGCAGAGCTGAACAAAAAGATGTAAGGACATAAATGGCAGTGCCATTTGTAGTGAGGTGGAGTGCTGTTTCTCTTGCCCTCCCCCCAGCCCGGATCTTTACGCAACTGTGGTGAAGATGCCATAAATTCCATAAATAACTGGGCCAAAAGCAGAGGGAGATTTGCTGAAGGAAGGGTACTTTTTCAGAGAAATAGTTACCTTAAATACAGAGCAGTGAAATCTTACAAATAAATGTCGAGTCCAAGAGAAATGCTAAGAGATAGAAAAGGTCCGAGAGCTTCAATATCTGTCAAATAGGAGAGAAAGAAAAAGAAAGAAAGAAAGAAGTAACTCCTATTATATTTCAGCTCTGAGACAAAGTTTAGATTGAAAGTGTTCCAGATATTGAGCAGAGTGGATGAAGAAAGCTCAAATGTAGACACCAAGTGGTAAAATTTCAGAGCAGCAAAAATGAAGAAAAATCCTAAATGCCTTTCTGTATCAATCTGGTTGTGACAATTGATGTCTCAAAATTCTGGTGCAAGATAACTTTGAAATGAAAGTTCTGTATTCAGCTTTAGTACCGTAATTTGAAAGCAAAACAAAGACTTTTCAAATTTGCAAACGTTAAAAATGTTATCCCTCAAAGATCTTTGAGGAAAAAGTTAGTTGATTGACTCCTGCAAAATGGAATGTAATCCAAGAAAGGCGAGAGTAGCCAAGCACAGTGGCTCATGCCTGTAACCACAGCATTTTGGGAGGCTGAAGTGGGAGGATCGCTTGAGTTCAGGAGTTCAAGACCAGCCTGGACAACATAGTGGGGTCTCATCTCTACTAAAAAATTTTTAAAAATTGCTGAGTGCAGTGGCACATGCCTGTAGTCCCAGTTACTCAGGAGGCTGAGGCGGGAGGATCACTGGAGCCTAGGACATTGAAGCTGCAGTGAGCTATGATTACACCACTGCACTCCAGCCTGGGTGACAGAGCAAGACCCTGTCTCAAAATAATAATAATAATGATAATGATAATGATAATAATAAATAGAAGAGAGCACACAGGAAGCAGTGCTGAATAAATAAATGTATAAAACAGAGTTAAGTCTGAATGTGTTAGTGCACAGTTACGAAAATAATCTGGAATTAACATTTCACATGGGAGGTAATTGAAAGAGCAGAGAAGAAAGAATGAGCATATGTTCATGTTTTTGTTTCGTCTGGGAAGAAGACATAGGTAATGACTATATTTGATAGAAAATATAAGCTTAAATACGTGTGCTGACAGTTGAAAGGTGGTTACCACCAGAAAACTAGAAAAGATGTGTACAAGTTTCAGAGCCTTAATGGGAAATGCGTGGATTGAAGAAAACCTGATTCATGCAATCAGAGGTGGGTGGGAAAGAATTACACTGATGTCAGGCCTCTGAGCCCAAGCTAAGCCGTCATATCCCCTGTGACCTGCATGTACACATCCAGATGGCCGGTTCCTGCCTTAACTGATGACATTCCACCACAAAAGAAGTGAAAATGGCCTGTTCCTGCCTTAACTAATGACATTATCTTGTGAAATTCCTTCTCCTGGCTCATCCTGGCTCAAAAGCTCCCCTACTGAGCACCTTTCGACCCCCACTCCTGCCCACCAGAGAACAACCCCCCTTTGACTGTAATTTTCCTTGACCTACCCAAATCTTATAAAACGGCCCCACCCCTATCTCCCTTCGCTGACTCTCTTTTCGGACTCAGCCCACCTGCACCTAGGTGAAATAAACAGCCTTGTTGCTCACACAAAGCCTGTTTGGTGGTCTCTTCACACGGACGGGAGTGAAAACTGAAGAAATAGAAAATCTGATATATGTAAAAAAGGGAAAATAATATAAAATGAAACTGCAGGACTCAATCCAAATATAACCGTGATCATAATAAACATGAATAGATTAAAATTCCTTTTTAAAAAGATAGGCTTTCTGAATGGGAAAATAAACATAAAATCCGGACATACAGTAGTGTAGGAGGCAGCTTAATTAAAAACAAACAAAATGTTGAAAATAAATGGATGCATTTGATATGATTCTGTTCCACTATCCAATCTAAGTAATGGTCAATTGTTTTATAGATTGTTCTTCAGTTGTTTGTTGTTGTTGTTGTTGTTTTGAGACAGAGCCTCGCTCTGTCGCCCAGGCCGGAGTGCAGTGGCACGATCTCAGCTCATTGCAACCTCTGCCTCCCAGGTTCAAGCAATTCTCATGCCTCAGCCTCCAGAGTAGCTGGGATTAGTTTCCCGCCACCGCACCCGGCTAGTTTTTGTATTTTTAGTAGAGACGGGGTTTCACCTTGTTGGCCAGGCTGGTCTCGAACTCCTGATGTCAGGTGATCCACCTGCCTAGGCCTCCCAAGGTGCTGGAATTACAGGCATGAGCCCCTGTGCCCAGCCTTCAGTTTGGTTTTGTCCAGTGTTTTCTCATGATTAGACTGAGGTTATGCATTTTTGGCAAAAAAATCATCAGAATTGATGTAAGTTTTCAGTGTGTCATGCTATGGAGTGCATGATGTCTGTATGTCCTGACCTGGTGATGTTAAATTTCATCACCTGGATTAAGTGGTGTCTGTTGGAATTCTCCACTGTGAAATTATTATGTTTTTCTTTTAGTAATGGAAAATATCTTGGCATAGACATTATACAAACAGCCTGTTTCTTCTCTAAAAATCAGTGAGTCTTGTCTGCAACAGTTGTTACTATAGTGTTTGCCTAATCGTGGTTTTCTACTTCCCTCATTCCTTCTATTTCAATTACTTGGAATTATCTTCTAAATTAAACCTGCCCTTTCTTTCTCACATATTTGTTTATTCAATAGTTATATTAGGTCAGGCGTGGTGGCTCATGCCTGTAATCCCAGCACTTTGTGAGACTGAGGCAGGCAGATTGCTTGAGCCCAGAAGTTTGAGACAAGCTTCATAAACATTGTGAAACCCCATTTCTACCAAAAAATACAAAAAATTAGCCGGGCATGGTGGCATGCACTTGTAGTCCCAGTTACTTGGGAGGCTGAGGCAGGCGGACCACTTGAGCCCAGGAGTTCGAGGCTGCAATGAGCTATGATTGCACCACTGAACTCTAGCCTGGGTGACAGAGTGAGACCCTGTATCAAAAAGAAAACTTATATTAGTGTAGGCTCATGAATATTTATTTCATATTTTGGGCTTGTTGTTTTTTGTTATTGATTACATTATTTCAGCTTTGGCAATTGGGTGCTTCCCCTAGCTGGCCCCCTGTATTCTTTCAATATGCCCCCATCCTTTTCTAGCACTTGCTTAATTTTTCTGTCATCCCAATATGTTCCAGACTATGATGAAGTGGGATTTAAGCAAAAATAAATAAATAAATGGAACAGAGCAAATTTCACTTTGATAAAATGGACAGTCTTTCAAGCTTCGAGTCTCAAACTTGTATGCAACTAACAATGTAAGCTTTGAATACAGAAAGTAAAAATTGATAGAGATTGTTATGGACATCTGTTAGTTTCTACCAGCTCAGCATTTACATTTCTCTGCCTCTGCAGCTTACAGAGGGAAACTGTCTTCCTAAGAGCTGGCCCAAGTGCATGCATCTTAAGACAGTTCTGTTCAATTTGTCACATTTTTCAAGTATGCATGCATTTCTTTTTCATAATATTAATATTTATTACTATATATGAATACTAGATTGAAAGCCCAAGCATTCAGTTTACACACAGAAATTATGCAATTATATATCGCTTCACAAAGGCAGTGAACACATTACATTCTACAAAATCTACTTCACAGAAATTTAAAAATTCTAAATATCAAAAGGTACAGCTGAAGAAACAGGTATAAATTTGGCAGCCAGTAATTTTGACAGGGAAGTTGCAGCTTGCATGACTTTATTTTTTTGTTTGTTTTTTGAGACAGAGTCCCACTCTGTCGCCCAGGCTGGAGGGCAGTGGTGCCATCTCGGCTCACTGCAACCTCTGCCTCCTGGGTTCAAGTGATTCTCCTGCCTCAGCCTCTTGAGTAGCAGGAATTACAGGCGCCCACCAGCACGCCTGGCTAATTTAAATTTTTTGTTTGTTTGTTTTTGTTTTTTTGCTTGTTTGTTTTGAGATAGAGTCTCGCTCTGTTGCCCAGGTTGGAGTGCAGTGGTGCGATCTCAGGTCAGTGCAATCTCCGCCTCCCGGGTTCAAGCGATTCTCCTGCTTCGGCCTCCTGAGTAGCTGGGACTACAGGCGCCACCACACCTGGCTAATTTTTGTATTTTTAGTAGAGAAGGGGTTTCACCATGCTGGCCAGGCTGATCTTGAACTCCTGACCTCAAGTGATCCGGCTGCCTCGGCCTCCCAAAGTGCTGGGATTGCAGGCATAAGCCACCGCGCCAGGCCTTGCATGACTTTAAATATATGAATATGAAAATATTGAACTTAGAGTAATCATTGTGCTTTGTGTTGATTGAAAAATATAACAATGGCTATCAAAGAAGCATGTTCAAAGATGCTTAATTCACTTCAAAATGTCATACAAATTGTGGTGGTTTCTATGCACCTCTAAAGCTTCCGTCATTTAGCTCAGGTACATTACTAAAGTAATATATTAATTCTACCGGTACAGTGGGGTTTCACACCATTGGCATTTGCATTCAAGCATGCAGAGGCTTTTGGGCACAAGTGGACGGTGTGCACAGCTCTAAGCCATCCGTGGAAATGTGCTCTGAACATGGAGACCGCAGTGAGGGCTGTGGGGATTCTCTTTGCATTCCACGTTTGTGAGCAGCAAAACAGCACCCTCTTGAAGGAGGAGGTGGTTCTGTGCTGAATATTCACCCGCTGTCCCACTATTTGGCACATGTCTGTTCCAGGGTCATCCTCTCGAAGGTGTTCGATGAAGTCATTGAAGTGAATCTAATCGATAGTGCCGACTACATCCACCTGGCCTTTCTGAAGAGACCTGAGCTCGGGCTCACCCTCACCAAGCTTCACTGTTGGACTCTCACTCACTACAGCAAGTGTGTCTTCCTGGATGCAGACACTCTGGTGAGTGAAGACTCTCTGCTTGATAGGAAACCCTCCAAGACCACATCTCTATCCTTAAGCAGGCTGTCAACTTTTTTTTGTGTGTGTGTGACACAGTCGCTCTGTCACCCAAGCTGGAGTGCAATGGCACGATCTCGGCTCACTGCAACCTCCGCCTCCTGAGTTCAAGTGATTCTCCCACCTCAGCCTCCCGAGTGGCTGCTATTACAGGCACCCGCCTTCATGCCCGGTTAATTTTTGTATTTCTGTACAGACTGGGTTTCGCCATGCTGGCCGGGCTGTCACCTCTTACTGGTAGATTCCTGTGAGGCCATGTGCATTTCTATTTCTAACACAGATGTTCAGTCTATTATAATCAGGCATAACATACCCCCGAGCACTGTGCTAGACCCTGCTGAAGAGAACAGGGGATTGGAAGACATGTTCCTACCCCAGGAATGAATTATAACCACAGTATTTTACACGCACAAAATAGAATCATGAGGGAAAAAACTTGTGACTGGGCACAGTGGCTCATGCCTGTAATCTCAGCACTTTGGGAGCTTGAGATGGGTGGATCACTTGAGGCCAGGAGTTTGAGACCAGCCTGGCCAACACGGTGAAACCGTTTTTACTAAAAATACAAAAATTAGCCAGGCATGGTAACAGGTGCCTGTAATCCCAGCTACTCAAGAGGCTGAGGTGGGGGGATCGCTTGAACCCGGGAGGCGGAGGCCGCAGTGAGCCGAGACTGAAGCACTGCACTCCAGCCTGGGCGACAGAGCAAGACTCTGTCTCAAAAACAGAAGCATTGGTAAAAGAAGCATTGCGGCGGGTTCTGCGTGTTTTGCTTCACCAGGTGCTGTCCAATGTCGATGAGCTGTTTGACAGGGGAGAGTTTTCTGCGGCCCCGGACCCCGGATGGCCGGATTGCTTCAATAGCGGGGTGTTTGTCTTCCAGCCTTCTCTCCACACGCATAAACTCCTGCTACAGCACGCCATGGAACACGGCAGCTTTGACGGTAAGTCAGGGCAGCCCGGACGCTTAGGGTCTCTGTTGCACACACTCAACTCTGCAGATGTAACACGAAGTCAGCCGTTGACCATACAGTCACACCTCGCTCAGCGACAGGGATGCGGTCTGAGAAATGTGTTGTTAAGTGATTTTGTCATTGTATGAACGTCCCAGAGTGTATCTGCACACACCTGGATGATGTAGCCTACTGTATACCTAGGCTGGAGGGTACAGCCTATTCCTTCTAGGCTACAAACCCATATAGCATGGGAGTGCACTGAATGTTGTAGGCAACTGTAACATAATGGGAGGTATCTGTGTTCTAAACATACCTAAACATCACAAAGGTCCAGTGAAAATACAGTATAAAATCTTATGGGACCACCGTCAGATGTATGGTCTGTCTTTGACCGAAGCACTTTTATGTGTTGCATGACTGTACTTGGCATTGAACATGGGCTGGCCGTGGTGGCTCATGCCTGTAATCCCAGCACTTTGGGAGGCCAGGGCGGACAGATTGCTTGAGGCGAGGAGTTCAAGACCGGGGTGGGCAGATGGCTTGAGACCAGGAGTTCAAGACCAGCCTAGGCAACGTGGCAAGACCCCATCTCTACAAAAAATACAAAAATAAGCTGGATGTGATGCTGGCACCTGTAGTCCCCAAGCCCTGGGAGGCTGAGTTGGGAGCAGCAGCTGAGCTCAGGAGCTCAAGCCTACAGTGAGCTATGATTGCACCACTGCACTCCAGTCAGGTTGACAGAGTGAGACCCTGTCTCAGAGAAAAAGAAAAGAGCATGGCTGTGTTCCAATAAAACTTTATTTATAAAAACATGCACAGTGTGTAGTTGCTTGACCCATGGTAGAATATAGGGAGAATTAAAAGGAGGCAACCTGAAGCCGAGTATTTGTTGAAATGGGCGTCAGTAGAGAGGAAATGTGCTGGAATTTTTGTAAAGTAAAAGAAAATACTGGAGCAGTGAAGAATTGCCTCTAGGTAAAGGGGAAGTTAATGAAACTGGCAAAAATGATGGGAAAAGCATTGTCACTACCAGGGAGAATTCATTAGGGGACCAGTGGAATGCTTTGGACTCCATATGCAATTTTAGCATTCATTCTGGGGACTCCTGGTGGAGAATTTTGGAGGGAATATGCACTTATTTTTATCAATGGCTTGGGTTATCAGTCTTTTCTGAGAACCAAGAGAATGTGTGCAGCTGGCAGACAGAAGAAATGGAATTAGTAACCCTGAAGGCAAGTGTTTATGTTGAGAGCTTCAGGCACATCTCGCATTCTTGGAGTGAACCAAGCCATACTTTGCTAACCTGCTTTTGTGTTTGCTCATTATGTAGGGGCAGACCAAGGCTTACTGAATAGTTTCTTCAGGAACTGGTCGACCACAGACATCCACAAGCACCTGCCGTTCATCTATAACTTGAGTAGTAACACGATGTACACTTACAGCCCTGCCTTCAAGCAGTAAGTTCTCCACCCTGGCGAATCCTGCCAGATCTGCCACTACCGATCCACCTTCCCTCCTGGAAGACATACCAGCTGTCGGCATATTTAAAAACTCTATCTATCTATCTATCATCTATCTATCTATGTATCTATCTATCTATCTATCTATCTATCTATCTATCATCTATCTATCATCTATCTATCTATCACCTCTATCTAGGTAGATCTAAATATCTATTTATCTGTATAGATAGATACCTATGTCTATGTGTCTGTGTATCTAGATCTCTATGTCTATCTATATAGATATATATCTGTCTATATAGTTATCTACCTATATAGGCCTAGACATCTGTTTATCTATCTATCTATCTATCTATCTATCTATCTATCTATCTATCTATCCATATCTATCTATTTAGATCTGGATATCTATCTGTATACATAGATCTATATATCTATATCTATATATGTATCTATATCTAGATCTAGATATCTATATACATTGATCTATCTAATCTCTATATCTATGTAGATATTTATCTATCTATCTAGACCTAGATGTCTATCTATCTAGACCTAGATATCTATCTATCTAGACCTAGATATCTGTCTATCTGTCTAATCTATCATCTATCATATGTATCTATTCAGATAGATCTGGATATCTATCTATAAACATCTTATCTATCTATCTATCTAGATCTACATCACTATATAGATACCTATATCTATCTATCTAGAACTAGATATCTATGTATCTAGATATCCATCTAGATTTAGATCTTCATCCATATAGATATCTATATCTATCTATCTAGATCCAGATATCTATCTATATACATAGATCTATATATCTATATCTGTATATCTATCTAGATCTATCTAGATATCTATGTATATACATGGATCTATATATCTCTCTATGTATCTAGATCTAGATCTCTCTCTATATAGATCTATGTATCTAGATCTAGATCTCTATATAGGCATCTATCCATCTATGTAGATCTAGACATCTATCTATATATTAATACATAGATGTATCTATCTATATACGTCTTTATATATGTATATACACACACAGAAACACACACACACATCTCGTTTCCTGCTTGCTTGTTGCTGTAAATGATAGCTAGCCAAGGCTCTACGACAATGATCCCCAAAGTGTGGCCCAAGGAACCCTGACCCCACAACTCTTTCAAGTGTCTTCAAAGTCATAACTACTTTAAAAAAAGAATTTGAAGATGTGATTTTTTTCCCTTTTTGCTGCCATTTTCTCATGCATCTATGCTGAGAGTTTACAGACACTACATGGCATGTGATAAGGTAATACCCTGAACACAGATGGAGCTAGGAAGAACCAGCTGTCGCCTCTTGGGAAAATGGATGGCACTCTTCTCACAATGATTTTTTTTAATATAGAAATTTTTTTAATGAAAAATTATGAAATTTATGTTACTGCATAATGGTTTGATTTTTTTTAAAGGGATTGATAAATATGCTTTCTAATTTCTCAGTTTTAATATCGATTATTCTAAATATGGAGAGAGAGAATCCACAGGGACATGGCCGAGCACAGTGGCTCACGCCTGTCATTCCAGCCCTTTGGGGGCCGAGGTGGGCGGATCACTTGAGCTCAGGAGTTTGAGACCAGCCTGCGCAACATGATGAAACCCTGTCTCTACGAAAAAATAAAACAAAACATTAGCCGAATGTGGTGTCGCACACCGCTAGTCTCAGCTACTCGGGAGGCTGCGGAGGGAGGCTCACTTGAACCTGGGAAGTGGAGTTTGCAGTGAGCCGAGATCGTGCCACTGCACTCCAGCCTGGGTAACAGAGCAAGCCTCAGCTCAGGAGAAAAAAAAAAGAAAGAATCCACACGGACAAAGCTCTTTGGGTTCCTAAAAGGGTCAAGGGTGAGGGGACCAGAGGCTGTGAAATTCACTGCTCCAGAAGATATGGCTATAAATGAAAATAGAGAATCTGAGAATCACCTTGGGAATGAATAATTCTAGAGTCTGCATTCTCTACAGAGGACACGGTGTCCCTAAGGAAGAGAAATTGATTCTTGGGAGTGAAATCTTGTTATTTTTTACTGTATAATCACAGATGTAATGTACAGAACATAGATATGTCATGTGACTTTTGTGTTCATATTTCATGAGGAGGTGATCCACGAAAAAAAAGTTTAAAAAGGCTCCTGGAGGATGGTGATGATGAACAACAAAAAAGTTGGCAAGGGGAACATTTAGAATCCTGTAAAAGAGAAAAAAAGCCAATTGCCTTGCCGCTTGCATTAGCCACTGTAAAAGCTATTTTTTTTTGCCCCTGTCGTTTTAAGGATATGATGATTTGGGCTGCTGTACTTCACGTTTTTACAAAACTGATTTATTTTTCCCGTTTTGGGAAAAAATGTCAATGGATTACGATTATGTTTTTTGATATATAGAAAATAAAATAACTGCAAAAACTGTGATTTAAAAAATATATCTTTATGCAAAATAACTGCAAATGAAACTACTACTACTATGCTGATAGCAGTGGAGTAGTATTATTGATGATATATTGATTACTATCTTGATAGTAGTGGTATGCTAGTATTGCTCAGATATTGATTACTGCATTGATAGTACTAGTATATTATTATTGATTATATATTGATTACTATAGTAGTGATAGTATTTTGTTATTATTGATCACACATTGATTACTGAATTGATAGTAGTAGTATGTTACTATTGGTTATATATTGATTACTATGCTAGTAGTAGTATATTGTTGACTATATATTGATTACTACATTGATAGTGGTAGATTATTATTGATTATATATTGAGTACTATGTTGATAATAGTAGCATAGTATTGATTACATAACGATTACTACATTGATAGTAATATATTGTTATTGATCATATATTGATTACATGCATTGATAGTAGTAGTGTATTATTATTGATTATATATTGATGACTATGTTGATAGTAGTAATCTTATTATGGGTCATATATTGATTACTGCATTGGAAGTAGTAGTGTATTATTATTGATTATATATTGGTTACTATGCTGATAGTAGTAGTATCATCAGTAATAATAATCAATAATGGAAACCCATTGGGACAAGTCCTTCAGAGGCTGTCTTTGAGGAGCCCCATGGTAGGTGGATGCTTTCTGGGTGTCTTTTATCACATCTGAGTGGAAATCAGAATCCCTTCTGTTTCCTTCTCAGATTCGGTTCCAGTGCAAAGGTCGTCCACTTTTTGGGGTCCATGAAACCTTGGAACTACAAGTACAATCCACAGAGTGGCTCGGTGTTGGAGCAAGGCTCAGCGTCCAGCAGCCAGCACCAGGCGGCATTCCTTCATCTCTGGTGGACGGTCTACCAGAACAACGTGCTGCCCCTTTATAAAAGCGTCCAAGCGGGGGAAGCACGCGCGTCTCCTGGTCACACAGTAAGTGGGGGATTCCCTTAAAACCCGTAGCTGAGGACGAGGAGAACATCCTTGTCACCAAGGTCTGGCGTGGTTTTTTTTTGAAATGCCCCTTTTTTGTCTAAATACTGTATTTCATGGAAAAGAATACTGAGAAGCAAGCACCTGTTAAAAAAATTTTTAAGTTTTAGCTCAAAATAGAGAATGCCTAATGACTGGAGATCCTGTTTTGATGTGTAGGCCTGGTGCAGAAATAGGTTATTGAAATTAGCCATCCTCATCAGAGTAAGAGACACTCATGGACAAGTGGTTCACAATGACTGATTACGACGTCATTCGGGTCAACACTTTCCACTTGAAACCATCATTTGAGATAGCAGTTGGAGGAAGTGTCTGAAGAGGATTTTGTAAAGTTTTGATTGACACCAATTTGATTGCAAAGAATATAATGACAGCCCCTCGGTGTGCTAAATGGTGGAGTATCTGCAGTGTGCTGAATGTAGGCTGCATCTGCCTTGCAGAAGACCTCTTGCAATTAGGACTCAGGAAACTTCTTATTCCTAATGGCTTTTTTCACTAAAGTAAAAAAAAACTTGAGCTTTTTTTTTTTTTTTTTTTTAACTAGAGCATTTGTACTAGAGTACCAGAGTATTTTTTAACTAGAGTAAAGAAAACTAGAGTTTTGTTTGTTTGTTTGTTTTTTGAGACAGAGTCTCACTCTGTTACCCAGGCTGGAGTGCAGTGACATGATCTCGGCTCACTGCAACCTCCGCCTTCTGGGTTCAAGCAATTCTCCTGCCTCAGCCTCCCAAGGAGCTGGGATTACAGGTGCCTACCACCACGCCCAGCTAATTTTTGTGCTTTTAGTGGAGACGGGGTTTTGCCACGTTGGCCAGGCTGGTCTTGAAGCTCTGACCTCAAGTCATCCACCCGCCTCAGCCTCCCAAAGTGCTGGGATTACAGGCGTGAGCCACCAAGCCCGGCCTTTTTTTTTTTTTAACTAGAGCATTTGCTAGTACAACAGAGTCTGCTATCAGCACATGCATTGCCTGGGAAATTGAAAAGAATCCCTATTTTAATTTTTAGTATGGTTTTTTATTTGGGTGGATCTAGGCTGCTTTTTAAGGACTGCTGAAAATTTCTCTCACCGAGTGACACTAGCAATGGACGTTTATTTGTATTCACTTCACAAACATTGACTTGTCACATATTTCCTGCTGGGCGTTTTGCTAAGTACTGGATTATTAAGTACTGGATTACTAAGTACTGGATTACTAAGTACTGGATTGCATAGGAGGGAATTTTAAGGCTTAGTGTCAAACGGTCCTGAGAAAGAAAACATTTAGGACAATTATTTAATGATTGGCAGATGGGAGCTGGGAGCCCTGGCTACACAGGGCCCCACCCGCCCCCCAGGACAGCAGGTGAATTGAGGAGACATAGGGAAGACTCACTCCACGTGTGTGTTTTTGTGCAGCTTTGCCACAGTGATGTGGGGGGGCCGTGTGCGGATTCAGCCTCTGGTGTTGGAGAGCCGTGTGAAAATTCAACACCCAGTGCGGGCGTGCCGTGTGCAAATTCACCACTGGGTTCTAACCAGCCTGCTCAGGGCCTTCCGGAGCCGACCCAGATAGTGGATGAGACCCTGTCCCTACCTGAAGGACGCCGTTCAGAAGATGTAAGTACCTGCATTCCTCACAGGTGTGATAGTCAGACGCTGGCTCGCAGTGAGAGAGCAGAGAGAGCCGGCTTCCCTGGCTCCCTGGGGAGGGGAGATGGAGGGGAAGGGCTGGTCTTTGGCTTGCTGTGGCATTCAAGGCTCTGCATTTATTTTTGCATTACGGCACACCGAATCAAGCTCACCTGCTGAAAGATGTCTATGCCCCAATCCCTAGGACCTGTGAATGTCACCTTGTGTGGCAAAAGGGCGTTTGCAGTTGTGATTAAATGAGGGACCCTGAGCTGGGGAGGTATGGTCTTGGATTCTGGGAGTGGGCTCTTAGTCATCACAAACCTCCCTTCAAAGAAGAAGGTGGAAGTGTGAAGGTCAGAGAAGGAGTGTGAAGCTGGAAGCAGAGGCCAGAGAGAGAGGGGATTGGAAGACGCTGGGCTGCTGGCTTTGAAGATGGAAGAGGAGGCCACGAGCGAGGGAATATGGTGGCCTCCAGAAGCTGGAGAAGGCAGGAAATGGATTCTCCCCTAGGTCCCCAAGAAGGAACCAACCCTGCCGACAACTTGATTTTAATCCACTGGACTTCTGGCCCCCAGAACTATCAGATGGTCAGTCTGCCTTGGTGTAAACCACCCAGTTTGTGGCTGTTTCTTACATAGCAGCCTCAAAAATCTGATGCCACAAGGAGACAGATGCTCAGTCTCTCGCAGTTTACAGATTCTGGGGGAGCCAGAGCTCTTTCAGGTTCAAAAAGGGAGGCTTCCGTCAGTGCCCCCTCAACCCAACTGCCTGGCCGTGCATCCTGAGAGGTTTCAGCCGAACCCCTGACTTGAACAGTGGTTGAAGTGAAGATGAATTCCTGCCGGGGTTCAATGTTCAAATGAATGTTGACCTGCACAGTGGTGTCTGCTGAGGCCGAGTCTGCAGCACTTTGTCCCCATCGAAGAAAAATGAAAATACACCTTACTTGCAAAACAAATAATGGAGGCCGTCATTTCTCCAGCTCCAATTTCTAGGTGAATACTTTGGAATAATATCTTGTGTTTAAAGATTTCCTGGGGCCAGGCACGGTGACTCAACACCTGTAATCCTAACACTTTGGAAGGCTGAGGTGGGAGGATTGCTTGAGCCCAGGAGTACGAGACCAGCCGGCAACACACTGAGACCTCATCTCTACAAAAAAAAGTCAAGAAATTAGCCAGGCATGGATGTGTGCACCTGTAGTCCCAGCTACTTGGGAGGCTGAGGCAGGAGGAATGCTTGAGCCTTGGAGGTCAAGGCTGTAGTGAGCTATAATCTCACCACTGCACTCCCGCCTGGGTGACAGAGCGAGACACTGTCTCAAAGAAAAAAAAAAAGAAATCTTTTTTTTTTTTGAGGCGGAGTCTCTCTCTGTCACCCAGGCTGGAATGCAGTAGCCCAATCTTGGCTCACTGCAAGCTCTGCCTCCCGGGTTCACGCCGTTCTCCTGCCTCAGCCTCCCGAGTAGCTGGGACTGCAGGTGCCCGCCACCGCGCCCGGCTAATTTTTTGTATTTTTAGTAGAGACGGGGTTTCACTGTGTCAGCCAGGATGGTCTCGAACTCCTGACCTTGTGATCCGCCTGCTTCGGCCTCCCAAAGTGCTGGGATTACAGGCGTGAACCACCACGCCCGGCAAGATTTCTTGTTTTAAATCTTTACCACTGATCCTAACAAGTTTCTCAACAGAATTATTTTGAGATCATACTTAGGGAAGGATCTGGGGACTGGGCTGAAGGAAAGTGATTCTTTTCTGTATACTTCAGATAGCTCCGGGAGAGCCGTTTCTTGTTGCTTATAAACAAGTGACCTTTAGATTTTGCACACATTGCTCTGGAAGACACCACACGCTTCACTGTACTCTGGCGTAAATTATGCTCTGGCAACTTTATGCATGAAGAATGTCGGAGTGGTGATTTCACATTGACCCAAACACATTGAAAAGATGTTTAGGTTCAGATGGTGAAGACTGAGGAGGTGTAAAATGCGCTTTTCTGGTTTTTCATTCCTCATGGTGTGCCCTGAGCATACCATAGCCTGGGCCTGGCCCCAGGACGTGCCTCATGCGAGTCAAGTCAAGAGCCTCTGCTTGTTCCTGCTGGAATGTGAAGAATTCCATCAGTGGAGCCCTTACATGATGTGCAAAACGGCTGCAATTGTGCTGAGCCATGCTCGTTTCAGGATGTCTAAGGAAAAATCGCATTTACATTAAATGTTTAGTAGGCAACCAAGTTTAGACTGTAAACCAAAGAGTATCCAAGAATGCTGTGGCATTCAAGGCTCATGCTTTTATGTGCATTACAGCACCTTAAGGCCAATAAAGGGGAACTCCCATCCCCTGTTGATGTGTATTGAAAATAATTGAATGCTCAAACTCCTAGCCTAAAAAAGAAATATTATCGAATGCTTCGAAAACATAAATTTAGGAAGTGTATTTTGCCAAGGTTAAGGACACACCCGTGACACAGCCTCAGGAGGTCCTGACGACATGTGCCCACGGTGGTCGGGGCACAGCTTGCTTTTATACAATTTAGAGAGGATGAGGTATCAATATGCGTAAGAAGTACATTGGTTCAGTCCGGCAAGGCGGGACAACTCAAAGTGGGGCGGGGGCTTCCAGGTCATAAGTAGATAGAGGCAAATGGTTGCATTTTTTTTTTTTTTTAGTTTCTGATTGGTCTTTCCAAAGGAGGCAATCAGATATGCATTTATCTCAGTGAGCAGAGGGGGGACTGAATAGAATGGGAGGCAGAGGCCCTAAGCAGCTCCGCTCCCAGCTGGACTTTTCCCTGCTTACTGATATTGGGGTTCCAAGATTTACTTTCTTCACAAGACTCTATTGAGTCCTCAGAAAACGGTTTTCAAACCATCTTTCTGATTTCCGGTTGCGTAATTTTAATCTTATTCCGTCACTGAATCTTGTACATTAGTGGTTTTGCAAACTATGGCCTGAGGTCTCTCTGAATAAGGATCATTTTAAAGGATTGTGTTTTTGCAGATGATCTTAGAAGCATTCTTCTTTTTCTTTCTTTTTTTTTTTTTGAGATGGAGTCTCACTCGATCGCCCAGGCTGAAGTGCAATGGCGCGATCTCAGCAGCTCACTGCAACCTCCACCGCCCGAGTCCAAGCAATTCTCCTGCCTCAGCCTCCTGAGTAGGTGGACAGGCATGAGCCACCACACCTGGCTAATTTTTGTATTTTTAGTAAAGACCGGGTTTCACCATGTTGGCCAGGCTGTTCTTGAACTCCTGGCTTCAAGTGATCCACCTGCCTCAGCCTCCCAAAGTTCTGGGATTACAAGTGTGAGCCACCATGCCTGGCTATTAAAAACATTCTTAACAGTTTATTCTGAACCACAGTGAGCACTCCCTCATTCGTAAGGGCAGCCACCCTCTTTCAGAAGCAAGTGTGTATTCTCCACCCTTCAGCCCCTGGAGGGATTTCCACGGATTGTCACAGCCCCTGAAAACAAGCTTCCCAGGGCAAACAGTGGTTTTCCAGAGACTCCAAAAGGGAAAACAGTCAGGACGCTCCAGTCCCAGCTCCAGCCCAAGTTGTAGCCACACCAATCTCTGCAAAAACAGAACCATTTCCAGAGTGACAGCACTTAGCACTCTGGTTTCTCTAAAACAGCGCCCGTCATGTTCAATTCATATTAATCTCGATGGAATTGTTGCCGTGGATTTTTCTTGACATAAGTCACTTCTACTTTTACTTTGGATTCATAATTGTCGATGAGGTGGCAACTTAAACAATAGATATGTAGCTTCGTGTTTGTCCGTCCGTGAGCCACCTTTCAATCAGAGCCAGTCAAGCCAAACCTAGGAGAGACTTTCCCGTGGAGGGATTGGGGCTTCTGAGGAAAGCTCATGGAGAGAATCGTGATGACAGAATTGAGGATCATCCTGCCTTGATGCCCAAGGAGGTAAGCAAGGACACAAAAGCACGCTCATTTCACCCCAGTTAGGTGGTGTCTATTATCAAAAAGACAAAAAATATCCACTGCTGGTGAAGATGTGGAGAAAGGGGAACTCTTTTCCACTGTTGATGGGGATTAAAAATAAGCACAGCCAGGATGGAGAAGAGTATGAAGGTTCCTCAAAAAACTACAAATAGAACTACCACATGATCCAGCCATCACCACTGGGCATTTATCCGAAGGAGAGGAAATTAGTATATTGAAGGGACATCTGCCCCCCGTCCATGTTTTTGCAGTTTATTCACAACAGGCAAGATACAGATTCAACCCAAGTGTTTGCCAAAGGATGAATGGGTAAAGAAAATGCCATGTATAGATATACCATGGAATACTATTCAACCATAAAAAAGAAGGAAATCCATCATTTGCAGCAACATGGATGGAAATAGAGGACATTATGGTAGGTGAAATAAGCCAGAAACAGAAAGTTAAACACCACATGTTCTCACTCATCTGTGGGAGCTAAAGAAATTTAACCTCACAGAAGTGAAAAGTAAGGCCAGGCACAGTGGCTCACTCCTGTAATCCCTGCACTTTGGGAGGCTGAGGCAGGATGATTGCTTGAGATCAGGAGTTTGAGACCAGCCTGAGCAACATAGCAAAACCCTGTCTCTGCAAAAAAATACAAAAATTAGCTGGGTGTGCGGTACTTGCCGGTGGTCCCAGCTACTCGCAAGGCTGAGGTGGGAGGATCGCTTGAACCTGGGAGGTCGAGGCTGCGGTGAGCCGAGATCACGCTGCTGCACTCCAGCCTGGGCAGCAGAACAAGACCCTGTCTCAGTAGAAGAGAGTGTACTAGAGACTAGGAAAGGTGGGGGAAGGAGAAGATAGGGAGAGATTTGTTAAAGGATACAAAATTACAGCTAGACAAGAGGAATATGTTGTCATGTTCTATAGCCCTGTAGGATGACTATAGCCAACAGTAATCTATAGTTTCAAATAGCTGGACGGAGGATATTGTATGTTCCCAAAAGAAAGAAATGGTACATATTTGACATGAGGGATATGCTAATTACCCTGACCGGATCACTGAATATTGTAGGTATTGAACCATCCCTGTGTACCCCATGAATATGTACAATTATTATGTGTCAATTTTTAAAAAGTAAATTTTTTTTTTTTAAAAAAAAGTATGTTCAACAGCCAGCAGCCACGAGAAGGTCATCAGCTGGTTTCATCCACAGCAAGAGATTGCTGGCTCCAAATCCCCACCCCATCCTCAAGGGGCAATATTGCAGAAAGGAGGAGGGTGGGAAAAAAATCTCAAGAATTGGAGAATCGCCGGTTTCCAGGGCCCAGAACAAGACCCAGGAGGAGATGAAGATCACCCTTGCAGGTAGAAGCTGTCCCTGTCTGGGTAGTGCTGGGGACAGTAGGTGGCCCTTCTGCTGTCTGTCTGAGCATGAGCTCAAGGCCAAGGGTAAGATGAGGGGAAATGACCCCCAGCTGGGCTGAGCGTACTTTGTTTAGGGTATTTAAGCAGTTCTCAAAAGTGATTGCAGAACCTGTATCTCCCATCTCAGGGACTCTGCCCAGCCTCACCCCTCCCTCCACCCCACTGTCATGCCCACGCTTAGGCTTCAAAACATCAATGGAAGATGATAGTGCAGTGCCCAACTGCAGGCCCTTACATGAATAAACTGTACATCACAGAGGGGGCGGCAAGGGAGGGGAAAACAGACAGATCCAGCTCAGATGGAATTTGATCTGAAGGAAAGTGATAAAGTGAAGAAGGGATCTGTCAGCCCTGCAAGCGGCCCCAGGCACAGCGTGAAGGGGAGGCAGGGAGAGGTCATGCTGGCCTCAGACTTGGACGCTGAAATGTTTAGTTACAGCCGGAGGGGGGACGCCTGCATAGGTCCTAGGGAAAGGAGGGGACACCCAGGCATTGGAGACCCACTGTGTAGACGACTGCGAGACATGCTTAAATATTTAGCAGAAAGGAAGAGAAATTCGAATAGAGAGATTCAGGAATGGGAGGAAGGGATGGAGGTGAAATCAAAGCTGTTTAAATACAGATGCTCTTCGATTTACAATTGGTTTACATCCCAACAAACCCATCGTAAACTGAAATATCTTAAGTCAAAAATGCATTTAGACCAGGTGCAGTGGCTCACGTCTGTAATCCCAACACTTTGGGAGGCCAAGTGTTGGCAGATCACTTGAGCTCAGGAGTTCAAGACCAGCCTGGCCAACACGGTGAAACCCTGTCTCTACTAAAAATACAAAAGTTAGCCAGGCTTGGTGGCGTGCGCCTGTAATCCCAGCTACTCGGGAGGCCGAAGCAGGAAAATGGCTTGAACCTGGGAGGCGGAGGTTGCAGTGAGCTGAGATCACACCACTGCACTCCAGCCTGGGTGACAGAGCAAAACTCAGTCCCAAAAAAAGAAAAAGAAATAGAAATATAAGCATAAACTTAAATAACTGGGGAGCGTTATGTTGGCTGACTGCAACACAGATACGAAAAACCCTGACAGAATAAAAAGAATTCTAACCAAAAAGGTATTTTGGGCCGGGCACGGTGGCTCACACCTGTAATCCTAGCATGTTGGTAGGCTGAGGCAGGCAGTTCACTTGAGCTCAGGAGTTTGAGACCAGCCTGGCCAACACGGTGAAACCCTGTCTCTGCTAGAAATACAAAAATTAGCCGGAAATCGCTTGAACCCGGGAGGTGGAGGTTGCAGTGAGCTGAGATCGTGCCAGTGCATTCCAGCCTGGGCAACAGAGTGAGACTCCGTCTCAAAAAAAAAAAAAAAAAAAAAGGTATTTTGGAGTTCCTGTGTCCACATAATTTCATCCTTCGATCTCACCCCCTATTCTCCCCACCTCTCCATCCTAAGGTCGGTGAATACTGCGTCGGGGAAATTGACCTAAAAAAATTTGTTATGGTCTATATATTCTCTGATGAGGGTATTTTTCTAAAAGCAATGAAGTCTTCAGGCTTTTAAAAGGAAGGGATTGGGGGGCGAGGGGAGGGAGAGCATCAGGACAAATAGCTAATGCATGCGGGGCTTAAAAGCTAGGTGACGGGTTGATAGGTGCAGCGAACCACCATGGCACACGTATACCCGTGTAACAAACCTGCACATCCTGCACACGTATCCCAGAATTTAAAGTAAAAGCAAAACAAAACAAAACTCTTTTTAACAAAAGGTATGTTGATTGATTGGAGATTATTATATTACGGTCACATTTTCCAAGATAATATTTGATAACACTGAACAAGGAGTTGAAAATTTGAGCTGTTTTGTATACTAGTTATGTGACTTTGGATAAATCAATAAATATTTCTGAACATCTTAAAAAAAAAAAAAAGAGGGATGCTGTCCATACGGTATCTGATATATAGCTCACCCTCCGCATCTATGGGTTCCATATCTGTGGATTCAACCAACCTTGGATCGAAAATATTGGGGAAACAAAATTGCATCTGCACTCAACATGCACAGACTTTTTTCTCTTGTTATTATTCCCTAAACAATACGACATAGCAGGTATCAACATAGCATGTGCATTGTAATAGGTATGGTAATTAACCTAGAGATGATTTAAAGTCTATGGGAGGATGTGCATTGCTTATATGCAAAGACAGTTCCATCTTGTATCAGAGACTTGAGCATCCGTGGATTTTGGTATAACCAGGAGGTCCTGGAACCAATCCTCCATGGATATCAGGAGAAATTCCATTTCATTAATTCGTACTCCCGGTGGTCTTTGAAATGAGTCGTGCAACATCACTGTCACCTGCTGTCCATTTAGTGAGTTACTCTGGGTTTTTTATTTAGGGGAGCTGAAACACAGATTTTTAAAAAAAGTTTATTTTCATAAATCGCAATAATGTCATAAAAGCTGAGTGTGCGTCTGGGGCTCTTTAGTCCAGTAGCTACTTTGGTATATATAATGATGGCAAGGTTGACGTGTTTTGGTTTTGTTGTTGTTGTTGTTTTTGAGACAGGGTCTCGCTCTGTTGCCCAGGCTGGAGTGCAGTGGCACAATCTCGGCTCACTGCAGCCTTGACCTCCTGGACTCAAGTGATCCTCCCACCTCCTCCCAGGTAGCTGGGACTACAGGAGGTGCCACCACACCTGGCTGATATTTTGTATTTTTTGTAGAGATGGGTTTCACCATGTTTCCCAGGCTACTCTTGAATTCCTGGGCTCTAGCGATCTGCTCATCTTGGCCTCCCAAAGTGTTGAAATTACAGGCGTGGGCCACCGTGCCTGCCCCAGATCTGTGTTTTTTAAAGTAAAGCTGAATATTAATTTTTTCCACATACATTAATGTATTAAGGAAAAAGTTGCAATTAGTATCTTCTCCAGCGTTTTGTCTTCTAGTATTTGGGGTAGGGAAATGTAGTTAATTAAAAGATTACAGATGTCCTTCAGTTTTTTTTTTTTTAAGCTATCAAGTTTTTTTACTCTTTTTGTAGTGCATCTTATTTTATTCATAATACACCTTTTTGTTGAAGTATGTCTTACTTTTTTATTTATTTATTTATTTTTTTGAGACAGAGACTTGCTCTGTCGTCCAGGCTAGAGTGCACTGGTGCGATCTCGGCTCACTGAAGCCTCCGCCTCCTGGGTTCAAGCGATTCTCCTGCCTCAGCCTCCCAACTAGCTGGGACTACAGGCATCCGCCACTACACCTGGCTAATTTTTTGTATTTATAGTAGAGCCGGGTTTTCAGCATGTTGGCCAGGCTGGTCTCGAACTCCTGACCTCAGGTGATCCACCTGCCTGAGCCTCCCAAAGTGCTGGCATTACAGGCATGAGCCACCACGCCCGGCCTCTACTAACATTAGTAGAACCGTTGACTGTGTCCCATATATCTATGACACAGTTATCTGCATTTTCTGTCAATCTTTCTCCCCATACTTCAGTCTACTGACCTATTTTCTAGTTAACTGATCTCTTTGGCTATGTCTAATCTGTTGTTAAACCCACATTCTAGCTTCAGTTATTATGTTTTTAGTTCAAATTAACATCAGATTTTTAGTTCAAATAACATCAATGTAGTTTCAATACTACCTTGAAAATTTTTATCTTTTTCCCCATCTTATTTAAAGTATTTCTCACATTTAATTATAGTCCATGTCTGATAAATTACATATCTGGGTTTCAGGTGGGTTTGGTTTTGTTGTTTAATTTTGCTTGCTCTTGATTTTCACTCATTTGGTCTTTTCTTGTTGTATGATAGTTAATTTTTTAATTGACAGCCAGACATGGTAAATGAAAAAGAATTGCAAAGACAATTTGTAGCTCTGAATCATATTATCATAACCCAAAGAGGATTTTTTTTTTTAATTCATGTGATTTGATGTGATTTGTCCATACCCTGAGGTAGTTTGCCCAGACCCTATCTGGGGCTGAGCTGGAGGGAAATTGGGCTTCAGTGTTTGTGATGACCAGTCTATTTCTGGTTCTCCTCTCAGTGAGGTCACAAAAGAAAGCTTGTGGTGTGTACCAGGGTCCCTCATTGGTCCTGATTATTAATATTTATGGACCCCTCAGCCTCCTAGCACTGCTGGCAACTCTACTCAGTTTCTCAGCTTCCCAGCCTCTTATTTGCCCTGAGTGGAAGTAAGGTACCAAATGTGACATTTACCTCTTCTGTTTGTCTCTGGTATCTTCACTCTTAATTTTGTGCTGCCTTAGTAGCTCTCTGATGCACTTAAAAAAAAAAAAAATTCTAGGCCAGGTGTGGTGGCTCACACGTGTAATGCCAGCACTTTGTGAGGCCAAGGCAGGCAGATCACCTGAGGTCAGGAGTTTGAGACCAGCCTGGCCAACATGGTGAGACCCCCATCTCTACTAAAAATACAAAAACTAGCTAGGCATGGTGGCACGTGCCTGTAATCCCAGCTACTCGGGAGGCTGAGACAGGAGAATCACTTGAACCTGGGAGGGAGATGTTGCAGTGAGCCGAGATGGTGCCACTGCACTCCAGCCTGGGCAACAGAACGAGACTCCGTCTCAAATAAATAAATAAATAAATAAATAAATAAATAAATAAATAAATAAAATTCTATATACATTATTTGTGCAGCCTTTTTAGGTATTTTTGGCAGAAGACTTAGTGTGAAACAACAGCTTCACCATTTGCTGAAAGTGGAAAAAATCTCATTTCAGTTCCTGAGCTGATACATATATATTTGTATTTTTAGCATTCACCACCTCCAGCAGTAATAACTTTCACAAATTTATAGCCCATAATGCAAAGGAGTGCTTCCTTTTTTGCTGTAAATGTTATCTCCTTGGATTGTGTACTGGAACATTCTGTGTCTGCTGTCTATCTGTTCCCTGCCTCGTCTGCCTTTACGATGTCCTCTCTCAGCTTTCATCTTCCCACACAGAGCATTTTGTTTTAAGCATCTCTGCATATCTCAGCCTCTTTCCAATGACCTGAGAATTCTTCTCTGGCCTGCCTCCAGTTTCAGAGTCCCTTCTTTCAAGGTGACCCCATCTTCAGTCAGGCTTTTAGGGGATACATCAGTAGAATAGTTATTACCTAAGGATAAAAAGAAATGCAGTTTGTAAAAGTCACATTTTATATTCATGCATTCACAAGCTTGCCAAAAATGTTCTTAAGAGCGGACTTTGAGATTGCTGCATTCTCATCTTAAAATTTCTCTCTGCATGATATGCAAGGGGGAAGTGTCTACTTTTTACTAGTAAAAATAATGGCCATATTTATTCATAAAAGTTGGTTTATGTTTCGGCTGTTAATATTACTTGTTAAGTAAGCCTCTGGGTCTTGATTAGAAACATTAGCAAGGGCTGACTGAACTTCTCTTCCTCGTTTAAATTCGTAAGATTAACACATCTGCAGAAGGCAAGCTGAGAACTTGCATCATTATTTCATCCTCTGTAATCAAACATATAACCCCGAGTTAAATCCCTTCCGAGGAAGGATTATACTTCATGATCGGCCCCGTGGAACTTATTTATGTGTTTATCGTTGGGAGAAATTAGATGACAGAAACAGATTGACATTTTCCCTAATCCATTTCCAGGAATGGTTTTTTGAGCACTTATTCTTTGCCTGTCTGGCTGCTTCATTTATCCATCACAATAAGTGTCTGTGTGACATCTCACTGAAAGCCCCATGACTCAGAGAGTCATTTCTGCAGGTCCTTTTCCTTGATGGGTCAGTATTCAAATCCAGGACATCCCTCTACCAGCCCTGGTTGAAGAAGGAAATTATTCATTTTTATGGGATTCATATGGTTTATGATAATGCAGTTATTGCATTCGTCATTTTTTCCCAAGACTCATTTTGGTGTTTTGCAAGGCGCATACCCAAATCCCGCTCTCTCACTTGCTAGTTCTCGTATGTTGGGCAGTATCTCTGTCTGCAGATTAAACTTTGCAGCAGTAAGAGGGAAGGCTCAACCTGTCTGCCTCATAGGGCTGTCGCGATTAAAAGGAATCAGGGCTGAGAAGTTTATGAGTGTCACTCAGCAGCCAGCCATGAGCAGCCACTAAAAAAGGAGTCCTGTTATCATGGTTGTCTGATATCTTTGACAACTTATAATTTTGTGTTACACCATAATTCTTAGAACTTAATTTTATATTTGGATTTTACATACATAGCTGAGATCTGAAAGAAGAAGCCCATATTTTATTTAATGTTAATTTTTAAAAATTTCTCTCCAGCTGTATTGAGGTACCACTGACAAATAAAAATTGGTGTGTATTTAAGGAGTACAATTTGATGCTTTGCTGTATGTATACATTGTGAAACAATCATTGTATCAAGGTAATTAACATTTTCATCACCTCGCATAAATGCTGTTTTCTCCTCCTCCTCCTCCTCTTCCTCCTCTTTCTCCTCCTCCTCCTCCTGCTGCTGTTCTTGGTAATGAGAACACATAAGATCTACTCTCATAGCAAATTTTAAGTACACAATCCTATATTGTTAACTGTGGTCACCATGCTGTATGTTAGATCCCCAGAACTTATTTATCTTGTGTAACTAAAACTTCATATTCATTCCTTCACCAACATGTCTTCATTCTAAGCACCCCGCCCCCAGCCCCTGGCAACTACTGTTCCACTCTATTCTTCTGTGAGTTATTTAAAGTGCACTTTCGGAGGCTGGGCATGGTGACTCACCTGTAATTCCAGTACTTTGGGAGGCTGAGGCAGGCAGATCACTTGAGGTCAGGAGTTCAAGACCAGCCTGGCCAAGATGGTGAAACCCCATCTCTACGAAAAAATACACAAAAAAAATTAGCTGGGTTTGGTGATGCATGCCTGTAATCCCAGCTACTCAAGAGGCTGAGATAGGAGAATCACTTGAACCCAGGAGGCAGAAGGTTCAGTGAGCCAAGATCATGCCACTGCACTCCAGCCTGGGTGACTCTGTCTCAAAAATAAAATAAAATAAATAAATAAATAAAATCAATTGCACTTTCGTGATTATGAGTTAGAATAGTCAAATTAAAAAAAAGGTTCATGATTACAGTGTTCTCTTTTACATCTTAAAGTTTCAGTAAATCTCACTAATAATGACTTTTGGGGGTGTTCAGTTTTTATAGATACCTTTTTTCTATTTCTTTCTGTGCTCCTGTTCCTCTGCCTTAGGGCATTGCACATGCTGATCTGCTTTCACGTGCATTTTTCAGCATGTTCTTCTTCTTACTTCATTTCCAGTCGTTCTACATCATTGGCTTCTACTCAGCCTTCAGGCTTCATTTTAGATATTACTTCCCTAGGAGTGTCTCCCCCTTTAGACCAGGTGAGGTCTCTTGATAACATTTTCTTTCCTAGAATTGATAACCATTTTCTTTCCTAGAATTGATAACCATTTTCTTTCCTAGAATTTCTCATGGCTTGCCATTTTGTATTTGTTATTTGTTGATTTTCTGTCTTCTTTGACAGTAAGCTTCATGAAGGTGCAGATCATATCTGTGTAGGCCACTGTTTAATCTTCACTACCTACCTCTCCATAAACACCTGTGAAATGCATACATTCATGCCTCGATTAGGAGAATGAACTGGACATTCTCCTAAAAGGGAATGCTAGGATCAGAAATTTGGGAGCTGAGTATCCGAGTGACTGATCTCCACCCCAGCTGACATCACTCAAAATCTCTGGGATCATGGCCTGCGGGTCTGCATTTGAAGGATTACAATTCTCTGAAGTTGGCCTGGTGCAGGCAAGAGGGGCTCATGTTGAGGCTCAACCCCATCCACCCCCAAGAATTCCACAGTGTGTTTTCAGTGAGGATGTCAGTGTTCTCTTATCTCTGTTGCTCACACTCATTAAGCTAACTGCTTTGTGACCTGACCTGATGGGGGCCCCAGTGTTTGGACACAGGTTTGCTTCTTGACCCTGTATTTGTCAAGGTAGGCTAGCTGCTATAACAAACAGCCCCCAAATAAGTAAAAGTTTATTTCTCATTTGTATCACAGCCAGCTGGGGTGGCCAAGGTATCCTCTACCCCATGCAGCCTTTCAGGGATCCAGGATGCTCCTATTGTTGTGCACCACCTTCTAGGGCAGCTCTTCTCAAGTGAGACTCCTTGGGAGGATTAGGCGCTGTTGCTGACGGCAGCCACTGTACGTAATGCATTAAGTAATCTCCTCCCCATCTAGCATGGTGTTAGATATGGACCATCCTTGGGAGAGTTGAGAAAAGAGTCACCTGATTTGTTCTCTGTTTGGTTTTATTTTCTTATGGAGGCCCAGTTCAGAGAGGGTGGAGGGATCTTGTTTTTCACCTGGCTGGTGGTAGAAGAGAGGATAGGAATATCTTATTCCTCTCGTTGCCCAGCCCAGAGGTGACTCACATCACCTCCTCACATTCACTCACATCACCTCCTCACATTCACTCAATCTGCTTGTGGGAATCACTTCCATGGTCCTGTCCAGGTGCAAGGAGGTCACAAAATGCACTTAGACATTAGCCCGAGAAGAAGAAGAAACAAACACAGGTATTGGTGAGCATATCACCTTGCCCCAGTCCTATCCCATATCAAGTTGTATTTGCACCATAGAGGCAGAAAAAAATGGAGTGGGTATTTTCAATTAAGTTGCATTTATTTGCACGAAGGTTTGACTTAACTTGCCTTTGCTCTTTCTTTATAACAGATGATAGCTTGTCCTGAAACTGAGACTCCTGCCGTGATAACGTGTGACCCACTGTCCCAGCCTTCCCCTCAGCCTGCAGACTTCACAGAGACTGAAACCATCTTGGTATTCCTCATCTATATGACCTACACATGGCCAGCTCTCTTATTGCTTGTTATTTTCTCACAGGGTCTATCCCCATTACATACCAGTGGGGGCGCCATAGGCTTTTAAAAATTCCTCCCTTTTTTTTTTTTTTTTTTTTTTTTTTTTGAGTGGTTTCTCCCACCTGGAATAAGTTGTGTTATAATTAGTCTATTTCTCTATTATCCAGGTGGATAAGGAATCTGGCTGTCTGTTCGAACTTATTGTGGGGTTTTCTTTTTCGTCATTTTGTTATTCTCTTCCACTTTGCTTAAAAAAATTAATAAGAAAAAGATACAGCGTCTATATAGCATCTATGTCTCCATTAATTTTTTTAAACTTTTGATAGGACTTGCACCATGTCTAAAATCAATATTCCATGACTATGGATTTTATTTTAATTCTTTTTTTCTCTAAGTTTACCCTTATGAATCTGGGCTTTTATTGCCACATATCATCAGAAAACTGGCTTTATGGACACCCCCCTGTTTTTAAACTCTCAAAGAGACTATCTTAGTAAAATGCTTCTGTAGGCATTTGGTATAAACAAGTCAAATCTCTCTCTGAAAATTTAACTTCCATGAATTGCATAAGAACTTGTAGCATCTCCTCTTGTCTGAGACTTGGTGGATGGCTCAGAAAAAGTGAGGGGAGAGAAGCTGAGCTATTTTTAGCATTCCCAGAAAAGAAGATCGAGTACAGTCCATCAGTTTTTTTAAAAAAGTTAATTATAGTGCCGGCCGCGGTGGCTCACGCCTGTAATCCCAGCACTTTGGGAGGCCGAGGCGGGCGGATCATGAGGTCAGGAGATCGAGACCATCCTGGCTAACACGGTGAAACCCCCGTCTCTACTAAAAATACAAAAAATTAGCTGGGCGTGGTGGTGGGCGCCTGTAGTCCCAGCTACTCCGGAGGCTGAGGCAGGAGAATGGCGTGAACCCGGGAGGTGGAGCTTGCAGTGAGCCGAGATCACGTCACTGCACTCCAGCCTGGGCGACAGAGTGAGACTCCGTCTCAAAAAAAAAGTTATAATAAAGATGAGGTCTTGCTATTTTGCCGAGGCTGGTCTCGAACTCCTGGGCTCAGGCAATCCTCCTGCCTTGGCCTCCTAAAATGCTGGGATTACAGGCATGAGCCACCGCGCCTGGCCTCAACCCAATAATTTGATTTTATTTTACCCCAGGATAAAGAGTTCTCCATCATTTAGGTTAGGGCTACAGTTCCCTGCAGCCCACCGCAGACTAATGATGGAATGGTTATGTTTTAGCAGCCAGCAAATAAAGTCGAAAGTGTCTCATCCGAGGAAACCTTCGAACCAAGCCAGGAACTCCCTGCTGAGGCTCTCAGGGACCCCAGTCTGCAGGATGCACTGGAGGTGGTATCCAAATTCTTCCCCTTGCCCAAGGCTCCCGGTGGGGGCCATCCACCGTCACTGAGGTCAACTGCATGCACACAACAGCTGTTAATTTTTCAGCCTCATTTAACAAAAAATAAGAATCGGCTTCCCTCTTCCCCTGCCTCTGATTCTTCTGTCTTCTCTCTGGCATTTGCCTGGGGTGATCGGCCGACTCTCTTTTGCCATCTTCAAGTCTGATCATCACGCTTTTTCTCTCTTTAAAAGCTGTTCTGCAGAAGGGATCAGGAGGGAAGTTGAGGGACTGTGGAAATTAATGCGTAGCAATCCATTTTCTGAAATGAAGAGATTAAAAGCTGAAAATTGGAGGGAGTGGGGCATGCTAATGTTCGAATCCAAATGGGGCATGCAAATAATTTCTTCTTTCAGGATGAAATGAGAGATGCATGCTTTCTGTTCCTTCCTCTTAGAGATGTTTTCATCTTCAACTACGTTCTCTCCATTGATGCATTTAATGAAAGCAATTGCTAACGTTTTCTCTTGCTCTTTAAGCATGATCTAATAATGCCATTTGGTCTTTAAGTAACAATCAATACAGCTCTAGAGCTAGGTTTAGGTCTAGACTGAAAGTTGGTATTGAACGCATGTTTAGAGTGTGACCTACTGTGTTGGCTAAATGCCTTCCCTGGACAGTCACCCTTGGAGAAAATGTGAACTTGTTTTTCTCATTCTTACTTGGTTACTGTTCAAATGCAGCATTTTGAACTTAATTTCTAGAGCTGTTGGTTGAGGTCCAGGTTTCTTATAAACATGTGAATGTATCCCTTCAGCATGTTCCATCCTTGTGGTCATCATTTGAGGCTCTGTGAATTGAATCTGTAGTTATTAGTGAGTGACAGGGCATCAGTGTGAGGTTGGGTAAGACCTACGTTGGACAGCTCAGCCATGTGGTAGGTTTGGGATCCTGGATGAGTTCATTACTTTTTCTTTTTAAAAATTATTATTATTATTATTATTATTTAGGGACAGGGTCTTGCTGTGTAGCCCAGGCTGGAGTGCAGTGGCATGATCATAGCTAAGCAGTCTTCCTGCCTCAGCCTTCCAAGGAAATGGAACTACAGGCATGGGCCACTGCAACCAGCTAATTTTTTATTTTTATTTTTTGTGGAGTTGGGGTTTCACTATGCTGTCCAGGCTGGTCTCGAACACCTGGCCTCAAGTGATCCTCCTTTTTTGGCCTCTCGAAATGCTGGGATTACAGGCATGAGCCACCGCGCCCAGCCTGAGTTCATTACTTTGCTTCAGTGTTCATGAGGTGGAGACTGGGTTGCCCACCTCACAGAATTGGAAGGAGGGGTATTAAAAAGGAGAGTGGTATAGGGAAAGCCCTAGTTAGTGCTTGGCTCATAAAGATGAGGAAGATTTCGGTCATTGATTTGCTAAACCGGGGCACTTTGACCTCCTGTGTGTCCACACTGTCCTCTAGGGGAACTTTATTTAGTATCTTGTATAATACCCTAATTCATAACATTGGAGCAGCTTGTTGTTTTCTTGGATACTCATCTCTTGTTAGCAGAAATGTCACAATCACTGTGCTGTTTTGTCTTGAAAACTAGTATAAGGTTGGGTGCTGTAGGTCCTGTTAATTCCAGAAACATTTCATTCTCAGGAACTGAATGGATCTAAATGCAAGTGCTCTTAGAGGGGAGAAATGCTGCAGTATCCTGAAGTGGACTTTTTAATTTATTTGTTAACTCTTGCTATCACCTTAATCAATAGGATGGCTGTCTTTAAATAAAATATAATATATGGGAATGAGTGTAGAAGGCAGAATCTTATATGTAAAAACCTTCTAAAAACACTGCGGCAAGTAATTAGAGAAGAAAGTAGTATATGCCTATGGTGTAAAAACTCAAATTTATCTTTCTATATATCTATCTCTATACATATCATGTATCTATCTATCTACCTCTTATCTATTTTCTTTTTTTTTTTTTTTTTGATGGAGTCTCACTCTGTCACCCAGTCTGGAGTGCAGTGGCGTGATCTCGGCTCACTGCAACCTCCGCCTCCCGGGTTCAAGTGATTCTCCTGACTCAGCCTCCCGGGTAGCTGGGACTACAGTCACCCACGACCAAGCCCGGCTAATTTTTGTATTTTTAGTAGAGATGGGGTTTCACCATGTTGGCCGGGCTGGTCTCGAACTCCCGACCTCAAGTGATCCACCTGCCTCGGCCTCCCAAAGTGGGATTACAGGCATAAACCACCACACCCGGCTATCTATCTATTTTCTATCATCTATCTCATCTATATATCCATTCATCCTCACATCTAGATAATAGATACATAGATATAGAAGAGATAAAACATAGGTAGTAGATAGAGATGATAGATAAATGAATGATAGAGTGATAGATGATAGATAGGTAGATAGGTAGAGAGATATTTTAGATAAATAGATAAATGATAGAGTATAGAACGGATGGATGGATGGATGGATAAATGGATAGATAGATTGATAGAAAGTAGATAGGTAGGTAGAGATCATAGATAGATAAATAGGTAGATAGATGATGGAGTGATAGATGACAGATGATTTATTGATAAATAGAATGGATGGACAGATGGATGGATGGATGGATGGATGAGTGGATAGATAGAACATAGGTAGATAGATGAGATAGATGATAGATAATAGATGGTTGGTAGATGAGATAGATGATAAATAGATGATAGATAGATAGATAGAAAGATGTGTGTGTGTCTATTATTGTTACCATCTTTAAATTTTTAAGAGTCTTTTTCTAGTTCTTGGTAAGAAGTGTTTAAAGCAAATGTATTTGTTCTTTTTGTTGACTCATCTGAATGCCAAACAAAATGTGTGTGTGTGTGTGTGTGTGTGTGTTGTTACACACTTGCATTTTCATCTGTTTTTTCACATGACCCTTAAGAAGGCAGGAACTCTGCCATTGAAAAAACTATCTGAATTATTATTTAAATTCCTTTGCCAAGCAGTCCAAATTCTTATAGGCTTTACTTACAGGAGGTGAGTTGTTTTTTCATTTAACGTAGTTTGGTTATTCACTGTCATACAAAACAGAAGTTTTGGTGGGTGAGAGTATTAAATTAGTGTGTGTGTGTGTGTGTGTGTGTGCACATGCGCATGTGTGCATGTGTGTGTTTAAAATGGTTTAGTGGCTAGAAATGAAAACAATTCTTCAGAAAAAGAGAACATATACAATTACATTTTATAAAATTTCAAAACACTTAAGCAAAAAAAATTATCTTCTAAGCATATTATACTAAATCTAGTGTATATTTAGCTCAAAAGAAAAGTGCTGCTGGGTGTGGAGGCTCACACCTGCAATCCCAGCTCACTGGGAGGCCAAGGCAAGAGGATTGCTTGAGCCCGGGAATTCAAGACCACACTGGGCAACATAATGAGACCCCATCTGTGCAAAAAATACAAAAATCAGCTGGGCATGGTGATGTGCCCTGTAGTCCCAGCTACTGAGGAGGCAGATGTGGGAGGATCTCTTGAGCCCAGGAGGTCAAGGCTGCAGTGAGCTGTGACTGCACCACTGCACTCCAGCCTGGACGACAGAGACCCTGTCTCATTAAAAACAAAGTGCTAGTGATTCGCAATCTCTTTTTGAGAACTGAGATGCATCTTTCTGCGGGACCCTACACTGGATGGGTTTTAGCAGTCTTTCCCTCGATAATGGACAGCTGCAAAAACCATCTCCCACTGACTGTCTTCCCTAGGTCGACCTGGCCGTCTCTGTTTCCCAGATCTCCATCGAAGAGAAGGTGAAGGAATTGAGCCCCGAGGAAGAGAGGAGGAAGTGGGAGGAAGGCCGTATCGACTACATGGGGAAGGACGCGTTTGCTCGCATCCAGGAGAAGCTGGACCGGTTCCTGCAGTAATCCGGCAGCTGGTGGGCGTTGTGTGTAGTTAGACAATGTCCTGTTGGGTGGTCCTGTTGCGTGGAGATCTCCTCTGGTCCTTTCAAAGGGAAACGCTGTTGAACCTTGTGCCTCTATTTATGCTTAATCCATTTGAGTGCCTCACACAAAAAACGTAGAGTATAGAAATCCACCTTAAAGCCCCTCGCCCCAACTTCTCCACCAACGCCTTCTGGGCTTTCTTCAGAGGTCACTTCTACCCTTGAAGCTGTCGGCAAAAGCGAGCAGTAATAACATTCTAGTAGACTCTCGATGGTGGTCTCCGCTCTTGCCCGAAGGACCTCTGAAGTACGCTGGAGCTGTGTTGTACAGGTGCTGTGAGACCTACCCTATTCAGAATTAAACCTCACTGCAAATTTCCTCCCATCACGAAGCTAACAACACTAATATACGTATTTAGCACCTCTGAGGCTTTGCCATGGAGACCCATTTCTGTAGGGCTAAGGAAACATTTAGACGTGGTGACTGACTTTCATTTGGACTTGGCGAAGTGTATCTGAGAAACACCTCGGCTGTGGTCTCTCTGCTTTAAATCCTAACAGGACTTCCTAGAGCGTTGACAGAAATTCTACTCGTGGACGTTGGGAAGAAAGATTGTAGGTGGCTTGGGGAATGTGGGTGGCTTAGAGGATCTAAACCGATTCACTTCCTGGTTGAGAAGCAACGAGGGCTTGCTCTAAATCGTTTAGAGGATAACAGGATCTAGAGATGCTCTCTGCTTGACAACAAAAGTCAGGGTGCAGTCGGTCCACCCTTGACTGCTCTTGGCTTGGTCTCTACCCTCACTACCTCAGTTCTCAATAACTTAGTGAATCACTGCCCTCCTCAAAGCCATTTCCACTCAGCTCTTTCCAGAGAATTCTCAGTTTTATGAGACGGGAAACTTTATTTCACGAGAAAGCCTCATTGTCAGAAGTATCTTCATTCAATGGGCACAATATGCTGTGTATCTCACCAGGTAGCTGTCAGGGGCCACCGAGAGTGTCGTTAAAAATGGGCATGGTTGTAATAAAGGAGGAAAGTGCGACTTTTGAAATGTTTGGAAGGTTTATTTCTCATGCACATTCCAGGGAAAAGCAGAGAGTAAATTAGAGACGGGATAGGAAGGCCGTGGGAGAACTCGATCCTAGCCTGTGTCAGCTGGATGTGTTTACGTGGAGAGGCGTGGCCACTTTTTAGGTCACCTGAAGCAGTTTAGCCTTTGGATAGAGGAACCTGCCTGAATTTATGGCATTAGTGGTGGCATTTTTTTGTGTACAAGATGTGGGTGATGGAGGGGCTGTTTCTTTTTCCGTGTGGGTGGTTAATAATCGTCAGTCTCGGAGGGCGAGGCTCGTAGGATATTTCAGGTGAGTCAGGGTTGGATGGTCATCGGCTTTCAGAAGGAGACCACGGGAATGTTCAGGGAAACAATGTCAGCTTCTCTGAGGACCAGAATTCATGTTCACGGGCAGTGATGAGTTGGCTTATGGAGTGAGTCCAGTCTGGAATTCCGCCGTGCATTCTAGCCTGTATCATCTCATTTGGACAAATGCTGGCACGTTGAAATTAAAATGTTAAAAAACAGCCATGTGGCCTCCTTCCAGTGTGTGTTTGCCTATTTCCTGCGATATCAGGCTTATATTTTATATTAAACCAAGGGTAGGGCCTTTCTATTTTATTTTCGGCCTTTTCTATTGTATTTTGTTTTTAAAATAGTAAGCATCGGGCTGGGCGTGGTGGCTCACTCCTGTAATGCCAGCACTTTGGGAGGCTGAAACAGGTGGATCACGTGAGGCCAGGAGTTCAAGACCAGCCTGGGCAACATGGTGAGGCCCCGTCTCTACCAAAAACACAAAAATATTAGCCGGGCATGGTGGCACACGTCTGCAATCCCAGCTACTGGGGAGGCTGAGGCACAAGAGTTGCTTGAGCTGGGGAGGCAGAGGTTGCAGAGAGCTGAGATCACACCACCATACTCCAGCCAGGGCGACAGAGTGAGGATCTGTCTCAAAAAAATAAATAAATAAAATATAATAATAATAATAATAAGCATTATTTGAGCTGGAATTGCAAGGTAAAATTTTAACAGTAAACAATAAACATACTTTATTTTATTTTTGATTTAAAATGTTTTTTAACTGTCATGTAATAATTGTACATATTTATGGGGCATGTAGTAAAGTTGCAGTACACGTCATGTCTACTGATCAGGTCACGGGAATTAGCATATCCATCATCTCCAACCTGTACCATTTTTTGTGTTGGGAACATTCAGTATTCTCCTTCTATATATATATTTGAAACTATATAATATATGATTTTGAGCTGTAGTCATCCTATAGTGCTATATACCAGTGATCCCCAACCTTTTTGGCACCAGGGACCAGTTTCATGGAAGACAATTTTTCCAGAAACCAGGCTGGGGGGATGGTTTTGGGATGATTCAGGTGCATGACACTTATTGTGCACTTTATTTCTGTTATGATTACATTGTAACATGCAATGAAATAATTATACAACTCAGCATCATGTAGAATCAGTGGGAGCCCTGAGCTTGTTTTCCTGCAACTGGACAGTCCCATCCAGGGGTGACAGGAGACAGATCATCAGGCATTCGATTCTCATAAGGAGCACGCAACCTAGATCCCCTCACATGCACAGTTCACGGTAAGGTTTGCACTGCTATGGGAATCTTACGCGGCCGCCGATCTGCAGGAGGCAGAGCTCGGGTGGTAATGGGAGCGATGGCGAGCGGCTATCAATACAGATGAAGCTTTGCTCACTCGCCGCTACTCACCTCCTGCTGTGCGGCCCAGTTCCTAATAGGCCATGGACCAGCACTGGTCTGCAGCCCAGGGGTTGGGGACCCCTGCTATAGAACACTAGAACTACCTTAAAAAAAAAAAACCCAAAACTGGATCTCATAGAAGTAAGAACTAGAACAGAGGATACCAGAGGTCAGGAAGGGTAGGGAGAAGGGGTGATGGGGAGAGATTTGTTAAAGGGTACAAAATTACAGCTAGATAGGAGGAGTCAGTTCCAACAATAAATTTAAATTATCAGATGGATTTTTCAGAATTGCTGGTCACAGTGAAATGCATAGAACTGTTTACTTCTAACTTTTTGCGATCTTGCAGGATCTCTTTAGGAAAGGTACCCATTTTCTGAACTTTGCTTTGTCAGTTTCATTCATTCATTCGTCATATGCTTATTGAGTGCTCTCTTTATACCCAGCTGTGTGACATGGGACAAATCAATACACCATAAGTTTGGGAATATACACTTTTTTCCACGAGAAATCCTCATTGTCAGAAGTATCTTCATTCAATGGGCACAATATGCTGTGTATCTCACTGGGTGGCTGTCAGGGGCCACCGAGAGTGTCGTTAAAAATGGGCATGTTGATTGACGTCTCATGTCTCCCTAGAATATATAAAACCAAACTGTGCTTTGGCCACCTTGGGCACATGTCGCCAGGACCTCCCGAGGCCGTGTCGCAGGTGTGTGTCCTCAACCTTGGCAAAAGAAACTTTCTAAACTAACTGAGACCTGTCTCAGATTTTCAGGGTTCACAGGTACAGTGCTGAGTACGTGGGTGGGGGTACCTCACTACCATAGAAAATACCCTAGTGACAAACCGGCACGTGTACCCCTTAGACCTAACATAAAAGTTGAAATTATTTAAAAATAAATAAATAAATATTATGAGATTATTATCTTGTGGCAAGTGGAAATGATGTGGGAAGGAAAGGATTTCTAGATCTGTCGAATTGGCAGGGTGGATTGATGCCTACAGATCCACAGGAATAAGTTATAGTATTTTTGTTCCTCAAAGCCACTTGGTCGAATCCTGCCAAAACCTTTGGCTGATGCTTGGAAGCACGAAACAGGTCCTAGTGTTAACGCGTTTTGGGGTGGAACTGTAGTTTGAAGCAGAAAGGGGTTTCTTTCTGACCACCACCCTTGAATTAGGAAAAGCAGAGCAATTCTTTCTGGTTTCATAGGCCTCTGCTCTTTAGTGTACAGTACCATTTTAAAAATTATTTATTTATGTATCTTTGGCCGATTACAGTGACTCACACCTGTACCTGGTACTTTGGGAGGCCAAGGCGGGCAGATCGCCTGAGGTCAGGAGTTCAAGACCAGCCTGGCCAACATGGTGAAACCCCGTCTCTACCAAGAATACAAAAATTTGTCAGGCATGGTTGTGCATGCCTGTAATCCCAGCTACTCAGGAGGCTGAGGCAGGAGAATCACTTGAACCCAGGAGGTGGAGGTTGCAGTGAGCTGAGATCACACCACTGCACTCCAGCCTAGACAACAGAGTGAGACTCTGTCTCAAAAAAAAAAAAAAAAAGAAAGAAAAATAAAATAATTAAATCATCTATTTTAATTATTTTATTATTTTTTATTTTTATTTTTTTGACACGGAGTCTCACTCTTGTCCAAGCTGGAGTGCAGTGGCCCGATCACCGCTTCCTGCAGCCTCCAACTCCAGGGCTCAGGTGATCCTCCCACCTCAGCCTCTCAAGTAACTGGGATTACAGGCATGTGCCACCACACCCAGCTAATTTTTTTAAACTTTGTAGAGGCAGGGTCTCATAGGAGTCTCACTATGTGGCCCAGGCTGGTCTCCAACTCCTGGCCTCAAGCATTCCTCCTGCTTTGGCCTCCCAAAGTACTGAGGATTACAGGCATGAACCACTGTGCCTGGCCCCCATTTTTTTTAATAGATCAAATGAGTTGCATAGGTTTACAAACTTGATGTCTTCTATCCCTGCTCTATCCATCATCCTAAGAAACAAAATGAAGTTTTTATTGGCACAGACAATATCTGTTGGAAGCACATTCGTGCAAATCCAGCTATACCTAGTATGTGACATGTACTGTGCAAGAATATACTTTACACGGGATTGTAGCATGCCTTGAGGATGCTTGTCTGGATTCCATTGCATAGTTGCTAAATGCTGATGCTCTGTGAGTCTGTCATTATTGCAGCATTCATGGCCCAACACTCAGCTGCACAAAAGAGCTTTTCTGTTTCTCTTTCCCTCCCTAGCACACTCCTCTTGACTATCACTACTATGTTTTGATTGTTCAACGTGTAAAACAGTCCAATTTATTATTTTTTTAATGTTTAAACTGTTCCTTTTTTTTTTTTTTTTTAAACGACACAGGGTCTTACTCTGTTGCCCAGGCTGGAGTGCAGTGGCATGATCATATAGCTCACTGCTGTCTCAACCTCCTGGGTTCAACTGATCCTCCCATCTCAGCCTCCCAGGTGGCTGGGACTACAGGCAAGAGCCACCATGTCTGGCTCAAATTGTACCAGATTTACCAGTGGGACTCTCCTCACTTTAGATGGATTCTTAAGTCTATGAACTAATCCCATTAGTCTTTTTAAATTTTTATTTATTTTTGTTTGAGACAGAGTCTCGCTCTGTCACCCAGGCTGGAGTGCAGTGGCACGATCTCAACTCACTGCAACCTCCACCTCCCGGGTTCAAGTGATTCTCCTGCCTCAGCCTCCCGAGTAGCTGGGATTATAGGCGCGTGCCACCACGCCTGGCTAATTTTTGTGTTTTTAGTAGAGACGGGGTTTCGCCATGTTGGTCAGGCTGGTCTCCAACTCCTGGCCTCAAGTGATCTGCCTGCCTTGGCCTCCCAGAGTGCTGGGATTCCAGGTGTGAGCCACCGCACCTGGCCCCCATTAGTCTTTGATCACTTCCTTGCTTCCTGGCAAAATGAGATTCTCCAGAACCATCATAGATTTTCTCCCCTCACACCTGGGGCCAGGCATTTCTCCAAGGTCTTATTTTTAAGAACAAGCCAATTTTTATGTTCTAAATTGACTTCACACCTCCTCAGGGAAACGCAGCCAGTAGTTTAAAAACATCTTTGTAACAAATGAACGCTAAGCCCCACATCTTCTCTCCTTATCTATAAAAGAGGGATTACAATACCACATGCTCATGGGAATTTTCTGAGGATAAAACGAGACAATAAACATAAAGCTCTTAGCACAGTCTGTGGGAACAATTAAGCATGAAAGCATGAGCTGCTGCTCTCATTGTCAACATCCGATTGAAATCTTGTTTTTGAGACAGGGTCTTACCGTGTTGCTTAGGCTGGAGTGCAGCGGCACCGTCAGGGCTCACAGCAGTCTTGACCTCCCAGGCTCAAGTCATCCTCTTGCCTCAGTCCCCCTAGTACCTGGGACGACAGACTTGCACCACCATGCGCAGGTAATTTTTTTTTTTTTTTTTCAGTAGAGACAGATTTCGCCATGTTGCCCAGGCTGGTCTCGAACTCCTGGACTCAAGCGATCTGCCCACCTCTACCTCCCAAAGTGCTGGGATTACAGGTGTGAGCCATCGTCCCTGGCCTTATTGAGATCTTTAGAGATACTGCCAATAACTTGGGTTTTAAAAATTATATTGCTTGAGCCCAGGAGGTGGAGGCTGCAGTGAGCCAAGATCACGCCACTGCACTCCAGCTTGGGTGATATAGTGAGACTATGTCTCAAAAAAAGAAGAAGAAGAAAAAATTACCATTAAGATAAAAAATGTTTATGACTGTGTATGACGTTTACAAATTTAGCCAGCCTACGCAACAGAGCAAGACCCTGTCTCAAAAAAAAAAAAACTTAGAAATATTAGTAAACATGGTAGACGCCTGTTCATTAATTCTGCTTGAACAGGTGGTCAAGGAAAAGAAATGACTTGAATACAGCTAAGGGCTTTTATTCAGCAGATCCTCACCAGACGGCCCCTGTGCACAGATAATTGATTCACTGTGGCACAGCAGGATCTGAGTTTTGTAAGATGAGGAGAGAGGGGTACATGTTTTTGAGGACTGGCCCAAATTTCACTTTTCTGGCCAGGCGCAGTGGTTCTCGCTGGTAATCCCAGCACTTTGAAGGGCCGAGGCGGGTGGATCACTTCAGGTCAGGAGTTCGAGACCAACCTGACAACATGGCAAAACCCCATCTCTACTAAAAATATGAAACCTAGCCAGGCGTGGTGGTGTGCTCCTGTAATCCCAGCTATTTAGGAGGCTGAGGCAGGAGAATCGCTTGAACCTTGGAGGCGGAGGTTGCAGTAAGCCGAGATCGTGTCACTGCACTCCAGCCTGCGCAACAGAGCAAGACTCTGTTTCAAAAAAAAAAACAAAAACCAAAAAACAAATTACACTTTTCTTCATCTTCAGCTGTTGCAAAACCTGGCATCGTGTCCATTGGAGACTGTCGTTGCTGTGGTTTCAATACCTCTTTCATGGTATTATGGGTGCAATCCCTTTTCAGCAACTCTCAGAACAGTTTATTTTGCAAGGCTTTGCAATATGTCAAGGTTCAGGGGAAAGTGGGGGTAACAAAAAGGGAGGAGAGGAGAAAACGGAAGAGAAAAATATAGGAAAAGGAGGCAAGAGTTGAAGCAACATAAACTGGGGTCTCTCTATGTTTTATTGTAGTGCAAACACAAAACATTAAATTTATTATCTTAACCATTTTCAAGAGTACAGTTCAGGCCAGCTGCGGTGGCTCATGCCTGTAATCTCAGCACTTTGGGAGGCCACGGTGAGTGGATCTCTTGAGCTCAGGAGATGGAGATGAGCCTGTGCAACATGATGAAACCTCGTCTCTACAAAAAAAATACCAAAATTTAAAAAAGGGGGGGAGTAGAGTTAAGAGTTCAGTAGAGTTAAGTCTAATCACATTGCTGTGCATGGGTCTCCAAAACTTTTTCATCTTGCAAAACTGAAACTCTGTGCCTGATAGCAGTGGGGAGATCCGAGTTACCCTGAGTTACCAGTGGCGAATCTGTAGGGGTCTGCGGCAATTTCAATACTTGCCTCCTTGGAAGAAAGAATTTGACTGAGGGCGTAAGGCAGAAAAAGAGACCAAGGCAAGTTTCAAAGCAGGAGTGGAAGTTTATTTTAAAAAGCCTTAGAACAGGAGGAAAGGAAGGTACTCCTGGAAGAGATGCAAGTGCATGCCTGAAGGTCAAAGAGAGCGAGAGCGAGGGAGTCTAACCTTGATCCTGGGAGTTTACGTGCTGGCCTCTTTCTTACCCATGATTCTTCCCTTGGGGTGGGCTGCCCACATAAGCAGTGCCCTCCTTACCCTTGGAAAGTGAGCATGTGCGGTGTGTTTAGGGATTGTACGAATGCCGGTCTGAGACTTTCTTCCTTTTCTGGTGGAGGCTCCCGGAAGGTCATACTTCATACTTCACCATTTCATCTCTTTTCCCTGGCATTTGCAGTCAATTAACACTTTAATGTTAATAGCTGTGTTACTGGAAAGGAGTCCAGATCCAGACCCCAAGAGAGGGTCCTTGGAGCTCGTGCAGGAAGGAATTCTGAGTGAGTTCATAAAGTGAAAGCAAGTTTTTTAAGAAAGAAAAGGAATACACGAATGGCTCTTCCATAGACAGAGCAGCCCCGAGGTCTCCTGGTTTCCCATTTTTATGGTTATTTCTTGATGATATGCTAAACAAGGGGTGGATTATTCATTCTTTCCCTTTTTAGACCATACAGGGAGACTTCCTGACGTTCCCATGGCATTTGTAAACTGTCACAGCGCTGGTGGGAGTGTAGCAGTGAAGACCACCAGAGGTCACTCTTGTCACCATCTTGGTTTGGGTGGGATCTCGCCGGTTTCTGTACTGCAACCTGTTTTATCACCGAGGGCTTTGTGCCGACCTCCCGTCTCATCCTGTGACTATGAATGCCTCACACACCTCCTGGGAATGCAGCCCAGCAGGTCTCAGCCTCATGTTACCCAGCCCCTATTCAAGATGGAGTGGCTCTGCCTCCAGTGCCTCTGATAGTGTCACAGGCCGTGCTCACTCACATTTGGCTCAGAATAAATCTCTTCAAATATTTTAGAGTTTTACTCTTTATCGGCATCATCTTGTCCAATTCCAATGAGGAGCTCTTGAAAGCTAAAACCAAGAAGTCTTCCCCATGGGAGAAGCACCCCCAAATCTTGTTCTCACCAATCAGGCGCATTCGCGGTTCTTCCTTTCCTCCCCTTCTCCTCCTGCACCACTTGCTGCTTCCCTTCTCCCACGAATGCTCTCCAGGACCTGCTGCACTTCTCACAGTGCCCTAACTCTCGGCTCTGCAGGAAAATGACTTCACAGGAATTTCTCCTTGTAAAGATTTTATAACCCAATGGATGGACCCTGATGGGACAAAACCCAGGGGTGAAAAATTAAAATGGCAATGTTACTGGAGACGGGTCCCTATCTAGATTCCAAGAGAGGGTTCTTGTGTTGTACCCGAGCGAGTTAGAAAAACGCCACACTTTGAGACGATTTAAGAGTCCTTTATTAGCCGGCGACCGAGAGACGGCTAACGCTCAAAATTCTCTCGGCCCCGAGGAAGGGGCTTGATTAACTTTTAGATCTTGGTTTAGGAAGGGGAGGGCGGGGGGTCTAGTGAAAACCATTTTACAGAAGTAAAGTAGGCAAAAAGTTAAAAGGATAAATGGTTGCAGGAAAGTAAACAGTTCCAGGTGCAGGGGCTTTAAGACTATTATAGACGCGAGGCTTTGGGCGTTACTAATCAGACGAATTCCCGGGAACTGCGGATGTAGCTCGCCACAGTATCTTATCAGTTAACTGCATTCTTGGATGTGCTGGGAGTCAGCCTGCACGAGTTCAGTCCTTGAGGAAGGGGCTGCCAGTGAAAGAGCCAAGGTGGAGTCTGGCTGGCTCTCTTAGCTAAGGGAGAGTCCATTCAGGTGGAAAGAAGGCTAGGTGAGTAGAGGAAAAGGGAGAGTCTAAAAACAGGTTAGTAAAAACCAGGTTGGGCATTACACTTGGATCTTGCGGCAAGAAAGAATTCGGGGCGAATCCATAGAGTAAAGTGAAAGCAAGTTTATCAAGAAAGTAGAGGAATAAAAGCATGGCCACTCCATAGACAGAGCAGCAGCATGGGCTGTTGGTTGCCTTTTTTAATGGTTATTTCTTGATTAGATGCTAAACAGGGGTTGGATTATTCTTGAGTTTTCTGGGAAAGGGGTGCGCAATTCCCAGAACTGAGGGTTCCTCCCCTTTTAGACCATATAGGGTAATCTCCTGACATTCCCATGACATTTGTAAACTGTCATGGCGCTGGTGGGAGTGTCTCTTAGTATTCTGTGCTTTATAATTAGCATATAATGAGCTGTGAGGACAGCCAGAGGTCACATTTGTCACCTCTTGGTTTTGGTGGGTTCTGGCCAGGTTCTTTCATGCAAGCTGTTTTATCAGTAAGGTCTTTATGTCCTGTATCTTGAGCTGACCTCCTATCTCATCCTGTGACTTAGAATGCCACACCTCCTGGGAATGCAGCTCAGCAGGTCTCAGCCTCATTTTACCCAGGCCCTATTCAAGATGGAGTGGCTCTCATTCGAAAGCCTCTGACAGCAAGATTGAAATAGCTTCAGGAGGGCTCATCCAGCTCATGGGCTATTCTGAACCTCTCTTTCCTTCCTTCATTACTGTCTTCTACCCCAGTTCGGGTCATGTGACTTGGTGACTTGGCCTCTGTCCAAGAACACTGAGATATCTTATTTGTCATTTTGTACACTGGTCAGTGATCTTGCATTCAAATGGATTTCTTCTCTCAGAGGGGAGTCCATTGGGGAAGTGAAGGGTCAAAGGCCAGCCAGAATTCATAGGATAGAGTCGGCAGAGAGCCTGGAAAGCGGGAATCTTGTTGATGGCTGGCAGAGGCCAGTATAGGCATTCTGCCTTTTAGGAGGTTGCGTAGAGTCTTGTAGAAGACAATGGCAGCTGTTTGGGCATTCTTTGGCAGTGTTGTGGATTTTGCTGTTGCTATGGTCTCAATGCTTGCCTTGAACATTGTGTGCCTTGAACATTCATGTGTTGAAACTTAATCCCCAAGACAATAGTATTAGGAGATGGTGCTTTTAGGAAACAATTAGGGGTCTAGACTCATCAATGGGATAAGTGTCCTTATAAAAGGGACCCCAGGCCAGGCACAGCAGGTGGCTCACACCTGTAATCCCAGCACTTTGGGAGGCCAAGGCAGCTGGATCACCTGAGGTCAGGAGTTCAAGACCAGCCTGGCCAACATATAGTGAAACCACATCTCTACAAAAAATACAAAAACAGGCATGGTAGCACACACCTGTAATCCCAGCTAATTGGGAGGCTGAGGCAGGAGAATCGCTTGAATCCAGGAGGCGGAGGTTGCAGTGAACTGAGATTGTGCCACTGCACTCCAGCTTAGGTGACAGACAGAGCAAGACTCCGCCTCAAAATATAAAATTAAATTAAATTAAAAATAAAATAATGAATAAAATAAAATTAAAAAGGTGAGCCATTGTGATGGATGGAAATCACGTAAACCTGGACCAATTCAGGCAAAGATGTTGATGGGACATCACGGGTAATAGCCATTCCTCAGAGACTACCTGCCAAATTGCTCCCCAGCTGTCTTAGTCAATTTAAGCTGCCATAAGAAAACACCATAGACTACACGGCTTACCCCAACCAGCATTTGTGGCTCACAGTTCTGGAGGCTGAAGTCCAAGGTCAAGGAATGGCAGATTCAGTGTCTTCTGAGGACCCACTTCTGTTGCCTGGTCCAGGCTAAACTGTAACCATAATAGGTTCGTTGCATGCAGCATGTCTGTACCCCAACTCTCAGGGCTGCAGAAGAGAAAGAGGTTTAATCAAAAAGAAAGAAAGAAAGAAAATGAAAATGAAAGAGACACACAGAAACATTCCACTGGTTACAGCTCAGCGTTTGCCTTATTTGAACATGGTTAGAACAGTTGGCTCCCTGTGAGTGGTTGAAGTATGGCTGCTGGGATTGGTGGAGATGTCGCTTGTTACAGAAGCATACTCTTAAGTTAGGTGATATGGTTTGGATGTGTGTTCTCACACAAATCTCCAGTGTTGAAGGTGGGGCCTGGTGGGAGATGACCGGATCATGGGGGCAGCGGTTTCTAATGGTTTAGAGTTCTCACGAGATCGGGTTGTTTAAAAGTGTGTGACACCTCCCCACTCTGTCTCGGTCCTGCTCCAGGCATGGTAAGACACGCTTACTTCCCCTTTGCCTTCTGCCATGACTGTAAGTTTCCTGAGGCCTCCCCAGCCATGATCTCTATACAGCCCGCGGAACCATGAGCCAATTGAACCTCCTTTCTTTCTAAATTATCCAGGCTCAGGTAGTTCTTTACAGCAGCGCAGGAACAGACTAATACCTTAGCTTTTCAGTCCGCCCGCCTACCTGCCAAGTTAGGTTACGGTTCACCCACAAGGACTCAAGTATGAGAGTACAGAGACATTCTCAGGCCAGATTTTAGTTTGATTTAATAGTTCAGATTCTTCTGCATCCCTGTATCTTCAGAAATAAGGATGTTCCCTACCATTTGATCCAGCAATCCCATTACTGGGTACCTACTCCGAGGAAAAGAAGTTATTATTTGAAAAAGATAAGATACTTGCACATGCATGTTTATAGCAGCACAATTCACAATTGCAAAAATGTGGATCCAGCCCAAATGCCCATCAATCAATGAGTGGATTAAAAAAACTGTGATACATATATATATACACACACACACATATATGTGTATATATATATATACACACATATATGTATATATATATACACACACACCCATATATATGTATATATATACACACACACACATATATTCATTCCTTTTTATGGCTGAGTAGTATTCTATCATCTATATATATATATATATATATATATACACACACACATATATGTGTATATGTGTGTGTGTGTGTGTGTGTGTGTGTATATATATATAGATGATAGAATACTACTCAGCCATAAAAAGGAATGAATGAATGGCATTCACAGCAACCTGGATGGAATTGGAGACCATTATTCTAAGTGAAGTAACTCAGGAATGGAAAACCAAACATTGTGTGTTCTCACTCATAAGTGAGAGCTAAGCTATGAGGATGCAAAGGTGTAAGAATGACACAATGGACTTTGGGGTCTTGTGGAGAAGAGCTGGAAGGGGGTGAGGGATAGAAGACCACACACATTGGGTTCAGTGTATACTGTTCAGGTGATGGGTGCACCAAAATCTCACAAATTGTCACTAAAGAACTGACTCATGTAACCAAATACCACCTGTTTCCCAAAAACCTATGGAAACAAAACAATTTAAAAATTTTTTAAAAAGAAATTAAGGATGTTTCTTTCCTCTGGGTATTAAGGCACCTTTCAAATGAGGGTGGTTTGACCTGCTTCAGGAGAGAAAGATGAGAGGAAGGTCAGAGAGACCATCCCGCTTCTGCTGTTTTCTCCAATGCCAAGGGGCCATGTTTTGGGGCGGCACGTCCTGAAACCCCTCACAAGCAACATAAATGAACCTGGATTGCTTAAACAACACCATCCAGGCATGGTGAGTGTGTGGGGTCATTCGAAGAGTAAGGAACGTAGAAGAGCTAGTGTTATAAAATGGCGAAATCAAGAACAGCCTGTGGACAGCATGCAGCGGTGGCTTTATGGGATTACTGTTGTGAGATGCTCAGGGTGAACGTGGGAGAATCCAAGCCTGAGACCCTGGCTCCTCCTTGGCTTGGATCGGGGAGAGCAGAACACCTTGATCTACTATCCCACCTTGTCCCCTGTAGGGAAGTAGAAGAGCCATAGCCACGTGAGGTGATGTCCGTAAAAGAGCGAGATTGCTGTGTGACATACAGAACAAAGCCCACCGCCACATTCTCCCTTCCTGATTCTTCAGCCTGATCAGAATGTGGCTTTGTTCATAGACTAATGGCTAAATTGGCAAAATGCCCCAAGATACGGAGTTGCAGTTGCGAAAGAGCCACGATTGCTGTGAAGATTGTAGAAGCTGTGATCTGCAAAGCACGGAGAGCAAGGCCTGGCTCATGTCAAGGACTCAATAAATGTCACAGCTGTACTCATTATTTTTACCCTGAGGCCACATCCTGGCACAGGGAGAAGGGTGATTATCCATTATACGAGGTCTGGCTGTGGATTGGGATGGCAGTGCATTAGCTGTTTCTTATGTGCATATAGAGAAGTCTGCTCAGGGGCTGTGTCTTTGCAAGCTCATGCCCTCTAAGCAGCTGCTTTAGAACAGGTGAAAATTGGCCAGGCACAGTGGCTCATGCCTGTAATCCCAGCAATTTGAGAGGCCGAGGTGGGCAGATTGCTTAAGTCCAGGAGCTCGAGACTAGCATGGGCAACACGACAAAACCTCCTCTGTATAAAATATACAAAAATTAGATGGGCGTGGTGGTGCACGCCTGTGGTCCCAGCTATTTGGGAGGCTGAGGTGGGAGTATCACTAGAGCTTGGGAGGCAGAGGTTGCAGTGAGCAAGATTGTGCCACTGTACTCCAGCCTGGGTGACAGAGCCAGACCCTGTGTCAAAAAAAAAAAAAAAAAAAAAAAAAAAAAAAAAAAAAAAAAAAAGCCAAGTGTGTGGCTCATGCCTGTAATCCCAGCACTTTGCAGGGCTGAGGTGGGCAAATCACCTGAGGTCAGGAGTTTGAGACCAGCCTGGCCAACATGGTGAAACCCCGTCTCTACCAAAAATACACACAGAATATTGGCCAGGCATGGTGGCGCATGCCTGTAATCCCAGCTGCTCGGGAGGCTGAGTGAGGCAGGAGAATTGCTTGAACCCGGGAGGTGGAGGTTGCAGTGAGCTGAGATCACCCCACTCCACTCCAGCCTGGGCAACAGAGCGAGACTCTGTCTCAAAATAAATAAATAAATAGAACAAGTGGAAATAAATGAGACGTCCCCCATCCCAAATGTTTTCGTCCCAAATGAAAATGAGCAGAGGCCACTTATTCAGAGCTAGCCCTAGTAAGGGAGTCAGACATCACCCTTTGCATTTTGGCAGGGACCGAAAGACAAGTAGAGGAGGCTTTATAGTGTCAGACCTCAGGATACACGTCCCCAAACATGACTGCTGGCAACCAGAATATACCAGCCCAACATACCCATTACTTTGAGCTGAAACACTGAGAACCAGCTAATACAAGAGGAGCTCTTTACTTGCTCCTCGACAGCTAAAAATAAAGTACAAATTTCCCCTTTGAAAAGAGAAATTTAGGCCAGACATGGTGGCTCACGCCTGTAATCCCAGCACTTTTGGGGACTGAGGCAGGTTGATCACCTGAGGTCAGGAGTTCGAGACCAGCCTGGCCAACATGGTGAAACCCCGTCTCTACTAAAAATACAAAAATTAGCTGGGTGTGGTGGCTCATGCCTGTAACCCCAGCTACTCAGGAGGCTGAGGCAGGAGAATTGCTTGAACCCACGAGGTGGAAGTTGCAGGGAGCCGAGATCATGCCACTGTACTCCAGCCTGGGCGACAAGAGTGAACAAAACTCCATCTCAAAAAAAAAAAAAAAAAGAAATTTTTGTTTTGTTTTGTTTTGTTTGTTTGAGATGGAGCCTTGCTCTGTCGCCAGGCTGGAGTGCCGTGGTCCGATCTTGGCTCCCTGCAACCTCCCCCTCCCGGGTTCAAGCGATTCTCCTGCCTCAGCCTCCCGAGTAGCACAAGCACGTGCCACCACGCTCAGCTAATTTTTGTATTTTTAGTAGAGACGGGGTTTCACCATGTTGGCCAGGCTGGTCTCTATCTCTTGACCTCGTGATCTGCCTGCCTCAGCCTGCCAAAGTGCTGGGATTACAGGCATGAGTCACCCCACACCCAGCCGAAATTTGGTAAACTCAATCAAGTTTATTTATTTATTTATTTATTTTTTTAATGGGTCGCGCTTTTGGTGTCTTATTTTCCTAACCCAAAACGAAAAAGACTTTCTCCTCTGTTTTCTTCTGCACATGTTATAGAGATCGCACTTACATTTGGGTCTCTGATCCACTTTGAGTTAATTTTGGTGCAGGGTTTTCCATTCACGGAACATGAAGTTGGATTTCTAATAGGTCAATATATGAAAAATTTCCCGCAAAGTTTTTCTTTTCTTTTCTTTTTTTTTTTTTTTTTTGAGACTGTCACCCAGGCTGGAGTACAGTGGTGCAATCACAGCTCACTGCAGCCTTGACGTCCCAGGCTCTAGAGATCCTCCCACCTCAGCCTTCCAAGTAGCTGAGACCACAGGTGTGCACCACCACGCTTGCCTGATTTTATATTTTTTGTACAGACGGGGTCCCACTGTGTTGGCCAGGCTCGTCTCGCACTCCTGGGCTTGAGTGATCCTTCCACCTCGGTGTCCCAAAGTGCTGGGATGATAAGCATGAGCCACTGCACTCGGCCAGTTTCTAGTTTGGATATTTGAGTGGACTTCCCAGCCCCCACACAGCATGCTCATTTCGTGTAAGATTGTGAGAGAGTGCGAGGAGAGAAAGAGCATGCAGCCAGCGTTGGAGCTTCGGAGACATCCCGGGCAGGAGCTTCCCAGGGTCTCATTTGTTCTGTCTCATGGTTGGCACACGAAGGACAGTGAGAGGAATCTTGGTTTCAGGGGGCCTCAAACCAGACATTTGAGGAGGTAGGGGAGGCGGTTGCCACTCCGCTCATTCAGTGCATCCAGGCTGTCTAACTGGTTAGGCCACTTGCAAATGTGCAAACCTTAAGTAAAGAAACAGACTCTGGGGTCAGGGGGGAGGTTTGAACTGTAACTAGCGCGTCATAAATCCCAGCCCTTATCTTGAACAAGAGTCAAAGACCGGACTTGAAGGCATCCCCCAAGATAAAGGTAGGCCCTCTGCAGGGCAGCTGTAAGTCAGCTCTCCTCCACCCCTCTGGCTGGCCCCCTCCTTATCCGAGTCCTGCTTCCTTCCTCTTTAAATCTGCAGACAATGCTGCTTCTCTGCAGGTCTCTGCATATTCCCTCAGCTCACAGACCGGCTGCATACTTGGTATTTTCAGGGTTAGGTTTGCAACACATGACTGGGGAAATGCATGAAAAGGAAATGATGCAAGAATTCACCGCGGACACCTTTAGGTGAGAAGGAGATGTGACAAAAAGTCTCTGCCTGGCCAAACCGTAGCCAGGCTCCTGAAGCCCCTCCCAGGCCCGGTGGTGCGTTTCCTTATAGAATTAGATTTCAGCAAAGTACCGGCTAAGTCAGTTTGGCGAGAAGCCACCATTCTTGATATCATGTTCCTCGTCGTCCACCACCCCTGGTTGATGTTTAACCCCCTTGGCTGGCTTTAACAAGCCAGGTTGGTTTAGCCAGGACCCGCTTCACCTCTGATGTTTCCTTTTAGTGCTTTGCCATCTGTACACCCGCTGCCTGCCCCCGTGGCTGTACATTCCCACTTGCCCTTGCTGTGTTCATATTGGAAGCTGAGCCCAGCCTCTCCTGCACTGTGAACCGCCATTGCAGTGGTCCCTGTACTTCACACGATAAGCCTGGATAATGTCTTCGTTATCTTTTTGGTGATGCTTTCCCAAGTACGAGGTTCGTGCAAAAGTAATAACTGCAATTACCAACCTAGTATCACTGAATAGTTTTTTCTTTAACAAAGGTTTTGCTCCCGGACGAATGAACGAGTGCTGGCTGCTTGTTCTTGGGGCTCAACAATGAGGTGCAGACAGACTGGGGAGAAGGGGATTTATTTCTCCAACGGGTTACAGGGAGAAGGTCAGATTAACTCACCAGGTCAGCTCAAAGTGACAAGTTTTTTCCAGGGTTTCTATGCATTTTAAGCTCTATGCCCACGTGTAGGATTGCACCTACGAGCGGGAGTATTTCATTCGGTTCCTGTCTAATCTTTAACTAGGGTCTGGGGTCTGGGAAGTTTTCTCTAGACGCTTAATCTTCAGTGAGCCCTGGTATGACGTGTTTAACTTGTGCATCATCAGAATTATAATAAAGCGTTAGTGGAAAAACTGGTTGCTCCGGCTGCTAATGGAAGCCTGGCCTGCCACAGTTTGACTCAAAGGGAACCTAACTCTCAAGGAGCCATAATCCCAGCACTTTGGGAGGCCAAAGTGGAGGATTGCTTGTGCCCAGGTGTTGGAGACCAGCCTGGGCGACATAGGAGACCCCATCTCTATACATAAAAGAAAAATTAGTCGGGCATGGTGGCTTGCGTCTCTTGCCTCAGCTACTCTGGAGGTTAAGGCTGGAGGATCGCTTAAGCCTGGGAGTTGGAGGCTGCAGTGAGCTGTGATTGTACCACAGCACCCCAGCCTGGGCAACAGAGCGGAACCCTGTCTCCAAAAACAAAACAAAACAAAATAAAAAACAAAAGCAAAGAGCCATACAAGAAAGTTTTAAAGAATGTATTTTTTAAAAGCCCCAGTGAGGTTTTCTGCAGAAATCCTGGGTGCTTCTAAGCCAGCCAGAACCTCTACCTTTAAAGCATGTCTGCTCATGTCATAGGTCTTACAGGTATGGAGGAAAGTTGAGGTTTTTAAATTTAAAAAAATATAAAAAAGAAGATGAACACTTCTGAATCTTCTTTTTTTTCCTTTTGAGCATGTTCTCTGGGTGGGGAATGTGCTATGGTTTCTGAAAACAAAGAAGAAAACATGTCATCCTTCTGTTCCAGGTTCTCACGATGGTCTAAGGGAATGTGATTTTTTTTTTTTTTTTTTTTTAATGGATAGCATGATAGTGGCATGGGGTGACGTGGAGGCCAAGGACAGAGGGTGAGGTATTCAGCCTGGAGATGACCTTTAACCTCAAGGCTTTCTTCCTTTTAAAATGTTTGCAGATTGTTTGTTTTTTGTTTTTGTTTTTGTGTTTTTTTGAGACACAGTCTTGCTCTTGTCGCCCAGGCTGGAGTGGCATGATCTCGGCTCACTGCAACCTCCGCCTCCTGGTTCAAGTGATTCTCCTGCCTCTGCCTCCCAAGTAGCTGGGACTACAGGTGTGCACCACCACACCCAGCTAATTTTTGTATTTTTAGTAGAGACAGGGTTTCACCATGTTAGCCAGGCTGGTCTTGAACTCCTGGCCTCAAGTAATCCACCCGCTCTGGCCTCCCAAAGTGCTGGGATTACTGGCGTGAGACACTGTGCCCAGTCAAACATTTGCTTTTTTGACAATAATTTATTGGGTTTTTTTTTTTTTTTTTTTTTTTTTTTTTGAGGTAGAGTCTTGCTCTGTCACCCAGGCTGGAGTGCAATGGTGCCATCTCAGCTTACTGCAACCTTCACCTCCCAGGTTCAAGCAATTCTCCCACTTCAGCCTTCTGAGTAGCTGGGATTATAGGCGCCCGCCACCATGCTCGGCTAATTTTTGTATTTTCAGTAGAGACGGGGTTTCACCATGTTGGCCACTGTGGAACTCCTGGCCTCAGGTGATCCGCCCACCTTGGTCTCCCAAAATGCTGGGATTACAGGCATAAGCCACTGTGCCTGGCCAATTGTATATTTCAAAATAACTAGAAGAGTATATTTAGAAATGTTCCCAACACAAATAAATGATAAATATTTGAGGTAACGGATAGCCCAGTTACCCAGATTGGATGCCTACACATTGTATGCTTGTATCAAAAATATCACACCAATCCCATAGATCTGTGCAGTTCTGATATATTCATAAAAGTTAAAAGTTTTAAAAATTGCCTGGCACAGTGGCTCAAACCTGTAATCCTAGCACTTTAGGAGGCCAAATGCGAGGACTGCTTGAAGCCAGGAGTTTGAGACCAGCTAGGGCAGCATAGTGAGACCCCATCTCTATGAAAAATACAAAAATTAGCTGGGTGTGTTGGTGTGCGCTTGTGGTCCCAAGGGAGCTTGGGAGGCTGAGGTGGGAGGATTGCTTGAGCCCAGGAATTTGAGAACAGCCTGGGCAACATAGCAAAACCCAGTCTCTACACAAATTTTAGAAAATTAGCTGGAAGTGGTGACACATGCCTGTGGTCCCACCTAGTTGGGAGGCTGAGGTGGGAGGATTGCTTGAGCCCAGGTAGTTGAGACTGCAATGAGCTGTGATGGTGCCACTGCACTTTAGCCTGGGCAACAGAGCAAGACCCTGTCTCAAAACAAAACAAAAGAAACAAACAAAAAACCCTCAGAACCAACTGTTCAGATAACAAAAAATGACTTTATGATTACATTAGGCCCACCCAAATAATCCAGAATCACCTCCCCATATTAAGACACTTAATTTCATGAAATCTGAGAAGTCTGTTTTGCCATGCAGTGTGATATGGTTTGGCCGTGTCCCCATCCAAATCTATCTTGAATTCCTAAGTGTTGTGGGAGGGACCCGGTGGGAGGTAATTAAATCATGGAGGCAGGTCTTTCTCATGCTGTTCTCGTGACAGTGAATAAGTCTCACGTCTTTCTCATGCTGTTCTCGTGATAGTGAATAAGTCTTTCGTGATATGCTGATCTCGTGATAGTGAATAAGTCTTTCTCATGCTGTTCTCGTGACAGTGAATAAGTCTCACGAGATCTGATGATTTTGCGCAAGCTCTTTTCTCTTTGCCTGCCACCATCCTTGTAAGATATGACTTGCCCCCCCTTGCCTTCCACCATGATTGAGGCTTCCCCAGCCATGTGGAACTGTAAGTCCATTAAACTTCTTTCTTTTGTATATTGCCCAGGCTTGGGTATGTCTTTATCAGCAGTGTGAAAATAGACTAATATACAAGGTGACATTATACAAGGTGGTTAAGGGTTGACTGGTGTTTCTTCCCCCACAATTCATATGTGGAAGATCTATCCCCTCTCCATCTGTGAATGTGACCTTATTTGGAAATGCAGTGTTTACAGATGTCATTAGTTTAGATGAGGTCATCCTGCAGGAGGATAGGCTGTAATCCCATGACTGGTGTCTTTATGAAAAGAGGAAATTTGGACACAGACACACACAGAGGAGAACACCATGAAACCATGGGGCAGAGACTGGAGTGATACAACCAAAAACCCAGGAGCACCTGGAGTTGCCAAGGTCTGGAAGAGGCAGGAAGGATCCTCCCCTATAGCCTCCTGAGGGAGTACAGCCCTGAGACACCTTGATCTCAGCCTCCTGGACTCCAGGACTGGGTAAGGATAAGTATCTGTTGTTTAAGCCCCTGGTTTGTGGTAACTTGTTATAGCAGCCACAGAAAACTAATTCAGACATATTCATAGACTCCAGGGATTCTGATGTCTGTATCTTGAACAGCATGAGGGATCATTATTAAGCCATTGGCAGGGCTCGGTTCTAATTGTGGCCATGGATTGCCTTTGGTCTGTTGGACACGTCCTTTTCTCTGGAACAGCCATGGCAACTCCATGTGATTAGATTAGGATGGGATTCTAGGGTGGAGATCCCATTCCAACCATGGGTGGACATTTAATCCAGGAACGGCCAAGTCCTTCAGCCATAATGATTGGTACCAAGATGGGTGATATCGTTTGGCTGTGTCTCCACCCAAATCTCATCTTGAATTGTAGTTCCATAATGTCCTAAACATTAGAAACGGTAAATGTTAGCTAACATGGCAAAAGGGACTTTGCGGCTATAATGAGTTAAGAATCCTGAGATGAGATGATCCTGGATTATCCTGATGGGTTCTAAGTAATCACAAGAGTCCTTATAAGAGGGAGGTAGGAGTGTCAAAGTCAGAGAAGGAGATGTGAAGAGGGAAGCAGAGGTCAGAGAGAGAGAGAGAGAGACTGGAGGATACTGTGCTGCTGGCTTTGAAGATGGAGGAAGAAGCCATAAGCCAAGGAATACCACAGCCTCTAGAAGAGGGAAATCTCAAGGAAATGGATTTTCTTTTGGAACCTCCAGAAGGAACCAGCCTGCTGACACCTTGATTTTTCGACTTCTGATTACCAGAACTATAAGAAAAATTGTGTTATTTTAAGCAATTAAGTTTGTGACATTTTGTTACAGCACCAATAGCAAACTCATACACTCCTTTAATGGTCTTTTAACCTCAGGTCCTCTCTCTCTCTCTTTCTTCTCCTCCTCTTTCCCTTCTCCTTCTTCTTTTTCTCTCAATCTCTCTCTCTCTCATTCTCTTTCTCTCCATCTGTTCTCTCCAGAAGGGCAGATGAACTTTTTATTTACATGGGGGCTCTTGAGTCCATAAGAGAGAAGTCAGAAGCTGCCAGGTCTCCTAAGTCTAGGGCAGGAAGGATAGTATCAGCATCACTTCTGCGGCATTCTGTTGGTCTATGCAAATCAGAGGCTCATCCTAGATCCAAGGGGAGGAAAAAGGCTCCAACTTGTAGCTGGGCTCATTTGGAAGGTAATGGGAGGACTTGGCAGCTGTAAGACATGTACCACATCTAGACTTCAACCTACAGAAAAGTCCAAAGATACACCAACAGCAGCCCAAGTTAGTCAACTGAAGCTGGCTCAAGGCTGCCCCCTTTAGGTGGAGACTAACCAGCTCCCTGACATCCTTCAGTTAACTGCACCTTCCTCCTTTTTGCTGCCTGGAATGTCTACATGCTGCCTGGAGCTATGGCAGCCATCTTGTGACCATGAGGCAAACCCTATGTGCAAGAGCAGGAAGCTGGAAAGAACCTGTCAGCCCTGGATTGCTTCCTCTGTGACCCCCATTACCTGGGAGAGAACACATCTTTCTCTTGTTTAAGGCGTTCTTATTCCCAGTCGCCCTCTCTCCCCTGTATAACCCTAAAAGCACAGGAGTACACTTGTGACTGTGACTTAAGTTTTTCAGAACGGGGGAGTTTGGATTGTTTAGTCCTCTCTCCATGAATAGTGAATAGCAATGCCAGGTGAGTTCCTTCAAAGCTGGGGGGTGAAGGGGTGGAGGTGGAAAAGTAGGATTGAGGATGGGAAATAAAAACAAACAAATGACACCATCCAGGGAGATTTGTCACATTTTATTCAGTATTTCTGCTGCACTGCCAGCCTAGGGATGCACTTGATTCCCAAGAAATGCAACTGTCCTATTCGCAGAGCCGTCCACAGGTACCTACCCCCTGGACTGCAGCAACTTTATTACCTTAACTAGCACAGAACAGAGGTTGATTTAAACTCCTTACACTCACTTCTCAGATCAATGAATGGGCAAAGAAACACCTCATGGCTCTGGGAAGGCATGCTGAGACCCGTTTTTGCAAGTCCTGAGGAATGGAAGAATATAGCTGCCAGGTATCCCAAGTCTAGGGCAGGGAGGGTAGTATCGGCATCACTTTCACTGCATTCTGTTGGTCAACGCAAGTCAGAGGCTCAGCCCAGATCCAAGGGCAGGGAAGAGGCTCCATCGTGTAGTTGGGCTCACTTGGAAGGTAATGGGAGGAGTTGGTGGCTGCTTTAAGACACATACCACATCTAGATTTCAACCTCCAGAAAAGTCCAAAGATGCACTCACAGGAGCCCGTTAGTCAACTGAAGCTGGTTCATGGCTCTCTTCTTCAGGTGGAGACTAACCAACTCCCTGACCTCCTTCGGTTAAGTGCTCCTTCCTTTTTCCTGCTGCCTGGAATGTCTATGTGCCATCTGGAGCTATGGCAGCCTTCTTGCAACCATGAGGCAAACTCTATGTGCAAGAGCAGGTAGCTAGAAAGAGCCTGCCAGCCCTGGGCTTATATCCTGCTTCCCAGGGAGCTTAAAGATAGCAAAACCCACAGCCATTTTCATCAAATGCCAGGAAATTCTTAGGCTGGGATTGTTGGGATTGTTTGAATGGTTGAGCGTGAAAGACTTGTTATAATGGGCTTGTTGAATACGGTGAAAGATGAGATGGCTTTTAGCTGCCTCCACTCCCCGTGTCCCATGCTCCATAGATGTTTCTTTTTTTTTTTTTTTTTAATCATTTTTTGGTTATGCCAGGTGTCTCCTGTGTGTCCCTCCAGATCCCTCTCCAGCCCTAGAAACCTGAGCTCTATAAATGTTGCCTCTCTCCACTCATCTTCTCTTTGGCTTCAGGTTGAGTTCAGCCAACAGATGCCCCTGTAGGATTTGGACACAGGGAGCCAGGGGAGAGGGGCATCAGCTGCCTGGTTAGCAGGGCTGTGATGATTCTTCTACCTATGACTCTCAGTGCTGTTGCCTCTTCCTCTGGATCTTGGAAGCTTCCATGCTGAGGTCTGAAGGTGGCTCCCTGCCTCCCACTGATGTCCTTAGAATCCCATCCTCACCTAATACCTGGTATTGAACACTGCCTTTCTTAGATGTCATTTAGGCTCTCGTTTCAATTCCCAGTATGCTTCCTGCAAAGACCTCGATAGATGGACTGAGGGGAATAGTGCAAGGTCCTCCCATCCCCAGTATTGGGATCTAGGGGCAGGGGGTCCCAGCTGTGCAGTAGGTTAGGACTACACTTCCATCATCAAAGCCACAGAGGGAAGAGGTGAGGATGAAACACACTAGAATTGACTTAGAAAACACACTGGCCAAATCTTAGCTATTTGAGGAATGTAGGGAGAAAAGCCACCTTCTCTCTCTATGTCTGAAGGTTCCCATGGCTGTCTCTTTGCCCAAGGGGCAAACTTTCCATCAGGGCATCTTCTGTGCCTCTGAGGATCATTTTCCAATTATAGGCAATGGTAGTACGTGTTTCAGTGCAGAATGAGATAGAGTTGTTTAATTTGACAATAAAGCGATGCGTCAAAAACCTCAGTCAACACAGTAAGTGTTTTCTTGTTTTCCTGCTGACCAACCTAATTCTGGTTTCATACAGGGCAGCCAGGTGCCCACCTAAAAGACTGCACTTCTCAACTTCCAGTTGTTTCTATGGATAATGGTTGGAAGCAGAAATTGGGTTGGGGCTTCCAGATAATCCCCCCTCACAGGGACTGCTTCAAGAGAAAGGGATGCCCTTTGGTTCTTTCTCCTTTCCACTGCCTGGAATGTGATGTCTGACACTGTGGCAGCCATACTGGCATAATGAGGCCAACTCTCTGCCATGCTAAGAGTGGCAGAGCTGGGAATTGAAAAGAGCCTGCTAGCCTTGGGTTGCTTCCCCTTGATCGGCTCATTACTTGGAAGAGAACACACCCTTCTCTTATTATTTTCTTTAAGGCATTTTTTTTTTTTTTTTTTTAAGGCAGGGTCTTACTCTGTCTCCCAGCCCGGAGTGCAGTAGTGCAATCTTAGCTCATTGCAGTTTTGACCTCCCAGGCTCAAATAATCCTCCCGCCTCAGCCTCCTAAGTAGCTGAGACTACAGCTGTGCGCCACGACATCTAGCTAATTATTTGTTTTTTGTAGAGATGAGGTCTCACTGTGTTGCTCAGGCTGGGTAGGTGTCTAACTCCTAGGCTCAAGTGATCCTCCCACCTTAGCCTCCCAAAGTGCTGGGATTACAGGTGTGAGTCACCGTGCCTGGCTTTGTTTAAGGCATTCTTTTTCCGCAGCATCTGTTACCAGCAGCCTGAAGCCATTTCTATAACAATATCAGGAAGACACATGGACAGAGACCCTAATGTATGAAAAATGCATCAATTATTTGAGATTAATGAGTCCTCATAAACAGAGACTGAGAGGCTCTAACTTTCCTCCGCTATGTGAGAGTAGGAACAGACACTCCTCCCTGTCCTTTTGTAAGGCTGTTATGTCATCTAGGTGATGAAATTGCAACAATGCTTTAAGACGGAGGGGTGAAAACATCGGGCATTGGCACAATGACGAACCCTGAGATTTAGAAGAGGAAGAGGAGGCATCAGTGGGTGCCTACTGGGACAGTCTTATTTCACAAATCAGGAAAGGGAAACCCTACATGGGCGCAGTGGCTCGTGCCTGTAATCCCAGCACTTTGGGAGGCTGAGGCAGGTGGATGACTTGAGGTCAGGAGTGCGAGACCAGCCTGGGCAACATGGTGAAACCCTGTCTCTACTAAAACTACAAAAATTAGCTAGGCATGGTGGCAGGTGCCTGGTGCCTGTAATCCTGGGTACTCAGGAGGCTGAGGCAGGAAAATCGCTTGAACCCGGGAGGCGGAGGTTGCAGTGAGCAGAGATCGTGCCATTGCATTCCAGCCTGAGGGACAGAGCGACACTCTGTCTCAAAAAAGAAAGAAAGAAAGAAAGAAAGTGGGGACCCACTCTCAGTCCAGGGCATGTTCCTTGCAAAAAGGGAAGCTGAAGATAGAACCAAGCTTGGAGAATTTTGTTTGCAACGCAGTCAGGCTCTCCTGGATCCTCTCTCACAGTCCTGGCATTCAGGGGGTGCCATCCCCATCCTCGTGGCATGAACAGAACGGGAAATGTCCGCAGCACGGCTGCAGCCACGGCTTCCACAGGATGTTGCTCATGGAAAACTGCTGGGGCACAGGACTCAGGGTCTGCCGATGCTCCGACACCGCGGCACCTACCCTTGCTATCACGGCGTGGTACAGGGGCTCGGAGTCGGGGGTCAGGGGCCGTGCCTCGGAGGGGTCCCTGGAGAGGTCAAAGAGCAAAGGGGGTCTGTGATGGGTCACGCCCTCCCCGGAGCATGGGCAGACGCCTCGGCCGTAGCAGGCCCCCGCTCCCTCGGGGTGGAACTGCGGGGTCGTGTAATGAACCTTCCAGACGCTTCCACCTGGATGCAGACAAGAAGGGAGTCAGGGTGGCAGAAATCCACGCAGGTGTGAACGCAGAACGCAGGTGTCGGCCCTGTGGTATCAGCATGAACCTCCCTATTCAGTGAAAAGGAGGAGGGACACGAGGCAGTCCACACAATCACAGCCTTCAGCTTGCAAAGTCAGAGCATGTGTGTGTGCGCGCGTGCGCCCATGTGTGTCCGTTTGTGTCTCTGCATTGCATGCCCCAGGCAAAGGGACTCATTGCAGAGCGCTCACTGTGGCTGCTTTCAGAAATCAGAATCATAGAGGTTCCTTAATTCTTCCCCTTTCCCCTGTGTTGAAACTGTTCAGCGTCGATCTACTACCTTTCTACACAGAAACAACCATGATATTTTAAACAGCATGATTGGGTACTTATCTATCTATCGCTACCTATTTATCTATTTATCTATCAATCCATCCATTTATCTTACCCATCGATCTCATCTATCTACCATTATCTATTTATCTATCGATCATCTATCTACCTACCTATCATCTATCTCTGTTTATCTACCTTTCATCCATCTATCTGTCCATCCATCTATTCATCCATCCATGAACTGATTCTACTTTTTATCTATCTATCTATCTATCATCTATCTTATCTATCCATCATCTATCTTATATATCTATCATCTATCTTATCTATCCATCAATCATGTATCTTATCTATCATCTATCCTACATATCTATATATTTATCCATCCATCATGTATCTTAAATATCTATCCATCATCTATCCATTATCTATCATCTATCCATCCATCATCTATCTTATCTATCCATTATCTATCTTATCTATCCATCATCCATCTCATCTATCTATCTATCCATCATCTATCCATTATGTCTCTATCATCTCTCTCTCTCTCTCTCTCCCCCCCCCATCATCTATCTATAATCTACTCATCGGTTTATCTATCTCTATTTCTATAGCTATCTGTCCATCCACCCATCCATCCATCCATCCATTCATCCATCCATCCATCCATCCATCCACATATCCACACATCCTATTGGCTGTTTCTCTGGACAACCCTGGCTGTGGGCAGCAGGTACTCACTGTCCTTCTGGTGCCAGCGTGCTGCGTGAAGATGCTGCCCACAGTAATGAAACAGGAACTCATGTGCCGAGCGTGCCTCAGCTCCCTGCAGCAAGGGTACCAGGCTGTGGCCATCAATCACCCTGATTTCATGAAGAGAACACAGAGCAGAGTCAGACCACGGGTTCCCAGGCAGCCTTTTGCACCTGGGAACACATCTCCCAGAATGCAAGGCTCCCCAGCAAATGGAGCAGAGATGAGCTGTCTCTCCAGTCGCTGTTCAGATTACAGGTTGCTGAGCAGGATACATGTGGTTATTTCAAGACACAGTGTCTCTAAGTGTTGGGGTCATTTGTTATGCAGCACTGCATAAGCAGAGTGCACACACACACACACACACACACCCCAACACACAGCACTGTCACCTTGGAGGTCAACACAAAGCCTTCAAATTCCAGCTGGACAGCCCACATTCCTAGGTTGGCTTTTCTTACTTTTTTTTTTTTATGAGGCAGAGTCTTGCTCTGTCACCCAGGCTGCAGTGCAGTGGCACAATCTCAGCTCATTGCAACCTCTGCCTCCTGGTCAAGTGATTCTCATGCCTCAGCCCCCTGAGTAGCTGGGACTACAGGCACAAGCCACCACACTCGGCCAATTTTTGTATTTTTTGTAGAGATGGGGTTTCACCACGTTGGCCAGGCTGGTCTCGAATTCCTGACCTAAGGGGATCCGCCCATCTAGCCTCCCAAAGTGCTAGGATTATCGGCATGAGCCATTGCATCCGACCTGTCCTTACTTTTTAATCATAACAGACCCCAAGACACATGGCCACATGGGTAAAGGAGATGGTGGCGCATGCCTGTAATCCCAGCTACTCGGGAGGCTGAGACAGGAGAATTGCTTGAACCCAGGAGGCGGAGGCTGCAGTGAGCCGAGATCATGCCATTGCACTCCAGCCTGGGCAAGAGTGTGAGACTCTGTCTCAAAAAAAAAAAAAAAAAAAAGCTTATTTATGTAACCAAATACCACCTGTTCCCCAAAATCCTATTGAAATAAAAAAAAAAAACTAAAAACAATTAAAAAAAATCAGGGAACAGGCAGCCTTATCTCCACGTACCTGTCCTGGGGCACCTCGCCACCCACCAGCTGGACCACAGTAGGGAACACGTCCATCAGGCTCGTGGGCTCTCCAATCACTCGGCCGGCCGGGAGCACCCCCGGCCAGTGGAAGATCCCGGGCACGCGGATCCCACCTTCCCATCCTCCCATGCCCTTCCCACCTGTAAGTAGAAGACATCGTTAGGATTTTGCCGGAAACTGCCCAGTCTGTACACACATCTGGATGTATTTGTGCATAGGTATGTGAATACGCACAGCCACCCGGATGCACACATGCACACTGGGGCAGCCTCAGCTTCCCAAAAACAGCCACAGCAATATTTCCAGAATCATGCTACTCCCTGGCCTCTTGAATATCGGTGGGTCGCTGTGGCTGATTCAACTGTTCTAGTCGATCTATGCTACCTTTATTTAGAATAAAATAATGTATTAAAATATTCATTAAATTTAATAATTTAAAAATGTTTGTTAACTATCAATAATTTTTAAAATATGTATTATTATGCATCAATATTAATTGATGCATTTAAAATATTAAAATAGTAATAAATTTATTAAATATTTAAAAATTAAGACTATAATAAAATAAATTTTAATTTTATCTGAATTATTTATTTATACCTCTCTGTATTCTACTAAAATGTAAACCCTTTAAAGGAAGGGGATGTGACTTTTTATCTGCCTGTCCTGCTCATCTAGGTAGAACTTGTACTACAGTAGGTGCTCAATGCATTCTTTTTGAAATGAGCAAACTCATTTTCAGTTCAACTTGTTCTGGGACCCTCAGTGGTGGCAGATATTTGGTCGAATGCATATGTGTCCCCGATGTCCACAACTCACCTTTGTAAATTCCGTTCCATCCCCCTAACTGGCTGTGTCCATCTCTTGCCTCTAAATGTCCTCCATGGTCAGAGGTGAAATACGTGAATGTTGAGTTCTTTAAACCATTGTCTTCGATGGCATTAAGAACCTTACCTTTACAGAAAATGGAAAGTTTCAGGACCAAGAAAACAAAGCAGCATCCACTAGTTCAATGCGCTTCTTCCTTTCTGCAGGAGACACCTCTTGCCAGGAAGTCATAAGAAGAGACCACACTTACTCGGAGGCCGTGGTTACAATGTGATCCCAAAGTGTAAGACATAGCTAATCACTGTGATACCACAGGACTGTTTACAATGCAAACCAACAATAAAATTCGAAGCCCCCCAACCGACTGATGGACTCTCCCTTCAGCCAAGGCCATTCCAAAGTTAACCTGAAAAACTAGGTCAGGCCGGGCCTGGCGGCTCACACCTGTAATCTCAGCACTTTGGGAGCCTGAGGTGGGTGGATCACCTGAGGCCAGGAGTTCAAGACCAGCCTGGCCATTATGGTGAAACCTCATCTCTACCAAAAACACAAAAATTAGGCAGGTGTGGGGGGTGCACGCCTGTAATCCCAGCTACTTGGGAGGCTGAGGCAGGAGAATCGCTTGAACCCAGGAGGCAGAGGTTGCAGTGAGGTGAGATTACACTACTGCACTCCAGCGAGGGTGACAGAGTGAGACTGTTTCAAAAAAAACCCAAAAGAGGGCCAGGTGTGGTGGCTCACGCCTGTAATCCCAGCACTTTCGGAGGCTGAGGCGGGTGGATTACGAGGTCAGGAGATTGAGACCATCCTGGCTAACACCGTGAAGCCCCGTCTCTACTAAAAACACAAAAAATTAGCCAGGCATGGTGGCGGGAGACTGTAGTCCCAGCTACTTGGGAGGCTGAGGCAGGAGAATGGTGTGAACCCAGGAGGCGGAGCTTGCAGTGAGCCGAGATCGCACCACTGCACTCCAGCCTGGGCGACAGGGTGAGACTCCATCTCAAAAAAAAAAAAAAAAGAAAAAAAAAACCAAAAGAAACAAAAAACAAAAACAAGGTCAGGCCATGTTGGAAAGTAGTGGGGGCGGGGGGAGTGGTGGACATGCGTCATGATACCCTCCTCCCTTTGGAATTCAGGCACAACTGACCAGCATTCACATTGAAACAGAGACCTATGACTGAGAGAAGGCCAGGCACAGTGGCTCATGCCTGTCATCCCAGCACTTTGGGAGGCCGAGGCAGGAAGATCCATTGAGCTCAGGAGTTCAAGACCAGCCTGGGCAACATGGTGAAACCCTGTCTCTACAAAAAATACAAAAATTAGCCAGGTATGGTGGCACATGCTTGTATGTAGTCCTAGCTACTCGGGAGGCCGAAGTGGGAGGATTGCCTGAGCCTGGGAGGTCAAGGCTGCAATGAGTCAAGATCACACCATGCACTCCAGCCTGGGCAACAGAGTGAGACCCTGTTTAAAAAAGAAAAAAAAGACTGATAGAACAGACTCTTTAAGTCTGATAAGAAACATTTACCATGTATTCTCTCTGAAGCCTGCTACCTGGAGGCTTCTTTGGCATTATGAAACCTTGGCCTCCACAACCCCTTATCATAACCCAGACATTCCCTTCTATTGATTCTCAGATAATAACTCAACCACCTGCCAATCAGAAAATCTGTGAATCCGCCTTTGACCTGGAAGCCCCCCTTTCAGTGGTCTTGCCTTTCTGCACTGAACCAAGGTACGTCTTACACGTGCTGATTGATGCCGTATGTCTCCCTAAATGTATAAAGCTGAGCTGCATGCCGACCACCTTGAGTACATGTTCTCAGGACCTCCTGAGGGCTGTGTCACAGGCCACTTGTCACTCATATTTGGCTCAGAATAAATCTCTCCAAATATTTTACGGAGTTTGACTCTTTCGGTCGACCCCAAGATACCACCAATACAAAACACAGAATGAACACACAACGCCAAGAGGTTGCCAGTGAGCACGCTTTTTTAAACATAGTGCCGTGTGTGTGTGTCACATAATAAAGACACTGGGGAGAGGGAAATGGTGAGACTCAGTGATGACAGAACCCTATGTAGGAGGAAGCAGGGCTGTAACTAGCATCTATGGGCATTGGCGTATTGGAGGCTGATGGCTCAGCAGCGCAGAGGACGCCCTGCAAACCAAGCAGTTGCTTTATCCCTGGAGGCCACTGGTCATTGAAAGCACTGAAAGTCAAAATGATATAAACCACAAGGTCATCTGTAGCTCTGAAAATGCAGACTTTGAAGCCTGCTGTAAACTGAAAAGTATCTGAGGCGGGTCTCAATCCATTTAGAAAGTTTATTTTGCCAAGGTTAAGAATGACACAGCCTCAGGAGGCCCTGATGACATGTGCCCACCGTGGCTGGGGCAAAGCTTGGTTTTGTATACTTTAGGGAGACATGAGACATCCATCGCTACATGTAAGATGTACATTGGTTGAGCTGGAAAGGTGGAACAACTGGAAGTGGGGAATTTAAACATATTCTCATTGGTAACTGATTGAAAGAGTTATCAATAGAAAGGAATGTCTGGGTTATGATAAGGAGTTGTGGAGACCAAGCTTTTATCATGCAGATGAAGCCTCTAGGTGGCAGGCTTCAGAGAAAATAGATTGTAAATGTTTCTTATCAGAGTTAAGGTCTGTGTGGATGTTCATGCTGCGGGGGGTAGAATGAGGCAAGCCCAACCCCCTCTTCCCGTTATGGCATGAACCAGTCTCTCAGGTTAAATTTTAGGGTGCCCTGGCAAAGGAGGGAATCCATTCAGATGGTTGTGGGGGGCCTTCGAATTTATTTTTGGTTTACACTGTGAACCAATCCCGCCCTATCACTATGCTTGTCTCGGGAGATATGTTCAGATTCTGCAAGGATTTTAATATCTACACTCTCTTAAGAATCTGCAGCCTCGTTGGTCCTCTCCAGGGTTTCTTCAAGGCCATAGAAGGAAGGTGACCTCTCTGCATTGTCCGAACTTTATTGCTTTAGTTTCTGTAACTTCTAATGAGGCTGTTAAGTCATTGGCTGTGTAGAAGGTTGACAATATAGTTTGGATGTGTGTCCCCGCCCAAATCTCATGTGGAATTGTCATCCTCAGAATCGGCGGTGGGGCCTGGGGGGAGGTGACTGAATGATGGGGACAGAGTTCTCATGAATGGTTGAGCACCATCCCCCGCTTGGTGCTGCGGAGGGAGTAGCTTCTCACGAGATCTGGTTGTTTAAAAGTGTGCGGCTCTTCCTCTCCTCTCTTGGTCCTTCTCCTGCCACAAGACGCCTGCTCCCCCTTCGCCTTCCACCATGAGCAAAAGCTCCCCGAGGTCTCCCCAGAAGCAGATGCTGCCATGCTTCCTGTGCAGCCTGCAGAACCGTGAGCCAATCCAACCTCTTTTCTTTATAAATTACCCAGTCTCAGGTATTTCTTTGCAAGAATGGACTAATACAGTTGATTTTGTGCAAAATTAGACTAAGTAATCAGAAATACTGAAGGACCAAATAAATGATATGAGAGAAGTTTTTCTCCCTATTCTTCGTCTTTTATTTCTTTTTTTTTTTGGAGACAGGGTCTTGCTATGTGGCCCAGGCTGGAGTTCAGTGGTGCAATAATTATAGCTCATTGCAGCCTCAGCCTCCTGGGCTCAAATGATCTTCCCACCTCAGCCTCTGGAGTAGCTGGGACCACAGGTGCACACCACCATGGCTAATTTTTTAAATTTTTTGTAGAGATGGGGGGGGGGGGCGTCTCACTATGTTGCCCAGGCTGGTCTTGAACTCCTGGTCTCAAGCCATCTCCCTGCCTTAGCCTCCCAAAATGCTGGGATTAAAGGCATGAGCCACCTTGCCCCACCTGAAAATGCAGACTTTTAAGACTGTGAACTCTATCACGATGCTTGTCTCAGGAGACACATTCAGATTCTGCAAGAATTTTAATGTCTATGCTCTTTTAAGAATCTGCAGCCTCACTGGTCCTCTCCAGGGTTTCTTGAAGGCCATAGAAGGAAGACAGCGTGTCTGCATTGTCCTGAACATTAACTTTATCGCTTCACTTTCGGTAACTTCTGATGATGACATGAAGTCACTGGCTGTGTAGAAGGTTGATTTTGTGCAGAATTAGACCAAGTAATTGGGAATACTGAAGAAGCAAATAAATGATATGGGAGTGTGTTCTGCCCCCATTCTTTGTACTATTATTATTATTAAAGAGACAGGGTCTCACTCTGTTGCCCAGCCTGGAGTACAGCAGTGCAATCTCAGTTCACTGCAGCCTTGACTTCCCAGGCTCAAGCGATCCTCCTGCCTCAGCCTCCCGAGTACCTGGGACTACAGGCGTGTACCATTATGCCTGGCTAAGCATTTATTTTTGTAGAGATGGGGTCTCACTATGTTGTGCAAGCTGGTTTTGAATTCCTGACCTCAAGTGATCTGTCCATCTGGGCCTCCCAAAGTGCTAAGAGTAACTCTTATTCTTTTTCTTTTTTTTTGAGACGGAGTCTTGATCTTTCACCCAGGCTGGAGCACAGTGGTGCGATCTCAACTCACTGCAACCTCTGCCTCCCGTGTTAAAGCGATTCTTGTACCTTAACCTCCCGAGTAGCTGGGACTACAGGTGTGCACCACCACACCGGGTTAGTTTTTGTATTTTTAGTAGAGACAGGGTTTCACCATGTTGCCCAGGCTGGTCTCAAACTCCTGACCTCAGGTGATCCGCCCGCCTTGGCCTCCCAAAGTGCTGGGATTACAGGCGTGAGCCACCGCCCTTATTCTTTATTGCAAGTTGGTTCATATTCAGATGGCCAGTCTGTTACGCCCTATGTTCAAACCTGAGGCCGAGGGTGGAGTGAGGCTCCATGGTACCTTGACTTACCTATGAGCCAGTCCATCTCCTCCACATTATCACCATATAAGCCATGCTGACTTTTCCCCAGGAATGCACTCGTGGTCACAAGGGGAATGTGCACATGCAGCAAAGAAAGGAAGAGGAGAAATGGCCCATGCTTGTGTCTGAAAGAAGAAAACTTCCTTGAGAATACACAGAATATACAGTACACCAAAGGGACCCCTGCACCCATACGTTCACTCCAGCACTATTCACAAGAGCCAAGGCAGGGGATCACCTTCTGAGTTCATCAGTGGGTGAACACAGAAAGAATAAATGGTGGGCCAGGCGTGGTGGCTCATGCTTGTAATCCCAACACTTTGGGAGGCTGAGGCGGGAGGATCACTTGAGGCCAGGAGTTCAAGGCCAGCCTGGGCAACACGGTGAAATGCCATCTCTACCAAAAATAGAAAAATTAGCTGGGCGTGGTGGCTTGAGTCTGTGGTCCCAGCTACTTGGGAGGCCGAGGTGGGAGGACGGCTTGAGCCCGGGAGGTGGAGCTTGCAGTCAGCCATGATCATACCACTGCACTCCAGCATGGGTGACAGAGCCAGACCCTGTCTCAAAAAAAAAAAAAAAAAAAAAGAATATATTGTATATGTCCACAATGGAATACTATTCAGCCATAAAAAAGAATGGAGGCTGGGCACAGTGGCTCAAGCCTGTAATCCCAGCACTTCGGGAGGCTGAGCCTGGCAGCTCAGTTGAGGTCAGGATTTCAAGACCAGCCTGGCCAACATGGTGAAATGGTGAAACCCCATCTCTACTAAAAATAAAAAAATTAACAGGGTGGGGTGGCAGGTGCCTGTAATCTCGGCCACTCAAGAGGCTGAGGCACGAGAATTGCCTGAGCCTTGGAGACAGAGGTTGCAGTGAGCCATGATCACACCACTGCTCTCCAGCATGGGTGACAGAGCCAACGCTGTCTCAGAAAAAAAGGTTATATCTGGTATATGTACGTGATGGAATACTATTCAGCCATCAAAAAGAATGAAATCCTGTCATTTGCAGCAATACAGATGAAACAGGAGGTCACTATGTTAACTAAAATAAGCCAGGCACAGAATGACCAATACTGCATGTTGTCACTCATATGGGAGAGCTAAAAAAAAATCGATCACATGAAGATAGAGAATAGAATGATAGAGACCAGAGGCTGGGAAGGGTGAAGGACAAAGAGAAGTGGTTTAAAGAGTACAAACATACAGTAAGCTTAAAGGAGTACATTCAACGTCTGATAGCAGAGTAGGGTGACCAAAGCTAACAAAATGTATTGTACTCAGGAGATGGACACTGTAAGTATGCTGTTTGATCGTTATTCAGTGTATACATGTAACAAAATTTCACACATACCCCATACATTTGTACAAATTAAAAAGTAAGGGCCAGGCACGGTGGCTCACGCTTATAATCCCAGCACTTTGGAAGGCAGAGGTGGGAGGATGGCTTGAGCCCAGGAATTCAAGACCAGCTTGGGCCATATAGTGAGACATTGTCTCAAAAAAAAAAAAAAAAAAAAATGAGACATTAGAAAAAGGCCAGGCACAGTGGCTCACTTCTGTAATCTTAGCCCTTTGGGAGGCCAAGATGGGAGGATTGTTTGAGCCCAGGAGTTTGAGACCAGCCTGGGCAACATAGTGAGACCCCATCTCTACAAAGAATGCAAAAAAAAAAGTTTAAAAAACTGTCAATAAAAATGTACAGAATCCAATGGCGTGTATGTCAATGCTATTCGAGCCATCACATGACATCCACTTCGAGACTCTCATATGGGAAACCCAGCCACATGAAAAGGTTGGCTTCTGCAAAGCCGTCTCCTCCGAGGGTTGGTGTCTGAGATCCCAAAGATTATAAGGGGACTCTCAGATGCTCTGAGCAGTTACCGTGTCTTTTTTTTAAATTAAACTTTATTTTTATTTTTTTAGCGACAGAGTCTCACTCTGTCACCCAGGCTGAAGTACAGTGGTGTGATCATTGCTTACTGCAGCCTCGACATCCGAGGCTGAAGCGAACCTCCCACCTTAGCCTCCTGAGTAGCTGGCATTGCAGGCACACACCACTATGCCCGGCTAATGATTTTATTTATTGTAGAACCTGTCTTCCTATGTTGCCCAAGCTAGTCTAAAGCACCTGGGCTAAAAGATCCTCCCATCTTGGCCTCCCGAAGTGCTAGGATGACAGGCATGAGCCATCGCGTCCGGCCCCATCTCCTCTTTAAGATGCGATGGTTGCTTACCTTTCAATATAGGAAACAGCTTCCTTTAGCATAAGACTCGCTGTTTTCTCCAGAACCATGGGTTGCTCCGTGACGTCATGGTTTCTCATCAGGATACAGTTCCAGCGTCGCACAAACCCGAAGGAGGAGTACCAAGAGATGAAAAACAGGCAGCCCACGCCGGCCATGCCGGTGACTGCTCTCGCGGAGACAGAGAAGAAACCGCAGGTCTGGCCGGCAGCCAGGGTGAGAATCCCCAGCGCCAGGAACTGGGTGTAACCCCAGAGCTGCGCCCTCAGGGCGGCGTCCACTTCGGGGGGCCTGCCTGGGTCACAGTCGTTTGTGAGCGTGAAGGGCATGCCGTAGAAATAGTCAAATCCGTGGTTCAGGGGGTGGTGGCAGTGATCCCCGCGGGATGCACAATTCACACCCTGGTGCCATTTTCCTAAAAGAAACGCAAATGTTCAACAGAGACCCGCTTTGAAGCAGCCCTGTCTGCTGCAAAGAACCTCGGAATCATTCCGCGTCGGCAGGAAAAGAAAAGTCTGCAAAGAGCAAAACTGGAAATGGAAAGGCAATGAATGGATTGGATACCTGTGTTTAAATGAACGCATTCTGATCCGTGAAGACTAACGAATGCATCCATGTCAGAACCCTTGGCAAGTGATTAAAGGTTTAAGACTTTCGGCCGGGCGCGGTGGCTCACGCCTGTAATCCCAGCCCTTTGGGAGGCCGAGGCGGGCGGATCACGAGGTCAGGAAATCGAGACCATCCTGGCTAACACGGTGAAACCCCGTCCCTACTAAAAAAATACAATACAGGTGGCGGGCGCCTGTAGTCCCAGCTACTCGGGAGGCTGAGGCAGGAGAATGGCGTGAACCTGGGAGGCGGAGCTTACAGTGAGCCGAGATCATGCCACTGCACTCCAGCCTGGGCGACAGAGCCAGACTCCGTCTCAAAAAACAAAAATGAAAATAAAAGTAAAAATTAAAAAAAGTGAGAGAGAAAGAAAGAATAAATCCACCCTCAGAGTAGGAGACACACAGACTTCTACAGTATAAAGCACTGGCCCTGTAATCCCAGCACTCTGGGAGGCCAAGGTAGGTGGATCACTTGAGGTCAGGAGTTCGAGACCAGCCTGGCCAACATGCTGAAACCCTGGCTCTACTAAAAATGCAAAAAAAATTAGCCAGGCATGGTGGCACATGTCTGTGGTCCCAGCTACTCAGGAGGCTGAAGCAGGAGAATCGCTTGAACCCAGGAGGTGGAGGCTGCAGTGAGTTGCAATCGTGCCACTGCACTCCAGTGTAGGGGACAGAGCAACACTCCATCTCAAAAAAATAAAAATAAATAATAAATAAAAGAAGAAAAAACTTTAAAAAAATTCAAAATAAAAATAAAGTGGCAGGAAACTTGAAAAGGAGGAACAATGGTTGTCCTTTAGAAAACCACAGCTTCGGACAAGTTAGGGTGTTGCGGCTCCTGTGAATGGGACAGTGGCTTTGAGTGTGAGAAAAGCACAGAGGGGAACTGGGGACCCTGCACAGAGATCCCACCACCAGGTCGGGGCGGGTGGCCTCACCACTGCGCTCCCACGTTCTCATGTGTATGACGGGGACAGCACCTCTAAACACACAGGCTGGGTAAGGAATGAAGGAGGTAACCAGCAGACTGCCTGGTGCTTGGCGGCATAAACCAACATCTCCCTCCTTTCCTCTCCGTGCAGAAAGGAGTTTAAGGGGCAGGCCTGAGCTAGTGCCCCTTACAAAGGCTGGCTTGTAAGATTCCCCGTGGCTGGTGTTTGAGATCTGGATTTCCAATGGAGAAGTCACACCATTAAAATAATAAGCTGACTGTGCCTAAACTATATGCAAAAGCAACGTGGTTCATGCTAAACACCTCCTTTGGTTCTGGGAGTCTGGAATTCGGGTGGGTGCCAGGCAGTGAGTGCCTGCAGGACCAGCCCCCAACAGAAACCCCTGGGCACTGATTCTCCCGGGAGCTTCCCTAATAGACAGCATTCCTTGCGTGTTGTTGAAACTCATTTCTGGAGGAATATGGTGCATCCTGTGTGATCCCACTGGGGGAGGATTCTTGGGAGCTTGTGTCTGGTTTGCCCTGGGCTTCATTCCGTGTAATTCCCATCACTGATTCTGCCTCACCTCCTTTGACTGTCATAAATCACCCATGAGCACAACTGCATGCCAAATCCTCCTAGCAACTTCCTGAACTTAAGGGTGCTCTTGGAGACCCCTGACATGCTGTCTGTTATAAAGAGGGTGTTCTGCCCCTGCCGGGGTTTATTGTCTAAAGGAAGGCAGTGTTTGTTAACTCTGGGGCTTTTGAGATGGTGAGTGGCCATGTAGAGAAGGATAATGTCTGAAGAAGGTCGTGATAAATGGGGACAAGCTGAAGACTGATAGGTCCAGAGAAGAAAAGAGGGCAATCTCCTAGGATTTTGAATTTAAGAAGAAAAAAAAACTCATGAAAAACTGGGGACAATCCAATAGGCATGAGATGGACCAGGCACCAACTTCTGATTCAGAGGACACAGGATTGTTTTCCTTTGCAGGAAAACGGGATCTTTTTTTTTTTTTTTATTCTTTGAGACAGAGTCTCGCTTTGTCACCTAGACTGGAGTGCAGTGGTGTGATCTCGGCTCCCTGCAACCTCCGCTTCCCGGGTTCAAGCGATTCTCCTGCCTCAGCCTCCTAAGTAGCTGGGACTACAGGCGTGCGCCACCACGCCTGGCCTGGGATCTTTTTTATCACGAATATTCCCAACCACCGTATAATGTGAGGCTCCCACATATCCACACCTATGAGGCCGGTTGCATAGCCATGCTGCTGCAAGATTCTTGCAAAAGTGGTTTCGTTCTCAGGGAGTCCACCTGAGCCTGCGTTCCACTGAAGGGCCCGGTATCCATTGCTGGCGTCCATGCCTGTGGGGCAGAGAAGACAGGAAGAATTTACTTTCCTTTCTCTAGAGGAGCACTTCTCAACCAGAGGGATTTGGTGTCTGAGATCTGGATTTGTGCACCCGAGCCAGGCTGCTATTATCTATCATCCATCTATCATGTATGGAGCTATCAATTATCTACCCATCTATCGTCTGTCATCTATCTACCTACCTACATACCTACCTACCTACCGACCTATCACACTATTCTCGAAATAATAAGCATGGCCAATGTCTGGAGATGTTTGTGGTGTCACAGCTCAGAAAGGGTGGTGTGTGGTGCTACTCGTATCGGGTGCGTGGAGCCGAGTGATGCTGCTCAAGACCCTACATACAGTGCACAGAACAGCCCCACCACAGAGAATCATCTAGCCCCAAATGTCCCTCATGCCAAAACAGAGACACCCCACCTTAGGATGACAGACGCCATGTGATCTATCATATGTCTATCTATCTGTTTACCTAGCTATCACCTGTCACCTGTCTATCTCAATATGGATCCATCATCTATCATCTATATCTATCCATCTATCTATGTATCTATTATCTGTCATTATCATTAATCATCTAGCTATCAATCAGCTATCATTATCTATCATCTGTCTATCACTTATCTTTCTATCATCATTATCTATCATCTATCATTATCTATCAATCATCTCTTATCTAGCTATCTAGCTATCAATCATCTATCACGTCATGATCAATCATCTATCATTATGTATCATCATCATCTAGATATCTAGCTATCAATCATCCATTATCTATCATTATCATCCATCTAGCATGTATCTAGCTGTCAATTTATCTATCTATCTATCTATCATCTATCATCTATCTATATCACAATGATTCTCAACTTGGGGAAACTTTGCTCTCTCTAAGAGACACTTGGTCTTGTGATCAGTCATACTGGCTCGGAATAAACCTCTTTAAAATATTCCACAGACCTTGGTTTTTCTGTTCACATCCTAATGATCACAACTTTTATGTGTATGCACACAATACAATATTCCTTACATAAATACAAGGAAGACGATGAATTGCAGGTGATCTTTGTACCATTGCCCCTGTATCTTCACCATCAGTACTCAACTGTTACAGATGACAGAATGAGTGCACACAGATGTACCCATTTCTCCATCATCTCCGTGACACCAACCTGATCTGAAGGAATGTCTCCCTGTGAGGAATGCAGCTCGGCTTGGGGTGCAGAGCGGGGCGGCCGCCAGGTGCTGAGTGAGCCTCACACCTTCCTCTGCAAGCTGGTCAATATTCGGCGTTCTGAGCAAAGCACACAAATGTCATTGTTGGAAGGGAGACATGCATTTGGCTTAAGCAGATCCCTGCTCTGAAAGGCACAGGAATAGCTGCAAGGACTTCACCGGATTTCAGAATTAGTTGCATTATGGTCTCCTGCAGCGGTAGATTGACCCCATCCTAAGTTTGGTGTTGATGTTGAGATGGATGACATCTCTCTCTCTCTCTCTCTCTCTCACACACACACACACACACAAAGTATATGAGACAATTTATGACTCATATAACGAGGCTTTCTGGGGAGAGCAGGGCAGGCCTTCCAAGCTCATGTGAAATAAGGAAGCAAGGAAAGGAGATTTATGTTTTCAATTGTGGTGAGGGTGTGGGGCCGAGATGAGGGTTCCCATGCAAGGGTGGGGGCGTTTATGGTCTGAATCTGCCATCAGCACCAAAGGAGACAGTCCCTGTGCTTTCTTATCTGCTTGTCCAGATGGGGAACACAGACAGAAGAGGCTTAAAAGCTTTCATCATCAGATATCAAAAAACTGTGAGGGCCGGGCACGGTGGCTCACGCCCGTAATCTCAACTCTTTGGGAGGCCTAGGCGGGCAGATCACTTGAGGTCAGGAGTTCAAGACAAACCTAGCCAACATGGTAAAACCCCGTCTCTACTAAAAAAAATACAAAAATTAGTCAGGCAAGGTGGTGCACACCTGTAATCCCAGCTACTCGGGAGGCTGAGACAGGAGAATCGCTTGAGCCCAGGAGGCGGAGGTTGCAGTAAGCCGAGATTGCACCACTGCACTCCAGCCTGGGTGAAAGAACAGAGTGAGACCGTGTCTCAAAAAAAAAAAAAAAAAAAAAAAAAAAAAGAAAGAAAAGAAAAGAAAGAAAGAAAGAAAGAAAGAAAAGGAGCCAAAAGAGGTATCCACATAGAATGGAATCTATGGAATATGACTCAGCCACTGCAAGGCGTGAGGCACGGTACTGTGAAAGCCTCCTGACATAAAAGACCACAGGTTACATAATTCCATCTGTATGAAATGTCCCTAACAGGGGAATCTATAGAGATGGAAAGTATATTAGTGGCTGCCAGAGGCTGAGGGTTAGGGTGCTGAGAGAGTTGGAGGAGTGTTAGCTGGGGCTGCCATAACAAAGTCCTACACACCTGGCCGCTTCAACACCAGATATTGGTTGGGCACGGTGGTTCACGCCTGTCATCCCAGCACTTTGGGGGGCTAAGGTGGGTGGATCACTTGAGGCCAGGAGTTCGAGACAAGCCTTGGCAACATAGTGAAAACCTGTCTCTACAAAAAATACAAAAATTAGCTGGGCGTGGTGGCATGTGCCTGTAGTCTCAGCTACTCAGGAGGCTGAGGTGAGAGCCTAGGAGATGGAGGTTGCAGTGAGCTGTGATCATGCCACTGCATTCCAGCCTGGGCAACAGAGTGAGACCCTGTCTCAAAAAACAAAACAAAATAAAACAGAAAAACAAACCCAGTAGACATTTATTCTCTCACATTTCTGGGAGCTGGAAGTCTGAGATCAAGCATGGGCAGGGCTGGTTCCTCCTGAGGCCACCACCCTGGGCTCGTAGACACCATCTTCTCCCTGTGTCCTCAGGTGGTCATTGCTCTGTGTGTGTCTGTGTCCTCATCTCCTCTTCTTATAAGGACCCCAGTCCTATTGGATCAGGGCCCACCCTAGTGACCTCATTTTACCTGAATCACGTCTCTAAAGACTCAGTCTCCAAATAGAGTCACAGTCTGAGGTCCTGGGGGTCAGGACTTCGACGTAGGCGTTTAGGGGACACAGATTCGCTCCTCGCTGGAGGTGATGGCTAAGGGGATGCAGAGTTTCTTTGGGGGTATGCAAATGCTCTAACATGGTTTGTGGTGACAGATGCACAGCTCCATGAATAGAATAAAAGTCCCTGAACTGTACACTGTAAACAGATGAACCGCATGTTCTGTGAATTACAACCAGGCCTGCTCAGGGTGTTCGAAAGGGGATCCCTGGACAGGGGGCAGATTGATTGATTGATTGACTTAGAGACAGGGTCTTGCTCTGTGGCCCAGGCTAGAATGCAGTGGCGCAACCTCAGCTCACCATAACCTCCACCTCCCGGGCTCAAGCCATCCTCCACTCTCAGCTTCCTGAGTAGCTGGGACTACAGGCATGCGCCACCACACCTGGCTAATTTTTTGTATGTTTCATAGAGACAGGGTTTTGCCATGTTGCCCAAGCTGGTCTCAAACTCCTGGGCTCAAGTGATCCACCTTCCTTGGCCTCCCAAAATGCTGGGATGACAGGCGGGAGCCACCGTGCCCGGCCCACACAGGGCAGACTGCTGCAGGTGCTGCAATGTTCACTGCAAAGAAGGGAGGCCCTGCTCTGCGGGGACCGCTCCTGAGGTTGGCAGCTATTGAAAAGCAGATGCAGCCTGCATTCTGGGGCGGTCCTTCTAGGAGAAAAGCCCACCAAATGGAATAAGGAGCTTTCTCACCTTTTCTCCTGTTGCAGAAAGCACGTGAGCACCACTCAAGCGCTCTGCTGGTAAGGTTGGCATAGAGGCTACTACTCTGTGTTTGCACATGCCACTGCAGTGGGCTGAATGGGGGTCTGCGAACCGATCTGTCCACGTGCTGACCCCCCAAACCTGTGTGTGAGACCTTGCTTAGAAAAACTGTCTTTGGAGTTGTTATTAGGTATCCCGAGATGAGATCATCCTGGTTTAGAGAGGGCCCCAGATGCAATGGCCAGTGTCCTTCTGAGAGACAGAGGAGGAGACACAGACACAGGGGAGAAGGCCGCATGGGGACGGAGGCACAAACTGGAGTGATGTGGCCACAAAGCCAGAGATGCCTGGAGCCCCCAGGAGCTGGGAGAGGCAGGAAGGGTCCTCCCCTACAGCCTCTCAGGGAGCTCTGTTGGTGTCTTAATCTCCTCTTTTAGTAATCCATATCAGATTAGGGCTCACCCTAAGGACCTCAGTTTAACTTAATTACCTCTTCAAAGACCCCATCTCTGAAAACGGTCACACCCTGAAGTACCGGCGGTTAGGGCTTCAACCTACAAATTTGGAGGAGGCCAGAATTTGGCCCACAACAGACGTTGTTTGCAAACGTCATCAACAGAAGATGAGATCTTTACAGCGGGCAGGCCTTGCTGCAATGGCCGGTGTCCTTATAGGATGAGGAGATTAGGACACAGACGCAGAGGAGAAGGCCCCGTGGAGACGGAGGCAGAGACTGGAGTGATGTGGCCACAAGCTCAGGGACACCTGGAGCCCCCAGGAGCTGGGAAAGTCCGGAAGGATCCTCCCATAGGGCCCCCAGAGGGAGCCCGGCCCTGCCCACACCTGGATTTAAGATTTCTGGTCTCCAGACCTGGGAGAACAAATTTCCGTTGTTTTAAGCTACCCATTTTGTGGTAGTAATACATTCACCCCCTCACCGCAGTTCCGCATGGTTTAAAAGGGCCTTTTTACCTGTTGGTAGTTTTTTGTTGAGTTCTGAGGCCCTAAGGAGTTTCCTAATTTCTCCAGGCAGATTTTAAATGCACCATTCCGTCAAACTCACATAACATCATCACCAATAGCAACAACCAACTGTACCTCAGTGTATTGTTCCCGTAGCAACCGAGATCCCCAGTGCCTAGATCATCCGCCATGATCAGTAGGATATTTGGTTTAAAGGCATTTGCAGTTTTAGGTTCACACGTCTTCAGAAGCAAGCATAAAAACAGTAGCACCGGCAAAGAGTCCCTGGAGAGAAAAGCGAAACACAGAAATGACTATCTACAATTTGGCAAGGGAAGTAGGCATTTCAAGGCAGCTCGCTGGGAAGGCGAAGGTCTTACCACTAAATTAAGACGTTCAGCTTTATGGGAGGTTATTGTCTTGGCCTGAATTCCTGCACTGGTGTCCCTGGGCCAAACCGAGGGTCAGACTGCTATTTCTTGTGACCCAATAGCGAGATGCAGATGAATTGGGAAAGAAGAGAGTTTTTAATTCTGTAACCAGTTACAGGAGGAAGGCCTGGAAATTCTCTCCCAACCAACTCAAAATTACAAAGCTTTCCAGAGCTTATATACCTTCAAAGCTATATGTCTAAGTGTAAGTGTGCATTTATCTAAAGACATAAGTGATTAACTTCTTCTAATCTGTAATTAAGATCTGAGTCCTGAAGACCTTCCTCTGGAGCCTCGGTGAATTGACTTAATCTAGATGGGTCCAGGTGCTGGGGTGATTACCCTTATCTTGTCTCCTGCTAAATCACAGAGTTCTGGGGAGTTCCTTTAGTCCCCAACAAAGCTTGTTTGTGGAGGTCTGGGGAGTTTCTTCAGACCCACAATAAAACTTGTTTAATCCTAAATGGGTCCTGTTAAGAATTCCTTCGTTATCTTGTCATGCTTCAAAGGCCCAGGAGAGGCCTGGGCAGAACTCTTGGTGTGCTTTTGTTACATCCCAGCCTGTGCATAAAGGCGCTGGTTGTTTCAGCTTTTAGTATGTAACTTCACACTCAGTCAGTGCTGAAACAGTTGTTACGGAGGCCTGCATTAGTGAGACCTGGCCTGCCACACTAGACCATACAGGTCAGAACAAACTGGAATGGAGTCACTTGTGTTAACTGCCACATCGTCAAGCTGAACAGGGAAACAGGTCAGTTTTCCAAAAAACAGAAGATTTGAGTAAGCAAGAAGAAGATGTGTAGTTCATCTGAGCTAACAAAGTCTCCCGTGCTTTAACCCTGTAAGAAAAGTAACTTTGAAACAACCAATCTGCTTTATTATTCTTTTTTTTCTTTTTTTTGAGATGGGGTCTTGCTGTGCTGCCCAGGCTGTAGTGGCATGATGGTGGCTTACAGCAACCTCTGCCTGATTCTGAGGTGGGAGGATTGATTCAAGCAGTCCTTGAACTGCAGTGGATAGGTGGTGTCTTAGTGTTGGGGGATCGTGGCTGTGCTCTCCGGGGAGGACGCGAACGAGGGGTGTGTCTCAGGGTGTGTGAGGGGACACGGCTCTACTGGGGGGCAGGGGAGGAATAAGGCCATGGGGAGGGATCCGGTGTGGCCAGCAGGGCAATGGCCGCGGAAGGGGACAGGACGGGGCGTGTCTTGGAGGGTGGCGAGAGGCACGGCAGTGCTGCTGAGGCAGGAGAATAGGGTCTGGAGGCAGGGAACCTAAGGCTTTCCATGCCGACTTCCTAGAAGTAAATTGAAAGGAAAATCCTAACTTTCCTTTTTTTTTTAATTTTAATTTTTATTATTATTTTTTGAGATGGAGTTTCACTCTTGTCGCCCAGGCTGCAGTTCAATGGCATGATCCGGGCTCACTGCAACCTCCACCTCCAGGGTTCAAGCGATTCTCCTGTCTCAGCCTCCTGAGTAGCTGGGATCACAGGTGCCTGCCACCACGCCCGGCTAATTTTTTTGTAATTTTAGTAGAGGCCCGGCCTAATTTTTGTATTTTTAGTAGAGACGGGATTTCACCATATTGGCCATGCTGGTCTCAAACTCCTGACCTCAGGTGATCCACCCGTCTCGGCCTCCCAAAGTGCTGGGATTACAGGCATGAGCCACCTCGCCTGGCGGGAAAATCCTAACTTTCCATGCCTAAGTAACAAAAGGACCGAAGGCTTCCCTTTGACCTTTTCTATTGGGTAGATAGTAGACTGGCTGTCTGCAACCAATCGGACTGATTTCGGGTCTAGTCTTCGTGTGCAACTTTGTGACTTCACCCTAGTCTCTGATTAGTTGGGTTTTGCAACCAATCAGATGTTTGCACAGGAGTGTGACCTTTGTAACTTCACCCTTTGGTTGGCTGCTGCCTGCAACCAATCAGACTGATCGCGGGCCACCACTTCAGTTACATGAGGTGAGCATGAAGTGGCCAATGGGAAACTTCTAGGGGGTATTTGGACCCAAGAAGATTATGTACCCGGGCCCTTGAGCCGCTGCTTGGTCGGCTCCCACACTGTGACGTGTCCTTTTGTTTTCAATAAATCCCTGCTTTCCTTCTTTTGTTGCTTCATTCTTTCTTTGCTGGGCGTTTTGTCCAATTCTTTGTTCAAAACGCCAAGAACCTGGACAACTTGCAGTCACGACCCTCTACCGGTGGCACTGGGGCGCAAATGAAGCTGGGAATGCAGGACCCGGCGCATCTGAGGAAGTGCAGCGGGGCATGGCGGTGCTAGAGGGTGGGGACATGGAGGCGGCACAAGGCCAAGGCGCCGGGGGATGGCCAGAGGGAAGTAACGGCCGCGCTTGTGGTGGAGATGGGGACGGGACAGAGAAGTCTTGGGGGGTGACCGGGGTAGGCACGGCGGTGCTGGGGGGAGGGCGCCCAATGAAGCCCACGGGGGGGAAAGGGGCGTGTCTTACCGAGCGTGTTGGGGGAGTCACAGCCGTGCTTGGGAGGATGGGGTCTGGGGGAAGGACGGGGCGCGTCTTAGTGGGATGAGGGGGAGGGCACAGCCGTGCTGGGAAGGCAAAGGGCCGGGGGGCGGGATGGAGCATGTCATGGTGGGGCCGAAGAGGCGGGGGGCGGGAAGGGGCCTTCTTAGAAATCGGGAGGGCGTCACAGCTGTGCTCGGGAGGACGGGGCGTTGGGGAGGGACAGGGAGCGTCTTAGTGGACCCGGGGAACACGGCCGTGCTGGAAGGCATCGAGCTGGGGGGTTGGGGGCGGGACGGGGTGCCTCTTAGGAAGTGGGGCGGGCAAGGCTACGCTTCGGGGGATGGAGCCTTGGGGCGGGACGGGGCGCGTCTTAGTGGGGCAGAGCGGGGGGCGCGGTTCGGGGCGGGTCTTAGGGAGCCTTTGAAGGCCGAATCCGGGCAGCGGTGTAGCTGGGCGTGGAAGGCGGAGGACCCAGCAGGGCGTGACCGGCCCAGTTTCCGCTCCCTCCGGGTCCCGGCCAGCCTTCCTCCGCCCTCCCTTCCCTTCCTCCTTTGTTCTCTTTCCCTGCCCTTCCGCCTTCCCTTCAGTTCGGTCTCCTCCACCCGCCCTTCGTCCCCTCAGTCGCCCCCCATCCCTGGGCTCTGCTGTCTGGCGTCTTTCCCGGGCACAGAACGCGCCTCCAGCTACATTTTGGAGACTACAAGGCGCCGGACACAACCACGCCCTTTACAGGGGCCCAGGCTCGCCCGGGGCGCCCCTCGCCGTGCTCGCGACCCCCTCCCCAGGCCCCCACCCTAGGCCTTAGTATGGGCCGCGTCCCGGGGTCCCAGGCACCTGGCGGCGGGCGCGGCGCGTCCCCTCCGCGCGGCGGATCGCATGGCCGAGCGCTGGCCCAGAGCGCAGGACCTTGCCCTGCGCACTCCGCGCCCGGGCGCCGCTAGTGCCAAGGCTTCCGCCCTCTCAGCTGCGGGATCTGGGCCGGGCGCCCGCCCCTCCTTCATCCGCGTCATCTCCTGGCTCTCGGGACCTCCGGGACCTGCGCGTGGAAACAGGTTTTCCCAGGTCGTCACACGGGAAGGCCTGGGCTAAGGAGCTGATTAAACCCAGTTACGATTGACCGGGCGCGGTGGCTCCCGCCTGGAATCCCAGCAGTTTGGGAGGCCAAGACGAGTGGGTCACCTGAGGTCAGGAGTTCGAGACCAGCCTGGCCAACCTGGTGAAACCCCGTCTCTACTAAAAATACAAAAATTAGCTGGGTGTGGTAGTTCACGTCTGTAGTCCCAGCTATTCGGGAGGCTGAAGCAGGAGAGTTGCTTGAACCCGGGAGGTGGAGGTTGCAGTGAGCTGAGATCGCGCCACTGCAACTCCAGCCTGGGCGACAGAGTGACACTCCGTCTCAAAAAATAAATAAATAAAAATAAAAAATAAACCCAGTTAGGCTTGAGCACAGGGAGCCCCTTTTCTTTTTGTCAGGAAGGGTCTTAGGACCTACCCAGAGCAATCAAGTTGCGATTTCAGTTTCTCAAAGCTTGGTGTTTGAAATGTCTGTTCCGGATGCTGGACTTGTACTCTAAGTCTGGGACGGGGAATGCTAGATGGGCCCTTTTTTTTTGCTTTTATTACTATTATTATTATTATTTTGAGATAGGGACTCACTCTGTCGCCCAGGCTGGAGTGCAGTGGTGCGATCTCGGCTCAGTGCAACCTCCGTCTCCTGGGTTCAAGCGATTCTCCTGCCTCAGCCTCCCGAGTAGCTGGGACTACAGGCGCGTGCCACCACGCCCGGCTAATTCCAATTGCTATTTTTATCTTTGTTTCTTTCATCAGACTGCTGTTGAAATTACTCCTTTTGATTAATCACTGTGCCCTGGACCCCTCCCCATCTTTTCTGTGACTCATCCTTTTGTTTTTGAATGATGCTATTTTGCTCATTACCCTCTCACGTAATGCTTTTTTTGTATCTTTGGCTCTCCCTTTGTTGTTTGTTTGTTTTGTTTTTAACTCTTTTGACCTCTAGAAAGATCAAGGCTGAGAGTTGAGGCTGCAGTGAGCCTTTGTTTTTGTCTAACTCTCTTGACCTCCAGTCGCTGATTCTCTCAAGCCCCTTCATGTCTTACCTCATCCCCTCACATCCCCTCACAATGCAAGATCTGGTCAAAGTATAAATTCATATTTTGTAGGAAATGCTAGCTTACAAAACAATATCACATCCCTACCTCCAGCCCAGGTGACCCACTTTCCCTCAAAGGGGGTTGCTTAGGTCCTCTTCCACTGGTCAGGGACAAAATGATTCCATAGTCTTCAAGATTAACAGTACTTTCTTTTTCCAAGGCTGAGGCTGTCAAGGGTGAGGCTGTCACCGCCTCCCAAGGAAGTGGAACTACCGGTGTGCACCACCACCCCTGACACATTTTTGTTAATTTATTTTTTTGCTAGAGACTAGGTCCCACTATGTTGCCTAAGCTGGTCTCAAACTCTTGCCTCAAGCAGTCCTCCTGCTTTGGCCTCCCAAAGTACTGGGATTACAGGTGAGCCACTGTGCCTGACCAGCCACAAGACTCTATGTTGGGTGTGTAGGTGGGAAGCATATCCAGGTCCTCCTCACCATTATTCTGCCTCCAACATTTATGCCATTTTTTTTTCCTTTGCAACTCAGTTCTCTATGCTTACCAAATGGAATCAGTAAGGTAGGGGAGGCGGGGTGGAAGTTTGTGTTGAAAACATAGATTCAGAAGCCCCTCCTTAAATTCACTGAGTTAGGATTTTCATAAATGAGGGAGCTGCCCCACACTCCCCTGGGATGAGATGATGGGGGTGCTTGTTCAAGACAATACAGTCAGGAGCCCTACTCCCTAAATTTATTCAATTGGAATCTCCCAAAATGGTGCTGGGAATTCTATTTAGAAAAAAGACCATTCACTTTTAATTGGCAAATTTAGTTCATTTACATTTATTACGCTGGCCATCTGTCTGGAGCTAGCTCTTGAGCACTGTTTATTGCTTCTCTCTTTGCCCTGTTACTCTGAAATAGCTTTTATCAGACAGGCTTGGTGGCTCACACCTGTAATCCCAGCACTTTGGGAGACTGAGGGGGAAGGATTGCTTGAAACCAGGAGTTTGAGAACAGCCTGCGAAACACAGAGAGACCCTGTCTCTACAAAAAAATTTTTTTAAGTTAGCCGGGCATGGTGGTGTGCCTGTAGTCCCAGCTATTTGGGAGGCTGAGGTGGGAGAGTCATCTGAGTGCAGGAATTTGAGGTTGCAGTGAGCTGATTGCACCGTTGCACTCCAGACTGGGTGACAGAGCAAGACCCTGTCTCTAAAAAAATTTAAAAAAGAACTTTTTTATCTTTGAGGGCTTCCCAACTGGGATTCCTTGCTGAGCCTCTGTCATGCAGATGGAGAAGGCCAGGCCGAGGCCTGGAAGGAGGGGGGCAGGAGACAGCCCAGAAGCAGTTCTGCAAGGAGGTTTAGCAGGGGTGGCGCGGAGATTTGATCCTTGGAAGAAATCCTATGCTGCTGGGAGTTGAGATTCCTGAGAACTAGAGAGAAAAGAACTTTGGGTGCCCTTAGGTAAATTATGTAAACACACTGAGCTGTCTTGGGTGCCCAGGATTTGGAAATGGGGCCTGGGGGCAGTAGGAGCTGGTGCTCCAGAAGTCATATTTGCGGGAGGTTGTGGGGATGGAAAGGGTGGGTAAGCCCTGACCCTGAGGGTCTCACATGACTTTCAGCACATGGAGCCTCCATGGGGACTTTGGCTTCAAAGCCATCAAGCTCAAGAGTGTGGGCAAGTGTGGAGACAGAGGTGACTCTCCCCAGTGGATGCTGAAGAACTTAAAGGTGACTCTGTGGGCCGGGAACATCGGGCACAGCTGACCCAAAGTGCTGGTCTTGTTCCATAAGCCATGGCTATGGGGAAAGCCATAGGGGTTAACTGGTTCTTCCTGCCATCCCTCCCTCCCTTTCTTCCTTTTTCTTTTTGCTTCTTTGCTTTCCTTCCTTCCTGCCATTTTTTCCTTCCTTTCTTTTTAGAGATGAGGTCTCGCCCTGTCGCCCAGTGGCACGATCACAGCTCAGTGTAGCCTTGGACACTTTGGGAGGCCAAAGGCTCAAGTGATCCTCCCGCCTCAGCCTCCCAAGTAGGTGGGACTATAGGCACGTGTCACCACACCTAATTATTTAAATGTTATGCGGAGGCAGGGTCTCGCTATGTCACCCCAGCTGGTCTGAAACTCCTGGCCTCAAGCCATCTTAGTGCCCTAAAGTGCTGGGACTACAGATGTGAGTCACCGCACCTGGCCTACTATTTCTTTCTTGACCCAAGAGAATTGGCTGGAGATGGATTTGACTTTTTGGTCTGTATGCACAGCCTGAATTCTTGGAGGCTGATGTGGATTGGATAATTTGAGGACATGTTCTTGAGGCGGTGACAAGGTGGGGCATTGCTCGTCACATACCTAGGCTTGGAAGAGTGGGAGGAGGGACCTGTTGCTTGAATCTGGAGACAGAAAGAGCTATTGGAAAGACCTCCTTACTCCCAGGGGAGAATGTGCTGGGGACTGAATTGTGTTGCCTTCAAACTCACAGGAATAAGGTTTTTATTCATCCTTTAAAATGAGGTCACAAGAGTGGGCCCTATTCCAATAGGAGTGGGGTCCTTATAAGAAGAGGAGATTAGGGCCGGGTGCAGTGACTCACGCCTGTAATCTCAGCACTTTGGGAGGCCAAGGTGGGCGGATCACTTGAGGTCGGGAGTTCTAGACCAGCCTGGGCAACATGGTGAAAACCCACCTCTACTAAATAATACAAAAATTAGCCGGGCATGGTGGTGCACGCCTGTAGTCCCACCTACTCGGGAGGCTGAGACAGGGGAATCACTTGAACCTGTGGCAGAGGTTGCAGTGAGCTGAGATCACGCCATTGCACTCCAGCCTGGGCAACAGAGCAAGACCCCATCTCAAAAAAAAACAAAAAACAAAAAACAAGAATCAGAGATAGGACACAGACAGGCACAGAGGGATGACCGTGTGAAGACATGGGAAGAAGGCAGCAGCTGTGAACCGAGAAACAGGTTCTCCCCAGACACAGCTTCCGTCACGCCGTGGTCTTGGACATCCAGCCTCTAGAACTGCAAGAAAGAAATATTCTTGATGATACCCAGTTTATGGTATTTTCATTCTAGCAGCCCAGACAATTAAGGCGCAGCCTGATTATGCAATGACCTTGCAGCTCAGAGCTGGGGCGAACACTTCCTGCACAGCGCGGCTTCCACAGCCAGAGTTTGCCCAAATCACCTGGGGCATTGGAGACAAAGGAAAACCACTTGAAAACAGTTCCAACGGGAAGCACGGCTCATCCTTGTGGCCGTAAACGATAAACAAACACTATAAATGGGCACCACAGACAAAGCCACATCAGTGCCAGTTTTTATCTTTGGGGCCTATCTCCTGTTCATGTGCAAACCTGTAGGTCACAGAGACACCTTTGCTGGGACTTGTGCTGTTTTGGGCTACAGGGCAGCCTCTTCCAGACTGAGCTGGGGTCCATTGACAGACTCCTCCCCGACTGCAGGAGATACTTTGCCTCTCCAGTTTGGTGTCTGAGTGATCATTCAACGGTGCATTATTAATGTTTGTTTGTTTATTTATTTATTTTTGATGAGACAGTCTTGCTCTGTCACCCAGGCTGGGGTGCAGTGGTACGACCTCAGCTCACTGCAACCTCTGCCTCCCGGCTTCAAGCAATTCTTCTGCCTCAGCCTCCTGAGTAGCTGGCATTATAGGCGTGTGCCACCACACCTGGCTGCTGCTGCTGCTTTTTTTTTTTTTTTTTTTTTTGATAGAGACAGGGTTTCACCATGTTGGTCGGGCTGGTCTCGAACTCCTGACCTCAAGTGATCTGCCTGCCTCTGTCTCCCAAAGTGCCGGGATTACAGGCGTGAGCCACTGCGCCTGGCCAGTGTTTATTGTTCATTTCTACTTTCTCTTGCCTTTTCCTTTGTTTTTCACAGGGGGAAACTATTCATCCTTATGCAAATAGATATCTTAACATGACACTGAAGTTTGTTTCATTTTTTTGTTTTCTTTCTTTTTTGAGACAGGGTCTTGCTCTGTTGCCCAGGCTGGGGTGCAGTGGTACAATCATAGCTCAGTACAGCCTCCAACTCCGGTGCTCAAATGATCCTCCTGCCTTAGCCTCCTGAGAAGCTAGAACTACAGGCGTGTGCCACCATGCAGGCTAATTTTTTTTTTATTTTTGTTTTGTAGAGCTAGAGTTTCATCATGTTGCCCAGGTTGGTTTTGATCACGGGAGTGATCCTCCTGTGGTGGCCTCCTAAAGTGCTGGGATGACAACCACCATGGCCAGCTGGTTTGTTTCAATTTGAGTGACAAAATTTAGGAATCGGGGCTCCAGCTTTTCACTGCAGACATTTATTGTGGGTCATCTTCCCTAAGGCACCAGCAGAGGGGGAACGGGCCACAGCAGGGCTGCAGCCACGGTCTCCAGATGTTGCCCAGCCTGTCCAGCTGCAGAGGAACTGGGCTGAGTGTCCGCTGGTGTTCCCACACCGCCTGCTGGACTCGTTCCATCACCTGATAGAACACGGGCTCTGAGGCTGGTGTGAGGATGTGGGTCTCAGAAGGGTCTCTTGAGAGGTCAAAGAGCAAAGGTGGATCGTGGTGGACTACTTTTTCCCCAAAGCACGGGCAGACCTTTCTTCCATAGCAGGCACCGGCTCCCTCTGGCTGGAACACAGGCGTCACAAAGTGGACTTTCCACATTGTTCCTCCTGGTGGAAAGATAATCATTACAGAGTTGGCATAGAGAAATAGGGTGCCTTGCTGGAGAATGGCATCTTCATAGGGCTAAAAGGTAGGCCTAACCCAAGCGTCCATCGATGGATGGACAGATAAACAAAACATGGTACATCTTACATGGCATACTCTGCAGCTATGAGAAGGAATGACACAATGACACAGGCTGCAACATCAACGAACTTTCAAAATACTACGCTCAGAGAAAGAAGTTACAAAAGAGCACACATTGCATGATTCCATTCACATTGAATGTCAAGGATAGGGAAACACATAATGACAGGAAGTAGAGTAGTGGTTTCCAGGGTCTGCAGGGTGTGAAATGGAGAGTGACTGCTGATAGGAACAGTGTCTGCTTTTGGCGTGATGAAAATGTTCTGGAGCTACATAGACGTGGAGGTTGCACAACACTGTGAAAGCACGAAGTGCCTGTGAATTGCACTCAGTCAGTTTTTTCTTTTCTTTTCTTTTCTTTTCTTTTTTTTTTTTTTTATTTGAGACAGAGTCTTGCTCTGTCGCCCAGGCTAGAGTGCAGTGGTGCAACCTCCGCCTCCTGGGTTCAAGTGATTCTCCTGCCTCAGCCTCACAAGTAGCTGGGATTACAGGAGTGCGCCTGTAATTGTTCACAAAGAAGATGAAGTCGTGTTAAGGTCAGGTGATTAAAACATTTGGAAGCACATCTAGATGCATAAAATAGACTACAAAAGGCTGGGCGTGGTGGCTCACACCTGCAATTTCAGCATTTTGGGAGGCCAAGATGGGTGGATTGCTTGAGCCCAGGAGTTGCCTGGGCAACATACTGAGACCTTGTTTCAACTTAATAAAGAAAAATTGGAGACCAGGCGTGGTGGCTCATGCCTGTCATCCCAGCACTTTGGGAGGCCGAGGAGGGTGGATCACTTGAGGCCAGGGGTTCAAGAACAGCTTGCCCAACATGGTGAAACCCCATCTCTACTAAAAATACAAGAAATTAGCCAGGTGTAGTGGTGGGCACCTGTAATCCCAGCTACTCAGGAGGCTGAGGCAGGAGAATCACTTGAACCCGGGAGACTGCAGTTGCACTCCAGCCTGAGCGACAAAGACTAGTCTCAAAAAAATAATTACAAAAAAATAAGAAAAAAAAGAGACTAGAAAAGTCTTGAACACATGTGTGTGCAAGCATGTGTGCGTGCGTGTGTGTATGCATGCACATACGTGTGTGTGATGATGATAAAAGTTGCACTTCATATAGTGCAGGGAAGAAAGAATGAAATATAGCCCATACATGGTGCTGAAACTATAGGTAACGACTCCCCATCGTTTTAAGACGATTGGCAGGTGATCTCAGAAGGCATGTCGCTGGAATGAGAGGGACACATATTGACAAAAACTAAATTTAAAAAGCTCGTGGAGAAAAACGGAAGTGCGGAGACATGGAGATGGACTCTGGAATGCAGCTCCATCCCTAGCCTGTTCTAGGGCATGGTGCTTTCCTGCACAGAGGGACTCTTTCCCTAAGGGTGTTAGGAAGGGGCTCCCCTACTCACTGTCCCGTTGATGCCACCTGGCTGCGTGCAGAAACCTCTCACAATAATGCATCAGGAACTCGTGGTCTGAGTGTTGGGCTGTCCCCAGGAGCAAGGGCAGAAGGTCTTGGCCGTCAATCACTCTGCAGGAAGGAACATGGCATGGCTCAGGGTTGGAACAGGGACTCTGGACATTTGTCCCTCCAGCATCCACCAGTCCCAGCCCCAGGTGGTGCACTCTCCTTATGTTGTATCAGTGGAGGGAAAGTCTGGGTGTGAACGCAGATGGATGGAAGGCATGTGTGTGCATTAGCACGCTTAGAAGAAGAATGCAGCAGCTGCCCACGTTAGTCACCACCAAACGTCACCTTTGGCTAAAAAGTAATTAATTGGCCAGGCACAGTGGCTCGTGCGTGTAATCCCAGCACTTTGGGAGGTCGAGGCGGGTGGATCACCTGAGGTCAGGAATTCGGGATCAGCCTGGCCAACATGGTGAAACCCCGTCTCAACTAAAAACACAAAAATTAGCCAGGTGTGCTGGTGTGTGCCTGTAATCCCAGCTACTCGGGAGGCTGAGGCAGGAGGATCGCTTGAACCCAGGAGGCGGAGGTTGCAGTGAGCCTAGATCGCACCACTGCACTCCAGCCTGGGCAACTGAGTGAGACTCAGTCTCAAAAAAAAAAAAAGAAGAAAAAAAAGCTGAAAGAGCCAGCACCCAAAGGCTGGAATGTAACAAAAGCCCACTAAGAGTTCTACCCAGGCCTTTCCTGGACCTTGAAGCGCGATAAAATAATGAAGGGATTCTTAACAGGACCCATTTAGGATTAAACAAGTTTTATTGGGGATCTGAAGGAACTCCCCAGACCTCCACAAACAAGTTTTATTGGGGGGTCTAAAAGAACTCCCCAAACCTCCATGATTTAGCAGGAGACAAGATAAGGGTAATCACCCCAGCACCTGGAACCATCTAGATTAAGTCAACTTACTGAGGCTCCAGAGGAAGGTCCTCAGGACTCAGACCTTAGTTCTAGATGAAAGGAAGTTGAATCACTTATGTCTTTAGATGGATGCACGCTTACATGTGGACATACAGCTTAGAAGGTATAGAAGCTCTGGAAAACTTTGTAATTTTGAGTTGGTCTAGTGATCATTTCCAGCCTTCTCCCCGTATCTGGTTACAGAAATAAAACTCCTTTCTTTCCTCGTTCATTTGCATCTCGTTATTGGGCCATGAGAATAAGCAGCCCGACCCTCGGTTTGGTCGGGGAACAATTTCAGGGACGCCTTACTGCAAAGCCAAAGTGACATGTTCATTTGCCATAAGTGTTGCTGTGTCTGTGCAAAGCTGAATTGTTTCTTTGGGTTGTTCTGTACCTGTCCTGGGGCACCTCGCCGCCCGCCAGCCGGACCACGGTGGGGAACACGTCCATCAGACTCGTGGGCTCGCCAATCACTCGGCCGGCCGGGAGCACCCCGGGCCAGCGGAAGATCCCGGGCACGCGGATCCCACCTTCCCATCCTCCCATGCCCTTCCCACCTGGGTTTGAACAGAAACAAAAGAAAGTGGTTAAAAACCAGAAATAGATGCTCAGCCTGGCTGATTTAACTTTTCTGCTTGTTTCACTTGTTTGAAGTTTCTCTCTCCCTGAGTCTCTCAATTTCTCTCTCTCTCTCTCTCTGTTTTAGTGACATTAAAACATTCAATCTCATGTAGTTCCCCTGTAGAGGTTTGATTTTATATTTTTTATTAACCTTGTTATTGGTTAGTGTGCATTGGATTAAGTTAGGTCCTTCACTACAAATGACTCTTGTTCTTAGAAGACACAGACACAGAGGAGAAGGCCATGTGGAGACGGAGGCAAAGACTGGAGTGATGTGGCCACAAGCCCAGGGACTCCTGGAACCCCCAGGCGCTGGGAGCAGCAGGAAGGATCCTCCCCTAGAGCCTCAAGAAGAAAGTGGATACAACTATAACGTATTGAACAGTGACCCCAAAACATGTTCATGTCATATCTCCCAGAGCCTATAAATGAGACTTTATTTGGAAATAGGGGGTTTGCAGATATAATCAAGTTAAGGACCTTGAGATAATCCTGGATTAGGGTGGCCCTAAATGCAATGACAGATGTCCTTCTAAGAGACAGAAGAGGAGACACGGACACAGAGAAGAAGGTCACGTGGAGACAGAGGCAGAGACTGGAGTGATGCGGCCACAAGCCCAGGGATGCCTGGAGCCCCCGGTAACTGGGAGAGGCAGGAAGGAGCCTCCCCTAGAGCATCCAGAAAGAAGTGGATTCAATTGCAATGGATTGCACTTTAGTCCTCCTGAAACATATATCCACACCCTGATCCCCAGATTCTGTGAATGGGACCTTATTTTAAAAAGGGGTCCTTGTAGATGCAATTAAGTATCTCAAGATCGTCGCGGAGAAGGATGGACTCTAAGTCCAATGACAGCATTCTAAGAGACAGAAGAGGAGACACAGACACAGAGGAGAAGGCCACATAGAGACGGAGGCAGAGACTGGAGTGATGTGGCCACAAGCTCAGGGACACCTGGGGCCCCCAGGAGTTGGCAGAGGCAGGGAGGAGCCTCCCCTAGAGCTTCTGGCGGGAACATTTCCCTGAGACACGTTGATCTCAAACTCCTGGTCTCCAGGGCTGGGACAGGATAAATTCCTGTTGTTTAAAGCTCCGCCAGTTTATAATACTGACATTCTTGATGGCACAGAGAACCAGATTGGGTAGAGGATACATTAACGTCAATGGCAATGAGATAAAGAAGGTTTCTGAGGAGTCAGGCCTTCAATGTGAAGTTGTTGTGGGAAGGCATTAGTGGATGTAGTTGGCATTTATATATCCCGTTTTACATATGTACTAGACTGATGGATCCATCTACTTCAAAGCAAATATACATCATAGGTATATTTGCCAATATTAGCCTAAAAAGGCTCTTTCAAGGACTGAAAAATAAAGCTCTCTAAGCAGGGAGAAGACAAAATGTGTAAGCACAACAGTGTGAAGTCATGTACACGGGGCAGCACATTTTAGCATCTTTGTGGTACACGAAAGAATGGCGTGTTTGGAAACAATGGAATACAGGTTTGAATATAATGTGGCCAGCTAGGTGTCTACCCTTCTACCTTTTTTTTTTTTTTTTTTTTTTTTGAGACAGAGTCTTACTCTGTCACCCAGGCGAGAGTGCAGTGGCACAATCTCAGCTGACTGCAACCTTCACCTCCCAGGTTCAAGCAATTCTCCTGCCTCAGCCTCCTCAGCTGGGATTACAGGCGTGCACCACCACGCCTGGCTAATTTTTGTATTTTTAGTAGAGATGAGGTTTCACCATGTTGGCCAGGCTGGTCTCAAACTCCTGACCTCAAGTGATCTGCCTGCCTCGGTCTCCCAAAGTGCTGGGATTACAGGTGAGAGCCACTGCGCCTGGCCTTATCCTTCTTGGATGCATTGTCTGAAGGTAAAATTCAAACCTGAGTCCACACAATGGAATATATTCAGCCATGGAAAGGAATGAAACATTTCCACAACACAGATGAACCTCAGAGGCATCATGCTAAGTAAAAACAAAAAAACTCCACATATTGCATGATTTCATTTACATAAATGTCTAGAGTAGGAAAATATACAATGATACAAAATAATTTTGTGGCCAGGCATGGTGGCTCACGCCTGGAATCCCAGCACTTTGGGAGGCCCAGCTGGGAGGACTGCTTGAGTTCAGGAGTTTCAGACCAGCCTGGGCAACATAACAAGACCCTATCTTTACAAAAGATAATTTTAAAAATTAAATAATAAACAAATCAAAAATAAGTTTTTGGGTGATGGATGTTAGCACGGGGGAAAAGGGAGTGACTGCTATGAGTAGAGGATTTTTTTGTGAGGTGATGAAATGTTCTGAAATAAACAGTGGTGGACCACATGTGGTGGCTCATGCCTGCTGTCATCCCAGCACCTTGGGATGCCAACGTGGGAGGATCACTTGAGGTGAGGAGTTTGAGACCAGCCTGGGCAACATGGCAAAACCCCATCTCTACAAAAATACAAAAATTAGCCAGGAGTGGTTGCATGCACCTGTAGTCCCAGCTACTTATGATCGCTGAGACAGGAGGATCACTTGAGCCCAGGAGGCAAAGGTTGCGGTGAGCCAAGATCGTACCACTGTACTCCAGCCTGGGAGATAGAGCCAGACTGTCTCAATAAAAATAAATAAAAATAATAACAATAAATTTTACGAATGAAAATAGTGATTGTAAAACAAAAATAAAATTCTAAGGACCCCCAACCATCTGAATGGACTTCCTCCTCACCCAGAGCTCTTTAAAAACTTAACCTGAGAGGCTGTTTCAGGCCGTGACAGGAAGCGGGAGTCGAACATGCCTCATGATTCCTCTCTGGCATTAACATCCACACAGCCTTTAGGTCTGATAAGAAGCATGTTACAACCTCTTGTCTCTGAAGCCTAGTACCTGAAGGCTTCCTCTGCAAATAAGAACTTGGGTGTCCACAATCTTTTTTTTTTTTTTTTTTTTTTTTTGAGATGGAGTTTCGCTTTGTCGCCCAGGCTGGAGTACAGTGGCACAGTCTTGGCTCACTGCAACCTCCGCCTCCCAGGTTCAACGGATTCTCCTGCCTCAGCCTCCCAAGTAGCTGGGATTACAGGCACGCACCACCACACCCAGCTAATTTTTGTATTTTTAGTAGAGACAGAGTTTCACCATGTTGGCCAGGCTGGTCTCGAACTCCTAACCTCAAGTGATCCACCCGCCTTGGCCTCCCAAAGCGTTGGGATTACAAGTGTGAGCCACTGTGCCTGGCCTCCACAATCCTTTATCTTAACCCAGACATTCCTTTCTGTTGATCCCAGGTCTTTAGAGAAACAACGAATTGTCAACCAGGAAATGTTTAAATCTACCTGTAGGCTGGAAGCCCCGTGGCTTTGAGTTGTCCCACCTTTCTGGACCAAACCAATGTGTCTCTTAAATGTATTTGATTGCTGTCTCATGCCTCCCTAAAATGTATAAAACCAAGCTGCGCCTTGACCATCTTGGGCACACGTTCTCGGGACCTCCTGAGGGCTGTGTCACAGGCCATGGTCACTCCTATTTGGCTCAGAATAAACCTCTTCAAATGTTTTACAGAGTTTAGCTCTTTTCATCGACATGATGATGGTTACACAACTCTGATAATCTACTAAAAATTCCTTAATTGTGCACAAAAACGTGGCAGGCCACGTCTCACTAACACAGGCCTCCGTAACAACTGTTTCAGCACTGACGAGTGGTGAAGTTAAATAGCAAAAGCTGAAACAACCAGCGCCTGTATACAAAGGCCGGGATGTCACAAAAGCCCCCCAGGAGTTCTGCCCAGGCCTCTCCTGGGCCTTGAAGCGTGACAAGATAACCAAGGAATTCTTAGCAGGACCCTTTTAGGATTAAACAAGTTTTATTAGAGGTCTGAAACAACTCCCCAGACCTCCGCGATTTAGCAGGAGACAAGGTAAGGGTAATCAGCCCTGGCACCTGGACCCATTTATTTATTTGTTTATTTATTTATTTTATTATTTTTGTTGTTGAGATGGAGACTCTCTCTATTGCTTAGGCTGGAGTGCAGTGGCGCGATCTCAGCTCACTGCAACCTCCGCCTCCCAGGTTCAAGCGATTCTTCTGCCTCAGCCTCCTGAGTAGCTGGGACTACAGGCGTGTGCCACCATGCCCGGCTAATTTTTGTATTTTTAGTAGAGGCGAGGTTTCACCATGTTGGCCAGGTTGGCCTCAAATTCCTGACTTCAGGTGATCCACGCACCTCGGCTTCCCAAAGTGCTGGGATTACAGGCATGAACCACCGTGCCCGGCCACCTGGACCCATTTAGATTAAGTCAATTTACTTAGTCTCCAGAGGAGGGTCTCCGGGACTCAGACCTTAGTTACAGATTAGAAGAAGTTCATCACTAATGTCTTTAGATGAGTGCACACTTACACGCAGACATACAGCTTAGAAATAGAAGCTCTGGAGAACTTTGTAATTTTGAGTTGGTCTGGCAACAATTTCCAGACCTCCCTGTAACCGGTTACAGAAATAAACTCCCTCCTCTCCCAGTTCATCTGCATCTCATTTTTGAACCACCAGAATAAGCAGCCTGACCCTCAGTTTGGTCCAGGAACAAAAATTCAAACTGGAGTATGTCAAATTACCACTTTTGCCCTGGATAGGAAAAATCACTGTCCCTGAGCAATAATATTGACCCTCCTGGAATAGATTGCCCTGCTGGGAATTGCAGGGAAGAGATAAACTTGCAAGATGAAGATCTGGGAGCATCTCAGTCTTACCTTTATAAATTCCATTCCAGCCACCATACTGGGTGTTTCCAAGTTGATTCTCTAGGGAACCGCCGTGATCCGACGTAAAATAAATGAGGGTGCTGTTGCTCAAACCCTCCACGTCCAAAGTGTCAAGGATCCGTCCTGCAAAGAACAGATGTTTTTGGGGCCGTCGAAATGGAAAAATATCAGAAATGCAGCTCTGAAGTGTATGCTTTAGCATTCGGGGGCTAGCCACAAGAATGAAGCCTTAGTTTTAACGCATAATGGAAGTCAGCTGTTGGATAATTTTGATATCCTTTGTTGGAGATTGATGTATGACTTTATATGCACCCCATCCTTTGGTCAGAATTTTAGGCAACGTACAAGGACAAAATATCAAAAACTTAAAAGTGCAGCATGCAGGCTGGGCACAGTGGCTCACACTTGTAATCCCAGCACTTTAGGAGGCCGAGGCAGGAGGATCATTTGGGGTCAGGAGTTGTAGACCAGCCTGGCCAACATGATGAAACTACATCTCTACTAAAAATACAAAAATTAGCCGGGCGTGGTGGCACATGCTTGTAGTACCAGCTACTTGGGAGGCTGAGGCAGGAGAATAGCTTAAACCCGGGAAGTGGAGATTGCTGTGAGCTGAGATCACGCCACTGCGCTCCAGCCTGGGTGACAGAGTGAGACTCGGTCTCAAAAAAAAAAAAAAAAAAAAAAAAAAAAAAGTGAGGCATGTGAATATTCCTGAGAAGAAAGCATAGACTGAAAATGCAGACCAGTCCTCAAAAGTGACCCTGAGCTTCTTGCAGCCACACACAAGGGAACTCATGTCATTAATGTCACTCACAGTTGGCCGGGCACAGTGGCTCATGCCTGAAATCTCAGCAATTTGAGAGGCTGAGGTGGGAGGCTCTTTGAGCCTATGAGTTTGAGACCAGCCTGAACAACACAGCAAGAACTTGTCTCTACAAATAATAAAAAAATTAGCCGGGTGTGGTAGTGCACACCTGTGGTCCCAGGTACTTGGGAGGCTGAGGTGGGAGGATTGCTTGAGCCTGGGAAGGCAGGGTGCAGTGAGCCACGGTTGCACCACTGCACTCCAGCCTGGGTAAGAGTGAGACCCTGTCGGCCAGGCGCAGTGGCTCATCCCTGTAATCCCAGCACTTTGGGAGGCTGAGGCGGGCGGATCACAAGGTCAGCAGTTCGAGACCAGCCTGGCCAACATGGTGAAACCCCATCTCTACTAAAAGTACAAAAATTAGCCAGGCATGGTGGCGGGTGCCTGTAAACCCAGCTACTCCGGAGGCTGAGGCAGGAGAATTGCTTGAACCCGGGAGGCGGAGGTTGCAGTGAGCTGAGACCGTGCCATTGCACTCCAGCCTGGGCAACAGAGTGAGACTCGGTCTCAAAAAAAAAACAAAAAAAACAAAAAAAAAAAAACAAAACAAAAAGTGAGACCCTGCCACACACACACACACAATTAACTTTTTCTCCTTCCATGCCTAGCTTGTTGAGGAAACAATTTTTTTTTTTTAAATACGTCGTTCACCCAAATCTCTGATGGCAATTATTCTGAGGATCCTGGGATTCGCAGCCCACCACCACCTAAACCCTGCGGTTCCTAAGTTCTTTTTTGGGAGGCAGGGATGTGCTGTGCCCATATACAGGTGCTCACCCAGCCCTGACTCACTCAAGCAATATTCCCCTTCCATCCTGTTCTAAACCCAGGAAATATAATGAGGGAATGAGGCAAGACAATCCGGCCCCACAGGAGTTTATATTCCCCTGGGGGAAATGGAAAATCAACCTACCTAACACATGGTCACGAAGAGAAGCAATGGTGATGCTGTGTTAGGAAAAAAAGAAGAAAGAAGACAGAAAGAAGAAAGAAGAAGAAGAGGAAGAAGTGGAAGAGGAAGAAGAAGGAGGAGGAGGAGGAGGAATATGAAGAAGAAGAATAAGAAGAAGAAGAAGAAGAAGAGGGGGAGGAGGAGAAAGGAGGAAGAGGAGGAGGAAAACAAAGGCAAAACAAAAAAGGACCACAGGAGAATGGGGGAGAAGATGATTGGGGAGGAGCTACTTTAGGGGTGCGTCAGGGCAGGCTCTGAAGAGGAGCCAGTGAAGCCTGAGGAAGCATTCCAGGAGGGAACAGCAGGTGTGGAAGCCCTGACAGGGGACAAATGTGAAAGATACTGTGTGGCGTCCACGTGGCCAGAATGCAGCAGGTGGGGAGGACAAGGGGGTTGGGTAGAGGTCAGACTAGGATCTGGGCAGCAGCAGGTCATGGGGCTTTTGTAGGTGATAGGAGGAAATTTAGTCCTATTTTCAGTGCAGTGGAGCCACTAGCCACTCTACAGCGGAGAGGAATTTTATCTGCTCTTTCTTTTGTTTGTCTACCACATGGCAATAGGACGTAGACATCTTTGGGGCCAAAATTCTGTATGCCACTTGGGAATTCAGACGTGGAAATCTCTGAGGTCATTATTCTCTCTAACACATGGGGATTAAGACGTGGACATCTTTGGAGTCATTATTCTGTCTAGCACATGGGGATTAGGATGTGGACATCTTTGGGGCCATTATTCTGTCTCCCACATGGGGATTAGAAAGTGGCTATCTTTGGGGCCATTTTTATGTCTACCACATCAAGATTAGGACGTGGATGTCTCTGCAGCCATTATTCTGTCTAGGGAGTGGACAGCTTTCTGCCACATGGGATTAAGATGTGGACATCTTTGGCCGAATCGCATTGCCTCCCGTGCATGTGTTATGGAATTCACCCTCTGCTAATGCAGTGAAGATCTGTGCTATAATATTTTGCACTCTTAAAATCCAATCGCACTGCAATCGCTATTCTGCATCTTCTGTCTTTAACCTTCTCATTCTTTGTTTCCTTTCCTGCTTCTATTGCTGGAAGGGAAGCAGCCCATTTTCCCTGGAAGTGCACTTACCTACCATCCAGTCCATCTCCTCTACGTTGTCCCCATACAGCCCGTGGAGACTCTTCCCGAGGAAGTTCTCCATAGTGATAAGAGGGATGTGAACGTGTAGAAAGGAAACAAAGAGGAGGAAAGGCCCATGCTTATTCCTAAAAATAAATACGAAGCAATTAAGGTGACTTTTTTGGTAAAACAGAGATTGAAGTCCTGTAGATACTAAATACGGATCTCACTTGTCACATCATTACTCAAATGTCTTCTCAACTCTGCTCACCAAAAAGAAACACTCAAAACTCTTCTTCAACGGAAAATTAATTCTTATATTTAACAATCTTCCTTTTTTTTTTTTTTTTTTTTTTTTGGCTATTTTAAAGACAGGGCCTTGCTCTGTTACCCAGGCTGGAGTGCAGTGACATGATCTCAGCTCACTGCAGCCTCAATCTCCCAGGCTCAAGTGATCCTCCCACCTCAGCCTCCCAAGTAGCTGGGGCCACAGGCATGTGCTAACAGGCCCAGCTAATTTTTTTTTTTTTTTTTTTTTTTTTTTGTAGAGACAGGGTCTCACTATGTTTACTAGGCTGGTCTTGAACTCCTCGGCTCAAGTGACCTGCCCCTGCCCATCTCGGCCTTCCAAAGTGTTGGGATTACAGGCGTGAGCCACCATGCCTTTCTGGTCTGTTACCTCTCTCTGTTTTTCATTTTGAGACGGATTGTGGCTCTGTCGCCCAGGCGGGGGTGCAGTGGCACGATCTCAGCTCACTGCAACCTCTGCCTCCCAGGTTCAAGCAATTCTCCTGCCTCAGCCTCCCAAGTAGCTGGGATCACAGGCATGCACCACAACACACGTCTTGTTTAAGACTCTTTAACATCATGACTTTTCCCTTCCCTTCTGAAATCTATTTAAAAATCCACACTGGGCCAGGCGTGGTGGCTCACACCTGCAATCCCAGCATTTTGGGAGGCTGAGGCAGGAGCATTGCTTCAGCCTAGGAGTTCAAGACCAGCATGGGAAACATAGCAAGACCCCATCTCTACTAAAAATACAAAAATTAGCGGGATGTGGTGACATGCACCTGTACTCCCAACTGCTCAGGAGGGTGGGGTGGGAGGATTGCTTGACCCTGGGAGGAGGAGGTTGCGGTGAGCTGAGATTGCGCCACTGCACTTCAGCCTGGACAACCGGATTGAAATCCTGTCTCAAAATAAATAAATAAATAAATAAAAACCCACACTGATCTAATGCATCTTTTCCCCCCCGAATATTATAATGTTCTAACTCTACTGCTTAATGCAAAGTTAAAAGAACTGTAGGTTACTGACATGACTTTTATTTTGTTCAATTATTTCAATATCTATTTTTAACCTCAAGCTTTAGCTTATAGAATAAGTGGTGCCACACATTCCATTTTCTTTATAATTGCTATCACGTAGTGAGGATTAGGACATAAAATAGTTATAAAAAACACACTTTACAAATGAGGCATATTGGGTTATTCATATTATTTCCATTGTCCTCCTTGAAAGCAGTGTTTTAGCTTCTCCCTCCCTTCACCCGGCCTTCATGGTCTAATCTAGATCCTTGAAGCCTAAGAGCAATGGTGAAGGTGTTAGCCTTAATTAGAACACGTCAGGCTGGGCATGGTGTCTCATGCCTGTAATCTCAGCACTTTGGGAGGCTGAGGCAGGAGGATCACTTGAGCCCAGGAGTTCGAGACCAGCCTGGGCAACATAGCCAGATCCTGTCACATTTAAAATCAAAAAGAACACAACAGTCTTACCCTGCTTTAATTTGCAAGCTAATTGTCAATGTCCTTTCTGTCATACATTAGGTATTGCCATGAAGAACTCTCTAAGAGGCTGGATGCAGTGGCTCACGCCTGTAATCCCAGCACTTTGGGAAGCCAAGGCGGGTAGATCACTTGAGGTCAGGAGTTCAAGACCAGCCTGGCCAACATGGCAAAACCCATCTCTATTAAAAATATAAAAGTTATCTGAGCATGGTGGTGCATGCCTGTAATCCCAGCTACTTGGGAGGCTGAGGTACAGGAATTGCTTGAACTCAGGAGCGGAGGTCGCAGTGAGCCAAGATTGCACCACTGCAGTCCGGCCTGGGCCATAGCTCGAGACTCTGTCTCAAAAAAAAAAAGAAAAAAATTATCTAAGAATGTTGTAGGAGATGATGACAACCTCATTGTCACCAGGTAAGGTGACTTTTGATGGTGTTACCATCTTTACTAGAATGCCCTTGGGGAGCATGAAAATAGCTGTGTAGTACTGAGAACTAGTTTCATCCCATTTCTCCTGGTCCCACACAGGAATTTTCCTTGCCATAAAATTGACCGCAGGCTGAATTCTGCCAAAAGACATCTGACTTCTGAAGATAGACTTTTTTTTAAGTTTATAATTGATTATAAAGCCCTTCAGGTGATGCAGGTTACTTAAATAGTGTCTGTGGTGATCCGAGGATGCTAATGGAATAAGACTGACCCCAGAGTAGTAGCAAATTCCAGCTGACCTGTAACAATTTCTTTTTGAGACAAGGCCTTGCTCTGTCGCCCAGGCTCCCTTCATAGCCTCACTACATAGCCTCAACCTCCTGGGCTCAAGTGATCCTCCTGCCTCAGCCTCCCAAGTAGCTGGGCCTACAAGTCCATGCCACCACAGCCAGCTAATTTTTAAAATTTTTGTGGAAATGGGGTCTTGCTGTGTTGTCCAGGCTGGTCTCTAACTCCTGGCCTCAAATTATCCTCTTGCCTCAGTCTCCCGAGTAGCTGGGATAACAGGTGTGTACCACTATGCCCAGCTCAGCTGTAACAATGTTTTAATGGACACAAGGCAAGTCACAGGGCTCCACTGACCCTCATCTATGCCCCATTCTTACCAAAAAATTGTCCTTCTAGGTCATGGCTATCCCATTCTTCAAACGTCAATTAAAGAAAACGACTTTTTTTTTTTGAGACAGGTTCTCCCTGTGTCACCCAGGCTGGAGTGCAGTGATGTGACCTCACCTCCCTGCAACCTCCACCTCCCAGGTTCAAGGGATTCTCCCACCTCAGCCTCCCGAGTAGCTGGGATTACAGGCATGCACCTGTAAAGCCCCACATTGGGCTAATTTTTGTATTTTTAGTAGAGACGGGGTTTCACCATGTTGGCCAGGCTGGTCTCGAACTCCTGACCTCAGGCGATCCTCCCACCTCAGCCTCCAAAAGCACTGGGATTACAGGAATGAGCCACCATGCCTGACTGAAGAAGACTATTTAGGATGCGTTTTCATTCCAAAGCTGAGTGCTTGGAGGAAGCTGACCCTTTTCTGCTGACCTTTTGAGAAAGGACGCAACCTCCTGCAGAATAAGGGGTGTCGTTCTTTGGAAGCACATGGGCTGCTCCGTGATGGTGTGGTTTCTCATCAGAAAGCAATCGGCATGGACAATCAGAGCACCCACAAAATAGGAGCTTGCGAGGAGGAGGACGGCCGAAAGGGCTGACCAGATGACCGGCATCCACGAGACGGGTATCAGGTGTGTGAGCTTCCCTGCTACCAGTGTGAGGGCAACCAAGGCCAGGACTTGGAAGAGGAAGTTGAGTTTTTGTTCCAGGTTGACACGCTTCTCTGAGAGTTCCCAGCGGGCGCAATCACCCATCAAGGAGAAAGGCATTCCGTAGAAATGGTCAAAGCCATGATGGAGAGGGTGGTGGCAATGATCACTGGCTGACTCACAGTTGAGACCCAGATGCCATTTTCCTGAGAGGCAAAAAGGATGTTGATGTGACAAGCATCTGAGCATAACTGGACATGTCGATATTGACTGTTTGTCACATTCCTGATACTCTGTTAGACACTGGGGGGCCAGGAGATTGCAAAGAAGTGTGGGCAGCATTAGCTGTTATTTGCACCACAATCTGGCCTCATCGTTTCAGGGGAATGAGGACCCCATGTGTCAGCTTTAACCAAAATATTAGTTACCCGTGACAGGTGGAACAAATTACTGTAAAACTGTTCACTTAATACAACAGAAATCTATCCTCTCCCAGTCCTAGAGACCAGGAGTCTGAGATCAAAGTGTCTCCAGGCCACACTCAAATTGGAGGCTCTAGGGGAGGATCCTTCCTGCCTCTCCCAGCTCCTGAGGGCTCCAGGCCTCCCTGGGCTTGTGGCCGCATCACTCCAGTCTCCATCTCCATGTTTCCATGGCGTTGTCCTCTGTGTGTGTCTGCGACCTAATCTCTTGTCTCATAAGGACAGCAGTCATCGCAGTAGGGCCCACTGTAGAGACCTCATCTTTACTTGATTATATCTGCAATGACTCTATTGTGAGCTGGATCCTGGCCTGCCTCAAATTCATGAGTTGAAGCCCTAACACCCAGGACCTCAGAATGTGACTGTGTTTGGAGACAGGGTGTTCAAAGGATAATTAATGTAAAATGAGGTCATTAGTTTGGGCACTGATATGGTTTGGCTGTGTCCTCATGCAAATCTCACCTTGAATTGTAATAATCCCTATGTGTCAAGAGTGGAGCCAGGTGGAGATAATTGAATCATGGAGGTGGTTTCCCCTACACTGTTCTCATGGTAGTGAATGAGTCTCACAAGATCTGATGGTTTTATAAATGGGAGTTCCCCTGCACATGCCCTCTTGCCTGCCGCCATGAAAGACATGCCTTTGCTTCTCCTTTGCCTTCCACCATGATTGTGAGGCCTCCCCAGCCATGTGAAACTGGAAGTCCATTAAACCTCTTTTCTTTATAAATTACCCAGTCTTGGGTATGTCTTTATTAGCAGCGTGAGAACAGACTAATACAGGCCTTAATCTGATAGAACTTGTGTCCTATAAGAAGAGGATAGTAGGACACAGACACACACATACTCTCTCCAGAGGCTCTAGGGGAGGATCCTTCCTGCCTCTCCCAGCTCCTGGTGGCTCCAGCTATCCCTTGGCTTGTGGTCGCCTCACTTTAATCACACTGCTTTCTCCTCTCTGTGGCCCAATCTTCCTCTACCTCCATGTTAAACGAAGCCTTGTCCTTGCACAGTGGGCCCAGCTGGATAATTCAGGATCATCTTCTCACCTCAAGATTGTTCACTTAATCACATTTACAAAGACTCTTTTTGCATATAAGCTAATATTTGCTAGATTCAGAGGTTAGGGCCTGACATCTCTGGGACCATTATTTAGTCTATTGCACCTTGTTTTGCAGTGCAATGATGAAGGCCGGAAAGCACCATGTGATATCAGCAGCATGGGCAAAAGACTTCTGGACTTTGGAATTGTTCTCTCTTTGAGAAACCACTATCATAGTGGCCATGGTTGAAGTGGGTGGTGGGTTTTGCAAGGCACACCTTTCAAATTCAGTCAAAGGAATATAGTCTTTGCTTCCATGTAGCCACTACTATGGTGTTGACAAAGAGATGTCAACCACCCCAATGCTGTCTGCCATCTGGAAAACCTCATGATTTCCCAATGGATATCCCTTAAGGATAGACTCTTCTGTCTTAGAAAAATTATAGTTGGCCAGGCATGGTGGTTCACAACTATAATCCCAGCACTTTGGGAGGCCGAGGTGAGAGGATTCCTTGTGCCCAGGATTGCTGGAGACCAGCCTGGGTAGCATGGGAAGACCCCATCTCTACAAAAAAAAAAAAAAAAAAAAAGAAAAAAAAGAAAAAATTAACCGGGCATGGTGGTGCAAGCCTGTAGTACCAACTGCTTGGGAGACTAAGGTGGGAGGATCACTTGAGTCTGGGAGGTCGAGACTGCAGTGAGCTGTGACTGCACCATTGCCCTCTAGCCTGAGTAACAGAGTGAGTACCCTGTTTAAAAAAAAAAAAAAAGTCTATTGGAAAAAATACACCTTTGTTTGACAGCGATGACTGAATCTCCCCAGAATTTGTTTTTTTTTTTTTTTTGGTAAAAAATTAAACAAAGAACATTTTATAATTTTTAATTTTTAGAAATATAGTTTATTGAATTTTATACTCATTGTATCCACTAGTCATGTTGTTTGTTATCAATAAATGGAACTGTTGATAACAATCATTACTATAACACAATAATGATAATGGCAACTTGGTCTCCTCTCAAGGAACTGTTGTCATTAATTTTATTTTTCATCCAATACATGACATGTTTGTTGACTTGTAGAAAAATAACCATGTTAGTTATGGAAGCTGACAGGGAGGTACTAAATCTAGTAAAGACATTTTCATACACACCAAGGGGAAAAATAGGTAGCATTACAGAAATTTTTGATGCAAGAATATATTTTTTCTTATTTTTTTTTATCATGGCCTACGAGAACATTGTTTGAGATGCCAAATATTTCATTAAGTTGATGTTCCTTTTCTTTCTTTCTTTTTCTTTTTCGTAGAGACAGGGTTTCGCCATGCTGCCCAGGCTGGTCTCAAAGTCCTGGCCTCAAGCGATCCACCCACCTTGGCCTCCCAAAGTGCTGGGATTACAGGCATGAGCCACCGCGCCTGACCAGAGTCACTTTTGTAAGGGCACTAATCCCACACATGAGGCTCCACCTTCACGACCTCATCACTTCCCAAAGGCTTCACCTCCTGCCACCATCACCTGGGGGGTAAGGGTTTCAACATAGGAATTTTAGGGGGACACAAACATTTAGATGGCAGCACTAAACTAGCCAAGTTGATCCATAAACCAACCAGAAAAGAGCTGAAGGTGTTCAGTCTAAGACATTCATGTCTAAGACAAAAAGTCCATGTGAAGGGTGGGAGAGGATCCCACAGAACAAAGAAGCAATTATGTGTTGTGCAATGGAGCTTGGAACATATGCCATAGGCATGAGCACATTTTATTTATTTTTTAATTTATTTTTATGTATTTTTTTGTAGACGTGGGGTCTTGCTATGTTGCCCAGGCGGGTTTCAAACTTCTGGGCTCAAGCAATCCTTCCGCCTCGGCCTCTCAAAGTACTGGGATTATAGGCATGAGCCACCTTGCCTGAGCTGGTATTTCTTGAGTATCTACTTTGCAGAAAACAACCTGGAAAGGAACATGGTTCCTAGATACATGCAGCTTTCTGTCTAGTGGGAAATCCCACAGCACCTCACCCACTTTCCTTTCCAAACTCTTTAGCTGAATGTCCCTTCCATATAAAAGTCATGTGCTTACCACTTTTAAAAACGTACATACCAATGAGTCCAGTGGCATAGCCTTTCTCTTTCAGTATTTTTGCAAAAGTTGTCTCATTTGTTGGAAGACCTCCAGATGCTCCGGTCCACTGAAGAACACGGTAACCAATGCTGGAAACCATCCCTTTGAGCAATTATTAAGAGAAAGAATTACTGTTCCACATTTTTTTTCCTGTTTGTTATTTATTATTTATTCAAAAATAGAACACTTGGTAAAAATCTCTCTTACTTAAAATTAAATTGAAAATGGACTTCCTATATGACTTTGCCTAGTGGATTGCATTTTTGGCAGCAAAGTAAATGATTAATTTATTGAAAACCTTAGCGAGAAGATGGACTTTCCTGTTATGTGCAGGTTATAAGCAATATAATTCAGTGAAAAAGGACTAAAAATTTAAATGGTTTTTTGTTTGTTAATTAATTTATTTAAAGATGGGGTCTTGTTCTGTCGTCCAGGCTGGAATGCAGTGGTGTAATCAATGTCCACTGCAGTCTCAACCACCTGGGCTCAAACGATCCTCCCACCTCAGCTACCTGAGTAGCTGGGACTACAGGTGTGCACCACCACACCTGGCTAATTTTTAAATTTTTTGCAGAGACAGGGTCTCACTCTGTCACCCAGGCTTGAGTGCAGTGGCATGACTATAGATCACTGCAGCCTTGAACTCCTGGGCTCAACTGATCCTCCCACTTCAGTCTCTCAAGTAGCTGGGACTATAGGGGCTCATCACCATGCCTAGCTAATATTTTTAATTTTTTGGCAGAGACGGGGTCTCACTATGTTGCCCAGGCTGGTCTTGAACTCCTAGACTCAAGTAAATCCTCCCACCTCAGCCTCCTAAAGTGTTGGGATTAGAAACATGAGCCATTGTGCCTGAACTAAAAATGATTTTATAATTTCATCAAACTCTTGATATAATCTAAAGGTTCTCAAAGTTGTCTGCCCATTGGAATCGTGTGGGGAGCTTCAAAATATTCTGACGCCTGGTTATCACCCCAGGGGTGCTAATTTTCATTGGTCTTGGGTGGAACTTGGGCTTTGGGATGGTGGGAATATCCTCTGGATGATTCTAACGTACTGACAAGGTTGGTAGCCACTGATAAAATTTTATTCTGCTCTCCAGACATTCCAAATCTCTACCCAAGGGTTTTTTTGTTTGTTTGTTTGTTTTGGGACAGAGTCTTGCTCTGTCACCCAGGCTGGAGTGCAGTGGCGCCATCTCGGCTCACTGCAATCTCCGCCTCCCGGGTTCAAGCAATTATACTGCCTCAGCCTTCCAAGTAGCTGGGATTACAGGCACTCATCATCACGCCCAGCTAATTTTTGTATTTTCAGTAGAGACGGAGTTTCCCCATGTTGGTCAGGCTGGTCTTGAACTCCTGACCTCAGGTGATCTGCCTGCCTCAGCCTCTCAAAGTGCTGGGATTATAGGCATGAGCCACCGTGCCCAGCCTCTACCCAAGTGCTTTAAAATGTAGGTGTTATGTATTATTATTATTAAGGTTTTATCATTCAGCTATGGCAAGGCCAACAGATCAGGAGATGACTGTCATTGGAGAGATAGTTTATTACTCACAGTTTCTGATAGTTTATTACTCACAGTTCAAGAGGACGCAGGGGTGAGCCATGCTGTGTGACTATATGGGGAAGCTCCAGGGTTGGTCAGGAGGCAGAGGGAGTGAGGGGAAAGCATGGAAAAAGCCTTTCTTATTTATTGTTTTTCTTTTTTGGAAAGTAATGGGCAAGGTAGGGTAAGCCGGCTTAAGACTGGCCAGGTTGTACAATTTCCGTGGGCTTTCATCTGCAGGGGCTGTCCCTAGAAAGCTGGTACCTGATTCTGGGGGGATTAGGGCAAGGAGAGAGTAGCCCCATATATGAAAATCTCATAAAAGTGATGGTTGGGGGTGTGGGCTCTGGACTGTTTGGTTTATGCATGAAAGGTGCACTCCCAGGTGACTTGTTTGCTATCTCTAAGAATTGGCTAGCCCTGGGAGGGCCAGTCCTGCCAAGGTCAGCAAAGCCCTAAGATGTCAAAGCATCAGAATATAAAAGCTGCCTGGGCACGGTGGCTCATGCCTGTAATCCCAGCACTCTGGGAGGTCAAGGAGCGGGGATCTTTTGAGCCCAGCATTTCAAGACCAGCATGGGCAAGATAGAGAGAACACCCCCCAGTCTCTATTTAAATAAAAAATAAAAAAACCAAAATGTAAGAACTAGAAACTGTGACGAATACACCAGGCTGCACCCTAGTGCAGTTGTAAAGAGAGACTGACCTGATCGCACAGGGTATCTGCCCGTGAGGAAGGCGGCTCTGCTTGGGGTGCACAAAGATGCGGCAGAGATGTGTTGGGTCAGCTTCACGCCGTCCTCTGCAAGGCGGTCAATATTCGGAGTCCTATGGAGGGACAAATTAACAGCTTTACTTGTTAAAATTAGACAGGCTTTTCATAAGCATAGCTACATGCTACTTCATAGAAGGTCTGCTGGTCATCGCTGAGTGCTTCAAGATGTTCTCAGGAATGACCCAAAGGTAATGTCAAAGATTTCTAATGTCTTCTGAACTTTCGAGGAAACATCAACTCATTTAAATAGGAATGAGTGGCTGGACGCGGTGGCTCATGCCTGTAATCCCAGCACTTTGGAAAGCCACAGCGGGAGGATCGTTTAGGGCCAGGAGTTCAAGACCAGCCGGGCCAACATGGCGAGACCCTGTCTCTACAAAAAAATCTACAAAAATAGAAAAATTAGCCAGGATTGGTGGTGCATGTCTGTAGAACCAGCTACTTGGGAGACTGAGGAAGGAGGATTGCTTGAGCTCAGGAGTTTGAAGCTGCAGTGAGCTGTGATTGCAACACTGCACTTCAACCTGGGTGACAGAGAGACAACCTGTCTCTAAAATAAATAAATGAATGAGTAGATAGAGTGACTAAGTTTCCACAAGGCACTGTTGGTACTGAGAGACCGACCTCAGAGGGAATGCAGAACTGAGAGCCCAGGGCACCTTCTCTGGAGCTCACAGTGTTCATGGGAAGGTTTGACTTCATGGACGCCAACACACTGTAAGTACTACATGAGGGTGGAAGGCTGGAATTCGGACAGGAGGACGGACTAGCTCTAGCTCTTGACAGATGGACACGCCATATTTTGGCATTAGGAGGGTGTGGACTTGTCTGTCTGAAGCAGAGCTTTTCAGCAGGGGAGGATTGAAATCCCGCATAAGTGCTGGGCTTGGCTAGATGGATAGGGTTGGGAGTGAGACAGAGATCAATATTGGTCTTCTGCTTACAGGCAACGACACTGATTTCTCCTGTATGTTTGTTTATTTGTTTGTATTTTGAGACTGAGTCTCACTCTGTCACCCAGGCTGGAGTGCAGTGGCACTATTTGAGTCTCACTACAACCTCCCCCTCCCGGGTTCAAGTGATTCTCCTGCCTCAGCCTCCCAAGTAGCTGGGATTACAGGTGCCCGCCACCATGCCCAGCTAATTTTTGTATTTTTAGTAGAGACGGGGGTTTCACCATGTTGGCCAGGCTGGTCTCGAACTCCTGACCTCCAAGTGATCAGCCTGCCTTGGCCTCCCAAAGTGCTGGGATTACAGGCGTGAGCCACCACGGCCAGCCTACTTTTTGAAACAGGGTCTCTGTCGCCCAGAGTGCAGTGGTCTGATCACAGCTCACTGCAACCTTAAACTCCTGGGCTCAAGTGATCCTCCCACACCTCACCCTCTTGAATAACTAGGATTACAGGTGCATGCCATCATGCCTGGCTAATTTTTTTTTTAATTTAAAAATTAATGTGCCAGGCGTGGTGGCTCACGCCTGTAATCTCAGCACTTTGGGAGGCTGAGGCAGGCAGATCACGAGGTCAGGAGATTGAGACCATCCTGGCTAACATGATGAAACCCCGTCTCTATTAAAAATACAAAAAATTAGCGGGGTGTGGTGGTGGGCGCCTGTAGTCCAAGCTACTTGGGAGGCTGAGGCAGGAGAATGGCGTGGACCCGGGAGACGGAGCTGGCAGTGAGCCAAGATCATGCCACTGCACTCCAGCCTGGGTGACAGAGCGAGACTCCGTCTCAAAAAAAAAAAATTAATGTTTATATTTTCTAGAGACAGGATTTCACTATGTTTCCCAGGCTGGTCTTGAACTCCTGGCCTTAAGTGATCCTCCTGCCTCAGCCTCCCAAAGGGCTGGTATTACAGTCATGCCCGGCTGATAGCATTTCTAAAGCATTGTCCATTATGTACTGGGTGGATAAAAATCATATTTAAAAAATGAAATGAGGCCAGGCACAGTGGCTCACACCTGTAGTCCCAGCACTTTGGGAGGCTGAAGCGGGTGAATCACTTGAGGCCAGGAGTTCGAGACCAGCCTGGCCAATATGGCAAAACCCTGTCTCTACTAAAAATAGAAAAATTATCCAGGCATGGTGGCGGGCGCCTGTAATCCCAGCTACTCTGGAGAGTAAGGCAGGAGAATCACTGGAATCGCAGAGGCGGAGGTTGCAGTGAGCCGAGATCGCACCACTGCACTCCAGCCTGGGCAACACAGTGAGATTCTGTCTCAAAAAAAAAAAAAAAAAGAAAAGAAATGAGGCCAGGTATGGTGGTTTACATCTGCAATACCAGCACTTTGGGAGGCTGAGGTGTGTGGATCACTTGAGCCCAGAAGTTCGAGACGAGGCTGGGCAACACGGCAAAACCCCACCTCTACAAGAAACTTACAAATTACCCAAGCATGATGGTGGGCACCTGCAGTCCCAGAATTACTCGGGAGGCTGAGGCAGGAGGATCACTTGAACCTGGGAGGTCAAGGCTGCAGTGAGCTGTGATTGTACCAGTGCAGTCCAGCCTGGACCACAGAGCAAGACTTTGTCTCAGAGAAAAATAAAAAATAAAAATAAATAAATAAAAATAAAAATGAAATGAGCAGTCATATGTAGGATGGATTGAGGTGAGGTTAGTGCTGGCATGGGAAGAAAGTAACATTAGGGAGAGTTAGAAAACGCAGAAGTGCAGAACTCTTGAAGTGTGAACTGCCAAGATCAAGGGTTATATGCATTTTCAGTGGCTTCTCTTTCTTCTGGTGTCTGCATTGGGGGCACCAGGTGAGTAATTCTCTGTCCCTTGCCTCATGGTGTTGTTGCCATAGCAGCCAATGTCCCCAATGCCAAGGTCGTCCGCCATCAGAAGAAGGATGTTCGGTCGGGAGGCGGAAATGTCGCTGGAAGCTGATGGTGCCAAACTTAGCAGTACAGCGAGCATCGCTGGCAGCCAGCTCCTGAAACACAAACTGTCAGAGACTGCGTCATGCTCCTGTCCATCTCATTTGCAGAACTTGTGTATGGGGGAAGTTGGCATCACTATTTTAAGAGGTATTGATATTATCATCACATTTCAGAATAGCTTTGAGGACATCTCTTAGGCATTTGATTGTTTTTCTCTGGTTACAATTAACTGATACCGTTGATGGCTTTATTTGGCCTTGAAGTTTTTTGGGTTTTTTTTGATGCTGTAAAGTCTGTTGTTAAGTGATTAAACTCATGATTAACAGAAAGCCTTGGTGGGGTGCAGTGGCTCTCTCCTGTAATCTCAGTATTTTGTGAGGCTGCAGCGGGTGGATTGCTTTACCACAGGAGTTCAAGACCAGCCTGCGCAACATGGTGAAAACTCATCTCTACAAGAAATACACAGCTTAGCTGGGCGTGGTGGCACGTGCCTGTAGTCCCAACTCCTGGGAAGGCTGAGGTGGGAGGATCGCTTGAGCCTGGGAGGTTGAGGCTGCAGCGAGCTGAGATCGCACCACTGCAGGGCAACAGAGCAAGGCTGTCTCAAAACTACAACAGCAACAAGAAAAAGCAAAAACAGCCAGAAAGCCTGCCTTAGTCATGGTTTCTTGGATGGATCGGGTCCCCAGAACAGCTATTGCCCCTTCTCCATTCCCTCTTCTTCATTGTTCTTCCTTAAGCAAACTGTGTTGAACATAGGGAATGGAGGCTGGGGTTAGGGTTTGGACCACCCAGCAGAGCAAGGAAGAGACACAAGCTTGGGGCAAGGTGAGAACACAGTGAGCTGCTACTTCTGAGTCTATGAAAACCCTCTGTTCATTGTAGCACACAGATGAAAATACCCAGGACTGACTTCTTTAGCCCACTGGTATCTGATGAGAAGTGGGTTTGGAGGTGAAGGAGGTTCCAGCCTGGAGGAGAAAGCCCTGGTAGTTGCGTACCATGAGGGAACATTTCCGCAGGGGTTGGTGACATACAGCCTGCCACTATCATTGCTGCCTCTTTCATCGATGCCACCCTGGGAATGCACATGGACAGCAGGGCCATAGTGTCCCAATCCCCAGTGGGATGCAGTAAAGATGTAATCTGAGTCTCCAAGGTTTGTAGTAGGGGAAACCCTGATTTTCCCTGGAAAACCAGACACCTGGCCGATGGTAGCGGTTGATGCCCACCTGATTTGCAGAGAATGAAATACAATTCCTTCTGAGGCTGCCTGGGGCAACATCAAATCAAGGGAGCCTGGAGCACATCTATTAATCACGGGTCTCATGCTTCATTCTCCAGATGCAGGATAAATCACTATCAGTGCATTCTGAGAAAGCACCATCAAGAGATCCAGAAGCGGTCAGGCGTGGTGGCTCATGCCCATTATCTGAGCACGTTGGGAGGCCAAGGTGGGAGCATTGCCTGAGCCCAGGTGTTTAAGACCAGCTTGAGCAACATGGTGAGACCCTGTCTCTATATAAGAAAGGAAAAAAAATAAAGAAGGGAAGGAAGGAAGAAAGAGAGAGAGAAAGAAAGAAAGAAAGAAAGAAAGAGAAAGAAAGAAAGAAAAGAGGCCGGGCGCGGTGGCTCACGCCTGTAATCCCAGCACTTTGGGAGGCCGAGGCGGGCGGATCACGAGGTCAGGAGATCGAGACCATCCTGGCTAACACGGTGAAACCCCGTCTCTACTAAAAATACAAAAAATTAGCCGGGCGTGGTGGCAGGCGCCTGTAGTCCCAGCTACTCGGGAGGCTGAGGCAGGAGAATGGTGTGAACCCGGGAGGCGGAGCTTGCAGTGAGCCGAGATCGCGCCACTGCACTCCAGCCTGGGCGACAGAGTGAGACTCCGTCTCAAAAAAAAAAAAAAAAAAAAAAAAAAGAAGAGAAAGAAGGGAAGGAAGGAAGAGAAAGAAAGAAAGAAAGAAAGGAGACTACTAATGAGTGCATATAATTGTATCTTACCAAGAATGGTGCAGATGTAACATGTTGTCTCTCTCTCTACTTCCTGTAAGACATAAAGATGTCCACAATCACATTGACAGCAGAAATTGACCTGATTATAAATAAAACAGTAAGTAAGTAATTAGGGGAACTTTGATTCCCGTTCATGATATCAATAGCAAAAATATCTTAAAACAATGATCAAAATCTATAAAGGAATGCTCTTCCCGAGTGAAAAGGCTTCAAAAATGTTTAATACTATGTTAAGAATGTAAAACGTGTTTCAATACACAGCCAGATGGTCTTCAGAGAAAGAGGAAGAAAGTGGTCATAGGGTCTCCATCCCCTTTATCAGCTTTCATAGCCCATGAGTGATCACAAAGTGATGAGAGAATCCCAGTGTCCGGAAGCAGATTATTTTGTCTTCTGCTTCCCGAGCCCAGGGCAGGGGTGATTCCTAATGTCCAGAAATGCAGAGAGAGAGTCCTGATTTGGAAGGGGGAAGCGGGGAAAGATCAAAGCTTGGATGATACACAAAAGAATCTGAGTAGAGGGTATGAAGATCAGAAATACAATGAGAGGCTGCGCGTGGTGGCTCATGCCTGGAATCCCAGCACTTTGGGAGGCGGAAGTGGGAGGATTTGCTTGAGCCCAGGAGGTCCAGACTTGAAAACAGAACTGGGAGTGTCAGTGTGAAGGAAAAAGGCCTAGAGGACTCTGCAGGCACTGAGTGCTGCATGAAGGAGAGACGCATTCGCCTTCATTGCTAGGGGTAGGTGCTGCCGGGAGAGGGGGCGACCATTGCCCACACTTGGAAATGTTCTGTCCACAGAGGGAAACGGGCGACCCCCAAAGCACAGAGGGGCGGCCCCTCAGTCTCGCCGAGAAGTGAGGGAGAGCCCAGGGTGTAGAGCAGGAAAGGAATGAGATGGAAGATAACAATTAGAGTTGCAGGCAGCAAGAGGTCACCTTCAGGGTACTGCAGTGGTCTGACCCCATGTGGCTTGTGCATGGGACTGAGGACGAAGCTCTGATTTTTCTTTTTATCTTGCCCAAATTCCTATCTAAGGGGTCTGGAGAGTCATGCCCTACAAACCAAAAATTCTCATCAGAAGGGTTTCATTTAACTATATATTGTGACTTACTTTCCAATCTGACTCTGGCATAACATGAGACCAATAAGAAAATCAAAATATTTTACCCAAAAACATGTTTCTTTGCCATATCTTGAAATGGCCCTGCAAAGCTGTCCTTTGTGGGGAAAAATTTGCATCTGTAAAGATGTAAAGAATCTCTATTCACATAGATATTCACATCTTTTTCTACCGGACCCTTCCAATCCTGAAAAGATTGACTAAGACTCTAGCACCTTTTAAAAGTCTGAATAGGAAACAATTGTCATCTATTGTCTCTAAGGGCAGCCGCTACAAGACTTCAAAATAACCTTGGTCTCCACAATCTTTTCTCTTAACCTGAAGATTTCTTTTCTAGGGATCCCAGGGTTTTTTTTTTTTTTTTTTAATCTTTCTTTTTTATTTTTTTGAGACGGAGTCTTGCTCTGTTGCCCAGGCTGGAGTGCAATGGCGCGATCTTGGCTCACTGCAAGCTCCGCCTCCCGGGTTCAAGTGATTCTCCTGCCTCAGCCTCCTAGGATCCCAGGTCTTTAGATGAACTCAACCAATTGTCAACCAGGAAATGTTTAAATCTATGTATAAGCTGGAAGCCCCCTGACTTTGAGTTGTTCCACCTTTCTGGACCAAACCAATGTGTATCTTAAATGTATTTGATTGACACCTCATGCCTCCCTAAAATGTATAAAACAAGCTGCACCCTGACCACCTTGGGCACACGTTCTTGGGTCCTCCTGAGGGCTGTGTCATGGGCCATGGTCACTCTTATTTGGCTCAGAATAAATCTCTTCAAATATTCTACAGAGTTCGCTTCTTTTCGTTGACAGGACATGGGCATGCATAGAAGATAAAGAGACAGGAGCATGCAGATGTGTTGGGTTTCTGCCTCTGAGTAACCAGGGGAGTGACCTGGCCACTTTTAGAAGGGCCGAGCGGCCAGTGAGTGAGGACACACTGGAGCCAGCAGGCACTGAGAGCCTAGAAGTGGCCGTGGTGTCTGTCCAGGTGAAACCTGACCAAGGATAGACACAGCTGGTGTGGGAGCGGGGAGGGCAGAGAGGAGGGGTGGGCAAGGTCCGCAGGGCTGCGAAACCCCAGGGTGTGAGTGGGAGAGAAGCGATTGGTTGAGGGATTTCCCCTCAACGCCTTTTCGGGGATGCTGGGAGGGGTGTTTGCTCCTAGCAGGATTCAGGCACAAAACCAGTCTTCTGAGAAAGACAATGAGCTTTGTGAAAGGAAAATAAATCTCAAGGCCCGCAAGTCAATAAGCTAAAGGGAAAAGTCAAGCGGGGAACTGCTTAGGGCCTCTGCCTCCCATTCTAGTCAAAGTCCCCCCTTTGCTCACTGAGATAGATGCGTATCTGATTGCCTCCTTTGGAAAGGCTCATCAGAAACTCAAAAGAAGGCAACTGTTCCTCTCTCACCTATCTGTGACCTGGAAGCCCCCTCCCTGCTTACAGTCTTCCTGCCTTTGCTTCAAGTTTTCCGGCCTTTCCAGACCGAATCAATGCACTTCTTACATTATTGATGGATGTCTAACACTGAATTGCTACATCTCCAATAATTTTCTGTCTGTCGAAGAGAAAAAGACCTTAGATATCATTTGTGCTTTGTTTAGAACACAGAAGGAAGGGATAAGGTGTACGCCGTGCTCGTGAGGTTTTTTTGTTTATTTGTTCGTTTGTTTTACCCTAGAGAGCACACACAATTCTCATATTCTAAAAGTAATAGCAAAAGACGCAATTACGTTTCACCAACCTAATAGCATCTTCACCGGGAAAGAGATTGATTTAAAATTGTACATGGAGAGAAAACCAAAATGAGCATTTTAATACCCTCAGCATTGCTTTCTGACCTACAATGACATGCTGCCAATGGTCAGAAAACGGAATAAAAGCAAAATACTGTACAAATGTAATGAGAAAACCCCAAACCACCACAAACTAGGGGAAGATGGTTTTTGCAGCAATCCTGCCCAGCAGTGGTTTATCTCTGGGTGTGGAGATTTAGGAAAAGTGCTCTTTTTCTAATTTTTCTTTTCTTTTCCTTTTTTTTTTTTTTTTTTTTTTTTTGAGATAGGGTCTGGCTGTTTCACCCAGGCTGGAGAGCAATGGTGCGACCATAGTTCACTGCAGCCTCAAATTCTTGGGCTCAAGCGATCCTCCTACCTCAGCCTCCCAAGTAGCTGAAACTACAGGCACATGCCACTATGCCTGGCTATTGATTTTTTTTTTTTTAAGTAGAGGTGGGGTTTCCTCTTTTGCTCAGGCTGGTCTCAAACTCCTGGGCTCAAGCAATCCACCCGCCTCGACCTCCCAAAGTGCTGGGATTACAGACGTGAGCCACCGTGCCCGACCTAATTTTTCTTTCTCCCGCAATGTTATGTATTTATAAGTAAAAATATGAATATTTTTTCTTGGAGAAAAACGTTAAATAAATAAAGAGATGGTGATAACAGCCTTGAATGAGTTTAATTTTGGAAACTGTGACATTGAGGTGACCCAGAGCATGGGGCCTGCCCAAGGCCTCTCCTGCAGATTAGAAAACAGATCCCCCTTCTCCAGGAAAGAGCTGCATTCCTAGGCCTGTAAGTCACGGGTACGTTTCTGCTTTATCAAAACAAACTGGGCAATTATTCAGAGACAGAAAAGGGAACGGGGAGCTCTTTGTTCACCACGCTATTCATGCCTGGTCACGGAGCCCAAATCCAGCACAAATGAACATTCACAGGACTCACCTCTGCTCCTGGGCTCCTTCCTGAATCCCCGATCAAGAAGAGGAAGGTTCTCTCCCAAAGGAAGCAAGCGTGAAGGCAGAGAGCACTTGCACAAGGCTTTGAGCTGGGAATGATTAACTTCGAGTTTGTTTTTCCCAAGTCAGAAGATCAGAGAGAGTTAGGACAGACAGAGCAGACTCCCCCCACATCGCAGCATGGGGGAATCTCAAAGCCACGCCCACGTCTACCAAACCAGTGGTCAGTTTCCTTAGGTTTTTATTTTGTTTTATTTTTTGTAGAGACGGGGTTTTGCCATGTGGCCTAGGCTGGTCTCAAAGTCCTGAGCTCCAGTGATCTGCCCTCCTTGGCCTCCCGAAGTGCTGGGATTACAGATGTGAGTCACCGTATTCTGCCAGTGTCCTTAGGTTTTTAAGTGATTGCCTGTGCTGTTACACAGGGTGCTGGCTATAATATGATCATATCCAACCTGGCATGGTGGCTCATGCCTGTAATCCCAGCGCTTTGGGAGGACGAGGCAGGAAGATTGCTTGAGGCCAGGAGTTTCAGAGCAGCCTGGGCAGCAAAGTGAGATGCTGTCTCTTCAAAAATAAAAAATATTAGGCTGGGCAGTGTGGCTTATGCCCATAATCCTAGCACTTGGGGAGGTTGAGGCAGGAAGATCGCTTGAGCCCAGGACTTCGAGACCAGCCCGGGCATCATAGCAAGACCCTGTCTCTATAAATAATAAAACAATTAGCCAGGCATGGTGGCATGTGTCTCTACTGCCAGCTACTCAGGAGGCTGAGGTGGAAAGATTGTTTGAGCCTGGGAGGTTGAAGCTGCAGTTTCACTCCAGCCTGAGTGACAGAGCAAGACCCTGCCTCAAAAAAAAATGTTTTAAAGAAGTTATTTGTTGAGTGGTAAATGAAGTAAATAAGAAATAATAAAGATAAGATAAAAATAAAAAAGAAAACATTTCTTAAAGTAAATAAACAAACAAACAAAAGAAGTAAAAAGGCCAGGCGCAGTGGCTCATGCCTGTAATTCCAGCACTTTGGGAGGACGAGGTGGGCCGATCACTTGAACCCAAGAGCTCGAGACTAGCCTGGCCAACATGGTGAAACCCTGTCTCTGCTAAAAATAGAAAAATTAGCCAGGCATGGTGTCACATGCCTGTAATCCCAGCTACTCGGGAGGCTGAGGCAAGAAAATTGCTTGAACCCCGGAGTCGGAGGTTACAGTGAGGCAAGATCGCAGCATTGTACTCCAGCCTCAGCAACGGAGAGAGACTCTGTCTCAAAAATTATAGTAATAATAATAATAAACATAAGATAAAAAGAAAAAAAATAAGCAAAAAAAAAAGTAAAAAAAGGATTATTTTCAAGCAATGCTTGGTTTAAAAACATAGAAAAGACGGGCTGGGCACGGTGGCTCACGCCTGTAATCCCAGCGCTTTGGGAGGCTGAGGTGGGCTGATCACCTGAGGTCAGGTGTTTGAGACTAGCCTGGCCAACATGGCAAAACCCCGTCTGTACTAAAAATACAAAAATTAGCTGGATGTGGTGGCGTGCACCTGTAATCCCAGCTACTTGGGAGGCTGAGATAGGAGAATCGCTTGAACCCGGGAGACGGAGCTTGCAGTGAGCCGAGACTGTGCCGCTGCACTCCAGCCTGGGCGGCAGAGTGAGACTCCGTCTCAAAAAAGAAAAGACAAGACAAGACCAAGAGGGCAGGAAGCAGTTTCTGAGGCACTGCATGATCATTGCTGGGAAGTTACTCTGTAGAATGGAACCCTACGCAATGGTCCCTATTATTCAACCATCCTTGACCTACAAGGACGGGGTTTCATAGAGTTCCACCTGCTGTCTCTTCGCAACTTCATATGCAGCCACATGCTGGGTCTGTGAGAAGTCACATAGCCTACCTGATCTCACTTCCTCCTTATGTGGGGGTGGAAACCACCCTACTTCTGGGATGAGGAGCTGACACGCTGGCACACTCCAGCCTGACTCATTTTTACAAGTGGACGGTTTTGGTGGCATGTCTCAAAACGAGTATTAGGAGGGGTGTCAGAAATGTTTTCTTTTCCTGCCACAGGTGTGTGCCCTAATGGTAATTGCTTTCACTTTGTGATTTTTGGCAACAAATCTTAAGTCATTTCCTCGTAGGGGGCCTAAAGGAATATTTTCACCTATATTTTAATTTATATATTCATAATTATTATATATAATATAGTATAACTTTTGTACATCATACATAGTATAAATGTATCACATAAAATATGTAAATAAGGCTGGGTGTGGTGGCTCACGCCTATAATCCCAGCACTTAGGGAGGCCGAGGTGGGAGGATTGCTTGAGCCCAGGAGTTCAAGTTAAGTCTGAGCAACAAAGTGAGAGCCTATCTCTAGAAAAAAAAAACAAAACAATAAAATATATAAATATAATATATAAATATATAATAAAGCATAATTTTTCTTTATTAAAATATGCATGCTTTTCTTTACAAAAATAATATATACTTTAAAATATATATGTACATATATGTATAGATACATAAAACATGTACATATACGTACACATCTACATATAAATACATGTTATAATATGCACGTATAAATATAAACATATAACATATAAACATGTACCTATAGACATCTACATACATGTTTATGTGTTCATATATGTATGCTTATATGTATATAATGTATACATGTACATGCATGTATATATACATACATATATGTATACATAACATATATACCTATAAAACATGTACGTATATACATGTAACGTTAATATATGTACTTTTTAAAGTAAAAATGTTTATGTGTGTATGTATAGTACATATATACATATAAAACAAGTACATATATGCATATAACATATATATGTACATGATTTTTCAAGGAAAAAGCATATTATGGGCTGCTTCTGACTTGCCTGGGGAACATGACTGGTTGTGTTTGTTTTATCGGGCTGGTTATATTGGTGTCTAAATATAGGACCCTCAAACATGTTTGAACAGTCATATGACGTACGGTTAGATATCAAGTCTGTGGCCTACCTCTGAACTGATGTATTTATGTATTTAGTGACACAATAAAAGCAGATTTTTCTTTTCCAAAGAACTCTGCACTTTAACCCTTGGAATGTTAAACATTTTGGTCCAGATTTAATTTTTACTACTGAATAAAACTTTCTACTTTTTTATTCTAAAGACACAAGGTATCTTTAGAAAGAGACAAGAGGCTGGGCGCGGTGGCTCACACTTGTAATCCCAGCTGGCACACTCTGGCCTTTGGGAGGCCGAGATGGGAAGATCACTTGAGGCCAGGAGTTTGAGACCAGCCTGGACAACACGGCAAGATCCTGTCTGAATTTAAAATAAAACAAAATAATAAAATATAGAATACAGTAAAATATAATACAATGCAATAGAAATAAAGATAAAAGAAGCAGACGAGGAAACACCCATGCAAGACTGACAATATAGCCTTTGATTCTCTTCCGGGGAGAAGGAATCCCAGCCCTCCTTTCCCGCCCTGAGCTTCAGCCCCGGGCTGCGAGCCTGTGTTCAACGCTTCGCCTGGGCCCTGTTCCCAAACCCAGTTTCGCTTTTCACCTCCGGTGTCTCTTCGATGTTCAGTGCACGTGCCTTCAGCATCTCTAAGATAAGAATCTAGTGTGGATGCAATGTCTCCCATTTGGTGCATCTTCCCTCGTTGCTTTTTTTTTACGCATTACGTTTGGAAATCTCCCATGTAAAATCTGTACTTGAGATTTTCACTGATGATTATTATTATTTTTTGAAAGCAAATTACTTTTAAAACATTGACAGGGACTTGTTTGAAAAGACGCAGTTTAGCATAAAAGAATATCCCCTGGAGCGTCTCTGCACGTGCAAAAGCCGGCCTGTAAGAAGAAGCCCCAGGAAGGCCAGTTACCTGACATGCAGCTGTGTAAGGGCGACACTGGCTGGATGTAGCGGGGAGGCTGCTCCTTGGAAGAAACGTCTTCTTCCTGCCAAAACAGACACGCACTGGCTGTCTCGGCGGCACTGAACGGCTGGCTCACGCATGTGCGTAGCTGATTCACTCTGAAAAGCAAAAACAGGAATTCCGCAGAAACCAAGTTAGGTTGTCCCAGAAACAGATCAGGCAAGTCCCCAAGGAATGTACTGCTGGGTCTTTCAGGCGTCCACAAAAGACCTTCTGTTCTATTTGCAGAACCTCACTCTCGCGGAAGGAGCCCAGACATCTGGTGCTGAACGCGGGGTTTTTCAATGGCAGGAAGGTGGAATCCCTTCGGGCTTTTGATGTAGGCAGAGTGCATTTCCCAAAGTGGAAAAGTGGTTTTCTTAAAACTCATCTTGAATCATCACTCCGTAGCCCTTCAATTTCACGCCTTTTTCTTTCCTTTTGCTATTTGCCTCAAACATAAAAAGAAGACAGGAAACAATTCAGGTTACAGTTGCAACTATGACTGTGTGTACACAGCCGCAACTATTACCATATGTATATAGCTGCTCACCTATGTGACTCTGTCACTATCACTTCCGTTTAGCTCTGTGCACCAATGTGTTTTCTCATCTATTTGCCAGGGAGCGCATTTCTTTTTTCATATTGAAGCAGAGCATACATTGCAGGCAACGTTAGGTGTAAAACGAATCACTTCAAGGACTTTTTTTTTTTTTCAAATAAGAGCTGTCTGCACACTTCTACGTGTTGAATCACAAAAATATTCATCCTAATGCATTTATAGTCTCTATAGCCTGAACATTGCAGAGTTTTGATTTGAGACTCCCGCTTGCCAAATAAGCCCTCTTATAAATCTGCAGCTGCCTACATTCTTCATGAGTTTAACACATCAGAAAGAACAAAGCATAGGCTCGACGGGCTGAGGAACACCTACCGCTCTAGGCCAAGTCTACTAGGTTATGTTGCTCTTGAGGGAAGGCTGTCAACACTCATGCAGTTATTTTTTGCACAAGTTGAACATCAAGGAGATAAAACCGGGATCCAAATTGGAACTCCCAGGTTGGCTGAACTTCAGCCTGACTTTCTATGTTCTGGGATGAGGCATGGTTACGCCACTACCCTACTATTGACCTCTGAGGAGGATGATTCTTTATTGTAGGGGCCGTCCTGTACATTGTACAATGTTGAAAAGAATCCCTGGGCTCCACTCCCTAGAAGCAGGTAGTGATCACCACCTCCTCCCCAGTTGTGACAACCGGAAATATCTCCAGCCGTGGCACAATGTCTCCCGGGGGGGCAGAATCACTCCGGTTGAAAACACTGGTGTTAAGGACGTACTTTGCAGGTGACTGGAGAACACTTAATTACGATCATGCTGGGTGAGCCATTTCAATTTGTTTCTCATACTCCCACGTCCTTCAGAGCTGGTAGCAGAATCAAGCTCCACACCTGAAACTCTTAGCACGAACGTTATACAACAGTACTTGTCAGCTGCATTTCCAATACTAGCATCCCAAAAGAGATACTCTCTTAGCATCAAGTAAAGTCATTTACTCTTTTTTTGTTTTTTGTTTTTTTTTTGAGACAGGGGTTCGCTCTGTTACCCAGACTGCAGTGCAGTGGCACAATCACTGTCACTGCAGCCTCGACCTCCTGACTCAAATGATCCTCCCACCTCAGCCCCCTGAATAGCTGGGACCACAAGCACACGCCACCACAGGTGGATCGCTTTTTTTTTTTTTGTAAAAATGGGGTCTTGCTATGTTGCCCCCTCTAATCGCTAACTCCTGGCCTCAAGCAATCCTCCTGCTTCAGCCTCCCAGAATGCTGGGATTACAGGTATGAGCCACTGTGCCCATCCTAACAATACATATTCTTTAGCAAAGTTCAGATCCCCACCGTCATCCTAACCTTGTCTTCTGCACGGAGCTTTCGTCTCTGAACAAGGCGGACGTTCGCTTTCCCTTGACTCCAAGTTGAACTACGAACTAAAGTGGTCTCATTGTCATCTTGGGCACCATATGCTAGAAGAAGCAAGACAAATACAAGACAACAACAACAACAAGAACAACAACAATGTAGCCTGTGAGGTTAGAAGCAACATGGAATCAGTCATGTTCGATTTCTCTCATTATTTATAATTCTGTAAAGGTGGTTTCATCCATCTTTCCCAAACAACCACTTCATATTCCACTCTAGCTGGAATTTATTTATCCTGGGCTATGGTTTAAAGTGTCACTGTAAAGGGTGACATAAGGAGCCACTCCTTTTGGGCAGAATTCCTTCTCTACCTCAAATTCCTTCTCTACCTGGCCACCATTTTCCATATTCCTTGCACAGGTAATACTTGAAAATATTCAGACATAACTTAACATTTTCATATGGGTTGCATACAAGAAGACAATCTGGAAATCCATGTTTCTAAACTAGTTGCTTCAGCTTTGACATTATGAAGAAAAAGAAACGCCCATGGGGGTAAAATGGATGGTTTGTCCACATGAGAAAATGTCTTATATACGGTGATGTATTTTTAAGAAAATCTATGAAAAGCTATTTTTATCTCAACTATCATCATCTACTTTGAACAGAACCTGACTTAACAAAAAGTTAGGTGGGTGCAGTGGCTCGTGCCTGTAATCCCAGAACTTTGGGAGGCTGATGTGAGAAGATTGCTTGAGCCTAGGAGTTCGAAACCAGCCTTGGAACATAGTGAGACCTGGTCTCTAATAATTTTTTTTTTTAATAAAAATGTTGCTGTTACTATTGTGTCTCATAAGTATCAAATCTTTTCTAATCTCTTTGGACTCCTAATCCCTCACCCATTCTGAAGATGTGCATGTCAGCATGCATCTAATTTTAAATAGCAAAACATTTCTTATGTTGCACTTATATTGCATGTCATAAATCAAGAGAAGTCGGTGAAGAGCTACAAAAATACCATTGGATAGAAGGGATAAGTTCTAGTATTTGATAGTACAGTAGGGAAATTATAGTGAACAATGATTTGTCCAGCCTATGACCCTGTCTCAAAAGTTAAAATGAAAACAAAACAAAATAATGATTTGTTTTATGTTTCAAAACAGCTAGAAAAGAATTGTAATGCTCCAAACACCAAGAAAGTATGAATGTTTGATGTGATGGATACCCCAAATTCCCTGATTGGATCATGACACATTGTTTGAATGTTTCAAAAGATTACCTATACCCCCCAAATATGTACACAGCCAGGCATGGTGGTGCACACCTGTAGTCCCAGCTACCCATGAGGCCGAGGCAGGAGGATCGCTTAAGACTAAAAGGTCGAGGCCACAGTGAGCTGTGATTGTGCCACTGCACTTTAGCCTGGACAAAAGAGTGAGGCCCTTTCTCATGAAAAAAATGTACAATGATGATATATTAATTTTAAAAAATGAGATGAGATTTTTCCCTTGACCCCCTTCATGGGCCGGAACTGGAGTGGCTCATTTCACTCAGCCTGCAGTCCATGGATGACTAAGTGTTAACAGCCCAGCAAAGGGTCAGAGTGACAGCCTTCTGCACCTGCCCTTTTTGACACCCGAGTTCTTGTTTGGCATCCAGGTGGTCACAGAAATGGATTGAAGGGTAGTGTATGCGGAGGATTTTACTGGGCGATGGATGTGGCTCTCAGATGGATGTGCTCTCAGCAGAATGGGGAGTTGGAAAGGGGACGGCGTGGGAAGAAGGTGATCTTTCCCTGAAGCCCAGCCATCTCTGACTGGGCTCCCATCTGAAGCTGCACCATCTGAAGTTAGCTTCTATTTGTAGTCTCCCTTGCTCAGCCACTTGTATACCCGACGCTCAGCAGCTTGCATCCCTGACTGCTTGCATCAGCTGCTTGTGTTGCTCTGCCAGCAGAAGTCTGGTTTTTATGGGCACAGGACAGGGGGCAGGGCAGGCCAAAAGGGCAATCATTTGGGTTGAAATATGGGTTCAGCTGTTTTCACTTAGGACTAAGGTTCCAGGCTTGGGGGTGAAGTTTAGCCAGGAGCCCAGTTGTTCTGTACCATTTTCCCCCTCTGGAGAGGCACATCTAACTGCCCTTAGAAAATGGATGACGACCAGTCTGAGCTACTTCCTGCTGAAAGAGGGCGTTGTTTGGGGAAAATGGCAGTTAGATTCCTCCCAGAGGTCTCCCAAGAGTCCCCGGCAAAGGCGAGCCATCATCCGAGGCTCCGGCTGCCTGCCCATTTGGAGCCTTGATGGCCTCTAGGTGAAAGAATAAACAAGCTTTACAAGGTTAAGTAGGCATGGATCAAACATGTGTATTATACAAAGAAAGAATGTAGTGCAAAACATCTCAGAAACAAGAAATAAAACAACACTGTACCCCAAGCTGCCTCACCCTGGTGAAAGAAATTAAACCTCGTATGGGAGCAGTTAAACTTTATGAGCCAGAGAAGTGCTCTCGCCACATCTGTCGGAGTTAACAGGTGAATCTTAGGAATTCTGAGGCTTATGGGCTTGCCGGCGGGCAGTAAAGTTTCTGCCTCTTTCTTGTGTCTAAAAGACCAAGGTGGTCGTTTTCAGGATGTCCTCTAAAGTACTATCTGGTCCCAGGGTCTGTTTCTGAGTATAAACTGGAGGTGGAAAATTGTGTTGGTTGCCCATTCTGAAGACAGGGAATTAGGCTTCCCTCAATTCTCTTTCTCCTTTCAGTGATAACCTGGGGTATGAGGGAGAGAGGAAGTGGGCATCCTCCTTTCCTCTTCTATCTTTTCATCCCCAAGTCCCAGCAACCTTGACAGGTGCCACCCATGGGTGCCAATGTGGCTTGCACCCATGAAGCCGGGGGAGCCTAGAGAATAGGAATGATTCACACTCACCTATGCCTCTACCTCCCCTGCTGTTGACAACCTTTGAGTTCCTTGGCAGGTGCCACCCATGGCTATCAATGCAGCTTCCACCTGTGAAGCAGGGAAGACCCAGAGAATGGGAATTATCTGCACTCACCTATGCCTCTACCTCCCCTACCATCAACAACCTTTGAGTTTCCTGGGCCTCATTTATGCCATGGAGTATGGCCTCCTTCCGTAAAGCAGGGGTTTAATGGACAGGAATTTGTCCTGCCTATTTACACTGTGCCTGTTGCCTGGCTCAGATCTGGTTTTCCTTTCTAGTGCCTCGACCTGCAGCTTGGAATCGAGTTTGAGACCAAAAAAAAAAAAAAAAAAAAAGTATTTCAGGGGCTGCATAGATTTATTTAGATTAAGTCCCAAACAGGCCTTGCCAAATTTACAGCTAACAGCCTGCAGACAATGCCCCTCTGTCGTTTCCCCATCATAAGCAGAGTGCTGACGTAGACAGAGAACTCTCTTACTTGGAAAAGAAGAAAAACAACTTAAAGTGCATGGTGGCGGGGGAAGCTGGGGAAAGAGCCTCTTGCTCTGTGGAAATGGGTTCCTTTAACCACTGCATCCCTCCCCCGGTTCAGACCAGCTAGACTTTCATGAAGGGAAACAGAGCCAACATTCCTTTTTCCTGAAGAAAAGAGAGAGGAAGCAGGGTCTCAGAAAAGAGACAGATCCAACAATTCCGCATTTTAACCCACCCTTTGTTGTATCCCAGACGAGCCTCCAGATGAGATAGGATTGTTCCCTTGACCCCCTTTGTGGGCAGGAACTGGAGTGGCTTGTTTCACTCAGCCTGCCATTCCTGGACAGCTAAGTGTTAATAGCCCAGTGAAGGGTCAGGGTGACAGCCTCCTGCACCTGCCCTTCTTGACACCTGCATTCTTTTTCAGCATCCAGGAAAAATCTGGTCACACGAGCAGATTGAAAGGTAGTGTATGTGGAAGATTTTATTGGCAATGGATGTGGCTGCCAGCGGAATAGGGGGTTGGAAAGGGGATGGTGTGGGAAGATGGTTAGCTTTCCCTGAAGTCCAGCTGTCTCTGGCCGGGCTGTTCTCAGAAGCTGCACTGTCTGAAGTTAGCCATGTCTATCTGTAGTCTCCAATGCTCAGCCACTTGTATCCCAGCCTTCAGCAGCTTGTATCCCCAACCACTTGTGTTGCTCTGCCAGCTGAAGTCTGGTTTTTATGGACACAGGATAGCAGGTGGGGCAGGCCAAAATGGCAACTATTTGGGTGGAAAAACGAGATCAGCTGTTTTCACTTAGGTCCGAGGTTCCAGGCTTGAGGGTGGAGTTTAGCCAGGGGCCCAGCCATTCTGTACCAAATAGACATGAAATGAAGTAGAAAAAGGTTAAACAAACTGAGAGAGAGAGAAAAGTGCCCAAACTCTATGAGTGGCAACTTCAAGAAATCAAGTAAAGGGTCCCATTAGGACAATAAGGAAGGAACCTACAAATCAGCATGACTAAATGCTGCTTCTAAGGTCCAACACTGAATTTATACCCGCTCGGGTCCACAAAGAATAGAAGAGGAGACATAAATGGTAAGATAAAAGGTGAAATCTTCTTCCTTGGTCTGTGCTTTTTATCTCATCTCTAGCCTATCCCGTCTTTATTTTATCTTTATCAAAGTGGGGCATCTCCTAAGGCATGTTTGTGAGAAACAAGAAAGAAAAAACTCTCGTGGAGAGAGTTAGTATAATCCCAGCACTTTGGGAGGCTGAGGTGGGAGGGTTGCTTAAGTCCAGGAGTTGGAGACCAGCCTGGACAACATGGCAAAACCTGGTCTCTACTAAAAATACAAAAATTAGCCAGGTGTGGTGGCTCACACCTGTAATCCCAGCTATGCAGGAGGCTGAGACAGGAGAATCTCAGAGCCTGGGAGTCTGATGCTGCAGTGAGACAAGATTGTGCCACTGCACTCCAGCCTGGGTGAGAGAATGAGATACTGTCAAAAAAAAAAAAAAAAAAAAAAGAAAGAAAGAAAGAAAAAAAGAAAAACATCCAAAAAACCTGTGAGTCAGAATTTCTACAGGTTGGCTCTGTACCAGAATTGCCTCAGACAGTTTTTCACATTGTGGGTTTCAATCCTCCTTTCCAGCTTGTCTGAACCATGGCATTTAGGTTTGGACTCCATGCAGTATTGTTTTTTTAAAAATCTGTCTAGTTGAATGTGCCCAACCACAACTGTGAATGCGTCACAGCATTCAGCTCTAATTTAGCTTTTTCTTGCTAAATATGTATAAATATATGTATAATTCTGCAAAAGAGCACTTTTCTCAGAATTATACACATATTTATACATATGCAAATGCACACACATATACATATACAAACATATATACATATACTATACACACATGCATAAATATATACACATTTGCACACAAACATTTATAAAGATACACTTATATATACCATACACACATATACACATACATATATACACATGCACACACACATACGTATGCATCCACACATATACACATGTATACATACACACGCTGTACACTTATACATATGTATAGACATGCACCCACATACACATATATGCATGCATATACCATACACATATGCATAAATATTTACACATTCATACACACATAGATATACACATATTTATATGTGATACACACATGTATACACATAGATATACATATACATATAAACACCATATGTATACATACACACATCCACATACTATGCACATATACACATATACACATCATATATGTACATTTACACATTTACATACCAGACATATACACATATATGCATATATACACACATAATGCACATATATGCATATACATATATGTACACATATATACCTGTATACATACACCATACATATACCCATACTAATTTATATGTATATTTTAAAATTTTTTTGTAGAAATGGGGTCTTGATATGGTGCCAAGGCTGTTCTTGAACTCCTGTCCTTAAATGATCCTCTTGCCTAGGCCTTCCAAAGTGCTGGGATTACAGGTGTCAGCCACTGCACTCAGTCCCCTTACTCATATATAATGCACATGCTATACACATACGCAAAAACATACACATTCACACAAGCACATAGATATACACATATCTGTCATACACATATATACACACATATCTGCCATACGCATATATACACACATATATGCCATACACATATATACACACATATATGCCATACACATATATACACACCTATGCATATAAATATACATACACACATATACATACATCATGCATACACACATATACATATATAAAAACCTATACCATACACATATATCTAAACATGTACCTATTAAGAGGCACACACATACATATATGCACATACAAGTACCATATACATACATATAAACATATATATACTATACACACATAGACACATGCATATATATGCGTATATATACAAGTAACACACATGTACATATGTACACACACCATACACATATACATATACACATGCACTCACATATATGTATGTGCATGCATATACATATACACATAATGAATGTATATGCACATATCACACACATATACCTATACATACATGCACGTATACATATACATGCATGTATATATACCATATACATAAATATACACACATGCATATTGACATACACATAGACATGTACATATACACATATGCATATATATACACATATAAACACATATTCTTCAGTAGGCTTGAGAAATGCAGTTAGAGAGACTTAATTTAGCTAGCAGCACTGGACGGCCTCCAAAAAATATTTAGAGTTGCCTGGAGTCTTATTTTTAATTTAGTTTTTGTTTAAAAGCAATCAACTTTATTGATCAATACTTCACATACAATAAAAGTATCAGTTTTAAGCACACAGTTCAATAAGTTTCAACTAATGTATACACCCAAGTCACTACCGCCACAAATGAGGTGTAGAACATTTTTGTCACCCCAAAATGTTCCTTCATGCTCCTTGGCAGTTAAAACTCTTTCACCCCATCTCCCAATCCCTCACTTTCTGGCAGCTGCTGATCATTTTTTCATCATTACAGATTACAGTTGACCCTTGAACAACAGGTCTGAACTGCATGTGCCCACTTATACAAGAATTTTCTTCCACTCTGCCATCCCTGAGACAGCAAGACCAAGCCCTCCTTTTCCTCCTCCTCAGCCTCCTCAACTTGAAGACAAGGATGAAAACCTTTATGATGATCTACTTCCACTTAGTGAACAGTAAATATATTTTCTCTTCCTTATGATTTCCTTCCTTCTTCCTTCCTCTTTCTTTTCTTTCGTTCTTTCTTTCTTTCTTTTCTCCTTCTTTCTTTTCTTTCTTTTTTTTTTTTGAAGGTCTTGCTCTGTCATCCAGGCTGGAGTGCAGTGGTGCAATCATGGCTCACTGCATCCTCAACCTCCTGGACTCAAGCAATCCTCTCACCTCAACCTCCAGAGTAGGTGGGACTACAGGCACATGCCACTATGCCTGGCTAATTTTTCTATTTTTTGTAGAGACAGGGTCTCACTGTGTTGCCCAGGCTGGTCTCAACTTCCTGGCCTCAAACAATCCTCCCACCCTGGCCTCCCAAAGTGTTGGGATGACAGGCGCGAGCCACTGACCCCGGCCATGATTTTCTTCATAGCATTTTTTCCCTCTAGCTACTCTACTGTAAGAATACAGTATATAATACACAGAGCATACAAAATATGCGGTATATTGGCTGTTTATGCTGTTAGTGAGGCTTCTGGTCAACTGCAGGCTATTAGACGTTAAGTTATGGGGGAGTCAAAAGCTATGTGCTGACTACACCCCTAACCCCTGAGTTTTTAAGGGTCAACTGTAGGTATACCTGTCCTAGAAGTTCACATACATGGAGTCACATTAAGTATATAAAATATTTATTTTACGTCTGGCTTCTTTCGGTCACCAAACTATTTTTAGGATTCATTCATCCTGTTGCATGCCTTATCAGTGTGTTCCTTTTTATAGCTAAGTACTAGCAGATTCTATAGATATCAATCCATCCGTTCTTCCCCAACTGATAGAAACTTGTATTGTTTCCAGTTTGGGGGCAATTATAAATAACACTGCTATAAACATTTTTTGTGTGTATGGACACATTTTCCAATTCTCTTGGATAAGTACCTAAGAGTGAAGTTTTTGAGTCACATGGAGAGTTGTATGTTTAACTTTTTTGTTTTTGTTTTTTGGAGACAGGTCGTCTCACTCTGTCACCCAGGCTAAAGTGCAGTGGTGTGATCTCGGCTCACTGCAACTTCCGCCTCTTGGGTGCAAGTGATTCTCATGACTCAGCCTCCCGAGTAGCTGAGATTACAGGCGTGCACCACCACACCCGGCTAATTTTTTGTGTTTTTAGTAGAGATAGGGTTTCACCATGTTGGCCAGGCTGGTCTCAAACTCCTGGCTTCAAGTGATCCTTCTGCCTCAGCCTCCCAAAGTGCTGAGACCACAGGTGTGATCCACCACGTCTGGCCTATTCAACAGCTGGGCATGGTGGCTCATGCCTGTAATCCCAGGAATTTGGGAGGCTGAGGCAGGCAGATCACTTGAGGTCAGGAGTTCAAGAGCAGCCTGGGCAACGTAGTGAGACCACGTCTCTACTAAAAGTACAAAAATTAGCTGGGCATGGTGGTGCACGCCTGTAATTCCAGCTACTTGGGAGGCTGAGGCATGAGAAACACTGGAACCCAGGAGGTGGAGGCTGCAGTTGAGCTGAGATCATGCCACTGAACTCCAGCCTGGGCAACAGAGGAAGACTCTGTTTCAAAATAAATAAATAAATAAATAAATAAATAAATAAATAAATAACTGAGCTGTTCATTTTCTTATTATTGAATTGTAAGAATTCTTTATATAGTCCAGAAATCAGATGTATGTTTGGCACAAATATGAACGGATAATATATTGTAACAATTTGTTGCTTTCCTTTTCATTTCCTTAACACTATTGTTCAACGAGCAGGAGTTTTTAATTTCAATGAAGTTCAATATACCATTTAAAAAAAATAGTGTGTGCTTTTGATGTCCTTTTAGGTAATCTTTGCCTGCCCCTAAGGCTGAAACTCCTAAGTTTTCTTCTAAAAATTGTAAAGATTTACGTTTACAGTTAGGTCTGTAATACATTTTGAGTGTTTTGTTTTTTTTTTTAATAGCATGAGAGAAAGGTCAAATTTCACATCAGTTGTTCTGGCACTTTATTTGTTTGGAAAACCATTTTCTGCCTTTTTGCTTACCTTGGCGACAATGTGGAAAAATTCATAAATGAGCGTGTCATTCTTGAATTCTCCTTTCTGCTCCATTGACCCGTAACTATGCTAATCCGAGACCATACTTGTTTGGAATCTTTTCCCCCCTTCTTTTCACATGTGTTTATGGAATCTTACATTTTCTTTCTTATATTTTTCTTTCTTCTTTTGAGACAGAGTTTTGCTCTGTCACCCAGGCTGGAGTGCAGTGCCACAATCTTGGCTCACTGCAACCTCCACCTCCCAGGTTCAAGCAATTCTCCTGCCTCAACCTCCCGAGTAGCTGGGACTACAGGTGCACACCACCACGTCCAGCTTTGAGTACAGAAAGTGGTGGTGGCTACATAACCCTGTGAATGTGTTTAATGCCACTGATTTGTAAACCTCAGTGTTCCTTCAGAATAAATTGATCATGAATTTATTCCTTCAGAATAAATTGATCATGAATTTATTCCTTCAGAATAAATTGACATTGATCATGGTCAACATGATAAATATTAAGCTATGTATATTTTACCACAATAAAGAAAATCCAACCAAAACAAAAAACGGTCCAGAAAAGACTGAAGGATGCTAAAGAGACATAACTAAATGTAACATAGGATCTTTGATTAGATTCTGGACCTTTCAAGGACATTTTTGAGGACATCAATGAAACTTGAATGAAGTCTGTGGATTAGACAGTAATTTTGGGTGATCATTTTTTTGTTTTCTTTTTAGTTTTTGTAGAGATGGTGTCTCACTCTGTTACCCAGGCTGGTCTCAAACTCCTGGGCTTAAGTGATCTACTTGCCTCAGCCTCCCAAAGTGCTGGGATTACAGATGTCAGCCACTGTGCCTGGCCTGGGAGACTGTTAATTTGTTGGTTTTGGTGAGTGTTCTGTGTTTATGTACATTGAATATCCTAATCTGTAGTTTATAGGGTTTGGCTGTGTCCCCACCCAAATCTCACCTTGAATTGTAATAATCCCCACATGTGAAGGGTGGGGCCAGGTGGAGATAATTGAATCATGGGGGTGGTTTCCCCCATACTGTTCTTGTGGTAGTGAATAAATCTCGTGAGATCTGATGGTTTTATAAATGGGAATTCCCCTGCACAAGCTCTGCTGCCTGCCACCATGTAAGATGTGACTTTCTTCCTCATTCACCATCCACCATGATTGTGAAGCCTCCCCAGCCATGTGGAACTGTGAGTCCATTAAATCTCTTTCCTTTATTAATTACCCAGTCTTGGGTATGTCTTTATCAGAGGCATGACAACTGATTAATACAGTAAATTGGTACCAGATAGTGGGACACTTCTGTAAAGATACCCAAAAATGTGGAAGCAACTTTGGAACTGGATAACAGGCAGAAGTTGGAACAGTTTGGAGGGCCCAGAAGAAGACAGCAGAATGTGGGAAAGTTTGGAACTTCCTAGAGACGTGTTGAATGGCTTTGACCAAAATTCTGATAGTGATAAGAACAATGAAGTCCAGGCTGACATGGTCTCAGAAGGAGATGGGAAATGGTTTGGGAACTGGAATAAAGGTGACTCTTGCTATGTTTTAGTAAAGAAACTGGTAGCATTTTGTCCAGAAATCTGTGGAACTTTGAACTTGAGAGATGTGATTTAGAGTATCTGGTAGAAGAAATTTCTAAGCGGCAAAGCATTGAAGGGGAAGCACAGCATAAAAATTTGTAAAATTTGCAACCCAACAAGAAAAGAAAGCTCCATTTTCTGGGGAGAAATTCAAGCTGGCTGCAGAAATTTGCATAAGTAATGAGCAGCCAGATGTTAATCACCAAGACAATAAGGAAAATGTCTCCAGGACATTTCAGAGACTTTCACAGCAGCCCCTCCCATCACAGGCCCTGAGGCCTAGGAGGAAAAAGTGGTTTCCAGGGCCAGGTCCAGGGCACCCCTGCTGTGTGCAGCCTTGGAACTTGGTGCCCTTCGTCCCAGCCCCTCCAGCCATGGCTAAAAGGGACCAAGGTACAGCTCAGGCCATTGCTTCAGAGGGTGGAAGCCCCAAGCCTTGGCAGGTTCCATGTGGTATTGAACCTGCAGGTGCACAGAAGTCAAGAATTGAGGTTTGGGAACCTCTGCCTAGATTTTAGAAGATGTATGGAAATGCCTGGATGTCCAGGCAGAAGTTTGCTGCAGGGGCAGGGCCCTCATAGAGAACCTTTGCTAGGGCAGTGTGGAAGGGAAATGTGTGTTTGGAGCCCCCACACAGAGTCCACACTGGAGCACTGTCTAGTGTAGCTGTGAGAAGGGGTCCGCCATCCTCCAGGCCCAAGAATGGTAGATTCACCGACTGCTTGCACTATGTGCCTGGAAAAGCCACAGACGTTCAATTCCAGCCTATGAAAGCCACTGGGAGGGAGGCTGTACCCTGCAAAGCCACAGGAGTGGAGCTGCCTAAGACCATGGGAACCCCCCTCTCGCATCAGTGCACCCTGGATGTGAGACATGGAGTCAAAGGAGATCATTTTGGAGCTTTCAGATTTGACCACCCCTCTGGATTACAAATATGCATGGGGGCTGTAGCCCCTTCATTTCGGCCAATTTCTCCCATTTGGAATGGGTGTATTTACCCAATGCCTGTATCCTCAATGTATCTGGGAAGTAACTAACTTGCTTTTGATTTTACAGGCTCATAGGTGGAAGGGACTTGCCTTGTCTCAGATGAGACTTTGGACTGTGAACTTTTGAGTTAATGCTGAAATGAGTTAAGACTTTGGGGGACTGTTGGGAAGGCACGATGGGTTTTGAAATGTGAGGATGTGAGATTTGGGAGGTGTCAGAGGAGGAATGATATGGTTTGGCTGTGTCCCCACCCAAATCTCATTCTGAATTTTAATAATTCCCATGTGTCAAGGATGAGGCCATGTGGAGATAACTGAATCATGGAGGCAGTATGTCCTATACTGTTCTCATGGTAGTGAATAAGTCTCATGAGATCTGATGGTTTTATTCAGGGGAGTTCTGCTGCACAAGCCCTCTTTCATGACACCATGTAAGATGTGACTTTCCTCCTCATTCACCTTCCACCATGTCTGTGAGGCCTCACCAGCCATGTGGAACTGTGAGTCCACTAAACCTCTTTCCTTTAGAAATTCTCAGGTGTGTCTTTATTAGCAGCATGAGAACAGACTAATACAGTAGTAAATACACCCTGAACAATTACACTATAATAGGACATCTTCTTTTCAAGTTATTCTCAAAGGGCTTAGAAATGTTAGCAATCGGGGAAAATCTATGTAAAGTGCATATGGGAGGCCTGGGTACTGTTCTTTTCCCACTTTTATTCAAATTTGAACTTATAGTATGACAATTTTTTAAAATAAATGTATTCTGGTTCAAAGTGCCCAGTATGATCAGTCGTAGTCCATAGTGAACAGCTTTCATCACGCTTCCCCAAATATTTTGAAAACCCCTTTCAGGCTAGACACAGTGGCTCATGCCTGTAATCTCAGCACTTTGGGAGGTTGAGGCAAGAGGATCACTTGAGCCTGGGAGTTCAGGACCAGCCTGGGCAACATAGTAAGACCCCCAACTCTATGAAAAGGAAAAAATATTTTAAAGGGGAAAAGAAAACTCCTTTTGTAATTTGATAGTTTCCTATCTGGGCTTTATTCTAGACCGACTGAATTTGGCATTCTGCAGGAAATGTTCCAGAAACCTTCAGTCCTGAGAAGCCTCTCAGTTAATTCTGATGAAAATTAAATTTTGAGAACCCCTGGCCAGGCATAAAGTGTGGATCCCATGAGTAAGGTATGTGGAGATGAAAACTAAGAAGTGGTCTTGTCACACAAGAATACAATCTTTAATTCACATCATCAATGCTGTATTTTCTTTTGTTTCCTTTATTATTATTATTATTAGAGACAGGGTCTCATTCTGTCACCCAGGCTGGAATGCAGTGGCACGATCATAGCTCACTGCAGTCTCGACCTCTCTGGGTGCAGGTGATCCTCCCATCTCAGCCTCAATGTTGTATTTGAGAGCTGATTTTTACAGTGAGCTTAACATTTTGAAGTGTAGTGCTCTGATTAATTAGAAACACAGATTTTCAGACCTTATCTTCACTTTTTAATTTTTTTGAGACAGGATCTTGCTCTATTGCCCAGGCTGGAGTGCAGTGGTACAATCATGGCTCACTGCAGCCTCAACCTCCTGGGCTCCAGTGATCCTCCCACCTCAGCCTCCTGAGCAGCTGGAACTACAGGCATGCATCACCATGCCTGGCTAATTTTGTGTGTGTGTATTTTTGCCAGAGAGGCAGTTTCATTATGTTGTCCAGGCTGGTCTCAAACTGCTGTCAAGCGATCTGCCTGCCTTGGCCTCCAAAAGTGTTGGGATCACAGGCGTGAGCCACTGCACCCAGCTTGGAGTGCATTCTCTCCCAGTTCGGCAGGGCCACATTCCCTCTGGAGACTCTAGGGGACTAGGCTTCCTTGCCTATTTCAGCTTCTGGTGCTTGCCGGCAATACTTGGCATTCCTTGGTGTGTAGACGCATCACTGCAATCACCCTTTCCATTTTCTCATAAGTGGTTTCCCTCTGTGCATGCCTGTGTTCCTCCTTTTCTTTTTCCTTATTTGTTTATTTATATTGAAGCTATGCATGAATGTTTCTCTCCTTCCTAGAAGGACACCAGTCATTGCCTTTAGGGCCCACCCTACTGCAGTACCCCTTCAGCTCAAGAGCCTATTCCCAAATGAAATCACACTCACGTATACATGAGGGTTAGGACTTTAATGTGTCTTTTGTCGGGGGACACACTTCAACCCACACCAGATGGATAAAGCAGAGGCTTTGTGTAGGTAGAAGCAGAAATGATGCAATTCCCATTTTAGGGGATGGGTTCCTGTAAATCCTGCCTGCTCAGAAGGGCAAATGTAGAACCAACAGCAGCCATGGTGACACCTGGTAGACGCGGAGGCCTTTTGGCTATCAACCAGACCTATATGCAAGCAGTTTAGTTGTCCCTAAAAGACTCCCCCAGTTTAACGAGGAGGCATTTGGAAGCAGGAGAGGAGAGAACTTAGGCGTGTCTTATCAATAGGATTCCACTGCACCCACAAACTGGTGAAGCAAGGAGAGAAAGCTACAGATGGAAATTACTTATACTATGATGCAGTGGTAAACATTTGACTCAACTTAGCAGAACAAAACCCAAATGGAAATAATGATGGTGGACACAGTGAGGTGCTCCTGTGTAACACTGATGCTTCTTGGCCAGCACTGTCCTGATCTTGCCAGGAGATGCCAGCAGAGTGAGGTTGCGCTGCCCCTTGGCTGGGAGGGAGTGCAAGACGCATCTCAAATTCAGAAGCGTTGACACCGGGAGCTCTGTGGTTATTTTCTTCCATGCTGTGGATTATCTTCACTCTTTTGATAGTGTCCTTTGATGCAAAGGATTTTCAATATTGGTGAAGTCCAATTACTCTGTATTTTTTCTTTTATTGCTTATACTTTTGGTGTCACATTGAGAAACTATTACCAAATCTAAGACCTATCTATCTGGATATCTATCTGGAAAGCCCTTTCCAGAGAAACAGAACCAATAGGAAGGATAGATAGATAGATAGATAGATAACAGATGGATAGATATATGGAGGGATAGATAGAGTGATAGCTAGATGGAGGGTGGATAGATGGATGGATAGATTGATAGATACATAGATAGATGGATATAAGAGAGATAGATAGAGTGATAGATTTTGGTAAAGTCTAATTACTCTATTTTTTTTTTTTTTGTACTGGAAGGACCAGTACATTAATATAAGTCATGACTTTTGGGGTATTTTTTTGTGGTATTTTTTAGAGACCAGCCTTGCTCTGTTATCCCAGCTGGGGTGCAGTGGAGTGGTTATAGGTCACTGCAGCCTTCACCTCCTGGTCTCAAGGGATTCTCCTGCCTCAGTCTCCTGAGTAGCTGGGACCACCATGCCCAACAAATTTTTTTTTTTTGAGACAGGGTCTGGCTCTGTCGCCCAGGCTGGAGTGCAATGGTGTGAGGCTCACTGCCACCTCCGCCTCCCAGGTTCAAGCGATTCTTCTGCCTCAGCCTCCCAAGTAGCTGAAATTACCCGCACATGCCACCACACCTGGCTAATTTTTGTATTTTTAGGAGAGACGAGGTTTCGCCTTGTTGGCCAGGCTGCTCTTGAACTCGTGACCTCAGGTGATCCACCTGCCTCGGCTTCCCAAAGTGCTGGGATTACAGGCGTGAGCCACCACACCCAGCCTGTGTTTGTTTTTTTGTAGAGATGGGGGTCTCAGTATGTGGCCACGGCTGGTCTTGAGCTCCTGGCCCAAAGTGATCCTCCCACTTCAGCCTCCCAAAGTGCTGGGATGACAGATGTGAGCCACTACGACCAGACCTCATTCTGGTATCATTCTTTGCCTCACTTCCTCCAGTATGGGATCCCAAACTGCAGAGGCTATGGAGTTAGAGTGACGATGGCAGAACTTAGAGAATCAGTGCCCAGCTAGGGCGCTTCCCAGCTGTGTGACCTCGGATAGGTTACTCAATCTCTCTGTTGTTGTTGTTGTTGTTGTTCTTCTTCTTCTTCTTTTCTTCTCCTCCTTCTCCTTCTTTTCAAATTTAAGAACTTCTCTGTCTCTCTGTTCTTCTTCTTCTTCTTCTTTTTTTTTTTAATGTTTTGAGATAGGGTCTTGGTTTGTTACCCAGGCTGCAGTGCAGTGGTGCTATCTCAGCTCACTATAACCACCCCCTCCCAGGTTCAAGCAATTCTCCTGCCTCAGCCTCCTGAGTAGCTGGGATTACAGTCGTCTGCCATCACACCCAGATAAATTTTGTATTTTTAGTAGAGACAGGGTTTCACCATGTTGGCCAGACTGGTCTCAAACTCCTGATCTCATGTGATCCACCCACCTTGACCTCCCAAAGTGCTAGGATTACAGGTGTGCCGTCAACCTCTCTGTTTCTCGATTTCCTCCTGGGCAGGATGGTATTGGAGTGCCCACTGGTGAGATCACTGTGGGGACTACACCTAACACCCTTTGAATAAGGTGAGCGGGACACACAGAAACACTGAGGACTGATGGTTATTCTTGGTAGCTCATGATCCAGCCCCTCCCTGTCACTCCGTACGTACTCCCTGGATTGAGTGTCTCACAACAAAGACATTTTCTGCCGCACTGAAATCAGATCATGGTGTGTTTTGCCTTTGAGTCATTTTGGACTCCAAGGTAACATGTAAGTGTGTGTCTATGTAACTTTCCAGAAATTCTTTCTAGAATAAGCTCTGCTTTGGACTCTATTTTCCCCCTCAGGGCTTCCACTGGATCTTCCAGTCCAGGAATGTATCTGACCTTCCCAATACATTGATGGGCTTTAGTACTTTATTTTACTATTTTATATTTTATGTTTTTTTTTAAATTTTATTATTATTATACTTTAAGTTTTAGGGTACATATGCAGAACGTGCAGGTTTGTTACATATGTATACATGTGCCATGTTGGTGTGCTGCACCCATTAACTCGTCATTTAGCATTAGGTATATCTCCTAATGCTATCCCTCCCCCCTCCCCCTACCCCACCACAGGCCCCGGTGTGTGATGTTCCCCTTCCTGTGTCCATGTGTTCTCATTGTTCAATTCCCACCTATGAGTGAGAACATGTGGTGTTTGGTTTTTTGTCCTTGGGATAGTTTGCTGAGAATGATGGTTTCCAGTTTCATCCATGTCCCTAAGGACAATGTCACAGTAACCTACATGTCCACTGAAGGCCTGGAAGTAGTCATCTATCTTGGTCCTTCATGGATTTTTTTGTTTGTTTGTTTTTATTTCCTTCAACTATTTATTTATTTATTTATTTTTGAGACGGAGTCTCACTCTGTCGCCCAGGCTGGAGCGCAGTGGTGCGATCTTGGCTCACTGCAACCTTCGCCTCCCAGGTTCAAGCAATTCTCCTGCCTCAGCCTCCTGAGTTGCTGGGATTACAGGCAACTGCCACCACACCTGGCTAATTTTTTTGTATTTTTAGCAGAGATGGGATATTGCCATGTTGACCAACCTACTCTCGAACTCCTGACCTCAAGTAATCCACCCACCTCTGCCTCCCAAATTGCTGGGATTACAGGCATGAGGCACGGCACTCGGCCTCCTTCAACGTTTATTTTCAGTTCTGGGGTACATGTGCAGGATGTGCAGGTTTGTTACATAGGTAAACGTGTGCCATGGTGATTTACTGCACGGATCATTCCATCAGCCAGGTATTAAGCCTAGTATCCATTAGGTATTCTTCCTGATGCTCTCCATCCTCCCATCCCCACTTCCAACAGGCCCTAGTGTGTGTTGTTCCCCCTGACTTGTTCATTGTTCTCATCCATCAGCTCCCACTTACAAGTGAGAACACGTGGTCTTTGGTTTTCTGTTCCTGCATTACTTTCCTAAGGATAATGGCTTCCAACTTCATTCATGTCCCTGCAAAGACATGATTTCGTTCCTTTTTATGGCTGCATAGTATTCCATGGTGTATATGTACCACATTTTCTTTATCCAATCTATCATTGATGACATGTAGGTTGATTCCATGTCTTTGCTATTGTGAATAGTGCTGCAATGAACATATGTGGGTGTGTATGTTTATAATAAAATGATTTATATTCCTTTAGGTATATACCCAGTAATGAGATTGCTTGGTCAAATGTTATTTCTGCCTTGAGGTTTTTGAGGAATTGCCACACTGCCTTCCACAATGGTTGAACTAATTTACACACCTATCAACAGTGTAGAAGTGTTACTTTTTCTTCACAACCTCATCGACACCTGTTGATTTCTGTCTTTTTAATATGAGTCATTCTGATTGACATGAGATGGCCCTTTGTTTTGTTTGTTTGTTGCTTTTGTTTCTGTAGATACAGGGTCTCAGTATGTTGCCCTATCTTTCACAGAGACAGACTGGTCTTGAACTCTTGGGCACAAGTGATCCTCCTGCCTGTTTCTCAAGGTGTTGGAATTACAGGCAAGAGCCACCATGCCTGGCCTCCACTCTGGCTCTTTTGTCTTGAAGAAAGAGTAAATATTTCTGGCTTCCTCTAAAGCTGGAATCAGCTCTTTAACTGAACTAGAATACTCATATAGGCACTTTTCACTAAAATTATTTATTGTAAGAAATAAGAAAACTAGTTGAATTCCTCTAAGCTCCTATTTATGGTCTAAAATGTCATTGAGAATATTGTTATGTTGTTGGGAATATAATCATTAAGGATTATTCTTGGCTGGGTGCAGTGGCTCACACCTGTAATCCCAGCACTTTGGGAGGCCAAGGTGGGCGGATCACCTGAGGTTGGGAGTTCGAGACCAGCCTCGCCAACATGGGGAAACCCCGTCTCAAAAAAAAAAAAAAAATTAGCCAGGCGTGGTGGCACATGCCTGTAGTCCCAGCTACTTGGGAGGCTAAGGCAGGAGAATCGCTTGAACCTGGGAGGCAGAGGTTGCAGTGAGCCGAGATTGCTCCATTGCACTCCAGCCTGGGCAACAAGAGCAAAACTCCATCTCAAAAAAAAAAAAAAAAAAAAGAATTATTCTTATGTCTGCAGTCTGCATAGTTTGCATGTTATTTATTGAAAAGGCAAATGCAAGTATATATAAGTCTAACAGTGTCCTAAAAAGATGCTCATTTTTTTGTAACTTTTAACTGGAGTTATTTTTCACTAAATTTCTCATATATGCATCTTGTCGTACTACTCTTACCCAAAACAACCCCACTCTCCCCCAACCACAGTTACCACACACATAATAAGACTTTAACCAGGCTGGGTGCAGTGGCTCACACCTGTAATCCCAGCACTTTTGGAGGCCGAGGCGGGTGGATCACGAGGTCAGAAGATTGAGACCAGCTTGGCTAACATGGTGAAACCCTCTCTCTACTAAAAATACAAAAAATTAGCCGGGCTTGGTGGCACACACCTGTAGTTCCAGCTACTTGGGAGGCTGAGGCAGGAGAATTGCTTGAACCCGAGAGGCGGAGGTTGCAGTGAGCTGAGATCATGCCACTGCACTCCAGCCTGGGCGACAGAGTGAGACTCCGTCTCAAAAAAAAAAAAAAAAAAAAAAAAAAGACTTTAATCAATGGTGAAAACAAATGAGAATGTCTTGTGAGAAAAGTGCTTCATGAGGAATGTCTAAGCTAATCTCGCATGAAGCACGTCTCGATACTTCCACATATAAATGCAGGTAATAACGTTCACCCACCTCAGAGGAGAGTGTTGAGGTTGAGGCTTTATGATGCACTGCTTGTAAGATGCATTTAGACCCAAAGGTGGAAGCTGTACTGTAAAGTCTGCAGTCATATTTCAAATGCTGAAATTCACCCTGTTAGAATTCTCTTCCCTCTTCACTTCCTTTTAAGCCCAACTGTAGCTCTTGGTTAACTTTTCTAAAAAAAATTATCTTCATGGAAAGCATATTCAATTTTATAGAATTCCCTTCATTCCATATGTATGAGTGTCAGTTGAAAGGCTGAGATAAATTATTCCTTTCTTAAATAACTATGTAATAGCTGTCATGGTAGGTTATGTTTAATATAAAAATAATTGGTAGACTAGAGCAGTGTCCAGCCTCGGCACTTAATAGATATTTAATTATAATAATGACAAGAGCAACTAAGGACTACGGCAGGATCTTGGAATTGTAGAATCAGTGTCTGCAAATGCAGGAGCTGGGGAATCAACTTATTGTAAGTAAGGAAAATACGTTAAGTTTCCTGTAATTGCAGTTGGGCATACTTAAAATTTTAGGTAAACAATGGGGTTGAGAGTGAAGAGTTGAGTAGTTGTTTTATCTAGTTTTTTTTGTTTTTTGTTTTTAACATGTTTCCAGGTTTTTATCTAAATGGGCTAATACAGTACATACTGTTCTGTGTGGCTTCTCATGACATCCATGAATATTTTGCCTATATCAATAGTTGATTCCTAGTTATTTTCGAGTTGACTTCTATTGGATTCTGGCTGTCCCGGAGTGGATTTTCCACTCACCTGTGAGTGGATGAACACTTTGGGTGTCAAATCATATTTTCCGTAGTGGATTTTATAGCCATCGGTGGCATTCCTATTTAAGACTAGTGATGCTAATTTCAGGAAGAGAAGAGAACCAAATAGACATATCCAAGACCACAGAGGTAGATTGTTTTGTGGTTGAATTAGGAAGTCTACACAAGTAAGTGTGAATACCCAAAGGCTTGTATTTTATTTTTAATTCTCTAAGAGGGTATTTGTTATAATATCTGAAGGGGATTATGCATCTCATAGCATTGCAATGAATAAATGAATATTGTATTTTCTTCACTTTTTAAAAAATCCAATGTTGACTTACATTGTATAATATACAAATTTTTGCCACTTTATAGAGCAGACTTCCTTATGTTACATTTACTTTCATACTGGGTATATTTTATTTTACTTTATTTTTTATTGGTAGCGTCTTTCTGAGTAAAAAACAAATAATGAATTGGTAAGATGTATCTCATTCAATGTAAGAACCTAATGGTTAGAAAAGAAAAAGAAAGGTTTTTAGTTACTTACTTATAGTTTTTCTATACTGCTGAGTATTTTTCTTTCTACTTTATAATAATAACATTCCAAGAATTATTGAATATCAGACCATTTGTGGGAAGTTTGGGAATGTGTGTAAATTTCTTTAGAAATCTTTAAAAATTACTTCTATGTGTAGGTGAGAAACCGCATAAGAAAGCAGAAATCTAGTAACAAGTTTCTTCCAGCGGTGAATGAGTAAAATAAAACACATAAGGCACTGCTAAGTTTTAATTATTTAACTATTTTAATTAAAAAAATAAGATACTATCAGCTAAGGATAGCATAGCTTATATTCCAAATCAATAACTCTTTGAATGAGAAAGCCAGAATTTTGATTCATTAATATACAATGCAGCATTTGGTGTCATCCAAGAAGATACTTTTCATAAGTTCCCCCTATTCTAGTTGCAAGTACCGTTTGGTGTCTTTATTCTTTTCTTTGAGAGAGGGTCTCACTCTGTCGTCCAGCCTGGAGTGCACCAGTGTGACTGTAGCTTTCTGTAGCCTCGACCTCTGGGGCTCAAATGATCCTCCTGCCTCAGCCTCCCAAGTAGCTGAGACTACAGGTGCACACCACCATGCCTGGCTATTTTTATTTTATTTTGTTTTATTTCTTAGTAGAGACAAGGTCTCCCTATGTTGCTTAGGCTGGTCTCAAGCTCCTGGGCTCAAGCAATCCTCCTGCCTAGGCCTTCCAAAGTGCTGAGAATACAGGTGTGAGCCACCATGCTGGCCCTCTTATTCTAGTTTTACCATAACTAGTTCTAGTCTATAAATTCCCATTATTTTAGCTTTGTTTCACTGTGAGGAGGCGGTCATTCTGTTCCCTTGGAAACCCTTGGCCATGTCTGGAGACATTTTTGTTGTCACATTGGTGGGGCGTGGGTGGTCCTGGAACCTGGTGAATGAAGCTCAGGGACGCTGCTCAACACCCTACGGTGCCCAGGGCTGCCTGTGTCCTCCAGAAAAAAAAAATAAGCTCTTTTCTTCCATTCCCTATACCCCTGAAAAACGCGCAGTCCTACACGGAACCCACAGCGAATTTTCACCAAGCACGTGGCCACCAAGTCATCCAGCTCCAAATGTCAGCTGGACCAAGGTGGAAAAAGCCTGGTCCAGTGCATTTTACCCAGATCTTCAAAGCTCCTCTCACCCTTGTGTCTCCCCCATCCGTGTGGAGCTTTACTTCTGTATAGATCCTCAGGAATCGCCTCTGCTCTTGCTGCCTTTACAGACTCCCTCTCTAGGTTTGTGTCCTGAGCCAAGAAAGGAAGAAGAAATTCCAGTGAAAAGTGTGACAAATTACATTTCTCCACGTTAAAGGATTCAACCAACTGTTGAATCCTGATGAATTTTGTCTGGGTTGTGATTATGTCTTAGACTTTCTTGTCTAAACTCTACTATCATCAAGATAACTTGGTGAAAATTCACTGCAGGTTTCATTCAGGACAGCACAGTTTGCAGGTGTATAGAGAATGGAAGAAAAGAGCTTATTTTTTTTTATCTGGAGAACACAGGCACTTTCAAGAGTAGCTTCAGTGCCTATAATATTTTTGTTAATGAATATTAATGGAGTATTTTAATGAATGCAGAGACTGCTTTGGATTTTATTAGTTGACCTTAAACAGCACTTTGCTCATGCAGCCCAATTTACCTACATAGACCTGGGAGCACTGATGTTATTACCATCCTTCGTCATTGAGAACAGAAAGGTTAAGAAGGTGATGTCCGGGTAGTGTTGCTGTTTCCTGAGATGAAAGGTCTCATAAAAGTAATTATTGTTTTGGTTTCACCTGCGGTGGGGAAATGCCTTGTAGAATTATACAGTTCTACCATCAAAGTGACCCAGGAAACCGAAGTGACTGAGGGCATCTCTCTTGTTATTTTAATTTTAAAAATTTTACATCTTAGGCCAGATGTAGTGGCTCATGCCTGTAATCCCAGCACTTTGGAAGGCAGAGGCAGGTGGATCACCTGAGGTCAGGAGTTCTAGACCAGCCTGGCCAACATGGTGCAAACCCATCTCTACTAAAAATACAAAAATTATCTGGGCATGGTGGTGCACGCCTATAGTCCCAGCTACTTGGGAGGGTGAGGCAGGAGAATCCCTTGAACCTGGGAGGCGGAGGCTGCAGTGAGCCGAGATCGCGCCACTGCACTCCAGCCTGAGTGAAAGAGTGAGACGCCATCCCCCCCACCAAAAAATTACATTTTAATTGATAAATCATATTTATACATATTTTTAGGGTACATGTGATATTTTTATACCTGTATACAATGTGTAATAATCCAATCAGAGAAATCAGGATATTTATCACCTCATTTATCTTTTCTTTGTATTGGAAACATTACAATTCTTTCTTCTAGCTATTTTGAAATATGCAGTAAATTATCTAATCTCCCTATTTTATTTTTTATTTTTATTTTATTTTGTAATTTATTATTATTGTTTTTTCATAATAGAAATGGGGTTTCACCATGTTGCCCAGGCTGGTCTCAAACTGCTAAGCTCAAGCTATCCTCCCACCTCGGCCTCCCAAAAGACTGGGATTATAGACGTTAGCCACCATGCCCGGCATATTTTTGTTTCAATAAAATACAGCCAAGGTTTCACTATGTTGCCTAGGCTGGTCCTGAACTCCTGAGCTCAAGTGATCCTCCCACCTTGGCCTCCCAAAGTGCTGGGATTATAGGTGTTAGCCACCATGCCTGGCCTATTTTTAGTTTAATAGAATAAATAGAGAGAAGGTCTCACTAAGTTGTCCAGGCTGGTCCTGAACTCCTGAGCTCAAGAGATCCTCCCACCTCGGCCTCCCTAAGTGCTAGGATTACAAGCGTGAACCACCACACCTGGCCCCAGTCTCCCTATTTTAAAGGAAACAGCATTCCAGATTCAGTACGAAGACTTGCAAAAGCCACATATTGAATTAATGTGAAACAGGCATCATCTCTGGTTTTTTTTTTTAAGTTAAATTTTAAACAACTATTATAGATAAAGCTCAACTTGGCCAAAACCTGTCTTCACCACTGTGGCTCCTGACTTTACCTGGGGGTTGCAATTCCTATGAGCCTTTTCCTTCCAGATATCTGCCCCACTTTGATAAACATTAATGAAAAGGGAAATGTTGATGTGTGAATGCGTTAAATAAAAGGTATCATACTGTATATATTTTCAGAAAACTTATTTAAATTGAAAAAATACTGTACTATGTATCTTGGAAATCTACTGCTATTACTAGACATAGAACTATCTTACTCTTGATCTGATGCATAGAATCTCATAGTAGGAATATACACCAATGTATTTAGCCAATCTACTTCAAAGAGGGGAGATTTCAGTTGGTTTCAATATGACTCTACTTAAAGACAATGTTGGATGAAACATCCTTCCTCCATCCTGGCTCCCTGCACTGAGTGTGGGGCTAGAAGCACGAGTGCTTTGCTAAAATTTAGGCTCACTTTTAAGTCTTGATATTTAGTGGCAACTGAAGGTAACTTGCTGTGAATTCTTCTTATAACATATATTTTCACACTTTAAAAGTTTTTGGTGTTTTGATAGTGAGCCATTCTATCTCATTATCCTTAACATTTACTTTTTCTAGTTGATGGGAAAGTTAAAAATATTTTATGTGCCTATTGATAATTTGTAATTTTTGGGGTCTCTTTTCTAATTTATTTATCGAAAATATGGCCAGGTGGAGTGGCTCATGCTTGTAATCCTAGTTCTTCTGTTCCTGGACCAAACCGAGGGTTTGGCTGCTATTTCTTGCGGCTCAATAATGAGATGCAGATGAACTGAGAGAGAAGGGAGTTTTTATTTCTGTAACCAGGTACAGGGAGAAGGCCTAGAAATTATTGCCAGACCAACTCAAAGTTACAAAGTTTTCTAGAGCTTATCTACCTGCTAAGCAATGTGTCTATCAGTAAGTGTGCACTCATCTAAAGACATTAGTGATGAACTTCTTCTAATCTAGAACAAAGGTCTGAGTCCTGAAGACCTTCCTCTGGAGCCTCAGTAAGTTCATTTAATCTAAATGGGTCCAGGTGCTGGGGTGATTACCCTTATCTTGTCTCTCGCTAAATCATGGAGGTTTGAGGAGTTCTTTCAGACCCTCTATAAACTTGTTTGTGGAGGTCTGGGGAGTTTCATCAGACCCCCAATAAAACCTGTTTAATCCTAAACGGGTCCTGTTAAGAATGCCTTCGTTGTCTTGTCATGCTTCAAGGCCCAGGAGAGGCCTGGGCAGAACTCTTGGTGGGCTTTTGTGAGATTCCAGCCTTTGTATAAGGGCGCTGGCTCTCTCAGCTTTTAATATTGAACTTCACCACTCGGTCAGTGCTGAAACAGATGTCATGGAGGCCTGCGTTAGTGAGACCTGGCCTGCCACACTTTGAGAGGTCGAGGTGGGAGGATCACTTAAGGCCTTAAGGAGTTTAAAACCAGCCTGCAAAACATAGCGAGACCCTATCTCTACAAATAGTAAAAAAATTGCCAGGCATGGTGCACACTTCTAGTCCCGGCTACTCAGGAGGCTGAGGCAGAAAAATTGCTTCAGCCTATAGTTCGCTGTGCTCCAGCCTAGGTGACAGAGCAAGACTCTGTCTCAAAAAAAAAAAAAAAAAGGGAAATGTTACAGAGATTTTTTCCTTCCCTGTAACTCCTTTTTGCTTTGTCGATGGTCTATAAAACTGTTTTCAGTTATTTATATTAGTTTCTTGTGGCTGCTGTAACAAAATACCGCAAACTGGGTGACTTAAAATGACAGTTATTCTCTCCTGGTACTGGGGACCAGAAGTCTGAGATCCAGGTGTGGGCAGGGCTGGTTCCTCCTAAGGCCTCTCTCCTTGGCTTGGAGATGCTGTCTTCTCCCTGTGTCCTCACATGGCCGTCCCTGTGTGTGTGTGTGTCCTCATCTTCTCCCTTTATAAGGACACCAGTCAGATTGGATTAGGGCCAGCCCTGGTGATCTCATTTTACCTTAATTATCTGTTTAAAGGCCCTGTCTTTAAATACAGTCACATCCTGGGGGACTAGGAGCTAGGATTTCAACATATAACTTTTTGGCAGACACAATTCAGCCTATAAGAGATTCCACTCCTTATTTAATCAGAGGAATTTAAAGATAGCTACTTTAAAGTCCTATCCTGGTCGGGCACAGTAGCTCACACCTGTAATCCCATCACTTTGGGAGGCCGAGGCAGGCAGATGGCTTGGGTTCAGGAGTTCTAGATCAGCCTGGCCTGCATGGTAAGACCCCATCTCTACAAAAAATACAAAAATTAGCCTAGTGTGATGGCTTGTGCCAGTGGTTCCAGCGACTCGGGAAGCTGAGGCAGGAGGATGGCTTGAGCCCAGGAGGCAGAGGTTGCAGTAAGCCAAGATCCCATCACTTCACACTCCAGCCTGGGTGACAGAGTGAGATCCTGTGACAAAAAAAGTAAAAAAGGAAAGGCAGGAAGACAGGGAGGAAGGGAGGGAGAGGAGAGAGAAAAAGAAGAAAAGAAAGAAAGGAAGGAAGGAAGGAAGGAAAGAAAGAAAGAAAAGAATCCACTGCACTCCAGCTTGGGAGACAGAGCCAGACTGTCTCAAGAAAAAAAAAAAAGCACGAAACACAACAACAACAAAAAACAGATGACTCAGGATAAGATTCTTTCCCTTTCTTTCTTTCTTTCTTTCTTTCTTTCTTTCTTTCTTTCTTTCTTTCTTTCTCTCTCTCTCTCTCCTCCTTTCCTTCCTTCCTTTCTTCCTTCCTTCCTTCCTTTCTTTCTTCCTTCCTTTCTTTTTTGTCACAGGATCTCACTCTGTCACCCAGGCTGGAGTGCAGTGGTAGGATCTTGGCTTACTGCAACCTCCATCTTGTGGGCTCAAGCAATTCTCCTGCCTCAGCCTCCTGAGTAGCTGGGATTACACGCGTGTGCCACCACATCCAGCTCTTTTTTTTTTTTTTTTTTTGAGTAGAGATGGGGTTTCACCATGTTGGCCAGGCTGGTCTTGAACTTGTGGGCTCAAGCAGTCCTCCTGCCTTGGTCTCCCAAAGTGCTGTGATTACAGGTGTAAGCCACCGCGCCCAGCCGCTGAGTCATCTGCTAATTCACTGGACTTCTGCACAAATAATTTCCCTCATTCATTGCTGTTGGCTGACCCCAACTGTGTGGTGACTCCATAATAGGCCATCATTAACCATCATCAAATTCCCTGTGTCCTGGCTGGTGACATCTCACTCCAGTCTTATAGGTGTTTCTCTGGCACCCTCAGATGCTTCCAGCATTGACATTGCTAGCTACTGTGGGTTCCCATCTGTCTTCCTTCTCTTCTAGAGCATGACTTTAAAAAAACAAAAGAAAACATAAACAAAAACAAAAAACCATATCTTTCTTGTTTTTAAAGCATGACTGCGCTCTTGCAATCTTTGTCTAATTCTGTGACTTTGGCCCAGCCGTGTTCAAAGTCCACCATTCTGAAATGGAACCCAGAATTTGGTTTTGTGATGTTTGATCTTTCTTCTTCTCCCTTTTCCCACTGTAGTGTTTCCTTCTGTTTTTTTTTTTTTCCACTTAAGAGTCTCAATCAAGTTGATGATGTGTAGACAGTCCTCAGTGACCATTTATTTTATTTTTTAGTATAAAGTAAAGGGCTACAAGTGCGGCTATGTTGCATGGATAGATTGCACAGTGGGGAAGACCAGGTTTTCAGTGAATACATCACGAATAGTGTACATTGTACTCACTGAGTAATTTCTCATTCCTCATCACCTTCCCACCCTTCTGAGTCTCCAGTGTCTATTATTCCACTCTCTATGTCCATGAGGACACTGTGTTTAGCTCCCACTTATAAGTGAACATGCAGCATTTGACTTTCTGTGTCTGAGTTATTTCACTTAAGATAATGCCCTCCAGCTCCATCCATGTTGCTGCTAAAGACTTGATTTTATTCATTTTTTCTGGCTGAGTGCATGTGTGAGTGTATTATATAAACTGGATATACACAGATATATATATATCTCACATTTATTTAAAAACACACAGAATGGCCAGATATAGATATATGTATCTCAGATTTCTTACATATATAAATATGTGTGCGTGTGTGTGTATAATCTCTCATTTTCTTTTAACTTTTAATTTTTATTTTAAGTTCTGGGGTACATGTGCAGCATGTGCAGGTTTGTCACATAGGTAAACGTGTGCCATGGTGGTTTGCTGCACTTGTCAACCCACCACCTAGGTATTAAGCCCAGCATACATTAGCTATTTATCCTAATGCTCTCCCTCCCCCTACTCTTACCCCCCAACAGGCCCCAGTGTGTGGTGCTCCCCTCCCTGTGTCCATGTGTTCTCATTGTTCAGCTCCCACTTATAAGTGAGAACATGGGGTGTTTGGTTTTCTGTTCTTGTGTTAGTTTGCTGAAGATAATGGCTTCCAGCTCTATCCATGTCCCTGCAAAGGACATGATCTCTTTCCTTTTTACGGCTGCATAGTATTCCATGGTGTATAAGTACACACTTTTTAATCCAGTCTATCATTGATGAACATTTGGGTTGATTCCACATCTTTGCTATTTTAATCTCACATTACAGTCATGGCTACGGGCAGCAGAGTGAGACCCTGTCTCTAAATGAATAAATAAATAAATAAAAATAACCTTGATTCCTTGCTAGTTGGAGAGAACATTGCACTGGTGGCTAGGACCATTCATGGTGATCCTTACTAATCTTGTCCTGGAGAGATGCTTATTAAAGGAGGGTGGAAATGGCTAAATATGGTGAATAAAAAGACGATATTCTCAATTCATCCATGTTTCTGTCTCTGTCTCACCTAACTATTGGGAAACTCTGGATTTTCTCGGTGTGAACTTTATGGGAATACTAAATAGTATATTAGGCAGTGGAGTTACAGACATGAGAACCAGAATGTGATATTTTTTAAATGTCACATTGTGGGCAAGTCTAATATAGAGGTATTAATTGGAAGTTGTGGGGTAGAGAAAATGGACCACTAAACGGTTAGAACGTGGGCTTCACCAAATGCCCCAAGGTAGTTAGTCTTTAAGGATATTACATTTGAGAGCCATATTGGAGGGTTGAAGTTGAGAAGATGGCCTGGGGAATTGGCTAATTTACACACACACACACACACACACACACACACACACACACACAGACTCCTGAGAATCAGTCCTTATTTTGAATCCCAGCTCTTCAATTTACCAGCCTTGTGAAAGTCTTTTAAGCGATATGAAACCCAATTGCTTCTCCTAGAAAACGGAAGAGTCATCATTAACCCTTTGAGGCAAGCGGGGTGAGATATTTTGAGGATCAAATAGTAACAAGTGTGTGGAAATGCCTGGGGAATTATAAAGCTCTGCTAACATTATGGCGGTGCTATTAATCTTTATTATATATTATTTGTCTTGTGGGGCAGTTCCTCAGCCTATAAAGCCTCACCAACTTGGAATCACTTGAGGATTCTAGGCAGGGAAACACCAGATTGTACCACTGGTTGCATTCTTGTAAAAATATCTTAATTACAGCTGCTAAACATGTCTTCCTCCACCAAACAAGTCTGGCCTCCATGACTATCACAGGTCTATGGTGTTTCTTGTTGTGCTTTTTAAGGTAGATACCACAGTTGATCCAGTATGTGTAAAAACAAAGTGCTTTCCAGAACAGTACCACACATAAATTAGATCTGATACAAAGCAGTTATTGAATATATGCACATTCATTGATTACTGATTTACTTTACTGACACCAGAATAGTAGGTTTTTGTTGCTATACCAACGTAATTTCTTGTAACTCTGCCATTAGAATTAACCTGAGCTGCATAGACCATGCATAGAATTTTGCCTTATTCTTTGTGAGCAAATATCACTTATTTGCAAATACGTTTAAAGAATGTGCTGGGCTGGCCAGGCACAGTGGCTCACACCTGTAATCATAGCACTTTGGGAGGCCGAGGCGTGTGGATCACTTGAGGACAGGGGTTCAAGACCAGCTTGGCCAACATGGTGAAACCCTGTCTCTACTAAAAATACAAAAAATTAGCCGGGCATGGTGGTGCACACCTGTGGTCCCAGCTATTTGGATGGCTGAAGCATGAGAATTGCTAGAATCTGGGAGGCAGAGGTTGCGGTGAGTCGAGTCGCTGCACTACACCCTGGGCGATAGAACAAGACTCTGTCTCAAAAAAAAAAAAAAAAAAAAAGAATGTACTGGGTTTACTGGGTCACCACAAAACAATCTAGTTAAGCCTTTGGACCATTATCTGCCTAGCTATGAGGAAAACATTTGCTTTGCAGATGCTCTTATTTTATTCTTCTCTTCCTTAGATAATCTAAGAAGAAGCCATGAAGCAATTGCTGTATGACTGGTGAGCTGGCAAATTCACGAACATTCATCACTCTCCATTTCTAGAGAGAAGGATTCTTTGTCAAGGTTTTCTCTATCCTGGAGGACTTGGGTTAAATATGTGCTTAAAATGTCCTTTATGAGGGTGGATTATCAATTATTCCTCATATTTTATTCAAGCTGTGCTTTCTATTTTTTGTCTTTTATTTATTTATGTAATTTTTTTCTTTTTTATAGAGATTGGGTCTCACTATGTTGCCCAGGCTGGTCTCAAACTCCTGGACTCAAGGGATCCTCCCATCTCGGCCTCCCTAAGTGCTGGAATTAGAGGCATGAGCTGCTATGCCCAGCCTACTGTCTATATTTTCAAGCCATAACTAAATTCACACTGGTTTATGATGTTCATATCATCTTTGTGGATTTGTATTTTTATTATTCTATAATAGTCTTGCCATTCTATATTAATGATTTTTCAATTGTAATTTTCTTCTGGCTGATGTTATTATTGTTACAAGTTTCTTTTGATTACTACTTGGCTGGCCTACTTAGATGTTTACATCTTTTTAGTTTCAAGTTTTGTTTGTCATTAGGTTTTAGGTGTGTCCTTTAAGAAAGACATAGGACAGATTTTTAAAAATTAGTATGGGATTCTTTAATAGGCAGGTAAACCCACCCACATTTGTTATAAATATTAAGATAGTTGATCTTATTTCTGTCATCTTACATGCTATCTTATATTTTCAAGATTCTCCTGTGGTTTTCTTTTTTCCCCTCTTGCTTTTTACGGGCTGCATTAAGGGTTCTCTGTTTCCTGGCTGATATGGTTTGGCTGTGACCCCACCCAAATCTCAGGTTGAATTGTAATAATCCCCACGTGTCAAGGGAGGAGCCCAGTGGAGATAATTGAATCATGGCAGTGGTTTCCCCCACACTGTTCTCATGATAGTGAATGAGTCTCATGAGATCTGATGGTTTTATAAATCGGAGTTCCCCTGCACAAGCTCTCTTGTCTGCCTCCATGTAAGATGTGCCTTTGCTTCTCCTTTGCTTTCCACCATGATTGTGAGGCCTCCTCAGCCATGTGGAACTGAGTCTATTAAACCTCTTTCCCTCCCACCTGTAATCCCAGCACTTTGGGAGGCCGAGGTGGGCAGATCACGAGGTCAGGAGATCGAGACCATCCTGGCTAACACGGTGAAACCCCATCTCTACCAAAAATACAAAAAATTAGCCGGGCGTAGTGGTGGGCGCCTGTGGTCTCAGCTACTCGGGAAGCTGAGGCACAGGAGAATGGTGTGAACCTGGGAGGTGGAGCTTGCAGTGAGCTGAGATCGTGCCACTGCAGTCCAGCCTGGGCAACAGAGAGAGACTCTGTCTCAAAAAAAAAAAAAAAAAAATTACCCAGTCTCAGGTATGTCTTTATTAGCAGTGTGAGAGCAGACTAATACACTGGCCCATCCTTCTCCCCTCAAGTGGCCTGGTAACTGTACCTCATGTTTCCCTTAATCATATTAACATCATTATTAACTTACCAAAATATGATGGTTAATCTCTATTTCCAGCTTCCTTTTGAAGAAAGGAAAGACTGGAGAATGTTTGAACACTACAGTCCTACCCCCCCCGCCCCACCTTCCTCCATGTAATTACCGCTTAGTGAATTATTTACTCCTTTCCAAAATAATAATAATTAATAATAGTTTCTGTCAATGCGTATTTAATGTTATCAACATGTTTTATCTCTTTTCAACATCTTTTCTTATGTCTACCCTTTTATTTTTATTTATTTATTTTTGAGACAGAGTCTTGCTCTGTCACCCAGGCTGGAGTATAGTTGTGTGATCTCAGCTCACTGCAACCTCCACCTCCCAGGTTCAAGCGATTCTCTTGCTTCAGCCTCTCTAGTAGCTGGGATTACAGGCACATGCCACCATGCCTGGCTAATGTTTGTATTTTTAGTAGACAAGGGGTTTCACTATGTTGGCCAGGCTGGTCTCCAACATCCAACCTCAAGTGATCCACCTGCCTCGGCCTACCAAAGTGTTGGAATTACAGGCATGAGCCACTGCACTTGGCCTGTCTACTCTTTCTTTCTAAGATAAGTTTGCCTTTTGCTGAAAATATTCCTTAGTAGATTTTCATCAAGAGTTTTTGGGTTCATGTACAATCCAAATGCCTGTAATCCCTATTCATTCTTCAATGATGTATTAGAAGGGTTTGGAACTCTGAGTTCAGAGTGACTTTTGTCTCAGCACTCTGGAAGCAATGGTCCCTGGTCATCAGGCATCCACTGTGGCTGTTGGGAAGTCTCTTGACATTCCAGTTATCCTCCCATTTTAGGTTATCTGTGGTTGTGTTTAAACCAAGTGCCTCTGTCTCCATCATTGCCCTTTACTGAGCTAGGTCTAACTGGAGGTTTTTAATTTTTTTAACTGGGTTCAGTCTGAAAACTTATGTCTGTCTTCAATCCTGAAAAATTCTTAGCCAAGATATCTTTCAATGTATCATCTCCCTATCCTCATCCTTAAACCCTCTTAATAGTAGGCTGGGACTTTTTGTCCAAAACCATAGAATGTACAACAGCAAGAGTGACCCTTAAATTAAACTATGGACTTTGGGAGATAATGATTTCTCAATGTAGGTTCATTGATTGTATCAGATAATGTACCATCTTGTTGCCGGGTGTTGATAATGGAGGAAGCTATTACATATGTAGGGGCAGGGGATATGTGGGAACTTTCTGTACCTATGCTCAATTTTTCTGTGAACCTAAAACTGCTCTAAAAAATAAGTCTATTTAAAAAAAAACATGAGCTTGAGATTTAATAAAATAACTACTATTAATATTTAAAAAAGAAATAGGTCAGACACTGTGCCTCACACCTGTAATCCCAGCACTTTGGGAGGCTGAGGTGGGAGGATTGCTTGAGCTCAGGAGTTCAAGACCAACCTGGCCAACCTAGTGAGACCCCCATCTCAATTTAAAAAGTTTTTAAAATAAAAATATAAACATGAAATAGAAGGGAAGATGGATGGATACAAAAGGATTTATGATATAATATTTGAGGTTGAATTAGGAGGACTTGGAATTGATTGAATGGAATTTGGAGTTGGGGAACCTGACTGAGGGGATATTGGTCTTCAATTCATAGTGATCATTTTTGATCAATGGCTGTTGTGAATATTTCAGGATATTGTACAATTCAGCTGTTACAAGAGGGTTCTTTTACAATCTAAAATTTAGGCCGGGCGTGGCGGCTCACACCTGTAATCCCAGCACTTTGGGAGGCCGAGGCAGGTGGATCACCTGAGGTCAGGAGTTTGAGACCAGCTTGGCCAACATGGCGAACCCCATCTCTACTAAAAATACAAAAATTAGCCAGGCATGGTGGTGCACACCTGTAGTCCCAGCTACTCAGGAGGCTGAGGTGGGAGGATCGCTTGAACCTGGGAGGCAGAGGGTACGGTAAGCTGAGATCGCGCCATTGCACTCCAGCCTAGGTGACAGAGTGAGAGACTCCGTCTCAAAAAATACATAAATAAATAAATAAATAAATAAAACTTAGTAGATCTATTCCAACATTGACCCATTGAAAAATAAAATAAAATTTAGTAAAATCTGCCTTTCATTGAACTAATTGACAAAAAAAATTTAGCAGAATCTCAAAAATGTTAAATTTTCTTTCATAGATTTTAAATGATTTCTAGATTGTTTTTGAAGTGGAATTTTTTCCACCTGATTTCTTCTATGGACATATGTTCTTGATGAACCAAAGGAGAAAACAGTTTCTATACACACATGTGTTCCATCCCCAAATATCAGTGTTTCAGCATCTAGTTCTGGGCTTAGATCTAATAAGTTACTGGAGCTTCTGTTATAATTGCCCCCACCCCGCTCCATGTGGCTTAGAGAAAACCTTTGAGGTTATAAAATGTATTAAAAAGTACAACTGAACACTTGAAAAATCAAAACTGACTCGCTCTTAGTCTCTGATTTTCCATTTTGCTTACTTTTTTTTTTTTTTTTTTTTTGAGAGAGAGAATAGTTTAATAAAGCTCTATCAGCCAGGCGCGGTGGCTCACGCCTGTAATCCCAGCACCTTGGGAGGCCGAGGCAGGTGGATCACGAGGTCAGGAGATCAAGACCATCCCGGCCAATGTGGTGAAACCCCGTCTCTACTAAAAATACAAAAAACTAGCTGGGCGTGGTGGCGGGCGCCTGTAGTCCCAGCTACTCGGGAGGCTGAGGCAGGAGAATGGCGTGAACTCGGGAGGCAGAGCTTGCAGTGAGCCGAGACTGCGCCACTGCACTCCAGCCTGGGTGACAGAGCGAGACTCTGTCTCAAAAAAAAAAAACAAAAACCCTAAAGCTCTATCACTCAGCTTCAAAAAAAAAAAAAAAAAAAAAAGAATACGTGAATACTGACAGAGTTAAACCTTGGAAAGTTTCTTTTCTAAAAAGGAAACTTTAAAAGTTTTTATTTTTAATTGACAAATAATAATTGTTTATAGGCTGGGCACGATGGCTCACACCTCTCAGCACTTCAGGAGGCCGAGGTGGGAGGATCACCTGAGGTCAGGAGTTCAAGACATGCCCGGCCAACATGGCGAAACGCCATCTCTACCAAAAAAAATACAAAAATCAGCTGGGCATGGTGCCACACACACATACACACACACACACACACACCCCTATAAGCCTCATAAATATGAACAATTATTATTATTTTTTGAGACAGAGTCTCTCTCTGTTGCCCAGGCTGCAGTGCAGTGGCGCGATCTTGGCTCGCTGCAACCTCCGCCTCTCAGGTTCAGGCAATTATCCCTGCTTCAGCCTCCCGAGCAGATGGTATTACTTTTTTTTTTTTTTTGAGACGGAGTCTCACTCTTGCTACCCAGGCTGGAGTGCAGTGGTGCAATTTCAGCTCACTGCAACCTCCGCCTCCTGGGTTCAAGTGATTCTCCTGCCTCAGCCTCTGAAGTAGCTGGGACCACAGGCGCGTGTCACCATGCCCGGTTAATTTTGTATTTTTAGTAGAGATGGGGTTTCACCATGTTTGTCAGGCTGGTCTCAAACTCCTGACCTCAGGTATTCCACTTGCCTTGGCCTCTCAAAGCACTGGGATTACAGGCATGAGCCACTGTGCCCGGCCTTGGTTACATTTTTATTCAATAAAGTAAACAAAAAAGTTTTTTTTGAGATAGGGTCTTGCTCTATTGTCTAAGCTGGAGTGCAGTGGTGCATTCATAGCTCACTGCAATCCTGACCTCTCAGGCTCAAGCAATCCTCTCATCTCAGCCTCCTGAGTAGCTGGGATTATAGGAATGCATCACTATGCCCAGCTATTTTTGTATTGTTTGTAGAGATGGGGTTTCACCATGCTGCCCAGGCCAGTCTCAAACTTCTGGGCTCAAATGATCCACCCGCATTGGCCTTCCAAAGTGCTGGGATTACAGGCATGAGTCACAGCACCCGGCAAAATTCAATTTTTAGAGCTTACCCTCAACTGTAACCCCTGTTATAAATTTTAAGCCTCTGATGTCACTAAAACAATATCAAAAGATGTTATAAGAGTTAAACCTCATCATGCTTGCAAAATGAATTGGTAAAATATGATGCCATATTCGTATAGAACAATGGTCTCCAACATTTTTGGCACCAGGGTCTGGTTTTGTGGAAGACGGTTTTTCCACAGACAGGAAGGGGGTGCAGGATGGTTTCAGGATGATTCAAGCACATTACATTTATTGTGCACTTTATTTTTATTATTATTACACGATAATATATAATGAAATAATTATACAACTCATCGTAGTGTATGATCAGTGGGTGCCCTAAGCTTGTTTTCCTGTGACTAGATGATCCCATCTGGGGGTGATGGAAGACAGAGACAGATCATCAGGCATTAGATTCTCATAAAGAGCACACAACCTAGATCCTTTGCATGCACAGTTCACAATAGAGTTCTCGCTCCTATGAGAATCTAATGCTGCTACCGATCTGACAGGAGGTGGAGCTCAGGCAGTGATGCAAGCAATGGGGAGCGGCTGTCAATACAGATGAAGCTTCACTCATTTGCCCACCACTCACCTCCTGCTGTGTGGCCTGGTTGCTAACAGGCTACGGACCAGTACTGGTCCATGGCCAGGGGATTGGGGACCCCGGTATAGAACATTAGTTTTTGTTGTTGTTGTTTAATCTAGTTTCTGAGTAAGACAACACAGGTACGTTGTACAGTGAGAACTGATAACGAATATCACTGTTTCATATGTTAAGTTATCTAAAATGCAAATGTTAATTGATAGTGCCTGGTTTTTTGCTTGCTTGTTTGTTTGCTTATTTCTAAAAATGCTTTCAGGAGCTGCTGGCTGTCAGTGTCCCTGTGCTGTTTGTTTTGCGGTGTTGATGGCACATTTATGACAAGAAACGCCAGACCCAACATTGTCCTGCTGATGGCAGATGACCTTGGAGTGGGGGATTTGTGCTGCTACGGTAATAACTCAGTGAGGTAAAGATGGACTCTGACCCCCTCCCTGTATGTGGGAGTCTCCCTTACCACAGTGTTCACGTCTTTGCCGTTGCAGAGAAGGGTTTCTGGAGAGAAGTCATTGTCTGATGTTATCGGCAGGAATAGCAGAGGTCACTGGGGAAAATTGCAAAATGTCAGGAGACCACTTAACCTCCCAGTTTCCTTAGATTCTAGCTGTTGGTGGTGGCGTTTTCATTGTTGGGCAAAATTTACATTTAAAAATTGGCCTTTTTTGATCAGGCATGGCGGCTCAAGCCTATAATCCCAGCACTTTGGAAGGCCAAGGTGGGAGCATTGCTTGAGCCCAGGAGTTTGCGATCAGCCTGGGCAACACAGGGAGACCCCGTCTCTACAAAAATAATAAAAAAAAAAATCTACTGGGACATGGTGGCGTGTGTCTGTGGTCTCAGCTACTCAGGAGGCTGGGGCAGGAGGATTGCCTGAGCAAGGGAGATTGAGGCTGCAGTGAGCTATGATCCCACCACTGCACTCCAGCCTGGGTGACAGAGGGAGACTCTGTTTAAAAAAAAAAAAAAAAATCACCTTTTAACCATTTTAAAGTGAACAATTCAGTGGCATTTGGTACATTCACAGTGTTGGACAACCGTCACCCCCACAAAGAAGACCCCCATTTCCCATCCTATCCCCATGCCCTGTTAACCACAAATGTACCCTCTGTCTCTATGGATGTGTCTCTTCTTAGAATTTCATATACAAGTAATCATATAAAGTATTTATTTTCTCAGGCTGCCGTGACAAAGGTCCACAGACTGGTTGGCTTAGATAACATCAGCTTATTCTCTCACAGTCCTGGAGGCTGGAAGTTCAAGATCAAAGTGTGGGCAGGGCTGGTTCCTCCTGAGGCCTCTCTCCTGTCCTTGTAGATGCCGTCTTCTCCCTGTGTCTTCACAGGGTCGTCCCTCTGTGTGGGTCTGTGTCCTCATCTCTTCTTCTTATGAGGTGTCTTAGTCTATTTCAGGCTGCTATAAAAGAATACCATAGACTGGGTGGCTTAGAAACAACAGACATTGATTCTCCCACAGTCCTGGAGGCTGGAAGTCTGAGATCAAGGTGTCTGCAGGGCTGGTTCCTCCTGAGGCCTCTCTCCTGGGCTTGGAGATGCCGTCTTCTCCCTGTGTCCTCACAGGGTCATCCCTCTGTGTGTGTCTGTGTCCTCATTTCCTCTTCTTATAAAGACCCCAGTCCTATTGGATAAGGGTCCACTTTAACGACCTCATGCTACCTTAATCACCTCTATAAAGACTCCATCTTCAAATACAGTCACATTCTGAGGTCCTGGGGGTTAGGACTTCAGCACAGGAATTTGGGAGGGACACAATTTAGCTCATAACATATGGTAAGTGGTGTTTGGTGACTGGCTTCTTTCACTTAGCGTGATGTTTTCAAGGTTCATTCATATTGTAGCATGCGTCAGCACTTCATTCCTTTCCATGGCTGAATACTTTTTCATTATATACATACACCACATTAGTCTACAGTTTTAAAAATATCTTCCTTGAATTACTTCTAAAGTCTCTGGTACCCGGGGCTCTTTATTTCTCTACTCTCTATCGATAGACCAATCTGGCTCTTGTAAAAATACATAGCATCTTTTAGTGTGGATTTAAATAACATTGTTTCTTCTTGGAATGCAGATCACAGTCTAGTCCTATATCTTAAGCATATATTTGTTGATTGAAAGGCATTGGTCTTCTTCTTCTTATTTTCTTTCTTTCTTTCTTTCTTTCTTTCTTTCTTTCTTTCTTTCTTTCTTTCTTTCTTTCTTTCTTCCCTTTTTCTTTTCCTTTCTTTCCTCTATCTCTTTTTTTTCCTTTTATTTTTAAGACAGGATCTCATTCTGTCATCCAGACTGGAGTGCAGTGGCATGATCTTGGCTCACTGCAGCCTTGACCTCCCAGGCTCAAGTGATCCTCCCTCCTCAGCCTCCTGAGTAGCTGGGACTATAGGCATGAGCCCCCACACCTGCCTAATTTTTGTGGTTTTTCTTTTGTTTTGTTTTTTTTTTGTTTTTTGTTTTTGTAGAGGTGGGGTTTTGCCATATTGCCCACCCTGGTCTGAGCTCAAGTGTTCAGCCCCTCTTGGCCTCCCAAAGTGCTGGGGTTACAGGCGTGAGCCATCACACTCAGCCTCCATTATCATCTTTCTGTGGGATTATGGAAAAAAAATGTTGTACCCATGGGATCAAGATTGGATATGGTTTAGCTTTTAGGAGAACAGGCACGTCTTTTTTTTAACCTATAAGTTTTACAAAATTTTTGCAATGTATTAGACAAACAAAATGGGAAATAAATTAAACTCCAAAATGTCACAATTTGGTCATAAAATAGGTCAATTTTACCGTAAGATATATATTAATGGGAGGCTGAAGTGGGAGGATCATTTGAAGCCAGGAGTTTGAGACCAGCCTGGGCAAAATAGCAAGACATGTATCTCTGCATAAAATTTTAAGGCCAGGTGTGGTGGATCACACCTGCAATCCCAGCAGTTTGGGAGGCTGGGGAAAGTGGATCACTTGAGGTCAGGAGTTCAAGACTAGCTTGGCCAACATGGTGACACCTCATCTCTACTAAAAATATACCACTGGGCGTGGTGGCTCATGCCTGTAATCCCAGCTAGTCAGGAGGCTGAGGCAGGAGGATCACTTGAATTGGGAGGCAGAGGTTGCAGTGAGCTGGGATCGCACCACTGTACTCCAGCCTGGGTAATAGAGTGAGACCACGTCTCAGAAAAAAAATTAAATTAAATACAAATTTAAATAAATTAGTAGGGCATGGTAGCGCACACCTGTGGACCTAGCTACTTGAGAGGCTGAGGTGGGAGGATCACTTGAGCCCAGGGAATTTAAGGTTGCAGTGAGCTATAACTGCACCACTACACTCCACCCTGGGCAACAGAGCAAGAGACTGTCTCTTAAAAAAATATGAAACACATTAAAATTTTACTTAATCTAAATTACCCATTAATTTTAGGTCCTTGATAAGAAGAAATTGGCTAATTTTTCCATTGAAATACATTTTTTTCTCAGACTCATAAAACTGTATACCGAGTGACCTGTATTCATTTGTAATAGTTTTGACTAAAGATATATTTTAAACTTATGTTTCCATTTGCTTCTAACCATCAATGCATATAAGGAAATAGACAGATTAAAGTTTTAAAAAGATGGATTTTAGGTTTACCAGAAATAGAGTCAACTTGACCCAAAATAGAATAGCTTTGATCCTTGATCATTGTATTGAGAATTTTTAGAAACTCACCTGCTGAATTCTTCTTTGGTCTGCAGCACACCTAATATTGACCGCCTGGCAAGTGAAGGAGTGAGGCTTACCCAGCATCTCGCAGCTGCTTCCATGTGCACCCCAAGTCGGGCTGCCTTCCTGACCGGCCGGTACCCCATCAGATCAGGTGAGGCAATAAAAAGGCAGCAACATTTCAGTCTCACCAGAATGCATTCTAATGATTAGTTTTTGCAAATCTTTATAAGAATTCTCAAAAGGTCACTCAGAGTATTAGGGATCTAAATTCAAAGGTGGTTGTTATCCCTGGGCAGCTTAAATATGTGTGCCTCTCACCAGGTACCACTGCACCTGCTCATCTCTGTGCATATAGCGACAGGGTTTAGGCCTCTTGGGGGCAATTTGCCAACTTATGGTCAACACTCCCATTTTCAGGTACTTGTGCTAAGATTTCTCAAGAGACCCCTGATGTCTTTAAGCTAGCAGAGACCATGCAGTGGTTCTGAGATAAGTGGATCAAATCCACCTCTGTGGATGAGATTGGAAAACTAGACACAGTTGGGAAAAAAGGTATAACTGAGAAAACAAAAAGGAAATGAAACTTTTACATACTCCCTTACTTGACCCCATCATTTCAAGATTTAGACTTACCAAGTTGATATAACGACAATTAAATGTGTTCCTTTGCTGCTTAGCTTAGGATCAATACCTACAAACATCCACTCAAGATCAATATTATGAACAACAATTTTTATACCCAGCTAAAATATAGTGGTGCCCTTAGACACTATTGAAGTGTTCATGGTTATCAGACTCTATGTGAAATATCGTGTCATGCTGTTGCATTTTGTTTAATTCTAGTATTTGCTTGTCATAATTTTAGTATACCTGCCTTCACAGTTTAATTTTTCAGTGAAAAATTTTTCTGTATGAATTTTCTTCCTCCTAAGTAGTAGATTCTCATCCAATACATTCAAGGAATGAACTAATTAGGTTAATGAGAATTATACTAAAATTAAGAGTAAACATTAAAAGTTTTTGTCCCATAAATATTGATTTATTATTATCTTTTTTTGTTGCCTAATGACCTTCTTTCATAATTCAAGGTTCTCCATTTTGTTCAAAATAGTTTGGTTTCTAGATAAGCAGTCTCTATATAACACAGTACCGTGTATGAAGAGGGATAAAGATATGAATTTGTATGAGTTTCCAAAAAAAACTACACTTATAATTTCAGGATTTCAGGATTTTTTCTTTTTTTCTTTCTTTCTTTTTTTTTTTTTTTGAGACAGACTCTTGCTCTGTCATCCAGGCTGGAGTGCAAGGGTCTGATCTCAGCTCACTGCAATCTCTGCCTCCCTGGTTCAAGTGATTCTCCTGCCTCAGTTCCTGAATAGCTGGGATTACAGTCATGCACCACCACACCCGGCTAATTTTTGTATTTTTAGTAGAGATGGGATTTCACCATGTTGGCCAGGCTGGTCTTGAATTCCTGGCCTCATGTGTGATCCACCTGCCTTGGCCACCCAAAGTGTTGGGATTACAGGAGTGAGCCACCATGCTCTGCCTAATTTCAGGGAATTTTAAGTATTGATTATGGTGAAATAAAATTTATTTTTAAAAATTAAGAAAAAAATTAGGTGATTGGTGGAGAGATTTCAAGTCATTGCCATGTGTATATTTTTAATCATTTGACACAAACGGTTCAGTTTAATTCATTCTACTTATCAAAAATTTCAGCAAAACAGTTCAACAGCAAGATAATGGTCTAATGCTTCCCTTAATAAAACTGTTTCTCTTTCCTATCAATGACACTATCTAGAGTCTACTTTCTTCTTCTTCCAAGGTAGGATCCTTGAAATATACTTTTTTCTTTTGAGATGGAGTTTCCTTCTTGTCACCCAGGCTGGAGTGCAATGGCATGATCTCAGCTCATTGCAACCTCTGCCTCCCAGGTTCAAGTGATTCTCCTGCCTCAGCCTCCTGAGTAGCTGGGATTACAGGTGCCTGCCACCAAGCCCAGCTAATTTTTGTATTTTTAGTAGAGACAGGGTTTCACCATATTAGCCAGGCCGGTCTCCTGATCTCAGGTGATCCAACCACTTTGGCCTCCCAAAACACTGGGATTACAGGCGTAAGCCACTGAGCCCGGCCTGAAATTATCATTTATTTATTTCTTGCTGATCTTCACTTGTGGTTTTCTTGTGAATTCCTTTTAAACTATAGGTGTATAATATTGTCCACCAGTATAAATCTACATAAAATTATATGGAGGCCAGGCACGGTGGCTCACATCTTTAATCCCAACACTTTGGGAGGCTGAGGTGGGTGGATCACGTGAGGTCAGGAGTTAGAGACCAGCCCGGCCAACATAGTGAAACCTCGTCTCTACTAAAAACACACACACAAAAAATAGCCAGGTGTGGTGGCACACATCTGTAATTCCAGCTAGGGAGGCGGAGGCACGAGAATTGCTTGAACCTGGGAGGCGGAGGTTGCAGTGAGCCGAGATGTTGACACTGCACTCCAGCCTGGGTGACAGAGTGAAACTCCATCTCAAAAAAAAAAAAAAAAAAAAAAAAAAAAATATATATATATATATATATATATATATATAATATATATATGTATGTGTATATACACACACACACATATGAAAAAGAAATTGTCACTCCTACACTTCTTCATTTCAGATTCTCAAGGATACTTTTAAAAATGTATTTATACCCAGCTAAAATGCAGTAGTGTCCTCAGATACTATTGAAACATTGAAGGTTAGCAGCCTCTATATGAAAAACTAACGAAGGTTATTTGTTGTTAGTCTGAAATTCAAATGGATATAACTAAGTGTCCCGTATTTATTCTGGCAACCCTAATTCCAAGGGAATGTTTGCATTTAGCAAGTGAAAAAAGGAGGGTCAAGGACGTACAGCCAGAAAGCAACAGAAAACTTGGGGAAGAATGGCTTTGAGGAGGTGCGGGAGGAGAGGACTTTAAGCATGTCGGGATAAATTCGGTATTAGCAAAGACTATGGTGCTAACTTATTGACTTCTGTGAATTTAGGGATGGTGTCTGCCTACAACCTGAACCGTGCCTTCACGTGGCTTGGTGGGTCAGGTGGTCTTCCCACCAATGAAACGACTTTTGCCAAGCTGCTGCAGCACCGTGGCTACCGCACGGGACTCATAGGTATGGCGCCGGAACTCTGCCCGTGGAAACGTGATCCTGCAGCCTCTCTGTCATCGTGTCTAAGGTGTTTCCGGGGATGTTGGCTTTGTGCGCGCCAGTTTGACCGACTTCTCTTTGAGATAAGACACTTGGAGAAGGAAATGATCACACATTGATTGAGCATGTGTAGAATCGAGGGCATAGTATTGGAAAAACAATGAGAACAGAAAGCAAACAAGTGTATCCAAAGTTGCCACTAAAATGGAATGTTGTGTTGGAGGGATACGATGTTTGTGACACCATTATTAGCAGAAAAACCAGTAAATTTGTAGAGAAGTACTGTTGAAATGGGAAACTTACAGCATTAAGAGTTGTCAAATGGAGGCAATTGCTGGTCGACTTAGATCACTTAATATTCTATGCCCTTTTGGCGGGGGTGGGGGTTTGGGGCGGGGGGACATGAGCTTGTGAGGGAGCCTTTCACCGAAAAATAAGTTTGTAGAATTCCAGTCCTAGAAGATAGTCCTCTAAGAATAACTTGTGTGATCAAATCCTTTTGGGAAATGCTACTCAAAAGCATTGTACGGTCCACTATTTTTGAGGATTCCTAATGTGAATTGTAAGCCACAGCTCCGAGATATCCCCAGTTAAAAAAAAGGTTAAGAAATTTTCTATCAGTAGGGCATGTATTCCCATGCAACTCCCAGCAGCGTCCTGTGAGTGGGAATTCTCTAGATTAGCTTTGAGCAGCGTTCTTACATCATTAGAGCACGGGATTCAGATCTGACTCTGCTATTATTCATTAATGTGACTCAGGCTTCTGAATAAATCTAGATAGCTGGGCACAGTGGCTCAGACCTGTAATCCCAGCACTTTGGGAGGCTGAGGCAGAAGAAGGCCAGGAGTTCAAGACCAGCCTAGGCCACCATAGCAAGACCCTGGATCTACAAAAATAAAATGTTAAAATTAGCTGGGCATGGTGGCACGCACCTATAGTCCCAGCTACTCAGGAGGCTGAGGCAGGAGAATTGCTTGAGCCAAGGAGTTCGAGGCTACAGTGAGCTATAATCATGCCACTGCGCTCCAGCCTGGGCAACAGAGCAAGACTCTGTCTCTTAAAAAAATAATCTAGACAATGTGTTTTTTATTCATAATAAAGGGTCTGGGAAGTGTTGAATATAATAATGTGTGCGGACAAATCAGAACGTGACCTGGCCCCCTAGAGTATGTGCTTGATAAAAGGAATTACTTGCATTATCAGAATCGTTTGGTTCTTGATGAAATTCTTTGGCTACTTTGTCATCCCTAGCTTGAGGACCTAGAAGAGGTGTTCCATCTATACATAAAATCTCGGTTACCTTTCAGTGAGATGGAATAAGAGGGTCGGAAGGCACTGCTAGATAAAAGCATGAATGTGCAAGGTGCACTGAAAGTCCTTGGTATTGTCCCCACCAAACAACCAAGACATCGATTCTGCCCTCCTAGCAAGCTCCAGATACCTGGAAAGTTTCTCATTGTTCATGAGGTTGTTTGGTACCAAGCAAAAGGTTTCTTCTGAATGAACACTAGGCTCCTCTCCTTGTCGCAAGCAAAGAGGCTCCTGCTGCATGGCTTTTGTCTGAAAGAGGCATATTGTAGGGAGAAGGCTGTTGGTGGCATGTCTATACCAGGGAGGTATTTGGGGATATCAAGAAAAAACCATGATGACAACAGAATGAAAGTTATATTTGACTTTTCCAAAGGGAAGCCCACATTCTAGAAACAGACCGGCATTGAATGCTGCCATGCTGCCATGGTACGATTTTATTTTACTTTTAGGCAAATGGCACCTGGGTTTGAGCTGCGCCTCTCGGAATGATCACTGTTACCACCCGCTCAACCATGGTTTTCACTACTTTTACGGGGTGCCTTTTGGACTTTTAAGCGACTGCCAGGCATCCAAGACACCAGAACTGCACCGCTGGCTCAGGATCAAACTGTGGATCTCCACGGTAGCCCTTGCCCTGGTTCCTTTTCTGCTTCTCATTCCCAAGTTCGCCCGCTGGTTCTCAGTGCCATGGAAGGTCATCTTTGTCTTTGCTCTCCTCGCCTTTCTGTTTTTCACTTCCTGGTACTCTAGTTATGGATTTACTCGACGTTGGAATTGCATCCTTATGAGGAACCATGAAATTATCCAGCAGCCAATGAAAGAGGAGAAAGTAGCTTCCCTCATGCTGAAGGAGGCACTTGCTTTCATTGAAAGGTATTTAGCCATTTCTTGCCTGATTTCCTGCATGGAAATTTTATTTTTATTTCATAGGAGGTCATCACACCTTGATAACATGGGCCTTTAAAAGTCTCTTGGAGAGAATGTGCGGCATTTGGCTTTCTGTTCCTGTATTAATTTGCTTAGAATAATGGCCTCCAGCTGCATCCATGTTGCTGCGAAAGACATGATCTCATTCTTTTTCATGGCTGTGTAGTATTTTGTGGGATATAATGGGAGCTAAACATTGAGCCTCCATGGACATAAACATGGAAACAATAGACTGCAAACTTCTAGAGGAGAGAGGGAGACAGGGAGACCAGGGGCACATGGTTGCAAGACTACCTATTGGGTGCTCTGCTTACCCCCTGAGTGCAATAGACCCACGTAACAAACTGGCACATGGAGACCCTGTATCGAAAATAAAAGCTGAGGAAAAAAAAACTTTAGGTGACATTTGTGATAGACTTGAGTCTCCTCTTAGGTAGAATTAAATAGTTAAATTTCCTGCAAATTTTGAATGCTCAAAAGGCAAAAAAACAAAAACCAAAACAAAAACAAAACATAAAAACATATTTTGCTCACCTCCCCATTTTTAATGTTTTAATTTTTTTTTTTTTTTTTTACTTTTTGGGACAGGATCTCACTCTGCCACCCAGGCTAGAGTGCAGTGGTGCAATCATGGCTCACAGCAGCCTCGACTTCCCAAGCTCAAGTGATCCTCCCACCTCAGCCTCCAGAGTAGCTGAGACTACAGGCACCTACAGGATGCCTGGCTAAATTTTGCATTTTTTTTTTAGAAATGGGGTTTTGTCATATTGCCCAGGCTGGTCTCAAGTTCCTGGGCTCAAGTGATTCACCCACTTTGGCCTCCCAAAGTACTGGGGATACACTACGCCTGGCCACTTACCCCTTTTTAAAAATGAAAACTAGAGTTGCCATATTTTAATCTATATTGCTTCAGTGTGGATTGTTATGTAAATTGATTAAACCTGGGGGGTAAAATTTTTTTTCTCTGTCTCAGACACAGCCGGAAGAGCTCTCTGTCCATAAACTATTGGATAGTGGCTCTGTATTTACAGATACCTAGTTTTAAGTTTTCTGTGTTCAACACAAGCTATGCAGGCATAACTATAATGAGCTCTCATCATCCCATACCAGCTCACTCCTACGTTACAAATTATTACTATTATTATTTGGAGACAGGGTCTCACTCTGTCACTCAGGCTGGAGTGCAGTGGTGCAATCATAGTTCACTGAAACCTCAAACTCCTGGGCACCAGTGATCCTCTCACCTTGGCCTCCTGAGTAGCTGGGACTACAGGTGCACATGACCACACCCAGTTAATTTTATAAAATTATTTTTCCATAGAGACAAGGTCTTGCTATGTTGCCCAGGCTGGTCTCGAACTCCTGGGTTCAAGCGATCCTCCTGCCTTGACCTCCCAAAATGCTGGGATTACAGGTGTGAGCCATTGTGCCCAGCCTGGGTTACAAATGAGGGGCACATTAAAGTTGTTGGTGTGGATTCTCATTGACACTGTTTGTCACCTTCCTTAGTGGGGTTGGCAGGGAGTGGAGAGGGGAGGATATATTGTTACTCCACCAGGCTGAAGGGTATGCAGTGGAATATCATTCACTCATATGCCCCTGTGCCCATCAGATTCATTATTTATTCCAACACAACCATGAGAACAGTGATCAGCCACCCACTCAGCTCTCCATTCATCTTACCTGCCCTTCCCGTCCCAACCCATTTGCTTGGGCTATCTTTTTGGGAATATATTCAATCTCCATCTCCTTCCCTTCTTTCTATGCTGGTTGTGAAAAATGTGTAAAGGAGTAGCTTTAGAATGACTGCATGTGACATTAAAATGCAAAACACAAGGTCAGGTGTGGTGGCTCATGTCTGTAATCCCAGCACTTTGGGAGGCTGAGGCAGGAGGATTGCTTCAGCCCAGGAGTTTGACACCAGACTGGGCAATATAGTGAGCTCCCATCTCTACAAAAAATGTACAAAATTAGCCAGGCTTGGTGGCGTGTACCTGTGGTCTCAGCTCCTTGGAAGGATAAGGTGGAAGAATCACTTGAGCCCAGGAGGTTGAGCCATGATTGCACCACTGCACTCCAGCCTGGGCAACAGAGTGAGACTTTGTCTCAAAATAAATAAATACATAAAATGCAGAACACAAAAAGCAAGATGTAAATGAGGGGAATTTATTTCTCTCTTGGGGTAGGCAGGCTACAGATACAGTGAGGTTATCTTGTTCTCTGCCATCCTTTGTGAGCAGCCTCATGGCCCAAGGTAGATGCCAAAGCTCCAGCCATCAGACTTATGTTCCAGGAACCATGAAGGAGGTGGAAGAAAGAAAGAAGGGAAAATGGAGAGTAAGGAGCATCAAATCCTTACTGTGGCACATCTGAGTCTGTCCTTAAGATATGATTCTTCTGAACTCATACCTAAAAGAACACTTTGAAACAATAGATGAGGAGAATTCATACTTTTTAACCCATTCAACAAAGATTAAAAGATTTATTAAGCTGCTACTTTATGTCAGATGCTAAACTGGACACAAGAGAGTATAAAATGAACTGCGTTAAACATTTTTGTTGTTGTTGTTAAGACAGGGTCTCACTGCGTTGCCCAGGCTGGAGTGCAGTGGTGTGATAATAGCTCACGGCAGCCTCCACCTCCCAGGCTCAAGCGAACCCCTTGCCTCAGCCTCCTGAGTAGCTGGGATCACAGGTGTGCCATTAAGCACAGCTATATTTTTGTATTTTCTGTAGAGACGAGGTCTTGCCATGTTGCCTGGGCTGGTCTCACACTCCTGGGCTCATGCAATGCTCCTGCCTCAGCCTCCCAAAGTGCAAAGAATATAGGCATGAGCCACTGTGCCTGGCTACATGAAACATTTTACTGGGAACACAAATGTTCTGTTATCCTTCATTCCTCCTCATATCCTTTCAACATAAATCTTGTGGTATTTACGACTCACAGGAGTGGTATTGTCATCTAAAGTACATAGAAAACCTCCGCCAGCTATTATGAGATCTTTTCATCAGTGCAGAATCGCATTTAAATGATGGAAATGACTTCATATTTGTGAAGGTAATTTTGGTAACTTTCTACCCCTTAGGTACAAAAGGGAACCTTTTCTCCTCTTTTTTTCCTTCCTGCACGTACATACTCCACTCATCTCCAAAAAGAAGTTTGTTGGGCGCAGTAAATATGGCAGGTATGGGGACAATGTAGAAGAAATGGATTGGATGGTGGGTAAGTATTCAGTAACAGAACTGTAAATATCTGAAGTACGGGCTACAGAAAAACAAATCTGTACTAACTGTCTCAAATTATGTCCAGCCCCTTGCATAGCATAGATACCTGAAAAGTATCTGTTTCATCCCTTAATTGGATTAAAAGCTGGCTTTTAATTGTTCAGCAATACCAGTGAAATATATTCCCCAAGATAAGTCACAGTTTGTAAATACAAGTTTTCCCATCTTTAAAATAAAGACAGCCACTTTTCTGAAAAACTCATTGGCAAGATAAAGAAAGCTGCACTGTAAAGTATATTGTAATTCCTGGCCGGGCACGCAGTGGCTCACACCTGTAATCCCAGCACTTTGAAAGGCCAAGGCTGGCAGATCACTTGAGGTCAGGAGTTCTAGACCAGCCTGGCCAACATGGTGAAACCCCATCTCTACTGAAAATACAAAAATTAGCCAGGCATGGTTATGCGGGCCTGTAGTCCCAGCTGCTCGGGAGGGTGAGGCAGGAGAATCACTTGGATCCAGGATGCAGAGGTTGCAGTCAGCCAAGATGAGACCACTGCACTCCAGCCTGAGTGACACAGCGAGATTCTGTTTCAAAAAAAAAAAAAAAAAAAAGAATATTGTAATTTCAATTCCCAATTATTTTGATGGATATAAAAGGGAACGTTATTCTGATTAGTCAGTTCTACAGGAAATACATAGAAAATTGGGATGGGGATTTAACACAACTAAAGCAACTTATTTCAAAGGCATAGTGTTCACTATAAAGAAATGCTAAGGATAATAAATGAGCAGGTGGGAAGAGTTACTGTATGCATTCCAGAATAATAAATAGCTGTGCTAGTTGAATTGCATTTGCCCACCCCCGCCTCTATGTACGTGACAGAGTTGTCCTTCCTCTCAGCGATGGTGTTTCATTTTGGAATACAGTACTTTTCTTCTTCTTCTGAGTGCAAACTTCTGAAAACGGTGCTCTGCCGAACCATTGAAACGAACAATCTCCCAGTTATCAGCCGCCTCTGTTGACTTATATGGAGTGCCTTTGAAAGAAACAGAGCTATTTTAATTTAAATGCATTTAAGGGGTGTTAATCAATCACATTTTATTATAAATAACTTTCTTTTCTCTGAAAACCACCATCTAAGTGAGCTATAAAATACTAGTTAAAATTACTGAAGAACTAGTGGTGTCGGATAGGACAAAGAGGGGAATCTTGTCATGGGATAAATTTCTCTTGTATATTTCCACTATGTGTGTTTACCTCTAATTATAGGTACCATTGTAACATTTACTGTCTATATTTAATCCCAAAGAGGAGATAGAATACAGAGAGGGGCCAGGCGTGGTGGCTCATGTCTGTAGCCCCAGCACTTTTGGAGGTTCAGGCGGGAGGATCACTTGATCCCATGAGTTTGAGACCAGCCTGGGCAACATACCAAGGCTCCATCTCTACAAAAAAATACAAACATTAGCCAGGCATGGTGTCACACGCACGCCTTGTAGTTCCAGCTACCTAGGAGGCTGAGGTGGGTGGATCACTTGAACCTGGGAGGTGGGGGTAGCAGTGAGCCGAGATTGCACCACTGTACTCCAAGACCCCGTCTCAAAAAAAAAAAAAAAAAAAAAAAAAAAAAAAGAGGCCGAGTGCGGTGGCTCACGCCTGTAATCCCAGCACTTTGGGAGGCCGAGGCGGGCGGATCACAAAGTCAGGAGATCGAGACCATCCTGGCTAACACGGTGAAACCCCGTCTCTACTAAAAATAGAAAAAATGAGCCGGGCGCGGTGGCGGGCGCCTGTAGTCCCAGCTACTCCGGAGGCTGAGGCAGGAGAATGGCGTGAACCTGGGAGGCGGAGCTTGCAGTGAGCCGAGATTGTGCCACTGCACTCCAGCCTGGGCGACAGAGCCAGACTCAGTCTCAAAAAAAAAAAAAAAAAAAAAAAGAATACAAGGAAAGTCAGTGCTGCCAGGCTGCCAGTAAGGCATTTAAGCAGAAATGGGGAGAAAAAAGGAATGTGTTAAAGGGAAAAACTTATGGGCTTAGTTAAAGGGAACTAACCCTGACATCCAAACCCTTTTGAAGCTTGCTGAACTAAAGCTAAGCTCTGTATTTCTTAATTTAATCTTTGCTGTGGGATGTGTATGTGTGTGTATATATATACACACCCAGCTGCAGTTATTTTATTTGCACGGTATAAATTACAAATCACTTTTATGCATAATACTATAGTCAGATTTAATATGAATTAAGCTATATACACACACACACCATATGTTATATACATATATATATACACACACCCCATATGGTTTATATGTATACACAAGTTATGTTTTATACATATACACACATAGCACTGTATGTTGCATATATACACATTTATTATATATAGTTTAATTCCTTGGTAACGAAATACAAACACTGAAAGGTGTTACAGTTAAAAATAGCTATAACACTGTAGCCTTTATGGAATTATATAATTGGGATTTTTTTTTTTTCTCTGCTTCTTTTGAAATCGCTTACTATAGTTGTACTTAGTCAAAGGACAGTTTCCCGTAAAGGGATTTTCTGTTAAAGTCTATATCTGAGTGTTTATCACTAAGAAATAATTATGTTTGTTTTACAGTATATGTAAATACATGATGAAGACGTGTTACAAAAGCTAGCAATTGCATTATTAAATGGCTAATATTATTTGACACAGGAGAAATGATGAGTAGCTATTTTTCTGCGTAACATCTCCCAAATATTCTGAGTTTTCTCCGTCATTTCTTATAAAAATTCTACCAAAATAAAGACATATTGAAAGTCAGACAGGTATCTCTGTGGGTATTATTTTACTATTTAACAATATGAGTATAAAACTCAAAGGTTTAGTAACTTATTAACTTTACTCAAAAATAAGCCATAACAATGCTATACTCATGCAAATGCAAATACAACGTGCAAAATGAACTTAATGAATCTTCGGGAATTCAGTAACATTTTAAACTTTCCAATGAAAGAAACTTGTGCCTATTAAAAAACACTTTTAGTCCTTTTTTTTTTTTTTTTTAAGACACAGGGTCTCACTCTTTTGCCCAGTCTGGCTGGAATGCAGTGGTGCGATCACAGCTCACCACACACTTGACCTCCTCGGCTCAGGTGATCCTCCCACCTCAGCCTCGTGAGTAGCTGGGACTAAAAATGTGCACCACCATGTCTGGCCAATTTGTGTGTGTGTGTGTGTGTGTGTGTGTGTGTCTCTGTGTGTTTTGTAGTGGAGTTTTGCCATCTTGCCCAGGCTGGTCTCGAACTCTTGGGCTCAAGCAAACTTCCCACCTCGGCCTCCCAAAGTCCTGGGATTACATGTGTGAGCCACCAGGCCCAACCTTAATCACTTTTCATTATTGGTTTCTTTCCAGGTGTCTTTGGTAGGAGGTCTTATAAGTGACCTATTACCATTAGTATTTATATATTCATATGCATCTGTGTGTTTTCACTTTAGACACTATACAGACAATTATTTGCAAATATATTTGTTCTGGAACAGAAAAAGAATTTGCAGCTACTATATTTGCACAGTATAAATTACAAATCACTTTTATGATTTTTTTATACTATAGCCAGATCTAATGTGAATTGATAATTTACATATAATTATGCTGTTCCCAGAAAGCCTTTACAATCTTTCATCTTACAAACCCTGGGCTTTAAAATATCTTAATTTCTAATTATAGCATTTCTAAAAAATAGTATATGTCACTTCTAAAACAAATCACTGAGTTTACGTATAAACAGTTTTCTGTGCAGCTAGTTAAGCTAGTTACATTTTCTTTTATCTTTGAATGGGACAAGAGCATAGCACAGAGATGATCTAGTGTAAACTAGAAATGCAGTGTGACCTCAGGCCCAGGACGATGTTATCTGTTGATTAGCAAATGCTCAACAGACATCAGAAAGGAAATGAATGTTGTTTGGAATTTTGCTAGAACAGCTTTCTACTTATTATTTTAAAAAACTGTCCTCCTGAGGGATTGTCAACACATTAAAGACAGTGTCTGCTGAGTCTAGCGCAGCATTAATTGTCATTAGATCTTAACCATAACCCAAACAGCAAGAATAACCTGCAATTTCCATGTAGACTTCAGATAGCAGCCAGGACAGCAAGTCTCTAAGGGAGGTGGTGCTGTGCCCTGGAGTACGGGGATGGCTTTGCTCATATGTTCCTGGAGGTGTCATTTTGCAAACTGTATTTTTTTAAATTAATGTTCATCGGTTTATTTAACTGCTGGGCCTTCTTGGCACTGTCTATTTGAATCGTTTGGGGCAATGATGACCTTATGTATTATTACACGATTTGTATAATAAAATAGATTTTATTATATATTCAATAATAAAATAATGAACACATTATACAATAAAATTGTATAATAAACCAGTACTTTATATATTGTATATGAACTATTCTACATTTTAAATTAATATAATTAATGTATCTAGTATATTTAATATAATTTATATAATTACATTAATATAATAAAATTAATTAAAGTAATATGTGACACATATCATTCAATTATATAAAATAATATAGTATATATTTATATAAAGATATAAATTTATGATAAAATTTAATATATTAATTAGACATATATTATAAAATTTAATATGTTCATTATATATTATACATTTATTACATATACTCATATTTTATCTTATAGTTAATATATTTTCCTATGTCAATAAACATATATTTTTACATATTGCATTGATATACAAAATACTATATAATAAAATAATAGTTACATGTTATTATATAATTACATAACAATTTTTACACAATGATAAACTATTATATAATGATATGTTTCTAGTATTGTAAAGTCATATGGTATAATAATACATAGTATGTATTGATTGTACATATTACAATATATTTTGTTCTATTCCATAATTGATTATATTTTAATATATAACAATTCTTTATGCATTTTTAATACATCATGTTATATATTAATATGTATTTGTAAGAAATATGTACTATATATCATACAATATATAATAAATATATAATTAGTAATTCAAATGTATAAAAGTATGTATTATAGTAAATATAGCATATATTATACATTATTACATTATATATTAAATATTTTAACTGCTGGATATAATATATATTATATACACTATATTACGTACAGTTTAAAATAGTATGTATTACAATATTATATGATTAATTATACAATATCGTGTAGTGCAGAATAACATTGAAACGCTATGTGTAATAAATACATAGTAGCAGATATGTAATAAAGCAGTGGTGATCTGCATCAAGAGGTCAACGTCTTTGTGTCTCTGACCCTCTCCAGGTAAAATCCTGGATGCCCTGGACCAGGAGCGCCTGGCCAACCACACCTTGGTGTACTTCACCTCTGACAACGGGGGCCACCTGGAGCCCCTGGACGGGGCTGTTCAGCTGGGTGGCTGGAACGGGATCTACAAAGGTGATTGTGTGTAGAGAACCAACGCCTGTCCATTTTAAATCAGTAGTCTCTATTGGCTTTGTGTTTGCTTGAATTCATTTGCCATGATGTTCAGATATTTTGATGTGAGTTAGACTCTTATTAAGCTAGACCGAAAAAAAAAAAAAGCTGCAAATTTTGGGGCAGTTTCCAAGAGCTTCAAAGTAAAATGTTTGAAGCAACGCCAACCCCAGGAGACAGCACAGCATCTCAATGACCATCTGTGGCAGATGTCCCAGCCTCCGCACGATTGACATTTGAGGCTGGAGGATTCTCTGGCTGGGGGCATCCTGTGCCGTTGTAGGTGTTGAACAGCGTCTGTGGGCTCCACCCACACATGCCAGTAGCACCCACCGCAGAGCAGCAACAACCAGAAATGTCTCCTGATATTGCCCAGTGTCCCCTGGGGACAAGGTCATTTCTAAGTGAGAAGTGCTCCTTTAGATTAATCCTCACTTGGATTCTCAGATGCAGGTTTTTAATTCAATCACACCAATGATGCTATTCATTATGCTTTAACTAGTGTTATGTGGATCAGAAAAAAGAGTTTTTCATTTGACTGGGGTGCCTAGCTCCTCATGGCCAGCAGATTCTTCCAGCTCACTTTGATAGACTTCATGCCGGGTTGTTCAAGAACTCCATGGCACCCACTCTTAGGCATCACCAAAGGCATGCCAACAGAAAGAATAATTTAAAAAAGAATTCTGCATTCGCTATTTTCCCCCTACCCGCTAACCTTCCAAGTAAAACAAAAAAACTAAAAGGGTATCAAAATCGTCATCATTATAAAATCAGAATGTTTGAACTTCCTTATATTTCATTAAAAAGTTCTGTGTGTGTGTGTCTTATATATGTATTTTCCTGGAGGTATAATCACTATGTATATAAATTCACCGTATTAATTGTATGTAATATAATATAGAATCATATATATTCATCATATGTGATATATAATCCTATATATAGTCACTATGTATATATAGTTACTATATTCATTACACATAACACATATAATCCTATATATATTCGCTATATTCATTATATATAATACATGTAATTTTACATATTTACTACATATAATATACATAATCCTGTACACATTCACTATGTATATATAGTCATTATATTCATTATATATACACACATAATTCTATATATTTACTATATTTATTGTATAGATCATTATATATAATTTTATATATTCAGTATATATAATATAATATATAATACTATATATATTTACTATGTCTATAGTCACATATTAATTATATATAGTATATAGAATTCTATATATTCACTGTATAGAGTATACATAACCCTACACATATTCACTATATGTACTCACTATATTCATTATATATTACACATAATCCTATATATATATTCACTATATTCATTGTATATATATAGGATTGTGGATACTGGATTATATATTGTAAATTAATAGAAGTGAGCTCCTGAAAGCATTCACCTCCTCTGGCTTGTCATGTGGACTTGCTGTAGTCATAACTGTTAATTAGCAAAGACTAAATTGGTGCTAAACCTAGTAGAAAAAGTGAGGAACAGATCTGAGTCACCATATATATGCCATCTAACGAAGTGTGATTATTACAGTCATGATGATTCTAACAACTGTACCTATTATATATTATAATAATTATTATAATTGCATGAGTATGTGTGAGTGTAAAGCCCCTGTCCTTAAAAAGCACACATAACCCTGGAATAGGACTGGCAAAATTGTTGTGAGCATTTCTCAGGCTTTGGGACAGGATGCCTGTTTCTCAGGGTGCTTCCTGTGAAGCGATGAATTCAATGGATAGAGAGATTTAGATCTCCTGGGTAAGCAATGGGTTTTGTTCTAGTCTAGTTACACCTCGCAGCTCTGCCCCACAAAGATACAGGTTATTAAATACGATGAAGAAAACATCAGGATGGCTTTATGATTGTATGTTAAAAGCACATAGATTTGGTTCAGTGAGCTTGTCGAGTTTTTCTTATAATAAAGAATGGTGCTACTTGGGAGGCTCAGGAGGGAGGCTCGCTTGAGCCCAGGAGTTGGAAGCTGCAGTGAGCTATGATTGCGCCACTGCACTCCAGTCTGGGTGACAGAAGGAGACAGTGTCTTAATTAAAAAAAATAAAAATAAAAAAAGAATGGTGCCAAGAAGCTGAGCTGCCTTTCAACACTGGTTAGACTGGTTAGATCAGTGAATGTGTCAGCAGTGAATTTTACCTCATTTTCTGCTAGAGGCTTCCGGTTTTGTGTTTCTTTGTAATGCTGCCTGTCAGACAGGTGCGCACGTAGAAGACATTCAATGAAAATTTCACATAGGAAGAGACCTTTTCCTCCAGAGAGGTTCCTATTTTTTCTTAAAGAGTCTAGACATATGGTCTTGACACTGGCATTTGGCATAGGGCCATTTTTCTATTCTGTAACAACCGCCTCAGTCTCATGATTGATCTTACGGCAAGGGCTTCATTTTTGTTTTGTGCTCAGAAACACCCAAGGGGACTTTTGTCTAAGAAGTGATTCTCAACTCTGCCTCTGGCCATTTTTCTACTCACACTCCTCTCTTTCTTCCTCTATATGGGAAATCACGGGGTAAAGTTTTTTAGCTTGTTCCTCAAGGATCATTATAATGTGGATAAAACCTGTATTTTTCTTTTCTTTTTCTTTTTCTTTTTTATTTTTTGGAGACAGAGTCTCACCCTGTCACCGAGGCTGGAGTGCAGTGGCACAATCTCAGCTCACTGCAATCTCCACTTCCTCGTCTCTGATCCCCCGACTTCAGCCTCCCGAGTAGGTGGGACTACAGGCATGCACCACCATGGAGTGCAGTGGCGTGATCTCGGCTCACCACAACCTTCGCCTCCTGGGTTTAAGCGATTCTCCTGCCTCAGCCTCCCACGTAGCTTGGATTACAGGCGCCCACCACCATGCCCAGCTAATGGTTTTGTATTTTTAGCAGAGACGGGGTTTCACCATGTTGGCCAGGCTGGTCTTGAACTCCTGACCTCAAGTGATCCGCCCACCTCGGCCCCCCAAAGTGCTGGGATTACAGGCGTGAGCCACCGTGCCCGGCCAATATGGTTGGGTTTTAACTCATCTTTGGTTGTGTCGTAATCTTTGGTTTTAGGTGGCAAAGGAATGGGAGGATGGGAAGGAGGTATCCGTGTGCCAGGGATATTCCGGTGGCCGTCAGTCTTGGAGGCTGGGAGAGTGATCAATGAGCCCACCAGCTTAATGGACATCTATCCGACGCTGTCTTATATAGGCGGAGGGATCTTGTCCCAGGACAGGTATGGAAACAGTGTTTGCTCCTAACCTAGGGTGATATATTTGAACATAAGTGGATATACTTGATAATTCTATGTGTGTGTGTATGTACATAGTATATTACTTAATTATCAATATTCTGCCCATAGGGCCAGATGTCTTTCTCCCCTTGGTGCGTGGTGGAATATTTTGTTTTCTTCTTAGAGTATACCTTAATATCCTTTGTCATATTACACTTATGCCTGTGTGTGTTTGACTGTTCTCATGGATGGGATCTGATTCTCATACATCATCACATCCCTCACAGCTTCTAGACCATTATGCAATTAAGTGTTAAATGATTACTGAATAAAAACATGTATGCCTAGAGCAGGTGCGGTGGCTCGTGCCTGTAATCCTAGCACTTTGGGAGGTCAAGGCTGGCGGATCACTTGAAGTCAGGAGTTCGAGACCAGCCTGGCCAACATGGTGAAACCCCCATCTCTACTAAAAATACAAAAATCAGTCTGGTGTGGTGGCACGTGCCTGTAATCCCAGCTACCTGGGAGGCTGAGGTGGGAGGATCGCTTGAACCCAGGAGGTAGAGATTGCAGTGAGCCGAGATCTCGTCACTGCACTCCAGCCTGGGTGACAGGGTGATGCCCTGTTTCAAACAAAAACAAAAACGAAAACAAAACACGTATGTGTAATTGCATGTGTGCTAAATGATATTATTCTTTCTGGTTTGCACTTTGTCTATGAGCTTATTTTTAATTTAATTTAAATTTATTTTTTTTGAGACAGAGTCTCGTCCTGTCAGCCAGGCTGGAATGCAGTGGTGTGATCTCGGCTCAGTGCAATCTCTGCGTCCCGGGTTCAAGTGATTCTTCTGCCTCAGCCTCCTGAGTAGCTGGGACTACAGGCGGGCGCCACCATGCTCAGCTAATTTTTGTATTTTTAGTAGAGATGGGGTTTCAGCATGTTGGCCAGGATGGTCTCGATCTCTTGACCTCGTGATCCACCCACCTCGGCCTCCCAAAGTGCTGGGATTACAGGCACGAGCCACCAGGCCTGGCTTTGTCTATGAGCTTTAAAATGAACAAATACATCCTGTGCTTTAACGATTTAATTCCATGTATGTGGGGTGATATCTATTCATTAAATGTGAAGTTTTATTGGAATCAAAAGGGCGTAAATAGCTTAATTTTTCCAATCCACAACAGTAACTCATATTGTCTTGCAAGGTATCAGGATAATAGTTCTAGCTGTTCTCTTCTTCCATGACCTCAGAAAATGAATGTTTTGTTTCTCTTTCTTTTTGTTATAAAATGAGGGAAAAGGAGAAAGTTTTAAGAATTCCTTCTTCCGCCAGGCGCCGTGGCTCACGCCTGTAATCCTAGCACTTTGGGAGGCCGAGGCAGGCGGATCATGAGGTCAGGAGTTCGAGACCAGCCTGGCCAACATGGTGAAACCCCGTCTGTACTAAAAATACAAAAATTAGCAGGGCATGGTGGCGTGTGCCTGTAATCCCAGCTACTTGGGAAGCTGAGGCAGGAGAATTGCTTGAACCCGGGAGGCGGAGGTTGCAGTGAGCAGAGATCGCACCATTGCACTCCAGCCTGGGTGACAGAGCAAGACTCCATTTCAAAAAAAAAAAAAAAGAAAAAAGAAATTCTTCCTCTTTATCTTTCGCCTCCTTCTCTTCCTCCCCTTCCTTTTCCTCCTCCTCCTCCTCCTCCTCTTTCTTCTGCTATAAAATGCGTGACTGAACCATGCCTCTCTCATCACCTTCTACACACCCCCTTCTCTCCCAAGAGTGATTGACGGCCAGAACCTAATGCCCCTGCTGGAAGGAAGGGCGTCCCACTCCGACCACGAGTTCCTCTTCCACTACTGTGGGGTCTATCTGCACACGGTCAGGTGGCATCAGAAGGACTGTAAGTATGAAGGCTGTGGACACGTGGAAAGACGATAAGGGCCCGGTTCCGGTCTCCTTCGTCTCCTGGCGGAAGCTGCACCATGTGCAGATATTGCCCAGCTATGATGGTTCTTTTTCGCTGAGAAAGCCACATAAACAGTGCACTGCAGTAGGATTTTATTTTATTTTATTTTATTTTGAGATAGGGTCTCACTCTGTCACCCAGGTTGGAGTACAGTGGCGCAATCTCGGCTCACCACAACCTCCACCTCCCAGGTTCAAGTGAGTCTCCTGCCTCAGCCTCCTGAGTAACTGGGACTACAGGCACCTACCACCATGACTAGTTAATTTTTGTATTTTTAGTAGAGATGGGGTTTCACCATGTTGGCCAGGCTGGTCTCGAACTCCTGACCTCAGGCGATCTGCCCACCTCAGCCTCCCAAAGTGCTGGGATTACAGGCGTGAGCCACCGTGCCTGGCCTGCAGTAGGATTTTAGAGAGATGTGTTTGTGAGAGAGATTTGTGCCCAAAGGGTTTTATTTTAAATTTTTAAAATATTTATAAAATAGAGACAAGATCTTACTATGTGGCCCAGGCTGGTCTCGAACTGCTGAGCTCAAGTGATCCTCTCTCTTTGGCCTCCCACAGGTGTGACCCACCACAGCCGATCCACTCAAAGCATTTTAACTTAGGGAGGTGAGTGCTGACACAGACAAACCAATGCCATTGCAATATTTTCATGACTTAGATTTCCCGAGAGAAGGGGATATGCCCTACCACACAGGTTCACGGTGGGAAGCACCAGGGCTTGGCTTGGAAGCAGAGGCAGGAAGGAATGAGGAGCCCAAGCAACAGCCTTTATTATTAGGCTTTCCAAGGGAAAGGTCAGGCAGGGCAGGGTGAACAGCTTCACACTGGTAGTTTGAGTAATTACAGTAAGTTTGGAGCAACAGAGACTGCCCCTAGCTGCCTGGTACCCGGTGCTGGGTTGATTTAGGACAGAGAAAATATCAGCTTACTGTGTGAGAGTTAGATAAAGGAGGTGGATGCTTGCATAGGTAGGGTGTGTTCCTAAGTGAGTTGTTACTATTTGTATTAGTCCATTCTCACGTTGCTAATAAAGACATACTCAAGACTGGGTAATTTATAAAGGAAAAAGTGGTTTAATGGACTCACAGTTCCACATGGCTGGGGAGGCCTCACAATCATGGTGGAAGGCACATCTTACATGGTGGAAAGCAAGAGAGAATGAGAGCCAAGCGAAAAGGGAAATGCCTTATAAAACCATCAGATCTCGTGAGACTTATTCCTTACCATGGGAACAGTATGGCAGAAACTGCCCCCATATTCAATTATCTCCACTTGGCTCTGCCCTTGACATATGGGGATTATTACAACTCAAGGTGAGATTAGGGTGGGGACAGAGCCAAACCATATCGCTATTTTTAGGAATCAGCTAGTCCTGGGAGGAGCAGTCTTTCCCCAAGTCTATGAGGCCCCTCAAGCTGTCAAAATACTAGCCTGGCACAGTGGCTCACAGTTGTAATCTCAGCACTTCAGGAGGCCAAGGTAGGAGGATTATTTGAGCCCAGGAGTTTGATATCAGCCTGGGCAACATTGCAAGACCCTGTCCCTACAAAGAAAAAAAAAAGAATTAGCCAGGTATGGTGGCATACAACTGTAGTCCAGCTACTCAGGAGGCTGAGTGGGAAGTTTGAGGCTGCAGTTGGCAATGATCGTGCCACTGTACTCCAGCCTGGGCAACAAAGTGAGACACTGTCTCAAAAAAAAAAAAAAGTCAAAACATTATAGGATACAGAAAATTAAGACAACATGATTAATGTGTGTGTGTAAGTATGCATTAGCTTGTGTGAATGTATACATGAGAGAGAGAACAAGAGAGAAAGAGAGACTATGAATACCCACAGCTTAGGGATGACTGAAGTAATTATTCTAGCAACGAGGAGTAAATTCTTCAACATGACCTGCCGGGTGGTTGCTTATCTCCACCTTCCTTCCTTTCTAACATCCTAGTGATTGTTTCTGTCCCACATTCGTGCTATGGAAGTCATGCAAACAAATATAAATTAACAAATAGCATCGTTTGCCTTAGACCTGTAAAGAAAGGTCTTTTGGAGTCATTGCATGAAATTCCAGAATTCTTACTTGGTTGGATTTAACTTTATTTGCAGGAGGAATTTTCTCTGATGGGATCAGTCACTTGTGGTGTGATGTATCTTCATTTTGATGTGGATAGTCCCACATAAAACAATTAAAAAAACAAAAATAAGTAAATAAAAATCTATGTTTTTAAGATTCTATATGAGTGCAGGACATGATCAATGATAAATAAAACAGCCCCGTAAACAGCACAAGCCTCCCAAATTTAACTATAGAGGATTATACAGTAGAATTTTTTGTTATTATTTTTTCTCATCATAATTTCAGAAGTTGGGAGCATGGGGCTGACACAGTGCTCAGTGCCACGGTCATGGGACCAGGGTTCTTTTTTTCTACTTGGCCACCTCTGACATGCTAGCTTTCATTCTTGTGCATCTCACCTCATGGTTGCAAAGTGGCTGCAGTTCCTCCAAGCATCACACCTGCACTCCATGCAGTAAGGAGGGAAAAAACCAAAGGCGGTAAAGAATCCAGTTAGATGATTTGATCCTATTTTAGTAGGAAAGCACAGCTTCTCTGCAAGACCCCACCAGTAGACTTCGGTATAATCCTCATTTACCAGAGGCTGGGGAATGCTTATATTTTCTATCTAAAATTGATCTCTGCAGCCAGGCATGGTGGCACATGCCTGTAAATCCAGCTACTCGGGAGGCTGAGGTGGGAGAATCACTTGAACCCAGGAGGCAGAGGTTGCAGTGAGCTGAGATGTTGCCACTGCACTCCAGCCTGGGCGACAGAGTGAGACCCTGCCTCAAAATAAATAAATAAGTAAATAATAAAAAATGAAAAATAAAATTGATCTCTGAAAATAGATTTGGTAACCATTTCATATCAGAAGAAAGAAGAAAGGAAGGGAGGGAGGGAGGAAGGAAAGGAAGGAAGGAAAGGAAGGAAGGAAGGAAGGGGAAGGGAAGGGAAGGAAGGGAAGTAAAGGAAGGAGGAAAGGAGGGAGCGAGGGAGGGAGAGAAGGAAGGAGGGAAAGAAAGAAAAGAAGAAAACAGAAATGGAGGAAAAAAGGAAGGAAAGAAGAGAGTGAGAAAGAGGGAGGGAGGAAGGGAAGAGGAGGGAGGGAGAGACAGAAGAGGGAGGGAGAAAAGGATAAAGAATGATTAACTTTGCCAAATTACTTTTGTCAATTTCAGATGTGAAAGTGGCATTTAGCCTTGGATCATTTTTAATTTTGTTTGTACCTAATCAGATTGAGGTAGAATTTTAATTTGGTATTCCCAGAATTACCCTATTCCCATCTGGGTCATCATTATTATCTCCAAATATTCTCATGACAAGATTTCTAAAAATGTCTGCAAGTTTGCAGTGAAATTGTGCATTGTTCTTAGAGTTGAAGAAATGCTACTGTTGCTGTGTAATGCTGTGCAGAAGAGTATTATCAATCACTAGAAAAAGCTTTTGAGAAAAACATCTTTAACGAAAAGAGTCCTAAAATCACCACAAAGATGGTATCATACATAATGCAACTTGTTTTTTAGGTGCAACTGTGTGGAAAGCTCATTATGTGACTCCTAAATTCTACCCTGAAGGAACAGGTGCCTGCTATGGGAGTGGAATATGTTCATGTTCGGGGGATGTAACCTACCACGACCCACCACTCCTCTTTGACATCTCAAGAGACCCTTCAGAAGCCCTTCCACTGAACCCTGACAATGAGCCATTATTTGACTCCGTGATCAAAAAGATGGAGGCAGCCATAAGAGAGCATCGTAGGACACTAACACCTGTCCCACAGCAGTTCTCTGTGTTCAACACAATTTGGAAACCATGGCTGCAGCCTTGCTGTGGGACCTTCCCCTTCTGTGGGTGTGACAAGGAAGATGACATCCTTCCCATGGCTCCCTGAGACCATGCGGACCACGTGTTACCCACCACAAACTTACTGTTACAATGGTCATAGGAGCAGAGCTCACCTGACTGATTCATTCCATTTGGGATAAAAACTGATGGCCCAACCCATTGTTTTATCCTCAGAAATCAGTTCTTTCAAGAGCTCGGTGAAATTAAAGTGGGCCCATATAACAGTGAACCTGGAGGGGAGCATTTGTTGTATAATTTTTTTCTAGTATATAATTGTGCCATTGCCCAAGGAAAAGAGCAAATCAAGGTGACTTCAGCAGATTCTTGTAGAGCTTTTGTTCCTAGAATTCATGGAAGCATCAGGTCCAATGTCATAAGTTAGAAACTTCTGCTTGCAGATTCTATACCCAGGCATGCTAGCTTTCTAATAAATCATGATAAGTACTTAATTTTTTCATGAAGCAGAGGGTCACATAAAACTTGAAGTAGTGCTGTTATAGTCAGTTTGACTTCTTGATTTTCTCTCTTTCCTTCTTTTCTCTTCCTGTCCGATACGCATCTGGTTATGAGAAAAAATGCTGGGCTGAAGTTCTTGACTTTGCTTCCTCGTAGCTATATCATCGTGGAAATGTCTCTGTGATTTGGTTTCTTCATGTGTAAAATAAGGAAAACCAGTGTCTACTTCACAGAGTAGCTATGAGGATTACATGCATTAATTAATGTGAAATTGCCTTGTGTAGAATAAGCAGTCAATAAATGTTATTATTACAAATGTTGTTGTAAGCATCATCAATTGCAGTTAATCATGATTCCTTAAACACAAAATAAGAAAAATGGCAAAGAAGAGTCAACATTTAAGAAAAAATAAAGAAACATGGCTAAAACAATTATTTAATTGAAGAAAGGCATTTGGCAATACACATAGGAAGTAATTCAAAGCAGGATAAACAAACATAAATCCAAAATTTGAAGCATTTGTGACTGCAGACTACAAAAGACAAAGAAAAGATCTACAGATGGATGCAGGGCAGGTGAGCCCCAAATTGGGGCTTAGCCTGGGAGGGTTCTTGGCTTCCCTCAGGAAATAATTCAAGAGTAAGCCAGTGGTGGAAGCAACAGCTTTATGGAGAAGGTAGTGTCACAGTTCTGTGACCGCTCCTGCAGAGAACAGGAGCTCAGGGCACTGCTGCAGTCATATTTATACCCACTTTTAATTGCATGCAGATTAATGGGCAGTTTATGCAGAAATTTCTAGGAAAAGGGTGGTAACTTCTGAGTGCTCAGGTCATTGCCATAGAAGAGGCCAGTAATGCCCAGATGTTGCCATGGCAATGGTAAACTGACATGGCATGCTGTTAGGCATGTCTTATGGAATGCTGCTTCCATGTTTTAGCTAGTCCTCAGTTTGGTCCTCTGTCTGCTTCTGCTTCTTCTTCTTACCATTCCTGGGCTCAAGCAATCCTTCTGCCTTGGCCTCCCAAAGTGCTGGGATTACAGGTGTGAGCCACCACATGTGGCCAACAATGAATGTTCTTTATTTTATTATACTTTATATTTTGAGATAGAGTCTCACTCTGTCAGCCAGGCTGGAGTGCAGTGGAGGCGATCTCAGCTCACGGAAACCTCTGCCTCCTGGGTTCAAGTGATTCTCCTGCCTCAGCCTCCTGAGTAGCTGGGATTACAGGCACACACCACTACAACCAGCTAATTTTTGTATTTTTAGTAGAGACAGGATTTAACCATGTTGACGAGGCTGGTCTCGAACTCCTGACCTCAAGCCATCCACCTGCATCAGCCTCCCAAAGTGCTGGGATTATAGGCGTGAGCCACCGTGCCAGCAACAATGAATGTTCTTAATATCACCAGCCTGTGCACTTAAACATGATTTAAAATGGTAAATTTTGTTATGTGTTATTTTACCATAATTAATTTTTTATTTTTATTTTTTTGAGATGGAATTTCCCTCTGTCGCCCAGGCTGGAGTGCAGTGGGAGATCTTTTCTCAAAAACAAAACAAAACCCCAAAAAAAGACCGAACAAACAAATGCAATAACAACATCTTTTGCAATTTTTGAAGTTTGAAGATTACTTATTTCACTCAGAGCTCCCTTGTATTACTTGTCTTTAATGCTGTTCTCAAATTTGTGTGTGTGTGTGTGGAGGGGGGGGCAGCTAGCAGGTCCTACATCACCCCAAATCCATGATTTTCTCTTTATTCAATTCTGCAGTGGTGCGATCTCGGCTCACTGCAACCTCCGCCTCCTGGGTTCAAGCGATTCTCCTTCCTCAGCCTCCCCAGTAGCTGGGATTACAGGCGCCCGCCACCACACCCAGCTAATTTTTTGTATTTTTAAGTAGAGACAGGGTTTCTCTATGTTGGCCAGGCTGGTCTCGAACTCCTGACCTCAGGCGATCCAGCCGCCTCGGCCTCCCAAAGTGCTGGGATTACAGTCGTGAGCCACCGCACCCGCCCCCATTCTGCTATTTCTTATCCCTCTTTGCATTGCAGCCACACTGCAATGTAAATGAACCTTTGACCTAAATGAACCAATTAATTATGCCCCCACTTCACTAATGGGCCACTAGAGGGCGTTAGAAAAACATTTCTCAACTACTCGGTCAATGCGTTCAAGCATGCCACAGGTGTTCTTGCTAGAGACTTGTCATTGATGTTTTCTTGAGCCATTAGAAGGAAATGGCCATGAGGAAAAGACTCGGTTTGCTTTATGTTAATCCAGGGGATATGATGGTAGATAGGTACCAACCAGACATGTCCATTTCAGACAGTCAAAGTAGCCAATCTGTCCTCCACAATTCAGCATTTTTAGAGAAATAAAAAATGGTGCTGAAACATGCAGAGTCTAAAACTGAATGTCTGCTTTTCAAGTTCTTTCTAATTATTGGCTAGGGAAAAATCAGTGTCACTTAACTTCTCTGTAGTGCAATGTCTCAACTTTAAAATGACTACAATAGCAAATGCTTCATAGAGTTGCTGCAAAGATTACATAGATAAATATGCGAAAACACAAGAGGCTGGAACGAGCACTTTAAGATGACAGTAATTTTATTTTATTACAAGAAAGACTGAGGTTGAATTTTCTTAACCCAGAACTTAGATTAGGAAGAAGTGGTCATTAAAATATACCATGCATTATTACTTATTATGGTCACCATTCTGTGCAATAGATCTCTAAGCTTATTGCTCCTGGGAGGGGAAAGATTTATTGACTTGCCTGATGTAATCATTCCACATTGTGAACATATATCAAAGCATTCCATGGTACTATATATATAATATATATAATATTTTATATAAAATATTATATATAATATATATAATATTATATATAAAATATTATATATATAATATATATAATATTATATATAAAATATTATATATATAATATTATATAATATATATTATATATAATATTATATATTTTATATAAAATATTATATATATATTATATATAAAATATTATATATAATATATATAAAATATTATATATAATATTATATATAAAATATTATATAAAATATATATAATATATATATATTATATATATTATATATAATATTATATATAATATATATAATATATATATATTATATATATAAAATATTATATATAATATTATATATTATATATATATATTATATATATAAAATATTATATATAATATTATATATAATATATATATTATATATATAAAATATTATATATAATATTATATATAAAATATATATAATATATATAATATTATATATAAAATATATATAATATATATAATATTATATATAAAATATATATAATATATATAATATATTATATATAATATTATATATAAAATATTATATATAATGTTATATATAAAATATTATATATAATGTTATATATAAAATATTATATATAATATATATAAAATTTATCAATTAAAAATAAAAATAAAATGCTGACAAAATAAGAGGTGTTAAATGAATGTATAAGAAACATGAGGTAGCTGAAGTAGGAGTCTTACTCAAACCATCTGCCCTGATCTGTCTATCATCCCATGCTGGGACATGAAAAGGCACATATTCAGAGGACTGGGGGAATTGAGAGAGAGTGAAGGACAGACAGAGTCTTCATCAGGGACGCTCCCACATGGGAAGCCTCCTACCATGAACCTTAAAGACGTGAGTTCTGGAAGGTGTCTGAGAAGAGATTTTCTGTGGTTTTGCCAGAGAGCTGGCAACGAGGTGATGGGAGCAAACCCTTCCTTCATTATTATATTTTCCAAAACTCACAGCATTATTTTGGAGAATTGTTAAGGTAGTAGGAGGGAGATTTAAGAAATAGCCCCAGAGTGTCTTTGTGTTTGCTGCCCTGCATGTTTGCCAGGAAGAACATATTCCTCAGGTATTAGTCTCGTGCTGCTGATAAAGACATACCCAAGACTGGGTAATTTATAAAGGAAAGAGGTTTAATGGACTCACAGTTCCACATCACTGGGGAGGCCTCACAATCATGGCAGGAGGCAAAAGGCACATCTCACATGGTGGCAGGCAAGAGAGAAAAAAGAGCCAAGTGAAACCTCTTATAAAACCATCAGATCTCATGAGGCTTACTCACTACCATGAGAACAGTGGAAACCACCCCCATGATTCAATTATCTTTCACTGGGTTCCTCCTGCAACACGTGGCAATTATGGGAGCTACAGTTGAAGATGAGCTTTGGATGGGGACACAGTCAAACCATATCACCTGAGGTATGGAGAGACTGAAGAAAATGAATGTGCCATTTTTGATCTTTACAGAGGGTTTCAAATTTGCAAATGCTCAAAAATGTTATCCCTCAAAGACCTTTGAGGAAAAAGTTAGTTGATTGACTCCAGCAAAATGGAATGTAATACAAGAAAGGCGAGAGTAGACAAGCACAGTGGCTCATGCCTGTAACCACAGCATTTTGGGAGGCTGAGGTGGGAGGATCGCTTGGGTCCAGGAGTTCAAGACCAGCCTGGACAACATAGTGCAATCTCATCTTTACTAAAAATTCGTTTAAAATTGCTGAGTGTTTACTAAAAATTTGTTTAAAATTGCTGAGTGGCACATGCCTGTAGTCCCAGCTACTCAGAAGGCTGAGGTGGGAGGATCACTTGAGCCCAGGACATTGAAGCTGCAGTGAGCTATGACTACACTACTGCACTCCAGCCTGGGTGACAGAGCAAGACCCTGTCTCAAAATACTACTACTACTACTACTAATAATAATAATAAAAAGAAGAGAGTACACAGGAAGCAGTGCTGAATAAATAAATGTATAAAACAAAGTCTGAATGTGTTAGTGCACAGTTGTGAAAATAATCTGGAATTAACATTTCACATGGGAGGTAATTGAAAGAGCAGAGAAGAAAGAGAGAATGAGCATATGTTCATGTTTTTGTTTCGTCTGGGAAGAAGACATAGGTAATGACTATCTTTATATTTGATAGAAAATATAAGCTTAAATACGTGTGCTGACAGGTGAAAGGTGGTTACCACCAGAAAACTAGAAAAGATGTGTACAAGTTTCAGAGCCTTAATGGGAAATGCGTGGATTGAAGAAAACCTGATTCATGCAATCAGAGGTGGGTGGGAAAGAATTACACCGAAGAAGCAGAAAATCTGATATGTGTAAAAAAGGGAAAATAATATAAAGTGAAACTGCAGGACTCAATCCAAATATAACCATGATCATAATAAACATGGATGGATTAAAATTCCTTTAAAAAAGATAGGCTTTCTGAATGGGAAAATAAACATAAAATCCGGACATACGGTAGTGTAGGAGGCAGCTTAATTAAAAACAAACAAAATGTTGAAAATAAATGGATGCATTTGATATGATTCTGTTCCACTATCCAATCTAAGTAATGGTCAATTATTTTATAGATTGTTCTTCAGTTTTTTTTTTTTTTTTTGAGACAGAGTCTTCCTTTATCCCTCAGGCCGGAGTGCAGTGGTGCGATCTTGGCTCACTGCAACCTCTGCCTCCCAGGTTCAAGCAATTCTCATGCCTCAGCCTCCACAATTGCTGGGAGTAGAGGCACCTGCCACCACGCCCGGCTAGTTTTTGTATTTTTAGTAGAGACGGGGTTTCACCTTGTTGGCCAGGCTGGTCTCGAACTCCTGATGTCAGGTGATCCGCCCGCCTCAGCCTCCCAAAGTGCTGGAATTACAGGCTTGAGCCACTGTGCCCAGCCTTCAGTTTGGTTTTGTCCAGTGTTTTCTCATGATTAGACTGAGGTTATGCATTTTTGGCAAAAAAATCATCAGAATTGATGTAAGTTTTCAGTGTGTCATGTTACGGAGTGCATGATGTCTGTATGTCCTGTCCTGGTGATGTTAAATTTCATCACCTGGATTAAGTGGTGTCTGTTGGAATTCTCCACTGTGAAATTATTATTTTTTCTGATCCAGGAAAGGTTAAGCAAGAGTCTGGCACCATTTTAAGTCTAATAAGAAACATTTACTACCTGATTTCTCTGAAGCCTGCTACCTGCGGGCTACATGTGCATAATAAAAACTTTGGTCTCCTCAACGCCTTATCCTCACCCAGACATTTCCTTTCTACTAATTACAGGTCTTTAATCAGAAAATCCTGGAATCCACCTACGACCTGGAAGTTCCTCACTTTGAATGGAATCCCACCTTTCTGGACTAAGCCAATGTACATCTCACATGTGTCGATTGATGTCTCCTGTCCCCGTAAATTGTATAAAGCCAAGCTGTCACCCAACCACCTTGGGCACTTGTTCTCAGGACCTCCTTGGGGCTGTGTCGTGAGCCATTGGTTAAATGAATAACTCTTTTCAAATATTTTACAGAGTTTGACTCTTTTCATGGACATTAATTGGTGCCCTACACGTGGGGCCTCAGAAAAGACTCAGAATCCTTGACGCAGTTGCCCGAACCCGGAGCTAAGTTACCCGCAGGGCCATTGGAAGCCCTCCCTGGCTTTAGGTTTCTCCTCCAGTGGAACCGGTGAGTCCTCTGCAGCTCTGGACCTTCCATTTGGTTGATGGTCCTTGGTTCATTCTGAGCTGTTTTTCTACCTCCTTTTTATTTTTCTCCTAGGAAGTTGTTGTATAGGATCCTACTTTAGGTTTGGTGGTGCATTCTAAATGGTCTTCTCCACTGCCCTTTTCCCCCCAAATTAATGTCGATTGGCCTGTGAGTACATTTGCGTGAGAGACTGAACTGCCACTTTTGTGGCATAATTTTGAATTGCCAAACGAGAGGCTGACCTCCTCAGCTTGGAAAAGAAAGGGAGTTTTGCTCCTCCTAGCCAAAAACCACCCCTGGGTGGTAGGGGTTGAGTGGGAGTCTCTGGGGGATTGACTCCTGCCATGATGTGCAGTGACCCTACAGGGAACCACACAACAAAATTAATTTTAAGAGGCTCATCCAGGAGACAGGTGTAAGAGCTGATCACTTGCTATGTTGAGCCCTGTCAGAGGTCTAGACCTCTGGAGAGAGAAACTCAGACACGTGAAAGGGTAGAAAGACTCAGTGGTGACACACAGTGTAGTCCCTCTCACAGCCAGCACACTTCAATCCACCCTACTAAAACCCAGGCCACAGTTTAGTTCCTCATTTTAAAATAAAAGTGGGAGACATAGCATGTAAGGATGAGGAAAGGCGGAGAGAGCGACCCCCATTTGGGCACCCCTTTTGGTTCTCTGGTTCCTCTACTTGCAAGTATTTGTGTAAGCGGGAAAAGCTTGAGGGCATGCCAGGTCAAACAAGAAGCTTCCTGTTACATATTATGTCTGTGCTTGTTCACACTTTAAACTGCTGCACACATTACACCAGAGAAAATTCCAGCCCAAAGGTCAACCTGCAACCAATCAGTTCCTAAGTCCTCTATTTTGCTATTTTCTTTTCTGCCTACTTTAAATCTTCTGTTTACTTTTTGTTCTTTTCTTTTCTTTTCTTTTTCTTTTTTTTTTTTTTTGAGACAGAGTCTTGCTCTGTCACCCAGGCTGGAGTGCAATGGCGCTATCTACTGCAGCCTCTGCCTTCCAGGTTCAAGCGATTCTCCTGCCTCAGCCTCCCCAGTAGCTGGGATTACAGACGTGCGCCACCACGTCTACGTAATTTTTGTATTTTTAGTGGAGACAGGCTCTCACCATGTTGACCAGGCTGGTCTCGAACTCCCGACCTCAAGTGATCCGCCGGCCTCGGCCTCCCAAAGTGCTGGGATTACAGGCGTGAACCACCACTCCTGGCCCTTCTGTTACTTTTCCACTGCTGTTGAGATAGAAGTCACTGTTGGGATCCAACCTTTTTGTTTGTATAAACTGGTGAGTTTGTGTTGATATCTCTTGCTAGAGTTCTGAAGTAAAAGCTATAGGATCTTTGTGTGAGTGTGCATGCGTATTTAGATGTGTTTATGTACATGCACATATGTGTGCACATATACATTTTTTACGTGCTTTAGCCCTGAAGTGTCAAATTGGCTTCAAGTCAAAGAGTACTCATAAATTAAATAATAAGCCAAAACGCTTTTCAAGTTCACGTGACTTACATAAATCTTTAATAAATAAGCTGGCTTTAAAATTATTGGTACGATAGTATTAGAAATATCTTAAAAATTGTCAGCATACATGTTTGTTTGCATTTACTGATCAAGCAGTTTCATATTTACCTCTGACAGATATTATAAGGTGTCAAAATTTGGCATAAGGCTTACAAAACTATAAACCCAGCAACCCAGCATGAAACACAATAATCTTTGTTTCTGTACTTTTTGAGAAATAAGACGTTTAATGTTATTAGTGTAGTAAAAAGAGCTAAATCCCAAGTTATCAGTAAAATATATATATATTTAAAATTTTTGCTTAGGCAAACACAGAAAATTCATAGACTATAAAAATGGTTAACAGGGAAATAACTTTAAATGATGACTATCAGAGTTTTCACAGATAATCTAGGTAAAAGATTTTATAAAATTAATTAGGTAAATGTAATGAAACAAATGCCTGTAAATAAATATAATTTAGAATCTAAAGTTAAATAATAGATATTCACTAAATGTCTGGGCCATTTTCAATTTAAATAAATTGTATTATAGAAAAACTTTTCTAAAAAATATGTTCTTATTCAAAGCTAAGTTATTTTCATCTAATTCCATGTTTATTTATTTATATTTTTTGAGATGGAGCCTCGCTCTGTCTCCCAGGCTGGAGTGCAATGGTGCAGTCTCAGCTCACTGCAACCTCTGCCTCCCAGGTTCAAGCGATTCTCCTGCCTCAGCCTCCCTTGTAGCTGGGATTACAGGTGCCCACCACCATGCCTGGCTAATTTTTGTAATTTTAGTAGAGATAGGGGTCTTGCCATGTTGGCCAGGCTGGTCTCGAACTCCTAACCTCAGGTGATCCACCCACCTAAGCCTCCCAAAGTGCTGGGATAACAGGTGCAAGCCACCGCACCCGGCCAGATTCTAGGTTTATTTAAGGGTTATTTATGAAATATGGTAAAAGGAACCAAGAAACAAGAGATGTAAAGAAAGTTAGGCTGCGTGCATTGGGTCACACCTGTAATCCCAGCACTTTGGGAGGCTGAGGCAGGCGGATCATGAGGTCAGGAGTTTGAGACCAGCCTGACCAACACAGTGAAACCCCACCTCTACTAAAAATATAAAAATTAGTCAGGCATGGTGGCATGTGCCTGTAATCCCAGCTACTCAGGAGGCTGAGGTAGGAGAATTGCTTGCACCCGGGAGGCAGAGGTTGCAGTGAGCCAAGATCGTGCCACTGCACTCCAGGCTGGGTGACAGAGCGAGACTACTCCATCTCAAAAAAAAAGAAGAAGAAAGTTACAAGGAGGTATTTTTGGTAAGAAATGTTAAAAGAAAAATAATTTTGTATGAGAAAGAATCTTGTTGTTTAAGAGAGATGTTTAGGACAGAACAGAAAATCCAAGCAGGTTGTATATGGTCTGTGCAAGTCATAATACAGTCTGTAAAAAAGGAATTCAAAAAAATTTTTATGTAATTAAGTTTGCTATAACTAAAAGGAAATTATAATCATTCTAGGTATTGGACTTCAATAATAAAAATACAGTAATGCAAAAGGAGATCATTGGTTAGAACAAGATTTTCTTAAAATACTGATGTACTCAGTGAAATTGCAAGAAGTTTTTTATTTTTGAATTCCATAATCTCTTCTTGAAATTCTTCAGATGGACATCCTAGGGGTTCCACTTCTGCTGCATCCTGCTTGCCTCAGAGCTTTCCCTCTTTTGAAAAGGCCTGGGATGGTAACTCTCTCCTTCAACTTTTGCTGGCTCCCGTAATTTTTTAAAAATTAATAGTCTAAAGGAAGAGAGAGAATTTTTGAAAACAGGCAAGTGAAAAATGTTATAGGATGTGCCTCTATCTGTGTGTCTGTCTATAAGTTTATTTATTGTCTGTTTGTTTGATTGATTTGTTTATTTTGGAGACAGGGTCTCACTCTGTCACCCAGGCTGGAGCGCAGTGGTGTGATCTTGGTTCACTGTTCCCTTGAGCACTGGGCTCAAGGGATCCTCCTGCCTCACCTCAGCCATCCATGTAGCTGGAACCACAGGTGCATACTATCTCGCCCAGCTAATTTTTTGTATTTTTTATGTAGAGATGGGGTTTTGCCATGTTGGCCAGGCTGGTCTCAGTCCTGAGCTCAAGCGATCCACCCGTCTTGGCCTCCTAAAGTGCTAGGATTACAGGCGTGTGGCACCATGCCTGGCCTTGTCTGTAAGTTTCTATCTGTCATGAGGAAGTAATATTTCAGTACCAAATTATATGAAAGAGCTCTAATCAAATGGCTTAAAGAAAAGTAAGTGCTTATCAGACAACCAAAAGCTAGCTCAGATGCTTTTAATTGACATTCCTTTAGTAATCTTTGGTAAGACTAATTTGGTAAATTTAATTTCAAAATCCTGTCCAGTGGTTTAAAATCTTAGAGTCACGTTAGATGGGACTGTTCCCCTGACCTTGACCCCCTTCGTGGGCAGGAACTGGAGTGGCTCATGTTACTCAGCCTGCAGTTTGTGGACAGCTATGTGTTAACAGCTCAGTGAAGGGTCAAGGTGACAGCCTTCTGCATCTGTCCTTTTGGACACCGACTTCTTGTTTGGTGTCCAAGAATCATCAGGTCACACAAACTGAAAGATGATGAATGTGGAGGACTTTATTGAGCAGTGGAAGTGGCTCTTGGTGGAAGAGGAGCTGGAAAGGGGATGGTGTGTGAAGAAGGTGATGTTTCTCTGAAGCCTAGCCTTCTCTGGCTGGGCTCCCCTCCAAAACCACACCGTCTGAAGTTAGTCATGTTTATCTGTAGTCTCCAATGCTCAGTTACTTCTCTGCTCGCCACTCAGTAGCTTGTATCCCTGCCGGTCAGCTGCTTGTGTTGCTTTTTTCTTTTTCTTTTTCGTTTTTCTTCCTGCCAGCTGGTCTGGTCCTTATGGGCACAGGATAGGGGGCAGGGCAGGCCAAAAAGGCAATCATCTGGGCAGAGAAACGAGGTCAGCTGCTTTCACTAGGGCCGAGCTTCCAGACTTGAGGTTGTAGTTTAGCCGGGAGCCCAGCCATCCTGTATCAATGTTAGATTAAATTAGGCAATCCTAGGTTTTGCACTGGAAATTAGGGTTACTGGGAGTTGGAATAGTAGGAGAGTAAGATGTATTTTTGGTGAGGTTTATAAAAACACAAAGATGTGGTTTTTGCCAAAGAAAATGTAATGTTTAGAGGCTATTTAAAGGTCACTTTAAAATAAATGGAAAATTATGTAGATAAAACTCATTGGAGAAAGAGAAAAATAAAGAGGTGGGGAATGAGAAACCTTTGACTTTTGGGTGGCCACGTGGTCACACATGGTAATGAAGTGGCATCATTTTCTGGGGTAAATACCCGAGATTCATTGTCTCATGGCCACAGAAATCGAGGACGTGGACACACAGAATGAGGTTGAGAGCAGAAGTTTAGTAGGCAAAAGAAAGAGAAGAGCTCTCTGCAGCAGAGCGGGGTCCTGGAGAAGTGGGTTGCTGCTTCTTTGCTGAAATGCAGCAAGTTTTATAGATGAGCTTGAGGAGGCAGTGTATGATTTACATAGGACGCAAAAGATTGGTTGGACCAGGTGTACCATTTTCATAGGGCATGTAAAGCTGGTTAGGACTAGATGTGTCATTTGCATAGGGCATGAAAAGCTGGGCTAATCTTTTTTTTTTTTTTTTTTGAGATAGAATTTTGCTCTTGTTGCCCAGGCTGGAGTGCAATGGCGCCATCTCGGCTCACTGCAACCTCCACCTCCCGGGTTCAAGTGATTCTCCTGCCTCAGCCTCCTGAGTAGCTGGGATTACAGGTGCCTGCCACCACACCTGGCTGATTTCGTACTTTTAGTACAGATGGGGTTTCTCCATGTTGGTCAGGCTGGTCTCAAACTCCTGACCTCAGGTGATCTGCCCACCTCGGTGCCTAATCTTTTATTATGCAGATGGACTCTTTACCTGGCTAGTGCCATGTCGCCTGTTTTTTTTGTTTGTTTTGTTTTGTTTTGTTTTTTGAGACGGAGTTTCACTCATTTTGCCCAGGCTGGGGTGCAGTGGCGTGATCTTGGCCTAATGCAACCTCTGCCTCCCGAGTTCAAGCAATTCTCCTGCCTCAGCCTCCTGAGTAGCTGGGATTACAGGCATGTGCCACCACGCCTGGCTAATTTTTGTATTTTTTTAAGTAGAGACGGGGTTTCACCATGTTGGCCAGGCTGGTCTCGAACTCCTAACCTCAGATGATCCGCCCGCCTCGGCCTCCCAGAGTGCTGAGATTACAGGCGTGAGCCACTGCGCCTGGCCTCTGGTTTTTTACTGTACACGTGGTGACAAAGAAAAGGGAAGACGGAGCCTCCATGTTGAACATACCTGGCTTCCAGGTAGCCCTTTCCCATTGGCACAGCTGCCAGCATTTACCCATTCAAGCTTCCAGCTTGCTTATTATCTATGCCTGCAGCTCTATTTTCCAGGCTGCTCTTTGTTAAAAAGAAATGATTTGGGGGCTCCTTTTTAAAAAGGGAAATTCTGCCAAGGACTCTTTTACCCTCACTATCTGCCTGAATAATTTCTTTCTAGTTCCTCTATCAGTAAGGAGATGCAGCTGGCTTGTCTTCAGTCACTAAAGGTCAAAGCCACCAGAGGAATTTAGAGATGGATCCTACTCATAGTCCCAGGGAATTTCGTTCACTGGATATATAGCAAATGCAAATTAATAAGGAAAAAGTGAACTATTCAATCCCTTGCTTACTGCCTCTGTAGTTGCTAAAATGAAAGTAAAAGAGTGCTGCCTTGGGCGTGAAGGCAGCACCAAGCTCAGATGTGGGTCTGTCTCAGATCAGGCCAGTGACCTCAAAGCTTCCTACACAAGGAAAAATTAAGCCACGTCAACCAAAAGTTACCTCTGAGACCTGTGATTACCAAGAAGATAGACATGTGGAGGAAGGGCAAAACCAAGTAACTATTAAACCCAGAGGGTATTTACAGGGCTGTTCAATCTTTTGGCTTCCCTGGGCCACACTGGAAGAAAAATTGTCTTGGGCCATGCATAAAATACACAAACACTAATGATAGCTGATGAGAAAAAAAAAAGGCAAGAAAATGTCGTAACATTTTCAGAAAGTTTACACATTTGTGTTGGGCCACATTCAAAGCTGTCCTAAGCCACGTGCGGCCCGCGGGCCGTGGATTGGACAAGCTTGAAAAGGAATTGGTTCATCTTCTAGATTGGTATCGTCAGCTTCCTGAGTTCCCTTTTCTAAAATGGGTTGTAAGAATGACTACTTTAAGAACAGTATGTTTAATTTTTTTTTTTTTGAGAAAGGGTCTCATTCTGTCACCCAGACTGGAGTGCAGTGGCATGATCTCAGCTCATCGCAACCTCCACCTCCTGGGTTCAAGTAATTCTCCCACCTCAGCCTCCTGAGAAGCTGGGATTACAGGCACACGCCACCATGCCCGGCTAATTTTTCTATTTTTTGGTAGAGATGGAATTTCACCATGTTGGCCAGACTACTCTTGAACTCCTGACCTCAGGTGATCTGCCCACCTTGGCCTCCCAAAGTGCTGGGATTACAGGCGTGATCCACTCTGCCCACCGATATGCTTAATTTTTAAATGCCACAGAAAGAAAGAGCATGTTTGGGCTGGTGCAGGGCCCGCAGCTCACTCACTATTAAACACTTGCTGATGAGTGTATGGGACCCAGATGCACAGGAAGTTTTTCCTGAGGAAATGGCCAGCCTGGTGGACTAGGTAAACACCACTACAAGGTCTGTTTATCCTGAAAAGGGGACTGCCCAGCCCTCCCTATAAAATGCCAAGTGGAGCACCCTAGATAAAGCAGCTGATGTGCTTCATATGCAAGCCATGTGGGATTGGCTTAATGATGACCGGGATATTCACCAGCTGAATATGCCCATTACCCAATGTATTAGTCCGTTTTCATGCTGCTGATAAAGACATACCCGAGATTGGGCAATTTACAAAAGAAAGAGGGGTAATTAGACTTACAGTTCCACGTGGTGGGGGAAGCCTCACGATCATGGTGGAGGGCAGGGAGGAACAAGTCACATCTTACATGGATGGTGGCAGGCAAAGAAAGAGAGCCAAGCGAAAGGAGTTTCTCCTTGTAAAACCATCAGATCTCGTGAGACTCATTCACTACCACAAGAATAATATGGAGGAAACTGCCACCAGAATTCAATTATCTCCCACCAGGTCCCTCCCACAACAATGGGAATTATGGGAGATACAATTCAAGATGAGCTTTGGGTGTGGACACAGTCAAACTATATCACCGAGGTCATAGTGTGAAAGGAAAATAAATCTCAGGACCCCAAAATCACTAAGCCAAGGGAAAAGTCAAGCTGGGAACTGTGTCAGGCAAGCCTGCCTCCCATTTGATTCTTAAATAAGACAGCTACAAAGATAAGAAGCTACATACCCCCCTCACAATTTGTGCTTAAGGAAATTCCTTGTGGACAAAGGACAGACGGAACTCAAAGTCATCCTTCCAAGGCTCCCCTGAGACAAATGCTTATCTGATAACTTCCTCTGCCTCATTGCTTATGTAAAAGTACAGATTCACGGAGCCAGCCTAAATTGTGTATTCAGTGGAAAGCTGATCAAGGACTCAAAAGAATGTAACCTTTTGTCTCGTGTCTACTTCTAATCTGAAAGCTCCCACTTCAAGTTGTCCTGAATTACTGAACTGAGCCCATGTATGTCTTACACATATTGATTGATGTCTCATGTCTCCCTAAAATATATAAAAGCAAGCTGTGCCCTGAACACCTTGGGCACATGTCGTCAGGACTTCCTGAGGCTGTGTCACAGGTGCACGTTCTCAACCTTGGTAAAATAAACTTTCTAAATTGACTGAGACCTGTCTCAGATATTTTGGGTTCGCAATAGATTCTCAGTGTATTAATGATGTTAGGTGAAGAACTGTGAAGCTCATAAATTTGGAAAGGAAAGGTTTATTTCTATAAATGTTGTGGTTCAAGGGTCCCCTTCTACAAGAGCACCCCAGGTGACATTACTCTTGCAGAATCAAACAATGGTTTGAGAAACCTTATCAAATTTGCAGTTGTAGCTTTCCCTCATGGGTCTTACAGATGCTACCAAAAGACTAGGGTGTCAACGAGAAGAGACAAACTGTAAATTTTTTTAAGAGGTTTATTCTGAGCCAAATATGAGTGACCATGGCCGCCCGTGACGCAGACTTCAGGAGATCCTGAGAACATGCGCCCAATGTGGTCTGCGTACAGCTTGGTTTTCTACATTTTAGGGAGACATGAGATATCGATCAATACATGTAAGACGTACATTGTTTCCATTCAAAAAAGGTGAGATAACTCAAAGTGGGGGATTCCAGCTCATGGATGGACAAGACACAGAAGGTTGCATTCTTTTCGGTCTTTGATCAGAATACACAATTTACATGTGACGGAGGTTGGGGGGTGGGGGTGGTGGGTAGAGGAATAGTGACTGATGCCTGTTCAGTGAATCTGCAAGTTTGCGTAAACAATAGGGCAGGGGAATCTATCAGATATGCATTTGTCTCAGGTGAGCAGAGAGGGCTGACTTTCACTTCTGTCTCTCCTTTGACCCACACCTGTGAAGATAAGCCAAGGTGAAATTGAACAGAACTGTTTTAGGGTAAAGATCTTGAGGTCCACAAAAAATTTCTTTGTGGGCAAATTATGAAAGAGGTATGTAGCTTTTTGTTTTGTTTTGTTTGTTTGTTTGTTTGTTTTTGTCTCCATAGCTGTCTTATTTAGGAGAAAATGGGAGGCAGGTTTTTCTGATGCAGTTCCCAGCTTGCCTTTTCCCCTTGGCTTGGGGATTTTGGTTTCCTTTCACTAATTAACAAACAAAATTAATAAATTAACAAACAAAAACAGGGAAGGGAAAAGTGAGTCAAAGGGCTCATGCCAGAAGGGTGGAAATCTTTAGATAATTATTTTGTTATTATTATTAATTTTTCTTTTTTTGAGATGGAGTTTCGCTCTTGTTGCCCAGGCTGACATGCAATGGTGCCATCTTGGCTCACTGCAACCCCACCTCCCAGGTTCAAGTGATTCTCCTGCCTCAACCTCCTGAGTAGCTGGGATTACAGGCACCTGCCACCACGCCCAGCTAATTTTTTTGTATTTTTAGTAGAGACGAAGTTTCACAATGTTGGGCAGGCTGGAATCTTTAGATAATTGTTAAGAAATAAAAGAAAAGGAAAATTGATGGAGTTAAAACAAAAGACTTTACAACATGATCAAAGGTTGGGTGGGCCACAGGGAGCCCCAACTGGTCCCCCAACATGAAGGGGCCCCATGCCAGTTTTCTTCATTTGCCTCAGATTGGAGAAGTTTAAGAAAAATTGAGGCTGGGCATGGTGGCTCAAGCCTGTAATCCCAGAACTTTGGGAGGCCAAGGCAGGCGGATCATCTGAGGTCAGGAGTTCGAGACCAGGCTGGCCAACATGGTGAAACCCCGTCTCTACTAAAAATACAGAAAAATTTGCTGGGCGTCGTGGCACGCACCTGTAATCCCAGCTACTCAGGAGGCTGAGGCAGGAGAATCGCTTGAACCCAGGAGGCAGAGGTTGCAGTGAGCAGAGATCATGCCATTGCACTCCAGCCTGGGCAACAAGAGCGAAACTCTGTCTCAAAAAAAAAAAAAAAAAGTTTTAGAGCAGGAATGAAAAGAAGGAAAGTACACTTGGAAGATGGCCAAGTAGCTGACCTAAGAGATCAAGTGTATGGTTGACCTTTAGACTTGGGGTTTTATAGGTTGGCATGCTTCTGGAGTCTTGTGTCCCTTCTCCGCTGAGTCTTCCCTTGGGGTTGGGCTGTCCACATGCACAGTGGCCTGCCAGCACTTGGGAGGGGAGCATGCGCAGTGTGTTTACTGGAGTTGGACGCATGCTCACTTGAGGCGTTCTTCCCTTACCAGCTGAATGTTCCTAGAAGGTTATAGACCAGTTAAACTCCACCGTTTTGCTTCTCAGTGTGCATGCTTGAGCCCACTCACTCACCTCCTGAGATCGTATTGGGAAACTGCTGACCACCAGTTTTAGGTGTTTTCTATTTACTGGGAGACGGCCTTTCCCTGGTGCTGACTGTGACCAATTATTATTTTAGAGAGACAGTTTAATAACCGCCTGATGCTCGCCTGACATTCCTGGTGGGGCTGGGGAGAGCCTTTCCTGCCTTGCTCATGCCTGACTAGCTACCTACTGTAACAATAACTGAACTCTTTCTACCGATTTCCAGTGAGAAAATCTATGCATCTATCTATGACCTGCAAGCCCCCACTTTGAAGTGTGTCACCTTTCCTGGCTGAACCAATGTCCATCTTACATGTATTGAGGGGTGTCTTATGTCTCCCTAAAATGCATAAAGCCAATCTGTAACTCAACAACCCTGAGCACATGTTCTCAGGATCTCCTGAGGGCTGTGCTATGGGCCAGTAGTCACTCATATTTGGCTCAGAATAAATATCTTAGAATAGTTTACAGAGTTTGACCCTTTTCATCAGCAGAGGCATACACTCTTGCTATGGGATGTTAACCGAAGCTAATGGAAATAATGGTGTCCAAAAGAGTTCCGTGATGAAACGTAAATGGTTCATGTAGGACCTGCTACCTGGGGAATGCAAAGATAATATACAAGGAGGGAGCTTCTTTTTCCTCTTCAGACTGACTCTGTAACTGTGAGAAGATTTTTGCCTTCCAAAGTTATTAGTGTGTTCATTTTTATCTCTTAGGAAAAAAGTGGCAAAGTTGGAGATGGTGTACACTTTCCTTTATTGCTTGACTGAGGTTAAAAATTTGGCCAGGCATGGTGGCTCACTCCTGTAATCATAGCATTTTGAGAGCCCAAGGCCAAGGATAGCTTGAGCCAAGAAGTTCAAGACCAGCCTGGGCAGCATAGCGAGACCTTGTCTCTACAAAAAATAAAAAAATTAGCTGGGTGTGGTGGTGAACACCTGTAATCACATCTACTTGGGGGGCTGAGGTGGGAGGATTGCTTGAGCTCAGGAGCTGGAGGTTGCAGTGAGCCAAGATTATACCACTGCACTCCAGCCTGGGCAACCAAGCGAGATGCTGTCTCAAAACAACAACAACAACAAAAAGAACAACAAAAAACAAAAAAAAACTTGTATTCTATTGTCTCCCATCAGATTATTTTTAACTAATTTTATTTTAATCACTTACTGTTGAGTCACCTCTGAGATTTTCTATTCCAGTGGCGTCCTTATAAAATGAAGCTTCCTTGTCAACTGCACTTGTTATAACACCGAGCTTCTGCTAAGAAAAAGCAAATGCATAACTCTGTATAACCTATCTCCCATGACAGGGTCTATGCCTCGCTGTATTTAAGCATTCATTTTAGTTTTCAGCAATGTAGTACTTTCACCTATATTTTGTCAAATTCAAACACTTGCAATACTTCATTTATTTTTTCTGCATGTCCTTCATATTTTGGCTTTGCTAGTCCACTTTGGCCAAAAAGCTTTGATTCTTTAAGTATAGGCCTAAATATCCTATCTTAAGCATGGGTGTAATTTTCTTCTATTACCAACAGAGGTTCTTTTATAGTTTTTGAAATCACTGATTAAAAAGAAACAGCTCAAATTATATTCTACTGTAAAAATGATACATTCAGCCTGGGCACGGTCAGTCACATCTGTAATCACAATACGTTGGGAGGCTGAGGCAGGAGGATCACTTGAGTCCAGGAGTTGAGGCTGCAGTGAGCTGTGATCACACCACTGCACTCTAGTGTGGGTGACAGTGAGACCCTGTCTCAAAAAAAAAAAAAAAAAGATACATTCAAAGAAGTCAAAATAAAACAGTATAAAACCTATCTCCCTGATTGCAGCTACCTTTTTTTATGCATACGCCTGCAATCCTTTTACACCTATCACACACTAAAAATGTTTTACAGTTATTGTTATTGCACACAGAAGGCATCTAGGAATGTTTTAAAGAACCTGTCTCTCTGAAGTTCATCCTGCTTATCTAACTTGTCTATCAAGGAAATTATTTTCTTGATTATTATTGCTGAGAAAGACTGGGTGAGGTTGCTACCCCAGAATTAGCAGATGCAAATCAGGAGGAAGTGAACAGGCTGCAAATTAGCAAGTTCTGGCATGGGGTGAGGCAATGGCAGAAAATCGGTTTCCTGGGAACCATGCCCAGGAACTAGCCTGACATTGTGAGAAAGCTCCCAACATTCATAATGAGTTGCATATTAAATTCCAGGGAAGGGCACTGTAGGTAAGATGGACCACATTTGGAAATACACTTTTTCAGACGTTTTATTTAGGGAGAATTTCTGACATGTCCTCCGATAATTTGAACTTCCTTGATTTGCAGTTGTACATTGAGAGATCATTTCTTGGTCAAAATAAATGTTCAGCAGGTGTGAATGCTGTATCCACAACTTTTTTTTTTTTTTTTTTTTGAGACAGTCTCACTCTGTTGCCCGGGGTGAAGTACAGTGGTGTGATCTCAGCTCACTGCAAACTCTGCCTCCCAAATTCAAGCAATTCTAGTGCCTCAGCCTCCCGAGTAGCTGGGATTACAGGCATGTGCCACCATGCCTGGCTAATTACAACTTAATTTTTAAATTTGGGCAGATTTACAAAACTATCAAGCTATTACCCTGCAGCATCCTTAGCCCTAAGCTTGTCACTACTTGTAATGTATTTTTATTTTATTTATTTATTTTTTGAGACAGAGTTTCACTCTTGTCGCCCAGGCTGGGGTGCAGTGGCATGATTGCGGCTCACTGCAACCTCCACCTCCTGAGTTCAAGCGATTCTCTTGCCTCAGCCTTCCGGACCACAGGTGCATGCCACCACGCCTGGGTAATTTTTTTTTTTTTTTTTTTTGAGGTGGAGTTTCGTTCTTGTCATTCAGGCTAGAGTGCAATGGTGTGATCTTGGTTTACTGCAACCTCCACCTCCCAGGTTCAAGCGATTTTCCTGCCTCAGCCTCCCAAGTAGCTGGGATTACAGGTGCCCACCACCACACCCGGCTAATTTTTGTATTTTTAGTAGAGACAGGGTTTCACCATGTTGGCCAGGCTGGTCTTGAACTCCTGACCTCAGGTGATCCACCTGCCTCGGCCTTCCAAAGTGCTGGGATTACAGGCATGAGCCACTGCACCCAGCCTACCTACTGGACTTTTTTTCGGAGACACACTGTAGTTTCTCAAGAAAGAATGCCTGTTCCTGGTCCCAGCTGCACACTCACTTTACAGTGTGTGCTGTACTTGGTCAAGTGTATTGATATTGAAACACAAGCCAGACTGGATGGACCTTGGTCATAAATCATGGGGCAGCTCTCCTTCACTGTCAGATAAAATCCAAATTCTCTATTACTACCTCCAAGGTCCCAGCATTGACGATCTGTTCTTTTCTTCCTGAAGGGACATCACCCCCGGTTCTCAGGGTGTCTCCTCACAGGCTTCTTACAAATGCCTTTCCTCAGGAATGTGGCTCCACAATGACTTTTTTTTAATTAAAAAATTTGCAGCCTACAATCAGCCTCCTCAATTATTATTATTATTATTAATTGTTATTATCATTACTTGAAACAGGGGGAGAGTCTCACTATGTGGTCCAGACTGGTTTCAAACTCCTTGTCTCAAACCATCGTCTTGCCTTGACCTCCCACAGTACTGGGATGACAGGTGTGAGCCCCCGCACCTAAGTGTCCTCTTAAAACCCATGAAGTCTTTTAGGGCTGTCTACTTTTCTCTATGGAATTCAAATCGCTAAGCATTCATGAAAGTTTAGATAAGGTGGAAATAAATCCAACCTTTAGGATGGATGCATGAAACTGCTCTCTTTTTTTTTTTTTTGGTAGAGTTTTGCTGTTGTTGCCCAGGCTGGAGTGCAACGGCACGATCTCGGCTCACTGCAATCTCCGCCTCCCAGGTTCAAGCGATTCTCCTGCCTCAGCCTCCCGAGTAGCTAGGATTACAGGCATGTGCCACTACGCCTGGCTAATATTTTTTGTATTTAGTAGAGACAGGGTTTCACCATATTGGTGGGCTGGTCTTGAACTCCTGACCTCAGGCGATCTACCCACTTCAGCCTCCCAAAAGTGCTGGGATTACAGGCATGAGCCACCACATCCAGCCAAAACTGCACTTAAAATCCAATCTTTGGCCGGGCGCAGTGACTCATGCCTGTAATCCCAGCACTTTGGGAGGCCAAGACGGGCAGATCACCTGAGGTCAGGAGTTCGAGACCAGCCTGAACAACATGGAGAAACCCCGTCTCTACTAAAAATACATAATTAGCCGAGCATGGTGGCACATGCCTGTAATCCCAGCTACTCGGAAGGCTGAGGCAAGAGTATCACTTGAACCTGGGAGGCGGAGGTTGCAGTGAGCCCAGATCGCGCCACTGCACTCCAGCCTGGGCAACAAGAGCAAAACTCCATTTCAAAAAAAAAAAAAAAAAAAAAAATCTAATATTGTCCCCAATTCCTACTTTTGGGAGTAAACTATGCCTATTTCAAACTATTGCTGGACAAGATTGCCTGGTTTCTGCTTCCCCTTATCCCTCTTGTTCAAGTCAACCAGTCAGGAAATATAAAGAATGATCAAGGAAACCTCCAAGTTAACACAGAAATACGTATATATGGTGAATGCTGTCTGCAGACAGCTTATGGCCCCATGGTACTAGCCGTCATAGCACATGGCAAAGTTGTCCTATTGACTCTGCTGTCAGCCCCTGCGTGGAAGACCAAATAAAGGTGCTGGGACAGAAGGATGAAAAGGAATCCTAGGATAAATATCTCATCTTCATCGTCCCTGGGTTGGATAATTCTGAGGGTCTGTCGTTGAATCTCAGTGTTTCTGCACAGCACTCAGCTTCAATAGCCCAGTGGCAAGCTGCTTCATAAGTACAACCTCTACTGGCTTCCTGCCTTTCCCTGTCTCTCTTCCTCTTTCCCTGACCAATGCTCCCTCAATTACCTCCCTAATAACCTACTTGGATTTAAGGTTTGAAAAAGAAATGCGGCATCATTCTTTTTGTCTTAAATTTTTAATTAAAAAAAATTTTTTTCGAGATGGGATCTTGCTCTGTTGCCCGGGCTGTAGAACAGTGGTGGAATTACGATACGGCTCATTGCAGCCTCAAACCCTTTAGCTGAAGCAATCCTCCCACCTCAGCCTCCTGAGTAACTGGGACCACAGGTGTGTGCCACCGTGCCTGGATAATTTTTGTAAAATATTTTTTGTAGAGACAGGGTCTCACTAGTTGCCCAGGCTGGTCTCAAACTCCCAGGCTCAATCAATCTGCCTGTCTCAACCTCTCAAGGTGTTGGGATTACAGGCGTGAGCCACTGCGCCGGGTCGCACCATCATTCCTATTTTTTTTTTTTTTTTTTGGAAATGAAGTTCCCTCTGTCACCCAGGCTGGAGCACAGTGGCGCTATCTCGGCTCACTGCAACCTCTGCCTCCCGGGTTCAAGTGATTCTCCTGTCTCAGCCTCCTGAGTAGTTGGGATTACAGTCATGTGCCACCACACCTGGCTAATTTTTATATTTTTAGTAGAGACGGCGTTTCGCCCTGTTGGCCAGGCTGGTCTCGAACTCCTGGGCTCAAGCCATCTGCTTGCCTCAACTCCCAAAGTGGTGAGATTCCAGGCATGAGCCACCACTCCTGGACGAAGCATCATTCTTAATTTCAATGTCTAGTCTAGACATTTAAAAGAATTGAACATATTGGATCGTATCAAAACAACATCTTGTTGAAGAGAATGACCCTCTCCACCCAACCTGAAACAGATGGAGGCAGTGCTGACTTTATCTCAATCTTAAACAAAATCTGTTTCACTCAATTTTCTTGTAGACAGGCCGACTGCTTTATTAGAAAACAGGAGAACATTGACCTTTTTCTATGATTCTCTTCCGATCACCCTAGGTAGAATTCCTTTCACTTTCTAACCTGTGTCTGTTTCAACCCAGGATACATTAAGCTTGTTGTCTGTGACACTTTATTGAACTTTTTAATAGCCACGACTGACACTGATCCTCTCTGCTGAGAGAGGAGCTATTCTGATTCCATTCATTGTGACTCCAAAGTCTACCCTGGAAGTCAGATGCTCAGGTGGGATTTTATAAATATTCCATGAACAAATGAACTTCGGCTTTGGGGTAAAAGAGTCGGTTGCCCATCATTTGATAGATCCCTGGATATTTTTTCATAAAAAACACCCTAGCAGGTTGCTTATTGCAAAATGACATGTGTCATATCTTCTCTGGAGCTGAATATTGTTAAGCAAAATTTATATTAATGAGAAGCAAAAAAAAGTTTGTTTGTTTTGCTTTGCTTCAGCAAGAATTATCTGTTGCATCAGAAATGCAGGGAGCACTTTTGCTCTTTATTAGCGTTTTTTTCCCCAGAAACTCTGACATTACTAGGACACTTGGTCATCTGTGATCTGCTTAAAAGCTCTCTTCAGCTCCTGGAAGAGTAGGTGGTTCTGATTCTCTTTCGGTGAGATGGTTTATGGAGCCCTCTTCATCCCATAATTCTGAAGAGTAACAGGCAGAACGTCTTATTAGGGGGCAGCTGAAATCGTCTAGGGAATGTGGCTAGGGAGTGTCGTCATCTTTACATCAAAGGCTATGCACAGATAACACGCCAATCCTGATTTCACCCATGAGAAAAGTGAACTCCAAGAATTTCAGGAATGTAGACGTGTCGATGATAAACATTGCATTTATTACAATTTCACTTTATTTCCTAGAAGAGGGGACATTATATTTCCTGGCCAGATGCTACCCTTTGAAAGAAATGCAAACTTTGATAAAATAGACATGCTATCAATTTCCTTAGGGGAGCTTTATCTTCACTGGGTCACTATACCCAGCATGACAGTAAAGTCTGCCATGTGTTTCTTGTCCCACTGGAAAAAAATACATAGAAAAGCTATGTACAAGGACTGTATTAAGATTCATCTATGTCTTTCAGAGATGGCAGGCAAGTGCCATTTCTGAACAATTTGGGTGAAGTCAGACACATGCACCTTACCCCGACAACCACTCAATGGACAGCAGAACATTGCAAATCATGACCTGTAATAGGACTGTCTTTGACTTACACAGCTCAGGAAACAACACTTGGTTTGGTCAAAGGTTTGTTCCTTTTCATTTCGTGTTCTAGTGTTTTCTTTTCCTGCCCTTATGACAGTTGTGTGCAATGGCATTATTGCATTAAATAGACACGACTGATTAGGTAGCATGAACCATAGTTTAGAATTTGGCTAAGTGTGGCTATGTTACTGTCTGTTTTTTCTTTTTCTTTTTTTAGGAGATAGGGTCTTGCTGTGTTGCCCAGGCTGGAGTACAGTGGCTATTCAGACATGTGATTCCACCACTATCAGCACGAGAGTTTTGACCTGCTGCATTTGTGACTTAGGGTGGTTCACCAGGCCTTAGGCAGCCTGGTGGTCTTCTGCTCCTGGGAGGTCACCAAGCTGGTGCTGAACGTAGTGCAGATACTTGATCAGCCTAGCGCACCATAGCCCAGAACTTCTGGGCCGAAGCGATCCCCCACCTCAGTCTCCTGAGTAGCCGGGACCACAGGCAGGCTACTTGCTGTTTTTGTCAACATAAAAGGGAGTCAGAAAAGGCAGAACATATCAAGATCAGTAAATCTAGGCTGGGCATGATGGCTCACACCTATAATCACAGTGCTTCATGAGGCCAAGGCAGGAGGATTCTTTGAGGCCAGGAGTTCAAAACCAGCCTGGGCAATATAGGGAGACCTTGTCTCTACAAAAAAATAGAAAATAAAGAAATTACCCAGGTGCAGTGGTGCATGCCTGTAGTTCCAGCCACTCCAGAGGCTGAGACTGGAGGATCTTTCGAGCTTAGGAGGCTGAGGCTGCAGCGAGCTCTTATCACACCAGTGCACTCCAACTTGGGTGACAGAATGAGACCCTGTCTCTAAAAGAAAAAGAAAAAAAGAGATTAGTAAATTCTTTAGAAACCAAGATTTTACCATGAGCAGTTGCATGAAGGTGGAAAACCTTTCTGTGATTATAAGTAGGGATTCTGAAAGAAGTCCTCAAAGTGAATACTTATTCCATGGAGAAACAGAATGAATTGAGAGAGTCCTGGAAGCTGGGAGGAGAGGAATCTGTAGAAAGCAGAGTCACTTAACTAATTCACCAATGAGACTGCAAACCGATGGTCATGGAGCTGCCATGGGAATCTGAATTACAGTCACTTTTATTCTTTGTATTTTATTGTTTGGATTGAAAATGCGGCCAGGCACGGTGGCTCATGCTTGTAATCCCAGCACTTTGGGAGGCTGGGGTGGGTGGATCACCTGAGATCAGGAGTTTGAGACCAGCCTGACCAACATGGTGAAACCCCGTCTCTACTAAAAATACAAAAATTGGGATTCCATTCCAAGATGGCCAAATAGAAACAGCTCCGGTCTACAGCTCCCAGCGTGATCAACACAGAAAACGGGTGATTTCTGCATTTCCAACTGAGGTATCTTGTTCATCTAATTGGGACTGGTTGGACAGTGGGTGCAGCCCACAGAGGGCAAGCCGAAACAGGGCAGGGCATTGCCTCACCTGGGAAGTGTCAGAGGATTTCCCTTTCCTAGCCAAGGAAGCTGTGACAGACTGTACCTGGAAAACTGGGACACTCTCGCCCACATACTGCACTTTTCCAATGGTCTTAGCAAAGAGCACACCAGGAGATTATATCCTGCACCTGGCTCGGCAGTTCCCACTCCCACAGAGCCTTGCTCACTGCTAGCACAGCAGTCTGAGATTGAACTGTGAGGCAGCAGCCTGGCTGGGGGGGTGGGCATCCAACATTGCTGAGGCTTGAGTAGGTAAACAATGTGGCCAGGGAAGCTCGAACTGGGCAGAGCCCACTGCAGCTCAGCAAGGCCTACTGCCTCTGTAGATTCCACCTCTGGGGGCAGGGTATAGCTGAACAAAAGGCAGCAGAAACTTCTGCAGACTTAAACGTCCCTGTCTGACAGCTCTGAAGAGAGCAGTGGTGCTCCCAGCATGGTGTTTGAGGTCTTAGAATGGACAGACTGCCTCCTCAAGTGGGTCCCTGACCCCCTTGTAGCCTAACTGGGAGACACCTCCCAGTAGGGGCCAACTGACAACTCATACAGGTGGTGCCCCTCTGGGACAAAGCTTCCAGAGGAAGGATCAGGCAGCAATATTTGCTGTTCTGCAATATTTGCTGTTCTGCAGCCTCCACTGGTGATATCCAGGCAAACAGGGTCTGGAGTGGACCTCCAGCAAACTCCAACAGACCTGCAGGTGAGGGATCTGACTGTCAGAAGGAAAACTAACAAACAGAAAGGAATAGCATCAACATCAACAAAAAGGACATCTACACCAAAACTCCATCTGTAGGTCACCAGCATCAAAGACAAAAGGTAGGTAAAACCACAAAGATGGAGAGAAACCAGAGCAGAAAAGCTGAAAATTCTAAAAACCAGAGTGCCTCTTCTCCTCCAAAGGGTTGCAGCTCCTCACGAGCAACGGAAGAAAGCTGGATGGAGAATGACTTTGACGAGCTGACAGAAGTAGGCTTCAGAAGGTCGGTAATAACAAACTTCTCCGAGCTAAAGGAAATGTTCAAACCCATCGCAAGGACGCTAAAAACCTTGAAAAAAGATTAGACGAACAGCTAACTAGAATAAATAGTGTAGAGAAGACCTTAAATGACCTGACGGAGCTGAAAACCACAGCATAAGAGCTACGTGATGCATGCCCAAGCTTCAATAGCCGATTCAATCAAGTGGAAGAAAGGGTATCAGTGATTGAAGATCAAATGAATGAAATAAAGTGATAAGAGAAGTTTAGAGAAAAAAGAGTAAAAAGAAATGAACAAAGCCTCCAAGAGATATGGGACTATGTGAAAAGACCAAATCTACATCTGATTGGTGTACCTGAAAGTGACAGGGAGAATGGAACCAAGTTGGAAAACACTCATCAGGATATTATCCAGGAGAACTTCCCCAACCTAGCAAGGCAGGCCAACATTCAAATTCAGGAAATATAGAGAAAGCCACAAAGATACTCCTCGAGAAGACACATAATTGTCAGATTCACCAAAGTTGAAATGAAGGAAAAAATGTTAAGGGCAGCCAGAGAGAAAGGTCGGGTTACCCACAAAGGGAAGCCCATCAGACTAACAGTGGATCTCTCGGCAGAAACTCTACAAGCCAGAAGAGAGTGGGGGCCAATGTTCAACATTCTTAAAGAAAAGAATTTTCAATCCAGAATTTCATATCCAGCCATACTAAGCTTCACAAGTGAAGGAGAAATAAAATCCTTTACAGACAAGCAAATGCTGAGAGATTTTGTCACCACCAGGCCTGCCCTACGAGAGCTCCTGGAGGAAGCACTAAACATGGAAAGGAACAACCAGTACCAGCCACTGCAAAAACATGCCAAATTGTAAAGACCATCGATGCTAGGAAGAAACTGCATCAACTAACGAGCAAAATAACCAGCTAACATCATAATGACAGGATCAAATTCACACCTAACAATATTAACCTTAAATGTAAATGGGTTAACTGCCCTGATTAAAAGACACAGACTGGCAAATTGGATAGAGTCAAGACCCAACAGTGTGCTGTATTCAGGAGACCCATCTCATGTGCAGAGACACATGTAGGCTCAAAATAAAGGGATGGAGGAAGATCTACCAAGCAAATGGAAAGCAAAAAAAAAGCAGAGGTTACAATCCTAGTCTCTGATAAAACAGACTTTAAACCAACAGAGATCAAAAGAGAGAAAGAAGGCCGTTACATAATGGTAAAGGGATCAATTCAACAAGAAGACCTAACTATCCTAAATATATATGCACCCAATACAGGAGCACCCAGATTCATAAAGGGAGTCCTTAGAGACCTACAAAGAGACTTAGACTTCCACACAATAATAATGGGAGACTTTAACACCCCACTGTCAATATTAGACAGATCAACGAGACAGAAGGTTAACAAGGATATCCAGTACTTGAATTCAGCTCTGCACCAAGTGGACCTAATAGACATCTACAGAACTCTCCACCCCAAATCAACAGAATATACATTCTTCTCAGCACCACATCACACTTATTCAAAAATTGACCACATAGTTGGAAGTAAAGCACTCCTCAGCAAATGTAAAAGAACAGAAATCACAACAAACTGTCTCTCAGACCACAGTGCAATCAAATTAGAACTCAGGATTAAGAAACTCACTCAAAACTGCTCAACTACATGGAAACTGAACAACCTGCTCCTGAATGACTACTGGGTAAATAACGAAATGAAGGCAGAAATAAATATGTTCTTTGAAACCAATGAGAACAAAGACACAACATACCAGAATCTCTGGGACACATTTAAAACAGTGTGTAGAGGGAAATTTATAGCACTAAATGCCCACAGAAGAAAGCAGGAAATATCTAAAATCAACACCCTAACATCACAATGAAAAGAACTAGAGAAGCAAGAGCAAACACATTCAAAAGCTAGCAGAAGGCAAGAAATAACTAAGATCAGGGCAGAGCTGAAGGAGATAGAGACACAAAAAACCCTTCAAAAAAATCAATGAATCCAGGAGTTGGTTTTTTGAAAAGATCAACAAAATTGATAGGCCGCTAACAACACTAATAAAGAAGAAAAGAGAGAAGAATCAAATAGATGCAATAAAAAATGATAAAGGGGATATCACCACCAATCCCACAGAAATACAAACTACCATGAGAGAATACTATAAACACCTCTATGCAAATGAACTAGAAAATCTAGAAGAAATGGATAAATTTCTGGACACATACACCCTCCCAAGACTAAACCAGGAAGAAATTGAACCTCTGAATAGACCAATAACAGGCTCTGAAATTGAGGCAATAATTAATAGCCTACCAACCAAAAAAAGTCCAGGACCAGATGGATTCACAGCCAAATTCTACCAGAGGTACAAAGAGGAGCTGGTACCATTACTTCTGAAACTATTCCAATCAATAGAAAAAGAGGGAATCCTCCCTAACTCATTTTATGAGGCCAACATCATCCTGATACCAAAGCCTGGCAGAGACACAACAAAAAAAGAGAATTTTAGATCAATATCCCTGATGAACATCAGTGCAAAAATCCTCAATAAAATACTGGCAAACCAAATCCAGCAGCACATCGAAAAGCTTATCCATCATGGTCAAGTTGGCTTCATCCCTGGGATGCAAGGCTGGTTCAACATATGCAAATCAGTAAACATAATCCATCACATAAACAGAACCATCAACAAAAACCACATGATTATCTCAATAGATGCAGAAAAGGCCTTTGATAAAATTCAGCAGCCCTTCATGCTAAAAACTCTCAATAAACTAGGTATTGATGGGACGTATCTCAAAATAATAAGAGCTATTTATGACAAACTCACAGCCAATATCATACTGAATGGGCAAAAACTGGAAGCATTCCCTTTGAAAACTGGCACAAGACAGGGATGCTCTCTTTCACCACTCCTATTCAACATAGTGTTGGAAGTTCTGGTCAGGGCAATCAGGCAAGAGAAAGAAAGAAAGGGTTTTCAATTAGGAAAAGAGGAAGTCGAATTGTCCCTGTTTGCAGATGACATGATTGTATATTTAGAAAACCCCATCGTCTCAGCCCAAAATCTCCTTAAGCTGATAAGCAACTTCAGCAAAGTCTCAGGATACAAAATCAATGTGCAAAAATCACAAGCATTCCTGTACACCAATAACAGACAAACAGACAGCCAAATCATGAGTGAACTCCCATTCACAATTGCTACAAAGAGAATAAAATACCTAGGAATCCAACTTACAAGGGATGTGAAGGACCTCTTCAAGGAGAACTACAAACCACTGCTCAACGAAATAAAATGACACAAACAAATGGAAGAACATTCCATGCTCATGGATAGGAAGAATCAATATTGTGAAAATGGCCATACTGCCCAAGGTAATTTATAGATTCAATGTCATCTCCATCAAGCTACCAATGACTTTCTTCACAGAATTGGGAAAAACGACTTTAAAGTTCATATGGAACCAAAAAAGAGCCCAGATTGCCAGGTCAATCCTAAGCAAAAAGAACAAAGCCGGAGGCACCATGCTACCTGACTTCAAACTATACTACAAGGCTACAGTAACCAAAACAGCATGGTACTCATACCAAAACAGAGATATAGACCAATGGAACAGAACAGAGGCCTCAGAAATAACACCATACATCTACCACCATCTGATCTTTGACAAACCTGACAAAAACCAGAAATGGGGAAAAGATTCCCTATTTAATAAATGGTGCTGGGAAAACTGGCTAGTCATATGTAGAAAGTTGAAACTGGATCCCTTCCTTACACTTTATACAAAATTAATTCAAGATGGATTAAAGACTTACATGTTAGACCTAAACCATAAAAACCCTAGAAGAAAACCTAGGCAATACCATTCAGGACATAGGCATGGGCAAGGACTTCATGACTAAAACAACAAAAGCAATGGCAACAAAAGCCAAAATAGACAAATGGGATCTAATTAAACTAAAGAGCTTCTGCACAGCAAAAGAAACTACCATCAGAGTGAACAGGCAACCTACAGAATGGGAGAAAATTTTTGCAGTGTACCCATCTGACAAAGGGCTAATATCCAAAATCTACAAAGAACATAAACAAATTTACAAGAAAAAAACAAACAACCCCATCAAAAAGTGGGCAAAGGATATGAACAGACACTTCTCAAAAGAAGACATTTATGCAGCCAAAAGACACATGAAAAAATGCTCACCATCACTGGCCATCAGAGAAATGCAAATCAAAACCACACTGAGATACCATCTCACACCAGTTAGAATGGCGATCATTAAAAAGTCAGGAAACAACAGATCCTGGAGAGGATGTGGAGAAATAGGAACACTTTTACACTGTTGGCGGGAGTGTAAACTAGTTCAACCATTGTGGAAGACAGTGTGGCAATTCCTCAAGGATCTAGAGCTAGCAATACCATTTGACCCAGTAATCCCATTACTGGGTATATACCCAAAGCATTATAAATCATGCTGCTATCAAGACATATGCACACTATTCACAATAGCAAAGACTTGGAACCAACCCAAATGTCCATCAATGATAGACTGGATTAAGAAAACCTGGCACATAGACACCATGGAATACTATGCAGCCATAAAAAATGATAAGTTAATGTCCTTTGCAGGGACATGGATGAAGCTGGAAACCATCATTCTGAGCAAACTATCACAAGGACAGAAAACCAAACACTGCATGTTCTCACTCATAGGTGGTAATTGAACAATGAGAACACTTGGACACAGGGTGGGGGACATCACACACCGGGCCTGTTGTGGGGTGGGGGGTTGGGGGAGGGATAGCATTGGGAGAGATACCTAATGTAAATGACGGGTTGATGGATGCAGCGGGCCAGCATGGCACATGTATACCTATGTAACGAGCCTGCATGTTGTGCACATGTACCCTAGAACTTAAAGTATAATAAAAATAAATAAATAAATAAATAAATAAATAAAATAAAATCAGGAGAAAAAAAATTGGCCAGTCATGGTGGCAGGTGCCTGTAATTCCAGCTACTCAGGAGGCCGAGACAGGAAAATCGTTTAAGACCAGGAGGCAGAGATTTTAGTGAGCTGAAATTGTGCTGCTGCACTCCAGCTTCGGCAACAGAGTGAGACTCTGTCTCAAAAAAAAAAAAAAATGCACATGCCCTTTATATGTAAATTTTCATTTTAGGGAATAAGTTCACATCTTCTTAACATATATTATTTTGGTGTTTTTAGACAATTCCAGTTCAAAATTCCTCTCCAGGTACATTTACCTGAAGAAATCTGCATCTCTGGTCTAATGCAAGATCTGGTTTCCAGGCTGGGCGCAGTGACTCTCGCCTATAATCCCAGCACTTTGGGAGGCCGAGATGGGAGGATTGCTTGAGCCCAGGAGTTTGAGACCAGCCTGGGCAACATAGTGAGATTATGTAAAAATACAAAAATTATCCATGGACTAGTGGGTGCCTGTAGTCCCAGCTATTCGGGAGGCTGAAGCAGGAGGATCACTCGAGCCTGGAAGTCGAGGCTGCAGTGAGCTGTGATCACCATAATTTTACTCCAGCCTGGGTAACAGAGAGACAACCAGTCTCATAAACAAAACAAAACAAAATCTGGTTTCTAGAGTTTATAGAATCATACAACAGCATGTTTCATGGAGCGTTCCATCTCACAAGGTGGTGTTTGGTTTAGAGAGGGTTATGTATGCCCTCTGATATTCTCAAATCTTTATTTAAAATGCTGGGAGAGTTGCTATCTGGCTTTGCATCAGTGTTTAATATAATAGCCATCCTTTTGGGGTGGGTGTTGACGAACAGCACACCTGCCATCTTCCAAATTATACCCCACACTTTGTCTTGTTGAATATTATTAAGATATAAAGACAGGGAAGACCTTCCATTTCCCTCCCACGTCCCCACCACCTTTAGTTGGGAGCACAGATGTCCCTGAGGCACTGCTATAGACCATGAGGTCACCGCAACACAAGGGACATCAAATGGGATTGCTCTGGCTCAAAACAGCCAGTCTTAATTCTGGTGCGATGAATGGCTTTGGTGGTCGTCCCAGATAAGAACATTCAGCGTCAGCAAGAAAGGCTGTAGGTATTTGGCTGAATGTAATGTTTTGTTGTTGATGTGCTGTTGTTTTTCTTTTCCTGGGTGTGTAGTAGGAGTTGCAAATGCGGGCTGCAGATTAGCAACGGGAACCATCTGGGTGAGCCTAGCAGGGACCAGCCCTCCCATGGGAGAGAGAGGTGACACGGAGCAGCTGATGCTTTCGTAATGATTCGAGGCAGCTGCCAAAAGAGGCAGAGCCTTTGCAGAACAGCCTGTCTGTTCTGCTCCTAGACATTAGAGAGATAATACGGCTGATAGGTGAGTTGGGGAAGGCTTGTTTGGACACATTTTCTCAGCCTTTTTTTTTTTTTTTTAACCTCTGGTAGAAACGGGCATAGTTGAAAGATCCATTGACCTATTGTATTCTGAAACTCAATGGATCATCAGCTTAGGCACTGAGAAATGGATTCCAAACCAATTTTAGTGTGAGCAAGTTTCTCTCCTTTCTGTTACTCTCATACCCTTTCTTCTTTCTTCCCTCCCTCCCTCCCTTCCTTTTTCTTTCTTAACCAAGAACGTGTGTGTGTGTGTGTGTGAGTGTGCGTGCGTGTGTGTCTGTGTAGTGTGTATAGTATGTGTCCAGAGTATACATGCTTTGGAACAAAATGAATTTAAGGAGGAATGCGTTTGTATTTTGTCCTTAGTGTTATTTTAAGGTACAAATATGGGTAATAACTTGCAGACTACAGATGGGCTTTTCTTTCATTGTAATGCATTTGGCTGTCATATCCCTTAGTCCTAACCCCTCTGCCACTGCCAACTAAATATAACCATTAGTCATTCAGTGGTTTCTGCATTTTGCAGTCAAAAAAGAGGGAGCTCATTTTGATTAATTGCCTCTTTCCTTATTCAGGACACAGAAGCTTTCTGAGTTTAAACTTTTAGGCTTGGCAGGACATTGAGACAATGCTCTTGGGCCAGCATGTTTCAGGGCAGGTTTTGCCACTGAGACAATTCATCCAAGAGCCCCAGGACTTGGGGCAGCAGGAGTTCTTTTAAAAATGGGCCAAAAGACGGGCAGAGCACTTGAGGTCAGCAGTTCAGGACCAGCCTGGCCAACATGCTGAAACCCCATCTCTACTAAAAATACAAGAATTAGCCGGGCGTGGTGGTGCACGCCTGTAGTCCCCACTACTCAGGAGGCTGAGGCAGGAGAATGGCTTGAACCCGGGAGGCAGAGGTTGCAGTGAGCTGAGGTTGCACCACTGCACTCCAGCCTGGGTGACAGCGAGACTCCGGCTCAAAAAAAAAAAAAAGGTCAAAAGAATGAACTCATTGAAAGTTCAGGATTTGTGCAGTAGTGGCCTTGGAAAATCAATTTAAAAATGTCGGAATTAGGGATATGGCTCACAAGTCTAGTGTGAATTTCATGCTGGGAACTAATTTAATTGACACATGAATGATACTTTTTTTTTTTTTTTTTGGTCTTTTAAATCACGTCTGTGTCTTCTGCCAAAGACAACAAGAAGGTATTCCAAGCTGCACAATGAGGCCCAGGTAGGTAAAGCCATATACTGCATTGTGAGCACATTGAATCTAATGTATAATTCTGTGTATTTGTGAATCCAGCCTTATAGGTAGAGGCATTTAATATCATCTGCCTTTTTTTCTTTTTTCTTTTTCTTTTCTTGTAACCTACTATGAGTCAACATGCTGTCTTTATATGGCTGGCCATAAGATGTCTAAGTTCATTCTCTCGACTTAGTAAGTGTGTAAGTTTTTTAAAAAGGTAGGAGTTAGGCAATTGATAGAGATGTAAACTGTAAATTTCCAACAGATACATATGAGTTTATGTTTATTTTTATTTATTTTAGAGACAGGGTTTCACAGGGTTTTGCTCTGTCACCCAGGGTAGACGACAGTGGTGCAGTCATAGCTCACTGCAACCTCCAACTCCTGGGCTCAAGAGATCCTCCAGCCTCAGCCTCCAGAGTAGCTGGGACCTCAGGTGCTTATCGCCACGCCCAGCTAATTTTTTATTTTTATTTTTTGTAGAGACAGGTTCTCATTTTGTTGCCCAGGTTGGTCTTGAACTCCTGGGCTCAAGGAATCCCCCCGCCTCAGCCTCTCAAAGTGCTGGGATTACAGGTGTGAGCCACCATTGTGCCCAGCCGTATACATGATTTTAAAGTGTTGTAAAAACAGGAGGTGAAAAAATTCAACTAACTTTGCATAGATGAAAAGCATTTCTATAACTTCGGGGATTTGGCCCACAGTCCTGAGCATGTAGCTTTTGCCTGCAAGACATTCTCAATCTTCAAGGAGATGTTTGCATACAGCAAAAAAATTGTACTCTTCTGTGGCTGTCATTGTTTCAGAGTATTTACAAAGGACTCTGAGAGCCAATAGGGATGAACTCCTGTTTGTATTTTTTCTCTCAGAGGAGATATTTGAAGTGGGTTTTGAAACATGTATAGACATGAGATAGGAATTGAATCAATAATCCACATGTCCAATATTCATTACCTGATAACTGAGTAGGGATATGCTGAGAAGAGCGTCATGTGTTTCCTTAAGAAAATATGACCTCAGCTGGGACTGAGCAAAACTATGAAGTGGACTCAGGTGGTCCTCAGAGTCCACGTTTCTTTCTTTTCCTCAATTCAGTTCTTTCCCCAACTTCCACTTTTCCTTTACTTGGTAATTCCTTATTTTATTTTATTTATTTATTTTTTTGCTTGTTTTTCTTTTCTCCAGCCAAAGCTGCTATTCTCACACTTTTTCTTCTTTTGAGGGTCTCGTCCTGTAGCCCAGGCTAGAGTGCAGTGGCGCAATCTCAGCTCACTGCAGGCTTGAACTCCTGAGCTCAAGCGATCCTCCCACCTCAGCCTCCAGAGTAGCTGGGACTACAGGCATGCACCACCACACCCAGTTCATTTTTACATTTTTTTGTAGGGATGGGGTCTCACTATGTTACCCAGGCTGGTGACGAACTGATTCTCCTGCCTCAGCCCCCCAAAGAGCTGGGATTACAGGTGTGAGCCACTGCAACCTGACTTTTTAAAAATTTGGAGTAATGATAAATTGCATGTATTTATTCTTTTTATATTATGAATATTTTATTTTTATTTATTTTTTCTTTCTTTTTAAATTCATTTTTCTTTTTATTTTTTTCCTTTTTAAATTTCTTTTTCTTTTTTTATTGTCCCTTGAGTCAAAAAAGCTGACATATAAACATTGCATAGATTTATGGTGTACAACTTGATGTTTTGAAATACGCCTGCATTTTGGAATAGCTCAATTATGCTAATGCATGTTACCTCATCCACTTACCTATTTGTGATGAGAACACTTTGAGTAGATTTTATCAGTAATTTTCAACTCTAAAATACATTCTTATTAACTACAGTCAGCACAAGTACAATAGATTCTTTGAACTTATTTCTCCTGTCAAATTGAAATTTTGTATCCTTCGACCAACATCTCCCCAACCCCTCCACTGGCCCCCCAGCTCCCAGCAGGCATCATTCTACCCTTTCCTTCTATGAGATCAACTTTTTGAGATTTCACATAGAAGTGAGATCATGTGGTATTGGTGTTTCTGTGCCAGGCTTATTTTCCTTAGCATAATGACCTCCAGGTTCATCCACGTTGTTGTAAATGACAGAATTTCATTCTTTTTTAACGCTGAATAATATTCCACGGTGTATATGTACCGCATTTTCTTTATCCATTCATGCAATGATGGACACTGAGGTTGATTTCACAGTTTGGCCATTGTGAATAGTACTGTAAGGATCACACACACCCACATGCCCTTAAATTAGAATAAAAATTCTAATTTTAGAATGAAGTTAAGGTTAAATCCCTTACCTGTAGAGACTCATTTAAGTCCCTTAAATGAGGTTAAGTCCCTGGAAGAGGGAGTTAACCTCAGGAGTCTTATCGTCTCCGTCCTCTGCAATGATTTGCCCCTGAGTACGTGTTTTCAGACTTCCCTCCTGGAAGGGCATCTACTTTAGCCTTTTAAAAAAAATTCAATAGTTTTTGGGGAGCAGGTGATGTTTGATTACATGGATAAGTTCTTTAGTGGTGATTTGTGAGATTTTGATGCACCCATCCCCTGAGCAGTGTACACTGCACACAATGTGCGGTCTTTGATCCCTCACTCCCCTCCCACCCTTTCCCTGAGTCCCCAAAGTCCATTGCGTCATTCTTATGCCTTTGCAGCCTCATAGCTTAGCTCCCACTTATGAGTGAGAACATACAATGTTTGGTTTTCCATTCCTGAGTTACTTCACTTAGAATAATTGTCTCCAACTCCATCCAGGTTGCTGCAAATGACATTATTTTGTTCCTTTTTATGGCTGAGTAGTATTCCATGGTGTGTGTGTGTGTGTGTGTGTGTGTGTGTGTGTATGAATATGAAAATTTGATATGGATAGATAGATACCTGCAGATCTATACAGATAAAGAAGATGTGTTATATATAGGTATCTACAGATCTATAGATATCAAGAGTGTCTCGCTCCAAGCACCAAGCACTGCTGCTGAATGGCAGCAGAAGTGCCCAAAGAAATGCGCTCTTGGCTTCTCACTTTGTATACAATCTATAGCTATCTATCTCTATATATCACATTTTCTTTATCCACTCATTGATTGATGGGTATTTGGGCTGGTTCCACATTTTTGCAACTGCAAATTGTGCTGCTGTAAACATGCGTGTGCAAGTGTCTTTTGTTGTTGTTGTTGTTGTTGTTGTTGTTTTTGATGGAACCTCGGTCCGTCACCCAGGCTGGAGTGCAGTGGCACAATCTTGGCTCACTGCAACCTCCGCCTCCCGGGTTCAAGTGATTCTCCTGCCTCAGCCCCCCTAGCAGCTGGGATTACAGGAGTGTGCCACTACACTCGGCTAATTTTTGTACTTTTAGTAGACACAGAGTTTCACCATGTTGGCCAGGCTGGTCTCGAGCTCCTGACCTCAGGTGATCCACCTGCCTCGGCCTCCCAAAGTGCTGAGATTACAGGTGTGAGCCACCACACCCGGCCGCAAGTGTCTTTTATATATAATGCCTTCTTTTCCTCTGGGTAGATACCCAGGAGTGGGATTGCTGGATCAAATAGTAGATCTACTTTTAGTTCTTTAAGGAATCTCCATACTGTTTTCCACAGCGCTTGTACATTCCCACTAACAGTATAAAAGGATTCCCTTTTCACTGCATCCATGTTAACATCTGTTGTTTTAGCCTTTATTTTATGCAAAGTGAGAAGCCAATAACGCATTACGTTGGGCACTTCCGCTACCATTCAGCAGCAGTGCTCGGTGCTTGGAGAGAGACACTCTTGAGCTTCAGGAGATGCCTGGGAGATCCACGTGATCTCCAAAGACCCCTGTTGTGTTGTGTTGGGAGGTGGATCCTGAATCCACCCAGAGAAGCCTGATACCAATAAAATCCCTGCTTGCTTTCCAGGAGACCCTTGGTCTTCATGTCTTTGGTGTGTGCACTCTTGAACACATGCCAGGCACACAGGGTGCATGACGACAAGCCTAATATTGTCCTAATCATGGTTGATGACCTGGGTATTGGAGATCTGGGCTGCTACGGCAATGACACCATGAGGTAAGGCGGTTTCATGGCCAGTCATACGTTCGTCAGTCGTTCAGGTTCAGCAGGCTGGCTGTACGGCTGCATCTATGTGCAAAACCAAATGTATTTGTTGGGACTTTTTTTTAAGTTACTTTAAACTTTTTGATAGTTTTAAATTATTTAGATTATGTAATAGTTTTACAATTACATTTTTAATAATTTTAATTTGAATCTCTTTCAGTTTTTAAACTTAAGAAATAATAATTGTCCATCTTCACAGGGTACACAGTGAGGTTTGGATACATACAAAGTATAGTGATCAGATCAGGGTAATCAGCACATCCAGTGCCTCTAGCATTAACCAGGATGGTCATAGTAAAAGCATGGCTATCTGGACCCGAGTCCTGGCTCTGCATTTACTAGCTCTGAAGTCTTAGAGAAGTCGCTGAACCTCTCTGTGCCTGTTTTCTTATTTGTCGAATGCAGAGAAGGCTTTATATCCCTGAGTTTATGTGTGTAAAGAACTTAGAATAGTACCTAACACACAACTACCCTCTATCATACAGCCTATTATGAAGCATGATGATTGTATGTACATGTACATATACAGATATGAACATATAAATGTCATTATATAAATATATGTGATATATTCATATATGAATATATTCTATAATATATAAAGTATATATCATACATTTATTATATTACATATCCATATATTATGAATATATGAACATACATTCAATGTATAAACATATATGAATATATTTATAATATATGAATATATAATATTACTAATATATATGAATATGTTATTCATATATACATGAACATATACATATTTCTATGTCTATGAATATATATTCACTTTTATATAAATGTATTTTTAAAAATTAAATATAAATATATTTAAATAAATATATAAACATATATTTATATATTTTATAAAAGTACATTTAAATAAATATATGTAAATATATATTCATTTTATATAAATAAATATTTATATAAAATGAATATATCTTCATACATATTGATAATATATAAAAGTATATATTATCAATATATATTGATAATATATAAATATATATTTATATATATAATATATAATATTCATAATAGGCTGTATGATAGAGGGTAGTTGTGTGTTAGGTACTATTCTAAGTTCTTTACACACATAAACTCAGGGATATAAAGGCTTCTCTGCATTTGACAAATAAGAAAACAGGCACAGAGAGGTTCAGCGACTTCTCCAAGACTTCAGAGCTAGTAAATGCAGAGCCAGGACTCGGGTCCAGATAGCCATGCTTTTACTATGACCATCCTGGTTAATGCTAGAGGCACTGGATGTGCTGATTACCCTGATCTGATCACTATACTATATATTAATAAATAAATATATATTATTTATTAATATATATTTAATTATACATATATAAATATTTTAATATAAATAAATATAATATAAATATTTATAAATATATTTATAAATAAAATTATATATAATTATAAATATATAATTAAATATATAATTAATAAATATATATTATAAATATAGATTTATAATATATAAATATATATTAATAAATATGTATGAATTTATGAATATATATTCAATTATATATATTCATAAATATATAAATGTGAATATGTATATTCAGCAGAATTCATTCTGTTTCCTAATTTGGTGAGCCAATAGATTCTTTAAGATGGTGAGCTTGTATTTTTAACAATGGGCATTCTGAAAGAAGAAAAACAGATATGAAACAAACTCAGTGCTTTGTGGTGGATAATAGAAGCTATCTGTATTAGCCATTCTTATACTGAGCTTAGGAGTACATCGTTATCAGACGTACATCATACACTTTTAAGATCATTGCGTTGTATGACTAATAGATGCTGAAGGTAGTCATCACAGTTTTCGACAACGGAGCTAGGAGTCATGAAAAAGTAGTCGCCAAAAATTAACCATTGCTTATGAGAAAAGAAGAGAGGACTCACCGAAAAGCGCAGAAACATGGTGTCCATAAATGGCAGATATTTACAGAGAGTATGTTAGCGTGGGGTATCGGTGTTTTGCTGAAAATACTAGCAATTTGAGAAGTGAGATTATAATGTGAAATCTAAAACCAGGCACATGTGCCCCAGGAATGCAGTTTACAATTTTTTTCTTTGCAAAATAAATAATGTTTTAAAAGTTGGTAGGTGACTTCCATATCTGAAAAAAAAATCAGATGCACACCTTGGTAAAGCTGGAACTTCTCCTTGCACCAGTTACCTGTCATAATTTCTCTCATGAATAAATGTAGAACTCATTATATTTTATTTTCATCCAAGAGGAGACTGATTCTTTTTCCAGAAGTCTCTCCAGCCTCCAGAAATCTCTTGTTAAATTATTTTTTAATTGACGAATTATAGTTCTGTGTATTTCTGGTGTACATCATGATGTTTTGATTCATGGATCCATTGTGGAATAGCTAAATCAAGCTAATTAACATGCACAACCACACATACTTATTATTTATATGTGGTGAAAATGGTGAAAATTATAGCAATTTCAAGAATAGAATACATTGTTATTAACTATAGTCACCACAATCTGCAACAGATCTCTTAAATTTATTCCTCTATGTGAGGAATAAATCAAATAGAGGATTTATTCACGTTTGGCTCCGTGAAATGTTGTATCCTTTAACCTACCTGTTCTCGACCCTCACCCCAGCGCCTGATACCCACCATTCTACTGTCTACTTCTGAGTTTGCTATTTTAGATTCCACACATAAGTGAGATCATGCGGTATTTGTCTCTCTGTGCTTGGCTTATTTCATTTAATCTAATACCCTTCCAGTTCATCTGTGTTGTCGAAAATGGTGGGATTTCCTTCTTTTGAATATTTAATCATATGACAGTTTTGCAACCTATGCAGACTGCAGGGAAATGTATCTATCAAACCAGTGAGTGGGTGGGTCTGTGAGTAGTTAGGCATAAGTAAGGTCTGTAAGCAATTAGCCTCGATGAATCAGACCCCAATCCCTTAAGCATTTTATTTTGTAAGGCTGAAGTACAGTGAATGGACACCATATAGTGGCACCCAGGTATATGAACCCTGCAGAACAACAGCTGCCTGGAATCTCAGTCATACTTCACCTTGACACGGGCAAAAAAGAAAAATGAACTCCGTGTGCAGTTACCTGCTCTGGGTACCTGGAAATCATAATAAACAGAGATGTTGTTTATCTTCAGATCTCTCTGTCTCTCTCTCTGTCTCTCTCTCTCCTCTTTCTGTCTCTACATCTCTTTCTATGCCTATGCGTGTCTCTGTCACCCCTCTCTGTCTGCTTGTCTCTTTCTATCTCTCTCTCTGTCTCTCTCTGTCTCCCTCTCTTTGTCTGCCTGTCTCTCTATCTCTCTCTCTGATTGTCTCTCTCTGTCTCCCTCTCTTTGTCTATCTCATTCTATCCATTTCTTTCTATCTCTTTCTGTCTCTCTCTCTCCCTCTCTCTGTCCTTCTGTTTCCATCTGTCTCTCCATCTCTTTCTATGTCTGTCTCTGTCTTCCCCCTTTCTCTGTCTGCTTGTCTCTCTATGTCTCTCTGATTGTCTGTCTCTGTCTCTGTCTCTCTCTTTGTCTATCTCACTCTATCCATTTCTTTCTGTGTCTTTCTCTCTTTCCTTCTCTCTCCCTCTGTCTGTATCTTTCCATCTCTCTCTGTCTCTCTCTTCCTCTCTTCTTCTCTCTCTCCATCTCTCTCTCTGTATCTCTCTCTGTGTCTCTTTCTCTCTTTTCATCTCTCCCTGTTTGTCTCTCTCTGTTTTTCTTTCTGTCTCCCTCCATCTGTCTCTTTTTCCACCTCTCTTTCTGTTTCTCTCTGTCTCCCTCCCTCTGTTTATCTCTCTTTCCATTTCTTTCTGTCTCTCTCTTAATCTCTGCATGTCTCTTTCCATCTCTCTCTTTCTGTTTCTCTCTCTCTGTCTTTCTCTCTCTCTCTTGTCTTCTCTCTGTCCCTCTCTGTCTTTCTCTGTCTCCCTCTTTCTGTCTTTCTCTCTCCTTTTTTCTGTTTGTCTCTCTCTTTCCATCTCTCTCTGTTTCTCTCTGTGTGTCTTACCCTTTGTCTCTTTCTCTGTCTCTTTTCATCTCTCTCTTTCTGTTTTTCTCTTTCTATCCTTTTCTGTTGCTCTCTTTCTCGTTTGTCTCTCTCTCTCTTTCATCCTTTCTTTCTGTCTGTCTCTCTCTCTGCCTCGCTTTCTGGGTCTCTCCCTCTCTCCCTGTCTGTCTCTCCTCTCTCTTTCCACCTGTGCCTTTCTGTTTGTCCTTCTCTGTCTTCCTCTCGCTCTTCCTCTCTGCTTCCCCCGCCCCCCACCTTTTCCTTCTCTCCAATACACCTTCCCTCTCCCCCTTCAGGACGCCTCACATCGACCGCCTTGCCAGGGAAGGCGTGCGACTGACTCAGCACATCTCTGCCGCCTCCCTCTGCAGCCCAAGCCGGTCCGCGTTCTTGACGGGAAGATACCCCATCCGATCAGGTGCGCAAACTGGCGGGCTCTGCTGGGCTCTGCCCTCATGTTAGGATGTGAGGAAACAAAAATGTGGCTTGACCACGTTAACAAGTAAAAAAGGGCTGGGCACGATGGCTCACGCCTGTAATCCCAGAACTTCGGGAGGCCAAGGTGGGAGGATTGCTTGAGCCCAGGAGTTTCAAACCAGCCTGGGCAACAGAGCAAGACCCCATCTCCACAAAATTTTTTTAAAATAAGTTGAGCATGGTGGCATGTGTCTGTGGTCCCAGCTACTTGGGAGGCTGAAGTGGGAGGATCGCCTGAGCCCGGGAGTTTGAGGCTGCAGTGAGTGTGATCACAGCATTGCACTCTAGCCTCGTTGATAGAGCATGTGTTAGAAAGAAAAAAAAAGATACAAAGGAAAGAAAAGAAAAAGCACACATGTGCATAGGTGCACTGGCACACACAGCTAGCACTGGTCACATCAAAATGGCTGCGCTTCTCAGAGATGCAAGATCACCCTGTGTGCTTCAGTTGTCTTTTGATGCAATGAGAGTTTTTTATCTGAATTCCAAGTCACAAGGTGTACATTTGAGTTTCCCAGGTCAACAAAGATAAGCTGTCTTGGAATGAAGTAATTAATACAACATGTGTTTACACATTCAGTCTGTCACCAAAAAATATCTTTTTTTTTCTTTCAAACCACAAAGTCATGGCCGGGCATGGTGGCTCATGCCTGTAATCCCAGCACTTTGGGAGGCCAAGGCAGGTGGATCACTTGAGGTCAGGAGTTCGAGCCCAGCCTGGCCAACACGGTGAAAGCTCATCTCTACTAAAAATACAAAAATTAGCCGGACATGGGGGCATGCACCTGTAGTCCCAGCTACTCAGGAGGCTGAGGCAGGAGAATCGCTTGAACCCGGGAGGCAGAGGTTGCAGTGAGCCAAGATTGTGCCACTGCATTCCAGCCTGGGTGACAGAGCGAGACTCTGTCTCAAAACAAACAAACAGCAACAACAACCAAAAACCCACAAAGTCATAAACCAAGAAATAGCTATCAGATTTTTGGACAACTTTCATCACAGCATTTTACCCATGGAGACAGTAGTATTATCCCCTTGCTCAATTTATATCAATTTTATTTTATTTATTATTATTATTATTATTATTATTATTTTTGAAATGGAGTCTCGCTCTGTTACCCAGGCTGGAGTTCAGTGGTGCAATCTCGGCTCATTGCAACCTCTGCCTCCTGGGTTCAAGTGATTCTACTGCCTCAGCCTCCTGGGTAACTGGGATTACAGGCACGTGCCACCAGGCCTGTCTAATTTTTGTATTTTTAGTAGAGATGGAGTTTCGCCATGTTGGCCAGGCTGGTCTTGAACTCCTGACCTTAGGTGATCCACCCACCTCAGCCTCCCAGAGTGCGGGGATTATAGGTGTGAGCCACCGCACCCGGCCATATATCAATTTTAGATAAAACAAAAATGAAATGAGAAGAACGAAATTATCGTAAGCTCTAGTTGTCATGTTCTCATTACTTTTTAATTTATTACTATTATTTTGAGACAAGGTCTTGCTCTGTTGACCGGGATGGAGTGCAGTGGTATGATCACAGCTCACTGCAACCTCAACCTTCCAGGCTCAGGTGATCCTCCCACCTCAGCTTCCTAAGTAACTGGAACCACAAGTGTGCACCACTATGCCTGGCTAATTTTTTAACTACTTAGGGTATTGCTGTGTTCCCCAGGCTGGTCTCGAGCTCCTGAACTCAAGCCATCTTCCCTCTTTGGCCTCCAAAAGTTCTGGGATTACAGGCATGAGCAACTGCACCCAACCTGGTGACTTTTTTTGTTTGTTTGGTTTTTTGCTTTTGAGATAGGGTCTCCCTTTGTTGCCCAGGCTGAAGTGCAGTGTCACAATCTCAGCTCATCACAGCCTCAAACTCCAGGGCTCAAGCGATTCTCCCTCCTCAGCCTCCTGAGTAGCTGAGATTACAGGTACCCGCCACCATGCCCAGCTAATTTTTGTATTTTTGGTAGAGATGGGGTCTCACCATGTTAACCAGGCTGGTCTTGAATTCCTGAGCTCAAGTGATCGGCCCACCTCGGCCTCCCAAAGTGCTGGGATTTTAGGCATGAGCCACCGTGCCTGGCCAAAAGTAGCTATTTTTAAATGTGCTATTCAGTAGCATGTAGCTCTTTCCCAATATTGTACAACCATCACCTCTATCGAATTCTAGAACATTTCCATCACCCACAAAGGAGATCTTGTCCCCATGAAGCAATCACTCCCCATTCCCCCTTCTCGCAGCCCCCGGTCACCAAGAATCCACTTTCCGTCTCTACAAACATGTCTGTCCTGGACATTTCACATAAAAGGAATCATACAGTATGTGACAGTCTGTGACTGGCGTCTGTCACCAAGCATAATGTTTTATGGTAGCCTGGGTCAGAGTTTCATTTATTTTTATGTTGAATACTATTCCCTCGCATGGATTCACTACAGTTTCTCCATCCATTCATCAATTGATGGGCAGTCAAGATGTTTCTATTGTTTAGTGATTGTGAGGAATACAACTATGAACATACATGTACAAGTTTTTCTTTGAATACCAGTTTTCAATCCTTTTGGGTTCCTCAGGAACCTCAATTCTTTTGACATTCCCCAGGAGTGAAATTGTTGGGTTGCATGGTTCTATTTTTTTTTTTTTTTTTTTTCAGATGGAGTTTCACTCTTGTTGCCCAGGCTGGAGTGCAATGGCGCAATCTCGGCTCACTGCAACCTCTGCCCCTGGGTTCAAGCGATTCTCCTGCCTCAGCCTCCTGAGTAGCTGGGATTACAGGCATGTACCACCACGCCCAGCTGATTTTGTATTTTTAGTAGAGACGGGGTTTCCCCATATTGGTCAGGCTGGTCTCGAACTCCTGACTTCAGGTAATCCCCCTGCCTTGTCCTCCCAAAGTGCTGGGATTACAGGTGCGAGTCACCACATCCAGTCATATAGTTCTATTTTTAAAGGTGAGGGAAGTGGGCTTGGGGCATGGTGGCTCACACCTGTAATCCCAGCACTTTGGGAAGCTGAGGAGGGCAGATCAGTTGAGGCCAGGAATTCAAGAACAGCCTGGCCAACATGGTGAAACCCCATCTCTACTAAAAATACAAAATTAGCTGGGCATGGTGGTACATACCTGTAATCCCAGCTACTCGGGAGGCTGAGACAGGAGAATTGCTTGAACTCAGGAGGCAGAGGTTGCAGTGAGCTGAGATCATGCCACTGCACTCTAGCCTGGGCAGCAGAGTGAGATTTCATGTCAACAACAACAACAAAAAAAAAAAAAAAAAAAAAAGAGAGAGAGAGAAAAAAAAAAAAGAAAAAAAAATGGTGAGGGAAGTAGTCTTCGCTTGTGGGTACAGATGCCGCAGTTTAATGCCAAATTATGTGGATTCCAGATAGCGGTTCTTGGAGGCAGAATAAAATCGCACGTATCAACCCTACTGCCAGTCTGCTGACACTGACTTTGGACGAGAAGAAAGAAAAGGTCTTTTTTGGCTGAGTGCAGTGGCTCATGCCTGTAATCCCAGCACTTTGGGAGGCCAAGGCGGGCAGATCATGAGGTCCGGAGATGCAGACCATCCTGGCCAACATGATGAAACTCCGTCTGTACTAAAAATACAAAAATTAGCTGGGTGTGGTGGCGTGCACCCATAGTTCCAGCTACTTGGGAGGCTGAGGCAGGAGAATCACTTGAACCTGGGAGGTGGAGGTTGCAGTGAGCTGAGATGGCACTGCTGCACTCCAGCCTGGTGACAAAGCGAGACTTCATCTCAAAAAAAAAAAAAGATCTTTTCTTAGTCTGTTTGGGCTGCTATAACAAAAATACCATAGACTGGGAGGCTTATCTACAACAGACATTTACTGCTCACAGTTCTGGAGGCTGGAAGTCCAAGATCAAGGCATGCCAGATTCAGTGTCTGCTGGGGACCTGCTTCCTGGTTCATACACGGCGCCCTCTTGCTGTGTCCTCACATGGTGGAAGGGGTGAGGGAGCTCTCTGGGGTCCCTTTTGTAAGGGCACTGATTCCATTCTTGAGGCTCCACCCTCCTGACCTCATCCCCTCCTAAAAGCCCTACCTCCTAACCATTACCTTGCAGATGAGGATTTCAATGTGCAAATTTTGTAGTGACAAAAATATTCCCTCTGTAGCAACACCTACTCATTGTACTTTTTTCCACACTACATCTAGGTATGGTTTCTAGTGGTAATAGACGTGTCATCCAAAATCTTGCAGTCCCCGCAGGCCTCCCTCTTAATGAGACAACACTTGCAGCCTTGCTAAAGAAGCAAGGATACAGCACGGGGCTTATAGGTAAGACACAAGAATTGGTGTTAGTCATTGATCATAAGGTAATCATGTCCTTTGTTCTACCCTTGATTTATGACTTTCTTGGAAACGCTGTATTTTACAATGTCTTATGTAAAGGCGCAGTGGCCCATGCCTACAATCCCAGTACTTTGGGAGGCCAAGGTGGGAGGATCGCTGGAAACCAGGAGTTTCAGACCAGCCTGGGCAACATAGAAAGACCCCGTCTCTAAAAATATAAAATTAGCTAGGCATTGTGGCATGTGCCTATGGTCCCAGCTACTCCAGAGGCTGAGGTGGGAGGATTACTTGTGGCAGGACTTCTTTTCTTTATTATTATTTTTAAAACAGAGGAGTCTCACTGTGTCACCCAGGCTGGAGCACAGTGGCACAATCTCGGCTCACTGCAACCTCCATCTCCTGGGTTCAAGGGATTCTTGTGCCTCAGCCTCTCAAGTAGCTGGGACTACAGGCGCGTGCCACCACGACTGGCTAATTTTTGTATTTTTAGTAGAGATGGGGTTTCATCATGTTGGCCAGGCTGGTCTTGAACTCCTGGCCTCCAGTGGTCTGCCTGCCTTGGCCTCCCAAAGTGCTGGGATTATGGATGTGAGCCACCACACCTAGTCTGATTCTTCACACAGCTCAGTGATAGGAGATGTTTTAAAATGAATATATTACAAGAACATAAAATTTTTCTGGCTCTGCCTGCCCGCATAGTCTCTCACCGTGTATCCTGTCATCTGCCTCTTTATTTCACTAAAAATGGACCACACAGATTTTCTTCTCACTGCCAAGGATGATAGAAGTCCTCAGCCACCCAGTAGTTGGAACTCCAACTACTATTCCTGTTTGGGAAGCCTGGGTTTCAGCTGGTGTGAGAATAACATGCTGTTTTAAATCCCTTCAATTTTTGTAATACATCTGCTGTTGATAAGAGAAGGCAATCTCCGTGGGGTTGCAGGACAGGAAGCCTAAGCCAGTAGCACTGCCTCTCCTCTACCTATCCCCACAGGCACTCAGAGGTTGATGGAAGCACAGGCATTCTTGATGGGGCCCTCACCACATACAGGAAGCTGTTAATATTCCTAGTAGATACACATTATCGCAGCCTCTGAGGGTTTGCTGATCATCCACATGCTAGCAGGACTCACAGGCACCCTTTGGTGATCATTCAAGGTGTGGTACGTTTTACTGAATAAGTCCCTTACTTCGATCAGTTTTAATGAGAGCCCCTAGGATTTGCAGTCAGCCAGCTATTCATCCATCCATGCTGGTCCATCCTCCATGATTTATCTATAGCTATCATCGGTCATCTCTCTCTCTTTCTCCATCCATCCATCAACCCATATATCTCTATGCATCTATCCATCCATCTACCTGTCTATCTATCTACCTGTTTGTCTATTGATCAATCCATCATCTATCATTTATCTATCATCTATGAATCTATCTACCCATCATCTATCTATCATCTATAATCTATTCATCCACTCATTCATCTATCATGTATCTATCTATCCATCATCTATATCTGTCTATTTATCTAGCCATTCATTCATCTATTTAGACATCTCTCTATCCATTCACCCATCCACCCATATATCTCTATCCCTGTCTATTTATCTATCTGTCTACTCACCCATCTATCCTTTCATCCACCTACATATACAAATATGCTCCATCTGTCCTCCATCATTTATTTGTACGTGTCATATTTATTACATCTATGTCTCTATTGATATATACATACACATATGTATACATAGATGCATACTCCATAATTTATTTTTATCCATATCTTACCTGTCTATTCATCCACCCACAACACAGATCTATTCATGCATCTCTCTATCTAATCACCCACTCATCCAGGTATCCATCTGTCCACCTACACACACATATATACATGCTCCATCTATCCTCCATCATTTATTTGAATCTGTCCTATCCTATCTTATCTATTTATCTATCTATCCATCTATCCAACTACTCACTCTATCTCTATCATCTATTTATCTATCTATCCATTCATCTATCAATCCATCTATCCATCATATCTATCTATCTATCTATTCATCTATCCTATCTATCTATCCACCCATAGATCTCCATCCACCTATCTACTCACCTACTCAGCCACCCACCTATCTATCCATGCATCCACTTACACATACATACATGCCCCATCTATCCATCCATCATTTATTTGTATCTATCATATTTATCACATCTATCTCTCTATTGATATATACATACACATATGTATACATAGATGTATACACCATAATTTATTTTTATCTATCATATCCCATCTGTCTATTCATCCACCCACAACACAGATCTATTTGTGCATCTATCTAATTAGCTAGTCATCTATCGATCCATCCATCCACCTACACACACATCTATACATGCTCCATCTATCCTCCGTCATTTATTTGAATCTGTCCTATCCTCTCCTCTCCTCTATCCTATCTATCTATCTATCTATCTATCTATCTATCTATCTATCTATCTATCCATCCATCCATCCATCCAACCACTCACTCTATCTCTATCATCTATCTGCCTATCTTTCTGTCTACATATTATCTATCATCTATCTTTCTTTCTATCATCTCTATTTATCTAGCTAGCTATATCTACATATGCATCTGTTCATCTGTCTATCTACCTATCTTTCTGTCTACATATTATCTATCTATATATCTACCTACCTATCATCTCTAGCTAGCTAGCTAGCTCTATCTATGTATACATCTATTCTTCCATCAACTATAACCTGCCTTGTCTCTGTGATGTATCTATTCTTCCATCATCTGTAACCTGCCTTGTCTCTGCGGTGTATCTATTCTTCCATCATCTGTAACCTGCCTTGCCTCTGTGATGTCTCTATCTTTGTGGCTATGACTTTGTCTTCTCAGTGAATGAGAAAATTTCTAGTTCACGTCATTGACAGAAACTCACAATTCTATTTTTCTCCCTTATTGTTTATCCTATCCTGTTGCTCACAACCGGATCTGAATACAAACTTCCTCTGTAAACTAAAGAAGAACAAAAAAAATGTGGCTAAGTGGCACTCGGATTTTTTAGAGGAAGGAGAATATCTCTGCTACTTTATTTTTGTGTATTAGCTGATTGTTTCACGTGAAGAATGCTCACATGGTTTTTGCAATGTGCTGGCATATGTTGACATATTGATGCGTAGATGTGTTTGTGTGTTTGGTTTTAGGCAAATGGCACCAAGGCTTGAACTGCGACTCCCGAAGTGACCAGTGCCACCATCCATATAATTATGGGTTTGACTACTACTATGGCATGCCGTTCACTCTCGTTGACAGCTGCTGGCCGGACCCCTCTCGTAACACGGAATTAGCCTTTGAGAGTCAGCTCTGGCTCTGTGTGCAGCTAGTTGCCATTGCCATCCTCACCCTAACCTTTGGGAAGCTGAGCGGCTGGGTCTCTGTTCCCTGGCTCCTGATCTTCTCCATGATTCTGTTTATTTTCCTCTTGGGCTATGCTTGGTTCTCCAGCCACACGTCCCCTTTATACTGGGACTGCCTCCTCATGCGGGGGCACGAGATCACGGAGCAGCCCATGAAGGCTGAACGAGCTGGATCCATTATGGTGAAGGAAGCGATTTCCTTTTTAGAAAGGTAAGCGGAATAATTACAAATTCATGTAATAATGATAATGATCTCTTTTTTAAAAGGACCTAGATAGATCTGTAGGGTGATTGTAGTTTATAATAATCTATTGTACACTTCTAAATAGCTAAAAGAGAATAAGTCAAATGGCTCTAGAATAAAGAAAAGACAAATATTTAAGGTGATGGACACCCCAATTACACTGATTTGAAAAAATAAATCATTTGTAATAATTCTTTACAAATTATATGAATGTATTAAATTGTAACGTGTACTCTTAAACTATGCACATCTATAATGCATTAATAAAAATAATAGGGGATGATGGTATTAAAAATATTGAGTTAGGAAATGGAATATTGCTAAATGGTGTAATAGGGTTAGATAAAAATATGAAGTGTATTGAAGACCAGTTGGACTCTTCAGTTGGTACCTAAAGCGGTGGTACCTTGTTTGGGCTCCTGTTATTAAAATCATGGCCTCTCTATTGGCTCTGAAATTTATATGTTGTCAGACCATGGACGCAGACCCTAGTAACTTAAACTCACAAATTGTTTACGTTAATTTACAATGCATCTTGTCATCATGTTAACTTACAACAGGGAATATGTACATATACAATATGTATATACTATACTATATATGTATATATATAATATATTTTATAATATTTTTTGTCTGGTTCCCTGATACATATAGATAAATATATATATATATCTGGAAATCAGATGAAAAAAGTAAGTTTTCCATTGCATTATGTTCCTGTTGTTAAAAAACAAAAAAAAAGCTACTTGGGGAAATTAAAATCAGAAGGCTTCTCTTTGAGCATGTGATACGTAAGGGCTATTTCATGAATTGGATGAGGTAAATGGTCAAAGGTGATTGTTATAAAAACTTTATGCATCCAGAACACAATGACTGGAAATTTTCAAGGGTATCTATCCTCTTGTTGTTGGACCTTCTTTCTTTAAAAAAAGCCTGTAAACACATTTTTTCATTTGCTTTTTCCATATTGATTGAGGCTTAATCTTTACCAATAGCCATTCTAGGATCTGGATTTTCAGGATGTAAGGTGTCTTGTGTACTCTGGTACATAGCTTTGTCCTCACTCTGTAGCCCAAGTGAAGGTGATAAATATGTAGTTTGGGGCTGGCAGCGGTGGCTCAGCACTCTGGGAGGCCGAGGAGGGTGGATCATCTGAGACCAGCCTGACCAACATAGTGAAACGCCATCTCTACTAAAAATACATATTAGCTGGGAGGCTGAGGCAGGAGAATCGCTTGAATCCGGGTGGCGGAGGTTGCAGTGAGCTGAGATCACGCCATTGCACTCCAGCCTGAGCAACAGAGGGAGACTCTGTCTTAAAAAAAAAAATGTTGTCTGGGAGTAATAAAGCCATACTTGCTCTGTAGATGCAACTGAATGCTTGGTGTCACTTAGAGCAAATCTTTCTGTTCCCTGGTACCTTTCCAAATGTGCAGAGTTCTATGAATTTTTACAGACAGAGCATCAATATGTGCAAATTAGCACCAACCACTCTGAAAGTATATGATAAGCAATCCTATTCTCTTCTGTCTGCCAGTTCGTCTTCAAACATTCCCACACAGTTCTCCTTAGGAATTTACATGAGTACTTGAAGAACAGATCCTATGGTTGAGATGTACATTGTTCACCAAAACCTCTGTCGAGTTTCAAAAGTTCCATATGATCCACAATAACACAATATTGAATGGAAAAAACAATGGTGAAGAGGAAATATAAAGACTTGGACGTTGTGACAATAAGCTCATGGCTTAGGTTCATGAATGCTCAAAACTATTTTTATCTGGATTCTCAGTGTATGACTCTCCTACAGTTGCTATAACAAATCACTATAGGGCTGAGTCCAATGGCTCATGCCTGTAATTCCAGCACTTTGGGAGGCTGAGGTAAGCGATCACTTAAGTTCTGGAGATTGAGACCAGCCAAAGCAACATATGGGAGCCATATTTCTACAAAAAATACAAAAAAATTAGTTGGATATGATGGCATGCATCAGTAGTCACAGCTACTCAGGAGGCTGAGGTGGGAGGATTAGTTGAGCCTGGGAGGTTGAGGCTGCAGTGAGCCGTGATTGCACCACTGCACTCCAGTCTGGGCAACAGAGTGAGGCCCTGTCTTAAAAAATAAAAAAAATTACCACAAATGTAGTGGCCTAATGCAACACAAAGTTATTATTCTGCTGTTCTTGAGGTAAGAAATCCAAAATTAAACTTGTGGGCTAAAATCAAGATGTTGGTGGGGCTAGTTACTTCTAGGGGTTCTAGGGGAGAATCTGTTTTCTCTTTCTTCTAGTTTCTTGAAGCTGCCTGCATTCTTTAGCTTGTAGGGTTTTGTTTTCTGACTCAGACCCTTCTGCATCTCTCTTATAAAAGGACATTTCTGATTCCACTGGACCTACCCAGATAACCCAGGATAATCACTTTGTCTCATGATCCTTAATTCATTCCCATCTGCAAAAACCTTTTACCATGTAATATCACATGTTCACAGGTTTTGAGAATGAGGATGTGGATATCTTTGGAATGGGGCATTATTCAGCTGATCACTTTGACCACGACTCTTTATTTTGGCAGCTTAGTTTGGGATGCAAACTATTTAATTTTAAATATTTAATGTTCAGAGCTGTGCTTCCTCTGTAGGCTCTAGGGGAGGATTCTTCCTGCCCTTCCCCACTCCTGGTGGCTTCAGGCATCCCTGGGCTTGTAGCCGCATCACTCCAGTCTCTGCTTCATCTGCATATGGCCTTCCCCTCTGTGTTTGTGTCTCATCTTCTGTCTCTTATAACGACAATAGTCATTGGATTTAGTGCCCATCCTAATTCCAGGATGAGCTCATCTTCAGATCCTTAATTAATTACCTCTGCAAAGGTCTTGATATCCAAATAAGGTCTCATTCCAGGTTCTGGGCTTTAAAATATATGGACTTATATTTCTGGGGGCTACTATTCAAACTACTACAATTGTATCCAGTTTCTTCTGGAGGCTCTAGGGGAGGATCTCTTCTGCCTCCTCTAGCTCCTGGTGGCTCCAGATGCCCCTTGGCTGGTGGTTGCATTACTCCATTTCCACATGGCCTCTTCTTCTGTGCTTGTGTCTCCTCTTCTCCTATAGGGACAACATTATTGGATTGGGGACTCATCCTAATCCAGAATGATCACATCTTAAGTAATTAAATCTCCAGAGGCCCCATTTCCAAATAAGGTCCCATTCTGAGGTTTCAAGTGAACGTGAATTTTGAGGGGTCACTGTTCAAGACACCATGACATAAGTCTTGTTTTTAAAATTCATTTTTTTTATTTCTTTATATTTTGATATCTCACCAGAGCAGAAATTTCCCAACGAATGGCATTTGTGCTGTGTGTTTTCCTGGGTAGCTGAGGACTTATCATTCATGCAGATGGATTATCAAAATTAACAGCGGGTCAGCCTAGTTCCCTGTATCCTCATGTGAGAACCTACAGGGTGCAAATGGCTTGCCAAGGCATTCCTGTTTGTACTGGCTTATGGCTCGTGAAACTCTTGATCTGGCTAAGAAATGACTTCCATACCACTGTCTCTTGATGTATCTCAGGGTGTGACCCTAGTTTGAGGCTTCACGAGCAGTGAGAACATCCACCAAACAGAGCTGGATTTGACTTTTCGCACTCGCATGATATGGGAGGTCCGTGTTGGCTTGCAGTATATTCTACAGCTGTCCTGGCATCTGAGAATCAAAGGAACTGTGATGGTGTCACAGGACTACCAGGTTCATATGCCTGCTGCACAGTAACATACCAATACACTGAGGCAGCAGGGTTTATGGCAGAGAAAGGTTTAATAATTGCAGGGCAATTAGTGCGAACATGAGAGGAGACCTCAAATCCATCTTTTTTTTTTTTTTTGAGACTGAGTATCACTCTGTTGCCCAGGCTGGAGCGCAGTGGTGCAATCTCAGCTCACTGCAACTTCTGCCTCCTGGGTTCAGCGATTCTCCCACCTCAGCTTCCCCAGTAGCTGGGATTACAGGAGCCCATCATCATATCTGGCTAATTTTTGTATTTTTAGTAGAGATAAGATTTCACCCTGTTGGCCAGGCTGGTCTCAAACTCCTAACCTCAGGTGATCCGCCATCTTCAGCCTCCCAAAGTGGTGTGATTATAGGCGTGAGCCACTGTGCCTGTCCTCAAACCCATCCTTCCAAGGAGTTCTGGGCTGGATTTTTTAGGGGAATCATGGAGGGTCTTGGGGTCACTGATGGGTTGGGGTAAGAGGGAATGGAATCATCAGAATATGGAAATGGTATGCTTTGGTAAGTCAGCTTCTCATAGGGTCCTTCAGAGAAGCAGACATCAGCAGTTTCCCTGGTATGCACAACCTGAAAGATTATTGCAAATGGAAAACTTAACATTTCATGATGTTATGTTATCATCCTGTAACAGGATCTGTGCGATTCTAGAACAAATAGGTACCAAACAAGTAGGAATACATAGATGAGAGGGCAAGCTGACCTCAGGATCAAAGCTGAGTATGCTGCAAGCTTAGTTCATTTTGTTTCTCCCGCTCCCTTCCTCTCTGATTGATTTTATGAAGTTTATAGAGATGGTTTCAGTAGCATTACCAAAGGGGTTAGGGAGCAGTTGAGGTGCTGCAGGATCATGGAGTCCATTCTATGCAGGATGGGGCCCTTGGGTGGACCCACTCTATCTTCTGCAGCTTGGAGAAGAAGGAAGCAGGTCATGTCTATGAGAAGCCAAAACAATAGTTTTCACATTCATAGATATTGAAAACTCACAAGTAGTTTCATTGATGTCTTCTCAGGCACAGTAAGGAAACTTTCCTTCTCTTTTTCTCCTTTCTTCACGTGCACACACCTCTCCCCACCACGGACGATTTCACTGGCACCAGCAAGCATGGCTTGTATGGGGATAATGTGGAAGAGATGGACTCCATGGTGGGTAAGTCACAGGACTTAAGTGGACAGAAACTAACGTGTTCTGATAGGACAGGACACCTGAAAACTGCTCTTGGTCAACCTGTAGAGTGAAGAGAATTATGCCTATGGGACAGAGTGGTCTGAGACATTAATGAGGTAATAGTTGCTAGCAATTGAGAAAGTCAGCAAAAAAACTATATGCATTTCCTCTCCTTTCTTTGCATGCTGTCCACTTATCAACTTGGGTCTTTGTCTACTTGACTGCGTCTCCAGTGCTGGCCAGATAACAAATCAAATCTTCTTTTCAAAAATTTCAACTCTTGTTTTAGATTCAGGGAGTACATGTGCAGGTTTTTTACCTGGGTGTATTACGTGATGCTGAGGTTTAGGATATGATCAAACCCTTCACCCGGACACTAAGCATAGCACGCAATAGTTAGTTTTCAACCCTTCCCCCACTCCTTCCTTCACCCCTCTAGTAGTCCCCAGTATCTATTGTACTGATCTGTGTGTCCACATATACTTGATGTTATGCTCCCACTTATTTTGTTTCATTTTTAAAAATAAATTTTATTGTGTATTTTAAGATTCACAACGTGACGTTAAAAGATACGTATAGATAGTAAAATGATTACTATAGTGAAGCAAATAGTAATCATTAAGTAACATAATATAGTAATATTAAGTAATAGTAATATAGTAAGCAAATGTATCTATCATCTCACACTGTTACTTTTTTGTGACAAGATCAGCTAAAATCTATTTAACAAAAGTCCAGCTGAGCACAGTGGCTTCCATCTGTAATCCTGGCACTTTGGGAGGCTGAGGCAGGAGGATCACTTGAGCCTAGGAGTTTGAGACCAGCCTGGACAACATAGTGAGACCCTGTCTCTACAAAAATACAAAAATTAGCTGAGTGTGGTGGCATGTGCCTGTAGTCCCAGCTACTTAGGAGACTGAAGCGGGAGGATTGCTTGAGCCCATAAATTGAGGCTGTAGTGAGCCATGATTGCACCACTGCACTCCATGCACTCCAGTCTGGGTGACAGTAGCTCCCACTTATAAGTGAGAACATGCAGTATTTGGTTTTCTATGTCTGCATTAATTTGCATAGGATAATGTCCACCACCGGCATCTATGTTGCTGCAAAGGACATGATCTTGTTCTTTTTTATGGCTGTGTAATATTCCATGGTGTATACGTACCACATTTTCTTTATCCAATCCACCATTGATGGGTGCCTAGGTTGATTTATGTCTTTGCTCTTGTGAATAGTGCTGTGATGAACATATGAGTGCACATGTCTTTTTTTTTTTTTGAGACAAGATCTCACTCTGTCACTCAGGCAGAAGTGCAATGACATGATCTCAGCTCACTGAAATCTCTGCCTCCTGAGCTAATGCGATTCTCCTGCCTCAGCCTCCTGAGTAGCTGGGGCTATCTATAGGCACATGCTACTGCGCCCGGCTAATTTTTGTATTTTTTGTAGAGGCAAGGTTTTTCCATGTTACCCAGGCTGCTCTTGAACTCCCAAGCTCAGGTAATATGCCTGCCTCAGCCTCTCAAAGTGCTGGGATGACAGGCATGAGTCACTGCACCCAGCCCACATATCTTTTTGATAGAAAGAGAAATCATATTTTCAGACTCTTTAGTGACATAGCCAAACTTTATTTCAGGTCTGTTGAGCACCAATATCTTAGTTGGGGATTGGGAATTAACTGGTAAGTCAGAATCCAGTACCCTCATGAACTCATCCTGTAGAGAGAACAATGTAAATGGGACGTCCTAGGACTTACATGGTAAATGTATTGATTAGCAAAATGGCTTTAATTTTCCAACATTAATGAAAGAAAACCATGAGTGAAACTCACATATATGCAGGACACAAATTTAAAGTATAATATTTTCCAGACACAGATATTGTGAAATATATGTCACTAAATAGAAAGACGCTTTGGAAAATTAAGCCTGGAAAAAGCAAAGCCAATTTGCATAGTCTTAAACACATAAAAAATATGAAGTATTTAAAAATATAAATAATATTCAAACCAAATACATGAACATGAATAGATGTTTATGTAGGTATAAGTGTGTGTGTCTGTGTCTGTAGTGTTTGTGTACATATGTATAGAAACAGATGATTGACAGAGATAGATGATGGATAGATAGATGATAGGTAAATAGATGATAGATGGATAGATAGATGATGGACTGATAGTTGATAGATGATAGGTAGATAGATAGATGATGGATGATAGATAGATGATAAATAGACGATAGATGATCGATAGAAAGATAGATGATTGAGAGATAGATACATAGATAAACAGATGATAGATGACAGAGAGACAGATGATAGATTGATAGATTATAGATGGATACATGAATAGAAAGATGAATAAACAGATATATAGATGATAGATGGATAGATATATAGATAAGTACATGATACATATGACAGATGATAGATGACAGATAAGATAGGTGATTGATAGATAAGATAGATAGATGATAGGATAGATTGACAGATACGTAGATGATAGGTAGGTAGATAGATGATAGATAGATACATACATACATACATACATACATACATACATAGATACATAGATAGATAGATAGCTATGCATACCCCTCTTACTTTCTGCCTCCACCAGCACTAGTCCTTAAAGTTTAGATTCTTAATATTGCACTCAATCTCAAAAATCGTGGCGATCCTATTTTTGATTTGATCTTTGAAAATCAATGAAATAGGTCATTCAAACTCAGGCTGTGATAAGTAAAAGACATTACTATTTGCTTTAAAAATTTAAATTAACAAAGCTCCCAAAGTATCTAATTTAATAAACCTGATGATGTGTCATAGTGTTCAAACAAGGCACTTTGGGTATGACTTTAATTTCGATGGGATTTTTCTGGTGACATTCAGATAATATTACGCAAACGGATGGGTGTGTTGAATCTGGTTGGACAAGCTGTGATATCTGAAAATTATATTTTGAAAAAGCGCAACTGAGATGTACATGATACTGGTGCCCAGAGGTTTTGAATGTTTTGTCCACACAGCCAGAATCAAGCCTTTAGGAAGAATAAACATCTGCTTTAATATATAATTTTAGCAATTCTCAAGCAAACATATATTTACCCTGAAATTATTTATCCCAGAAGCTGTAACAATACCCCAAGTCCTAAGAATTGTTGCTTTTCTTATTAGAAAAGTTGATTTGTGGCCATTCCTGGTAGAGATATCACCTTCCTGCCTTTTATAATTATCATAGGTGGCCGGGCGCGGTGGCTCACGCCTGTAATCCCAGCACTTTGGGAGGCCAAGGCGGGTGGATAACGAGTTCAGGCAATCAAAACCATCCTGGTTAACACTGTGAAACCCCGTCTCTACTAAATATACAAACACATCCGTGGTGGCGGGCGTCTGTAGTCCCAGCTACTCGGGAGGCTGAGGCAGGAGAATGGCGTGAACCTGGGAGGCAGAGCTTGCAGTGGCCGAGATCGCGCCACTGCACTCCAGCCTGGGCAACGGAGCGAGACTCCGTCTCAAAAGAAAAAAAAATTATCATGGGTTTCCCACAGCAGTGCCCTGAAATAATGGAGTCTACTGATAGAATAAACATTTATTTTCATTTTTTAATAATTTCCACCTTTTATTTTAGATTCAGGGAGTACGCATGCAGGTTTGTTACCTGGGTATATTGCATGATGCCAAGATTTGAAGTACAATAGCTCCTGTCACCCAGGGAGCGAGCATGGCAACCAATAGATAGATTTTCAGCCCTTGTCCCCCACCTTCCTTCTCCCCTTTTGGAGTCCCCAGTGTCTATTGTTCCCATCTTTATGTCCATGAGTACCCAATGTTTAACTCCCACTTATGAGAACATGTGGTAGTTGGTTTTCTTTTTCTGTGTTAATTTGCTTAGGACAATAGCCTCCAGCTGTATCCATGTTACTGCAAAGGATGTGATTTTGTTCTTTTTTATGGCTGTGTAGTATTCCATGGTGCATCTGTACCACATTTTCTTTATCCATGTAGATTGGTTCTATGTCTTTGCTATTGTGAATAGTATGATAATCATGCAAGTGCCTGTGTCTATTTGGTAGAATGATTTATTTCCCTTTGGGTAGACACCCAGTAATGGCATTGCTGGGTCAGAGGGTAGTTCTGTTTTAAGTTATCTGAGAAATCTCCAAAGTGCTTTCCACAGTGGCTGAGCCAATTTATATTCCAAACAATAGTATATAAGTGTTGCATCTTCTCTGCAGCCTCACCAGCATCTGTTCCTCTTTTATTTTTTTGACTTATTGGGTTCGTGCAAAAGTAACTGAGGTCTTTGTCATTGAAAGTAATGATAGATTGATAGATTATAGATGGATACATTGAAAGTAATGACAAAGACCTCAATTACTTTTGCACCAACCTAATAGTAGCCTTTCCAGCTGGTATAATAAACACTTTTAAAAGTGATACTTCCTATGGGCCATGCACTGTTACCAGTGTATTCTGGATGAATCCCCACAACATCCCCGGAGACGAGTATCATCTTCATCATCATGTTTATCTCCATTCACAGAGAAGGAGGCAAAAGTATGTGGCCTTTGGTGGCTGCTCCTGGAGATAAGCCAGGGTTGGGCTCCAAAGCTCTTACTCCCTAGCTCAGCTACCTCTTATGCAGGGCAAAGAAGTCATGTTGAATGATGAGGAAGGAGAGCTACATTCTTCTCTGAAGTCTCCAGTAGCCCCATTAGACTCCTACAGACCGTCATTTCACAGGAGTCAGAAAAACTCCAAAAACTTCCCCCAACCTGGCTTCCTGCTTCCTTCGAGCCCAGCGAGAGGCTTTCATTGGAGATACCACCCTTGCCCCACCCAGGGGAAAATCTCTGATGCCGAATGAGTCATGCATTTCTGCATGGGCAAGAGTCCATCAGCTTGGATCTGAAGAGCAGGTTTCTCAAGAATGCAGATAAGAAAGTAAAATGTGCAAAAATGAGTAGGAGAAATGGCCTTATCAGCAGGAGATGAGACAAGGATGAGGGTCTTGGCTGAGCCTGTTGTACAGACAGTTGTGAGTGGTGGAATCCCAGGGCAGGCCTGTCTGTGGACAGCAACACAGCTTGGGCAGCAACCCTGGACAGGGCAGAACTGCAAAGGAGGCTGTAAACATGTATTTCTATGTCATATATATATATAATTTATATGAAATATTTGAGACACATATATAAAATATAACTTAACCCTTTATAATATATATATTTATATTATTTGTTATACATATTAGTATTAATAATTTGAAAGTTATCATATATATGAATATATATTATGTATTTCTGTAGCATATAATTTCTATATTTATTTATTTATTTCAGTTGATGTTAGAAAGGTACGAATCATTTCCATGGTTGTAATCCCTGCTACTTTGGAGGCTGATGTGGCAGGATCATTTAAGCCCAGGAGTTTGAGGCTGCAGTGAGCCACGATTGCACCACTGCACTCTAGCCTGGGTGACAGAGCAAAATCCTGTCTCAGAAATAATCATTTCCATGGCCACTATGTAATCTCTCTAAATTTTAAGATATAAATAGAATAATTGAATATAATTGAATAATATTAAGAATACAAACAACTCAAAGTAATTTAATATTATTTGTAAAGAACAGAATTGCCTATGTTAAAAACCCTAGAGTTTAATAAAACACATATCAGCACATAGATGACATATGATATTATAATAAAATTATATTACATATAATTTATATTATAGTTATATTACTTATATACATCATTATATTATTATGTTCATATATAATATAAACATATCATTAATATACAATTATTAGATTTTAATATATTATATGGTTCTATCTTATATATATCACAATTATGCTATGCATATTATATATTATGTACATGTATACATCAGTACCATAGAGGTTTTATTAAACTTTCTGGGGTTTCCAACATAGGTATGTTCACTACATTTAATGTTAAGTTTGTATTTTATGTGTTAAAGTATGTATTTAACTTTAATGTTAATTGCATTAGTCAGGTTATGTACAAAAATAAGTTACATAATGACAAAAATATTCTTATTTTTCTGGTATTAATGAAATAGTTTCAATTTTTACTTTTAAGCATAATGTTGACTGACGCTTTGAATATTTTAATTCTTAATATTTTGAGAGACTTATAAGATGTGCATTAATTAGATAGTAGCCAGGAAAATTCTTGCATGCTTTCTAGTATTACCTAACTATATATATGTATATGTAGTTAACTATATACATGTTATATATCATGCTGTTGATATTATCTATATTTTATATATATCTAACAATATAACTTATAAAACATTTTTATTATATACATAAATACATATATACTACATGTTATGTAGTATATGTGTTCTAAAGATTGATATATAATATAATAAATACATTTGTTTTTGTATAGTATATGTTAGTATAGTATTAGTCCAATAGTATAATTAGTTACATTTATATATTAGCTATACATAAATATATTAGCTATATATAAAAATATATTAGTTATACATATATATGAAGTCTACAGTGTTTCTCTGTTGGGTATATGCACCAAAATTAAGACCTTTTCTTTTTGTTAAAAATAATGCATTTCAAGATACAATGGATCACCAGCTACTATTCATTATAGCTCCAATGTCAATAACTAAAATATTTAGAAATAATTTTTCAAGCAGTAAATGAGTATCTCGAAGCTGACTCATGAAAGAAAACTTGAATACATGGAAAGGAAGAGTGGATTGTATACATGTATTAGTTATTTCAAAGTTAATATTGAAGGCTAAGGTAGCTCTGATTAGAGCATTAATTACTGTTCTCTGGGGAGTGGTCATTATAGAGGTGATGATGAAATACACACTGAATAAACTGATAGGAAATAAACTTTCCAGAAACATCTGATGAGAAAGTCTTTGGTAGAAAACATCAAGAAACACTTCTGTGATCATAAGAAATGCTATCAAAAAGATAACTACAAAAATTAAAACGCAGAAATACAAGATTTGACTTTTAGATCAATGAAGCAGAAAATAATAGCCTTAGAGCAGGTCTGGGAAAGAGAAGGACATTACATTCGGTACAATAAAGTTTTTAAATCAAGGTGGCAGGGGTGAAAGGTGTTGGGGAAAGTTTGTGTTATGAGTTGACTTACATCCCCCCAAAAAGGTATGTTCAAGTCATAATCCAAGGTATGTGAGAATGGGATCTTATTTGGAAATAGGGTCGTTGCAGGTGGAATCAAGTTAAGATGAGGTCATTGGGGGTGGGTCCTAATCCGATATGGTGAATTAGGATGAGGCTGCTACATGCCAAGGAAGGCTAAGGACTGATGCCAACTGTCTGAAGTGAGGAAGAGGTAAGGAAAGGTCCTCCCCTAGAAACTTCAGAGAGAGAGAGTGACTCTGCCAACACATTGATTTTGAACATCTGGCCCCCAGAACTGTGAAAGAATAAATGTTTGTTGTTTTAAGCCACCTCATTTGTACTAATTTGTTTCAGCAGCCCAAGGAAATTCACAGAGTTAGTTTAGGAAAAACCATTACCAATTCAATTAGCATGCTTTTCCATACACATTAAGGACATTGAGTGAAACAAAACAAAAATTGGAAGAAGCTATAGTTAAACAGTAAATTTACATCTGGATGAGGTATAGTGTTAGTAATAGCAAAAGGTTATCTGATAAGTAGCATGACTAAAGGCCCTATGCAAACTGAGGAAATATTAGCAACAACATGACATTGTTTTAACTGCTTGACAAATAAAGAGTTCTTATAAATCAATAATGGAAACACATAATTCCTTCCAAAAATATCAGCAAAATTTTAAACATCTTTTACAGATTAAAAGTACAAATATTAGAGTGGACACAGGAGGAAACTCATGATCATTCATAATGTACCATAATCACCTATCAAACATTAGATACTGATGAGGAATTGAGAAAATGAACTATTATTAATGCCAAAAGTTGTTCATTATGGCATTTTAAATTATGGCAAAGTATGAAAATTAACCAGAATAGTGAACAACAGTAAAATGGTTAAATAATTTATACTACTTAAAAATAAAGTATCATAAATTGTTTAGGCCAGGTGTGGTGGCTCACGCCTGTAATCCCAGCACTTTGGGATGCCGAGGCAGGCAGATCACCTGAGGTCGGGAGTTCGAGACCAGCCTGACCAACATGGAGAAATCCTGTCTCTACTAAAAATACAAAATTAGCTGGGTGTGGTGGCGCATGCCTGCAGCTGAGGCAGGAGAAATGCTTGAACCTGCGAAGCGGAGGTTGCAGTGAGCTGAGATCGTGCCATTGCACTCCAGCCTGGGTAACAAATGCAAAACTCCATCTCAAAATAAAATATATATATATACACATACACACACAACACACACACACACACACACACACACACACACACACACACAATGGACACTTTTCCAGCCATTAAATTGTACATATAATTTTTTAAATTTATTTTTTTAATTGAGACAGGGTCTCACTGTGTTGACAAGGGTGGTCTCAAATACCTGAGCTCAAGGGATCCGCCTTCCTTGCCCTCCCAAATTGCTGGGATTACAGGTGTGAGCCATGATGCCCAGTCTTGAATAATTTTTTAACACGAAGATTTTCCGAGAAATAATATTGGATGAAGAAAGCAAGTTGAAAACCGTTCATACAATATCAACCCAAATAGAGAGAGAGAGATGCATCTACAAGAGTATGTGATATGGTTTGGCTGTGTCCCCACCCAAATCTCATCTTGAATTGTAGCTCCCATAATTCCCACATGTTGTGGGGGGGACCTGGTGGGAGATAATTGAATCATGGAGGCAGTTTCCCCCATAGTGTTCTCATGGTAGTGAATAAGTCTCATGAGATCTGATGGTTTTATAAGGGGAAACTCCTTTTGCTTGGCTCTCATTCTCTCATGTCTGCCACCGTGTAAGATGTGCCTTTCACCTCCCATCGTGATTGTGTGTCCTCTCCAGCCACGTAGAACTGTGATTCCATTAAACCTCTTTTTCTTTATAAGTTACCCCGTCTCAGGTATGTCTTTATTAGCATCGTGAAAACAGACTAATACAGTATGTAACAATTTTTTTTAAATAGTCAAATGGCAATGGGGCAGGAAATTGGTGGTCTTTATTTTCCTCCTTATAATTTTCTTTATTTTTTTGTATTTCCCAAGCTATTTTGTATTTTTATAATCAGAAAAATATTAGCTTTGTTGTTTTTTCTTGCTACTTTTCACTATTTACTGAAAAGTAGCAAGAAGAGTAAAAACAACTCCCGTGTCCCCTTCACCCATCTTTCCCAATTGTTAGCAATTTATCAAATATATCTTCTCTCGCCCCTCTTCCTTTCTCCTGATCATCCTCTTTCTTCCTCTCTCTCTCTTTCTCTCTTCCACCTCCACATGTTTCTTATGCTTCTGAATATTTGGGAATAAGATGCAGATATGATGTTCATTAAATTTAGAAACTTTAGTGTGTATTTTCTAAAACAAAGACATTCTCCTACATCATCACTGCGAATCATCAAAATCGGGAAATTAACATGGGTGGATTCTTAGGATTTAATTCACAAATCCCAGCCAAACTTCTCCAGCTGTCCTCAAAAGAAAATTTATACACAGCAAGCAAAACCAATGGACAAACAAAAACCAACCAACAAAACCCCTACTTCCTCTACCCTCTTTCTGTTCTGGTCCATGGATTTTCTTGTTGTATCTGTTTAAACTCCTCTGATCTGGACAAAGACTGAGCAATCTTTATTCTTTCTTGAATTCAAAGACCTTGACATTTTCTGAGAATAAAGACCGGGTATCATCTAGAATGTCCCTTGAATTGGGTTGGTTTGACATTTCCTTCAATGGAAGTGGAAGTGATGGTGTGTTCTCAATCCAGTAGACAAGTAAGTGAATTAGCCCCAACAATGGTTATAAAATTCTTCATCTCTTGATTAAATGGTGTCTTCCAGTTTTCTCCACTGTAAAGTTACTTATTTTGTCATTACTTAATAATTTGAGATTTTTAACTATTTTATGGGAGATACTTTGAGATGAAGCCAATATTTTGGTTCTTATCAAACATTTAATGCCAGGTTTAGCATCCATTGATCATTTTCTCTTGGATGAATTTTCAGTGCGATTTTTGCTAAAAGTATTGTGGTAAATTTTTAAAAGTATTTTAAAATATAAATTCTTTCTTAACTTGCCCTTACTTGTGTGCCTTGGCTCTAGAAGAAAATTTCTAAGGTATAGTACTTTAGGAATGTTAATGTAATGTTATCTGAGATAACCAACAGTAGAACACATAGAATTAGACACGTTTGAGACTAATAAGCTTTTTCATAATTATGCATAATACAGACTGGGTTTGGGAACTCTAGGAATTTAGCTATTTTCCTATAAAAATGATTGGAAATGTGGTTTATTTTGAATACATTCTTCCTCTTTTAACTTGCCCATTGAGTCTAATTCTCCCAACCTAGTCATCCTATTCTCTATTTAAAATATCAAATAAGAAGGGAAGGGAAAATGGTTAAAGAATTACTTATCTAAATCATCTGCAAGAATATATCAAATAAATTATGTGAACCCAACAGTGGGAGTGTCTTATTCTTGCCTCTGTCTCCTCAAATTCTGTAACAATGTCTGCCTTCTGTGAGCAGAGAGGTTGCATAAACCGTGACTGCCATTCTGTGCAACATCAGTCAGAATACCACTACAGTCCTTCGTTTCATATCCAGTGGGAAAAACTGTATTTCTCTGTTTAATGTTTTCATTCTGCATGAAGGAAATTATCAAGGAGAATTTGTCCTTTTAAATGATACCAGTAGCAACTGATGTTCATTTGTATTGCCATAATATTTTTTTCTTAAAGCAGGTCATCTTTTATTTCTTAAAAATTTTGGACTCTCAGTTTTTTGTTTTTTTGTTTTTTGTTTTTTTGAGATGAGTCTCACTCTGTCACCCAGGTTGGAGTGCAGTGGCACGATCTGAGCTCTCTGCAACCTCTGCCTCCCGGGTGTAAGCAATTCTCTGCCTCAGCCACCTGAGTAGCTGGGATTACAGGCCTGTGCCACCATGCCTGGCTAATTTTTGTGTTTTTAGTAGAGACAGGGTTTCATGATCTTGGCCAGGCTGATCTTGAACTCCTGACCTTGTGATCCACCCACTTCAGCCTCCCAAAGTGCTGGGATTACAGGCATGAGCCACCGCGCCCGGCCTGACTCTCAGTTTTTTTCTCTTTCAATGGTTTGTCAATTTAAACTGTTAATGCACATTTCTTTTCTTTTGTGGCTTTTGACATAGGGTCACACCATCCTTGTTTTCCTTTAGATAGCTCATGCCCATTTGACTTAGGGGTGAAATACCTCATAATGTCATTATTTTTACTTGTCTCTTGTATATTATTTTAGGCAAGATTCTTGATGCTATCGATGATTTTGGCCTAAGGAACAACACCCTTGTCTACTTTACATCAGATCACGGAGGGCATTTGGAAGCTAGGCGAGGGCATGCCCAACTTGGTGGATGGAATGGAATATACAAAGGTGAGGAGAGGAACTCATGCAAGTGATCTGGTGGTGAATAAGCTTTTTTGTGGTTCTTATAATTAAAGCCCATGACACAAAGGAATGAGGCCTGAAAAACTGAACAAGTTTGTTTAATTTGACTCTTAGTAAAATGAAGTATTGGACCAAGGTCAAGAAAATTGGTCTTACATTTGTTAACATTTCTGTGGAAGGAAGCCATTTATGTAGAGGGAGCATCTAGAAATATGCCTTTCTGACAACCCTATCAAATTATGAGGAGTTAGCACAAGCAGATGCTTTTATGGGGTCTTTAAAGAAATATCTACTCATTCATTCCATTTATGAGATTATTGAGAGATTAAATGAGGGGGAGTGTGATTCCTAGAGAACAGAGATCAGAAACCAGGGATCCTTCATCATTAAGAAGTCTTCGACACTCTCTTCCAAGGATATAGTACAGCATAGAAAGTAGACAAGCCTGTCTTGGGTTTCATGATTAAATTCACATATACTGATTTTATGTCCTGCTGTAACATTTAGTCCACAAAATAGGTCCATAAGCTACTACATTGGCCAGTCTATAATGTGTAACCTGATGTTAGAATATTATCTTCATTTGTGAAATGAGGATTAAAAAAAGAAAAAGAAAAAAGATAATTATCTGGAAAATGTCGAGTATATTTTATCATATGTCTTGAGAGAGATTTTAAAGTATTTTCTAGAGGAAAATACGTTGTTATTCATGCAACTACAGATTCCACAGTCTTGGATTCGGTAGGAAATTATAATTTCTGTATGAATGAGGTAAAGGCTCTGCCTCCATCTTGCAGAGGGTATGAATGTGTACTCTTTAGAGCGTGTAGCACTAAAGTGTGCACTTAGGACCCAAAACAAATCCTTAGTGGAAATTGTTATTATAGACATTCTATTTTAAAAAAAAAATTCAGTAGTTTTGGGGTTACAGGTGGTTTTTGGTTACACAGATAAGTTCTTTAGTGGTGATTTCTGAGATTTTAGTGCACCGTCATCTGAGCATGTACTCTGTTCCCAATATGTAGTATTTTTTTCCTCAGCCTACTCCCAATCATTCCCCAAAGTCACCAGAGCCCATTATATGATTCTTATGCCTTTGCATTCTTGTAGCTTAACTCCCACTTATAAGTGAAAACAGGCTGTTTGGTTTTCCATTCCTGAGTTACTTCACTTAGAATAATGGCCTCCAGCTCCATCCAAGTTACTGCAAAAGATATTATTTCACTTATTTTTATGGCTGAGTAGAATTCCATGGTGTATGTACACCACGTTTTCTTTATCCACCTGTTGGTTGATGGGTACTTAGGCTTGTTCCATATCTTTGCAATTGAGAATTGCACTGCTATAAGCATGCGTGCGCATGTTAGACATTGTATGTTTGCTTATGGGAACTGTTTTTAAAAATTTTTGGCTCATGCCTGTAATCCCAGCACTTTGGGAGGCTGAGGCAGGCGGATCACAAGGTCAAGAGATCGAGACCATCTGGCCAACATGGTGAAACTCCATCTCTACTAAAAATACAAAAATTAGCTGGGCATAGTGGCGGACACCTGTAGTCCCAGCTACTCAGGAGGCTGAGGCAGGAGAATGGCGTGAACCCAGGAGGCGGAGGTTGCAGTGAGCCGCGATAGCACCACTGCACTCCAGCCTGGCAACAGAGCGAGACTCCATCTCAAAAAAAAAAAAATTAACTTTTCAGCATGCCATGACATAATGTAGATTTTACTCTGATTAACTTAATAAAATAAGAGTCAATTAACACAGGACAGTGGCCACTTCTCCTAATTTCCCCCTGGAAATCCTGGTGTATGCCTGTCATCTTGGTATAATTAAGACAACTTTCTGCTTTTATTCTCAATAATACCTTGATGTGGACAATAAGTTACCATATGTCCATAGTATTCCATTTGTTTTCAAGGTGCATGAATCAACAGTGAGCAAAATAGGCAGAAATCCTCGTCTTCATGGAGTTTATATCCTACTGGAGGGAGGCACAGCAGAAAATAAAATAAAATAAATAAATAATATGGCATATTAGAAGGTGGCTGTAAATAAGAAAAAACACGAGAGTAAAGAATTCTGGGGTGGGACTGCCATTTCAAATAAAATGTTCAGGCACGCCTCATTGAGGTTACTGTGAGTTCCATAAAATTGGGGGCTGGATACAAGAAAAATATTAATTAAAAAAAATATAGGAAGTTACTTTGAGCAAAGGTATGAGGGAGGTTGGAAATGAAGTAGGTGTATATTTGAGATAAGAACACTTTAAGTAGAGAAAATAGCCATGCAAATAGAATGTAAATGTCCAATATTACATATGCTTAGTTATTTAATCAAAAACCTACCAGCAGCACAGGAAAATATAATTCTGTAGACGTGCACTACTTACCCCACTAGGACTCTACATAGAGTAGACACTATACAAATGTGATCTCTTTTGATACTAGCTTACCTTTTAAATACATTCAATACAGTGACTATTTTAACTAGGCACAATAATTGAACTTAATTGCATTGTCTTATAGGTGGAAAAGGCATGGGGGGCTGGGAAGGTGGAATCCGCGTCCCAGGAATTGTCCGATGGCCTGGAAAGGTACCAGCTGGACGGTTGATTAAGGAACCTACAAGTTTAATGGATATTTTACCAACTGTCGCATCAGTGTCAGGAGGAAGTCTCCCTCAGGACAGGTGATGTCATATAAACTGTTAACAAGAGCTTATTTTCACCCTTCTTCCTTCTCAGAAGATTCAGAACAAGGAGACTGACTCTATCCTGGCAGACCCACTTTTTCCCTAGTATCTACACAGTTTTACCTTCCTATATGACTGTGTCTATTCAGCATTTTTCAGAAGAGACCAGTCTTTTCTTTTTTTCTATTGAGGTAAAATATACATATATAATTTACCATCTTTACCATTTTTCAGTATACAGTTCAGTGGTAATAAACATACTTATTTTCTTTTTTTCCCCTTCATTTTCCTCTCATCTCTCCCCTCTGGTCATCACTATTCTACTTTCTATCTTCCTAAGATTCACTATTATTTATTTTTAGCTCCCACACTGAGTGAGAAGATGTGATGTTTGCCTTTCTCTGGGCTTGGCTTATTTCACTTAACATAATGGCCACCAGTTCCATTCATGTTGCTGCAAATGACAGGAATTCCTTCTTTTTTAGGGATGAATAGTATTCCCTTGTGCATATATAACACTTTTTAAAAAGTTAATTTGTCTGCCGATAGGTGGTTAGGTTGATTCTATAGCTTGGCTATTGTGAAGAGTGCTGCGATAAACATGGAAATGCAGCTATTCCTTTGATCTGTTGATTTCTTTTCTTTTGGGTGTATACCAAGTAGTTGGATTTCTGGATCACATGGTAGCTCTATTTTTGGTTTTCTGAGGAACACCTCACCACGCAAAACAGATAAAGCAAATTACAACCGAAAATAGAGATGGACAGATTTATAACCAGAGGTCCTGAACAAGTATCAGAGACCAGTCTTAGATACTAATCTAATGCGGACCATCTTAGATACTTTAACATTTTCAATTGAGAGAAAGATGGAGACAGGAAGCTTTGGAGATGAAGACATGGTAGGTAAAACTCACTCATCTCTATAAGAAAGGGAAAAATAATCCTAGTCTCTGGTGTGAAAGATCTGGAAGACTGAGAAGAAGGTAAGATATTTGAGGATGCTTTGAACTCTATCATGAATACTTTGAATTTCTTCAAGAGGAGATCGTTCATACTACATTGCTCCATTCCCTGGCAGCAACCAGCCTAGGTAGGTTTGCTGCTGATTGACAGTTCATTGATCACAGCTCTGCAAGGGAATCCAGATGGGTTAGAACCGCAGCTATGTCTCTCCTCCAAGCCCACAGAGTTCTTGTAATATTTCTTTCTTCACGTAACAAAGCTAATCTATTTCTGAAGAAATAGGTTCTGTTGGCACTAATACAGAAAAGAAAAATATTTTAGAAGTCATGGTTAACTTACTGAAAAACAAACTATCAAGAACTAATCAAGACACATCCCCAAGTTTGCCTTTCTAATATTTAAAAATTTATGTTTGATGCTAGCAGATATCTCTATCAACACACTAAGGCTGGAATTTATTTTATAATTTTCGGGACTGAACTTTAGATGAAGACATTTTTATTTTCTGCCTGGAAAGAAGTTAGTCATTGATGATGCTAACACAGGAAAGAAAAAATATTTTATTCTTTATTTTTATTTATTTTATTTTTGAGACAGAGTTTCGTTCTGTTGCCCAGGCTGGAGTGCAGTGGCACGATCTCAGCTCACTGCAACCTCTGCCTCCCGGGTTCAAGTAATTCTCCTGCCTCAGCCTCTCCAGTAGCTGGGACTACAGGCACCGGCCACCACGCCTGGGTAATTTTTGTATGTCTTGTAGAGATGGGTTTTCGCCATGTTGGCCAGGCTGGTCTTGAACTCCTGACCTCAAGTGATCCTCCCTCCTCAACCTCCCAAAGTGTTGGGATTTACAGGTGTGAGCCATCATGACCAGCCCAGAAAAAATATTTAAAAAACCACTGTGAAGTTATTGCAAAAAGAACCTATCAAAAAACTATGGAGAAGCCCAGCTTTCCTGTTCTACCATTTAGAAATAGTTGTTTTAAGAAGTCTGTCGTTCCACATAGCCCAACAGCCTGTTAGGGAGACGGCAAATGTCCAGGCACAATATTGTTACGTTGCATGAGGGTGGAAGGCAACTGCTGCCAAGTTCCAGCCGTTGTCCTCACGTTAAAAAGAAGAACGAGTTGATTGGAGTCACTCATCACTCCAGTGCATTCGGCGCCATGAGATTACATGCTCATTTGGTCAGGGGTTTAGGGTTATGAGTTTGGTGTCCTTGATAAGATGTATAGTACAGCTGTCCTTTCCTGCCTGCAACCATGACTCCACTAGCCATAGGCTAAGTCTTCAGAGGACGCACCATCTTTGTAGTTCAACGGGAAGTGGAAGAATATCGCGAAGATGACTAAGGCACTGTGGTGGGAGACCTAACCTCAGCTTCACGTACAGGTCGGCGTGCCGGGTACTACTCATCAGGTTGATTTTTTGGTTATTCCTATGCTTGGTTCTCCCAAGCCTCTTTATTTGAATTCATGACTTCTTTGGCATGTGCATTGACCAGTTAAATATGTCCTTGCTAATAGAGAATAGCTGTACTACGTAGAAGGGAACAAACAGCAAATTCACAGTATCAGGCTCACTGTCTATGACACCAGCATCATGAGGGCCTGTGGATACCTCTCTCCTGTCTGCTTCAATCCCCAACACAATGAAATCAACAAGAAGAACTCAAAAGCGGCTCTCACCTGTACAGAAATGAAGGCTGCTAATACTGTAAAAGCCAAATAGTTATTTATTTTTAGAATTAACACAATTTGTTTCACCACCTCATCACACAAAACAGATAAAGCAAATTACAACCAAAAATAGAGATGGACAGATTTATAACCAGAGATCCTGAACAAGAGTGTAGAATAGACAAAAAAGAAAAGTAAAGATAAAACAGAGGACACCATTAATGTGTAGAAACACGGGAATCTGAGGATGCAATGGTTTATCAAAGTGTTGGGAAAAAATGACTTATCAGGTATGTGGTTTACCAATACAGCTGTCCCTTGGTATCCATGGGGGGTTGGTCTCAAGACCTCACGTGGATACCAAAATACCCAGATGCTCCCGTCCCTGATGTAAAATACTGTAGTATTTGCATATTACCTACACACATCCTTTTGTATATATTAAATCATCTCTAGATTACTCATAATACCTAATACAATGTATGTAAATGCCACATAAAATAGTTGTTATATTGTACCCTTTAGGGAATAATGACGAGAAAAAGTCTGTACATATTCAGTACAAACAAGACCGTCCCTAAAAGGACCATAAGCCTAAATGTAAACCCAAAATTATAACACTTCTAAATAAAACATAGGAGAAAATCATTGTAATATTCAGATAAGAAAATAATTTTTTTAGATTTATCAAAAAAGTTGCAAGCTATAAAAGAAAAAAGTGATAGATTAGTCATTATCAAAATTTAAAATTTCTGCTTTTCAAATGTCAATATCAAGTAAATAAACATGTGACCTCAGTCCATTAGTGGAGAAAAAAAGAAAAGAAAGAAAAAATTAAAATATTAAATATGAACTTAAAAGAAAGTTTAAAAGAAAAGAAAAAGACAAGCCGTGGAGTAGAAGCAAATAGTCATCCCTCTGAACTCAGAGGTTCTGCATCTGCGAATTCAATCAACTGCAGATCAAAAGTATTTCATAAGATTTTCTAGAATAAAGAATCTAGAATAGCCTAAAATTTTTTGAAGAAGAAAATCATTTGAAGACTCACTACATAATTCCAAAATTTACTATAAAGCTAGAGTAATCAAGTTTAAAAGAGTAATCAGGATGGTGTTCTAATGCTCTAAATTTTTAAAATTGATATTTAATATTTTAATTTTTTTCTTTTTTTCTTTTTCCCCACTAATGGAGTGAGGTCACATGTTTATTTTCTTGACATTGCCATTTGAAAAGCAGAAGTTTTACATTTTGATAATGGCTAATTTATCTTTTTTTCTTTTATAACTTGTGATTTTTGTGATAAAACTTAAAAAAAATTTTCTTATCAAAAGATCACAGTGATTTTCTCCTATGTTTTCACTTAGAAGTTTTATAGTTTTGGGTTTACATTTAGGCTTATGGTCCACATTGAGTTAATTTTTTAATGTGGCTTGAGGTATAGGCTGAGATTTATTTTCCTTGCATTTGGATATCCAATTTGTCTACTGTCATTTATTGAAAGACAGTCCTATCTCTACTGAATTATTTTGAGCATTTGTTGAAAAGCAGTATACGTGTTGGTCAATTCCTGGACTCTCCTATTTCATTGATCCATTGAAACCCTTATTTCAACACTACACTGTCTCAATTAGTCTAGCTTTATAGTAAATCTGGGAGTTATGTAGTGAGTCTTCAAACTATTTTCTTCTTCAAAAAATTTTAAACCATTCTAGGATCTTTATTTTCCCATGTAAATTTTGGAATAAGTTTCTTCCTTTCAACATAAACCTTTCTGAAATTGTGATTGAGATTGCTTTAAATCTATAGATCAATTTGCAGAAAATTGATGTCTTAAAAAACTTTGAATTTTCCAATCAATAAATATAGTTCATTTCTCCATTTATTTCTCTTATTTGGTGCTTTGTGGCTTTTCTCATACAAATTTTTCACATAAAAATGCTATCCCTAAATACTTCATGCTTTCTCATGTTATAGTACATGATACTTTAAAAAGCTATTCCCAGCTATTCATTGCAAATATATAGACATTTTTAAAAGTTGTTATTGTATTGTGTGATCTTGCTAGTCTTACTCATTATTTCCGGCAGTTTTTTCAGTGATAATTAACATAGGAAATCATTGTATCTGATAGTAAATATAGTTTTATTTCTTTTAAGATCCTTTTTAGGCATGGCACGGTGGCTCACACCTGTATTCCCAGCACTTTGGGAGGCCAAGGCAGATAGGTCACCTGAGGTCAGGAGTTTGAGACCAGCCTGACCAACATGGTGAAACCCCGTCTCTACTGAAAATACAAAATTAGCCAGGCATGGTGGCACACGCCTGTAATCGCAGCTACTCAGGAGGCTGAGGCAGGAGAATTGCTTGAACCTGGGAGATGGAGGTTGCATTGAGCCGAGATCGTGCCGTTGCACTCCAGCCTGGGCAACAAGAGCAAAACTCTGTCTCCAAGAAAGAAAAAAAAATCCTGGCTGGGCGCGGTGGCTCACGCTTATAATCCCAGCACTTTGAGAGGCCGAGGTGGGTGGATCCCCTGAGGTTGGGAGTTCAAGACCAGCCTGACTGACATGGAGAAACCCCATCTCTACTAAAAATACAAAATTAGCTGGGTGTGGCGGCACATGCTTGTAATCCCAGCTACTTGGAAGGCTGAGACAGGAGAATCCCTTGAACCCGGGAAGCAGAGGTTGCGGTGAGCAGAGATCACACCACTGCCCCTCAGCCTGGGAAACAAGAGTGAAACTCCATCTCAAAAAAAATAAAAGAGAAAAATCCTTATCTGGGATGTATTATTATGTGTCCCATTACAAAGCAGGTTTTATTATTATTGCTTTCTAATACAAGGCATAAGATATATTTTCTAATATAAATTTTTAAAATTCATTTTAGTTTAGATTCAGGGTCCCATGTGCAGGTTTGTTATTTGGATATATTGTGTGATGCTGAGGTTTCTATTAAATTCATCACCCAAGCAGTGAACATAGCGCCCAACGGGTAGTTTTTCAACCCTTCCCTCCTCCCTCCCTCCTGCTTTTCGGAGCCCCCCAGTGTCTAATGTTCCCATCTTCATGTTCATGTGTACCCAGTGTTTAGCTCCCATTTGTAAGTGAGAACATGGTGATTGGTTTTCTGTTTGTGCGTTCATTTACTCCATTTCTCATATAAAATTAGAAGTATATGACTTTTTAGTGATTACATAAAATTTTTTCAAAGGGTAGCAATATAATTGCAAATGAAGTTCAGATTTATGAAATTGCCATAAATTGCTGAGCTGTGGAGAGCTCTGTGTCGCAGCCAAGGCTGTCTGATCTTTTCGCCTTTGGGGCATGCATTGTCACATTCCTCGGCCTCATCATTTCAGGATCAGAACTTAGCTTTCTTCTCTTGTCCACTGGAGTGTAATCTCCCAGAGAGCATGCATGAGTTTTCCTAAAGACTCAGTACGCTGTCCTCTGGACCTGAGGCATGACGCAGTCTTCACCAAGTACCCTTCAGGTAGCTTGGGACCCAACGTCCCTTCTCCTCATTTTCCTTATCTGCACTGTCTGTGTCTCTGCAGGGTCATTGACGGCCGAGACCTCATGCCCTTGCTGCAGGGCAACGTCAGGCACTCGGAGCATGAATTTCTTTTCCACTACTGTGGCTCCTACCTGCACGCCGTGCGGTGGATCCCCAAGGACGACAGTGAGTGCTCAACCCGTTGCTTCCTGTTCCCTGCCAGGAGCAGGGTCACTCAGGTGTATCCTGAACGCATTCTTCCTTTCCTCTCTAGACCGGTCCTTTCATTCCAGGGCTCACTGAACACATGGTTTTGGAGAAGTTTCTCAGAATTGCTCTTCTGCAGAAAGGCAGGTGGGGGTAATGGAGATGCTAATTGGCTTCACTTAATTATCTCAGCAGTCGCACATACATTAAAACATCACATTGTGCATGGAAAATCTATGCAATTTTTACTTATCGATTACACTTTAATAAAGAAAACAGATGTATGAACATAAGATTTGCCTATAAAGTTAGAGAGACACTTTTACGAAACATACATTTTTAGTCAGGTGTGGTGGATCACGCCTGTAATCCCAGAACTTTGGGAGGCCGAGGCGGGCAGATCACTTGAGGTCAGGAATTTGAGACCAGCCTGGCAAACATGGCAAAGCCCTGTCTCTACTAAGAAATACAAAAATTAGCCAGGCATGGTGGTGCACACCTGTAGTCCCAGCTACTTGGGAGGCTGAGGCGGTAGAATCACTTGAACCCAGGAGGCAGAGGTTGCAGTGAGCTGAGATCACACCATTGCACTCCAGCCTGGAAGACAGAGTGAGACTCCATCTCAAACAAAAACAAAACCAAAAAATATATATACATTTTTAGAAACAGGACTGATATCTGCTGGAAAATGTGTATATCATTTCACCAGGGAACTCTAATGTTCTCGTTTTGTTGTAAGGATTGCATAATATTTAGCATTGACGTGTGGGCAAAAAGAAGCCCAAGAACCAGCCTTGAGAAGACGGAAGAAGACAAGAGAAGCCAGCACCTTGGGTGCATGCCTCTGATGTGCTTTCTTTCTTTCTTTTTTTTTTTTTTGGAGATAAAAAAATATGTATTGAATATCTTCTATGGGCAGGTTATTTTGTAGGCATAAGTGGTCATGGCTAAACTTTCATTTATAAAAATCAATTCTAGGCAGACTAAAGATAAAATGTAAGATTAAAAGTGTTAGAAGAAAATGAGTTTATGACCCAGAAATTGGAAGTTTTTTAAATTTTTAAAAAGTGGCACACATATAATAATATGCACACATTGCACATGAAAATTGGGGATATCTAGTGATATTTTGAGATAGGCAATGCATAGTGATCAGATTAGAATAATTGGCACATCCATCATCTCAAACATGCATAATTTCTTTGTGTTGGGAACATTGAATATCCTCCTTCTAGCTATTTGTAACTATGTAACATATTATTGTTAACTATAGTTATTCTACAGTGTTTAGAACAGGAGTCCCCAACTTTTTTGGCACCAGGGACCAGTTTTGTAAAAGATAATTTTTCTGCAGACTGGGGTGGGGGATGGTTTTGGGATGATTCAAATGCATGACATTTATTGTGCACTTTATTTCTATCATTATTATATTGTATTACATAATGAAATAATTCTACAACTCATCATCATGTAGAATCAGTGGGAGCCCTGAGCTTGCTTTCCTGCAACTAGATGGTCCCATCTGGGGGTGATGGGAGACAGTGACAGATCATCAGGCATTAGATTCTCATACGTAGCCTGCAACCCAGATCCCTCGCATGCACAGTTCACAATAGGTCTCGTGCTCTTATGAGAATCTGATGCAGCCACTGATATCTGACAGGAGGAAGAGCTCAGGCAATAATGCCAACGATAGGGAATGGCTGTAAATACAGAGATAAAGCTTCGCTCTCTCCCCCAACCACTCACCTCCTGTGTGTGACCAGGTTCTTAACAGGCCACGAACAGGTACCAGTTTGTGGCCTGGGGACTGGGGACCCCTGCTATAGAACACTAGGACTTCTTCCTTTGATCTGGCTGAAGTGCGCATCATTTGACGAGTCTCTCTTTTCTCCTCCAGGTGGGTCAGTTTGGAAGGCTCACTATGTGACCCCGGTATTCCAGCCACCAGCTTCTGGTGGCTGCTATGTCACCTCATTATGCAGATGTTTCGGAGAACAGGTTACCTACCACAACCCCCCTCTGCTCTTCGATCTCTCCAGGGACCCCTCAGAGTCCACACCCCTGACACCTGCCACAGAGCCCCTCCATGATTTTGTGATTAAAAAGGTGGCCAACGCCCTGAAGGAACACCAGGAAACCATCGTGCCTGTGACCTACCAACTCTCAGAACTGAATCAGGGCAGGACGTGGCTGAAGCCTTGCTGTGGGGTGTTCCCATTTTGTCTGTGTGACAAGGAAGAGGAAGTCTCTCAGCCTCGGGGTCCTAACGAGAAGAGATAATTACAATCAGGCTACCAGAGGAAGCCTTTGGTCCTAACGAGAAGAGATAATTACAATCAGGCTACCAAAGGAAGCACTAACTTTGGTGCTTTCAAGTTGGCAAGGAGTGCATTTAATAGTCAATAAATTCATCTACCATTCCAGATTATTAAAGGCCCACTGGTTGTTCCACTTGCTGCTTTTTTTTGGATTCCTGTGGATAAATGTTGATTGAAATTTGTTTTATTTCCCGAAAGCTTATAATTTACTAATTCTCTTATAAAAAATCCGCACGATGGCCGCTGATAATGTCACTGCAGAATTGCTACTTCTTCTGTTTGTCACCCAGTCTCCACCTTGCCTATCGCCAGCACCAACACTGGCCTTTGCAGTCTTCCTGACTTTCTTTGTTTTGTTCTTTCATTCCATTTGCTGTTTCCTTGAGGTCTTTCTCTTCTCACATGGGCTGTGTCTTGCAAGTCTATGTTTGGGTTCATTTTTCTTTGCATAATCTGAAGATTTGTAAATCGTGCCAAAACCAGTTGTCTTGCCACCACCAAAATGAATTCTGAATATGAATACAAAGAGGACATCCTGGCTGGGCACGGGGGCTCACTCCTATAATCCCAGCACTTTGGGAGGTTGGGGTGGGGGGATCACTTGAGGCCAGGAGTTTGAGACCAGCCTGGCCAACATCATGAAACCCCGTCTCTACTAAAAATACAAAAATTAGCCAGGCGTGGTGACACATGCCTGTAATCCCAGCTACTTGGGAGGCTGAGGCGGGAGAATTGCTTGAACCTGGGAGGCAGATGTTGTAGTGAGCCAAGATTGCGCCACTGCACTCCAGCCTGGGCAACAGAGCAAGTCTCCGTTTCAAAAACAACCAAAAAACCAGGACATCCTGTGTGGTCTTGTCCATTTCGGCTAGTTTTTCCTGAATATCTGTCTTAGGTGCTGTTGCCTTCCTGGGGTGAAGGACATCGATGACCATTTGTTGCCTCTGAAGAAGTCAGTAGCTCATGACCTTCCTGTGTAGATAGTTACTATGTCATCCATGTTGACAGCTGAGGGCACTGGCACCATCATAACTCACTGAAGACTCCACAGCAATCCTCCCAGTTCAGCCTCTGGAGTAGGTGGCACTGCAGACACATACCACCACGCCCGGCTCTTTTTATTCTTTTGTAGAGAATGGGTCTTGCTATGTTGCCCAGGCCCATCTCAAACTCCTGTCCCCAAGTGATCCTCCTGCCTCAGCCTCCCAAAGTGCTGGAATTATAGGCATGAGCCACTGCATCAAGCCTAATTTCCATTTTCTAAACGTGTCTTTCCGTGCCAGAAAACAAGCACCTACAGACACTTGTGCCATCTGCTCAGTTGCTTTGCTCTAAATATAAGGCCCTGTGTCATCAGGAGGCAACATACGAGGCATTTAAACAGTGCATTAAGAGGATCAAGTCTAAACGTGGCCACTAACCAACCAAAAGGGTTTATGTTTGTCAACAACAGATAGAAATTGAATCAAGAGTGGTGCAATAATTCAGCAAAACGTGTGTGAACCCAGAAAGTCTGAGACAGGTCTCAGATAACTTAGAAAGTTTATTTTGCCAAGGTTGAGGACGCGCCTGTGACACAGCCTCCGGAAGTCCTGACAACATGTGCCCAAGGTGGTTGGGGCACAGCTTCATTTTGTACACTTTAGGGAGACATGAGACATCAATCAACATATGTAAGAAGTACATTGGTTCGCTTTGGAAAGGCGGGACCACTTGAAGTAAGGGCTGGAAGACTTGAAGTGGGAGGGGGCTTTCAGGTCACAGACGGTGAGACACAAACAGTTGCATTTTTTGACTTTCTGCTTAGCCTTTCCAGAAGAGGCGATCAGATATACATCTATCTCAGTGAGCAGAAGGGTGACTTTGAATAGAATGGGAGGCAGGTTTGCCCTGAGCAGTTTCCAGCTTGAGTTTTCCTGAGTCATTTTGGGGGCCCAGGATATTTTTTTTTCACACATGCTAGCACTGAGTGACATAGCAATTGGTCTCCTGGCAGCCTGGAAATTTCAGCAACAGCTGATAAGACAGCGTGGTGAGCAGCCAGGTTCTAGAAAGCAAAGAGAAGTAGGCATCAACAACCTGGGAGGAGCACTGCTTTGATCCCCCCAGAATGTGCCAGACCATTAATGAAGTATCTTATTTCCTTCTTAATTCAGCCTCATGATTTAGGTATAAACACTTGTGTGAGATTGCCCAGAGCTGCCATAAAAATCACCATAAACTTGGTGGTTTAAGAAAACAGACATTCATTCTTCCACAATTCTGGAGGCTAGAAGTTCAAAAATCAAGGTGCTTCCTCCGAGGCCCTGGGTAGAATCCGTCCTTGCCAATCCTTGAAATTCCTTGGCTTGTGGACATATCACTCCAATCTCTGCCTTTGTCATTACATGAATGTCTACGCTCTGTGTCTTTAAATCTCTCTCTCCTTATAGAGAGAGATTATAGTCATATAGAATTTAGAACCCACCTTCATCTACTATGACCTCATTTTCTCTTGATGGCATCTTTAAAGACCCTATTTCCAAATAAAGTCTCATGTGCAGGTACCAGGATTTAGGACTTTAATGTAACCTTCGAGGAGGTCATAATTTAACCCTTTGCACCCTTATATACCAAGAAGAGTACCTGGGACTTGGAAATGCTCTGTAATTTGCTCAGGAGAACACAGCTTAGGTGTTACTGGGCTGAGACTGGCACCCTAGCCATGCCAATCCCAAATCTCCATGTACATCAACCCTATGGTGTTGAAGTAGGAGGCGCGACTTGACTCCAGAGGTGGGGGTTGGACACCAGACCAGATTGAGGGCTAGCTAAAACAGGGCAGACCAAAGCAGCTTTCAGTCAGACACGCCCATCAGTGTGCCATGTCAATTTACCATTGCCATGGCAACACCCAGGAGTTACCACCTCTTTCCATGGCAATGACCCAATAACTCAACGATTACTACGCTTTCCCTAGAAATTTCTGCATAACCCGCACCTTAATCTGCATGCAATTAAAAATGGGTATATATTTTGGGAGGCCGAGGCGGGCAGATCATTTGAGGTCAGGAGTTTGAGACCAGCCTGACCAATATGGTGAAACCCTGTCTTTACTAAAAATACAAAAAAAAATTAGCTGGGTGTGGTGGAGCATGCTTGTAGTCTCAGCTACTCAGGAGGCTGAGGCAGGAGAATTGCTTGAACCCGGGAGGCAGAGGTTGCAGTGAGCCAAGATCGTGCCACTGTGCTCCAGCCTGGGAGACAGAGTGAGGCACGGTCTCCAACAAGGAAAAAAATACAAATAAAAATAAATGGGTATAAATATGACTTCAAAAAAAATATGCCCTGAGCTGCTACTCTCTGCCTGCAGGGTAGCCCTGTTCTGCAAGAGCAGTCACGGAGCTATAACACTGTCACTTCAATAAAGCAGTTTTCTTCTACCTCTGGTTTGCCCCTAAATTCTTTCCCGAGCTAAGCCAAGAACACTTGTGGGCTAAGCCCCACTTTGAGACTCACTTGTCCTCCAGGAGTGTCTCTCAAAGGTGCAACCCCAGGAGTAACATAATCATGTGTGTTCGTCAATTTGCAATTGCAAAAATGTGGAACAAGCCCAAATGCCCATCAATCAATGAGTGGATACAGAAATTATGGTATATATATGTACAATGGAATATTACTCAGCCATGAAAATGAATGAATTAATGGCATTTGCAGCAACCTGGATGGGTTTGGAGAGTAAGCGAAGTCAGTCAGAAACAGAAAACCAAACATCGTATGTTCTCACTCATAAGTGGGAGCTAAGCTATGAGGATGCAAAGGCCTAAGAGTGACACAGTGGACTCTGGGGACTCTGGAGGAAAGGGTGGGAAGGGGGTGAGGGATAAAAGACTACAAATTGAGTGCAGTGTATACTGCTCAGTGATGGGTGCACCAAAATCTCACATATCACCACTGAAGAACTTACTCATGTAACCAAACACCACCCGTTCCCCCAAAACCTATGGAACTAAAAAAAAAATTAGAAAATTATGTGTGTTTGACTTATTTCAATGGACTGATACTGTTGCCTTGTCTTTACTAAGGAGTAATATGAATGTGTCAGGTGAAATACAAATAACTGTCTTAATATTAACTATTAAACAAGGATATCTTTTTCCTAAGTGATTTGGGGCAACCATATTAGACCTTATTTGTCCACAAAAGAATTCCTTACAAAGGCTGAGCATTTTTCTGCCACTCTTTGTTCTAAGATCTCTAAAACATCTTCGTTTTCTCATCACTCTTAGGAGGAGGTTCGTTTTGAATTTAGAATACCCTAGAACAGAATCTTAGGATTTTAGCCTGAGAAATAACTTCTGAAATCGTTTTCTCAAATGCTCTTATATTTGCAGATGAAGAACACAGAGTGTGAAGACACGAAGCGGCTTTAATGAGTCTGCACTGTAAAGGGAGCAGGACCATGAGGTCTGAACCCAAGGTTGTCAACCCCAAATGCAAGGTCCTTCTCCCTCCCTGGCTCCGGTCCTTCCATTTTCTTTAACCACATGGCAAGGAGAAGGTAGTAGATAAAAGCAAGCTATGTACAACCAAGGGAACACGTTCTTTTCCACACAGTGGTGTTCAGAGGTGGAAAGAATGTTCTCTAGGGTTTGACACAATTGGGGTGAATGGGAATTGTTCTTCTTGCCAGCTAAATATCTTTGGACATATTCCCTAATCTATCTGTACTTCAATTGTTCCCTCTGTGAAATGCAACTAAAAAGTGTATTACCAGACTTACAAAGATTAATGGAGATAATATCTGTAAAAGACTTTGCACATAGCGCATAGGCCCATAGGTAGCTCTTAATAAGTATTATATTTCCTTTTCTAGTGGTTATTTTGAAAATACCTTAAGATTAAAATTGAAAGAATGTCATCTATCAAAATGATACAAACCTTTGCCATTGGTCTAAACACTCCAAACTCAATGCTTAATTAACCTATCATGACCCATTGCATCGAGAAAATTACCTTCACCTGCCTTGTCTATCCGAGGTGGTCAATATTTTCCATATGCCCCTTAAGCCCTTAATTAACCTTTTTCCCTAAATAGAAAGATAAATTATACAATTCAGTCTGCAAATATAGTTACTTAAGGGATGTCTATTATTTCCTCATTCTGAATTATCCTTTAAATAATTTATATTCTTTCCTTCGCATTGAGGAATACAAGCCTGATTGAGCACTGCGTGTTTTTAATCATTACATGAATTTAAACACTAGGTGGCATGCTAATATAGCTGCCTGCACAGCTAGCTCCAAATTCCTAATATGATAAATGTGTGCATTTATTTCATTTTTGTAAAGATAGCATACATTTTAACTTTATTCTCGGAAGAGGAATTTGAAAAGGAAAGACACCTTTTTCAACTCATATTGTTTGATTGCATCCAGAAATTCACCTCCACCTACTTTATCCATCTGAGGTGGTCAGTATTTTACATAAGCTCCTCAAACCCTTAATAGCTTTGAAGGAATGGAATGCATTGCCTAAAGTTTCAGACAGGAATAACAGAAAGCAAAAATTAGAGAAACAAAGACAGAAGGGTAGCGGGGGAGAGAGACAGAAGTATCAAGGTGCATCATTTATCATCTGGAGTTTTCTAAGCACATATATTTTAATTACAACTAGCATGTGTGATCCGTGCTACTCATTCATCCCCCAGAGTGTGAACATAAATGGAGAACCTAGAATAATCCAGGCACTGGTCTAAAGTTGGAGAAAAGATACGTAGTTTCTTCTGTCTCAAGACCGTGTTCGGAGGATGAGTAAAGCAACGTGAATTAGAGTTGAGATGGGCCAACAATAAATAATCTCAAAAGGCTTGGCTGAAAGCAGCACCCGCACCTCAGATCTTGGCTATAATTTAGCTAAGGAAGCAGTGTATTTAGAAGCCTACTTGCAATGATTTTTTCAAATCCAAATCTTTTATGAAATTTGACTTGGGTGGTACAGGGATTCAAGAGCAAATCCCAAATTGGATGGACCCACAAATGGTAAAGACTCCTAGGGTTAGGGTTATAGGGTTTTCCTTACTCAGATCTGCAAATGGCCTCAGAAGCCCTGCCTCTGGCTGGAGCGGGTTTCCTTAGCAGTGTTGTAAAAAAAAGCGGGAGATACAGGAAGTACACATTGCATGGAAGCACAGTTTGTATGGGTGGATACCTTGGGGTGATGTTATGGGGCGATGATTAGTTGCCCGGCCACCTCTTGGTGAGGGTAATTGAGCAATGGACATTTTCCAGCTGCGGATGGCAGGATGACAGTCAGATTCTGCAGAATAGAAAGCTTGGATTCTGGTTCAGAAAAATCCTGCCTCTTCAAGTATGCCTTGTTTGATTTTCCATTGCATTTAGACGACATGCAAGTGAAACCCCCACTTGGAAAATGCCAAATATCCACCCACATCTCCAGCCTGTATCCATTCTTTAAACAGTAAAGACTTCCTTCCTTCTTTTTTTTTTTTTTTTTCTGAGACAGGGTCTTGCTCTGTCACCCGGGCTGCAGTGCAGTGCTGCAATCATCTTTCACTGCAGCCTCGACCTCCCAGGCTCAAGTGTCCTCCTGCGTCAGCCTCCCAAGCAGTTGGGACCACAGGTACGAGCCACCACTCCCTCCTAATTTTTGTATACTTTGTAGAGATGGGGTCTCACGATGTTGCCCAGGCTGGTCTCAAATTCCTGGGCTCAAGCCATCCGCCCTGCTTGGCCTCCCAAAGTGCTGGAATTACAGGCATGAGCCACCATGCCCAGCCTATTTTTGTTTCTTCTAAGCAGAATTTTGATCAGCAATCCAGATTCCCTAACTTTAACCCCAAGAGCCGAATTTAGGTCCTTGCCAGAGAAATGCTATCTATGGTATAGACTTAGGAAATATGCATATTTAAGAGGAAACTTTTGAAGAAACCCACTGTTGCTATCAGTATGAGTAATAATGACTTAAGCAACCTCAGTTCTTGGCATCATTCCTTTGTGGATAGAACCAGGTATATAGTTTGCAAGGCCGAGTGCAAAATGAAAACGCTCAGCTCTTGGGGAAACAGGTAAAAGTAAAAATAAAATGGTTATGTCTGTTAAAGCAAACTAAATATGGCCTGAGAAGTACTCCGTACTTCTATATTTGAGTCCTTGTGGATGAAGGGTATCCTAGCTTAATAGGCAAACAAAATTGAAAACCTAAGTTAATAGCATGCATCTGTAACAATAGCTGAGTGTTGGCCAATCCCAGCGGCCATACTTCAACCACTCATAGACTGCTGAGTGTTCAAACTGCGTTCAAATCAGGCAAACGCCGAGCAGTAATCCATTTCACTGTTTCCGTACCGCACTTCCGATTCCTGTACCTCTCTTTACCTTTTTCTTTTTTTTTTTTTGAGACGGAGTCTCACTCTGTCGCCAGGCTGGAGTGCAGTGGTGCGATCTCGGCTCACCGCAAGCTCGGCCTCCCGGGTTCGTGCCATTCTCCTGCCTCAGCCTCCCGAGTAGCTGGGACTACAGTCCCCCGCCATCACGCCCGGCTAATTTTTTTTTTTTTTTTTGTATTTTTAGTAGAGACGGGGTTTCACTGTGTTAGCCAGGATGGTCTCGATCTCCTGACCTCGTGATCCACCCGTCTCGGCCTCCCAAAGTGCTGGGATTACAGGCGTGAGCCACTGCGCTCGGCCCACTTTACTTTTTTTGTCTATAAATTTGTTCCGACCATGAGGCACCCCTGCAGTCTGTCTGAATCTGCTGTGATTCTGGAGGCTGCCTGATTCAATCAAATCTTTTCTTTGCTCAATTAAACTCCATCAAATTTCACTTGTCTGAAGTTTTCTTTTAACAGCTCCTTGTTCCAAAATGTTTAAGAATTTCGATAGGGTGCCAGCAGAACAGAAGGAAAAACAACCACAACAATAATAACTTTTTCCTCTGTCCTCCTCAGTTCTCCAGCTACTGCTCTGGAAATTAAACTGTCAAAAGAACAAAAGAAAAGCAGAATTTATTAAGACATGCAGTGCATATACACATGTGGTGAAACTCAGTGATGAATAACTCAAAAGCATGGTTAGAACTTGGGGCGCATACAACAAATCAGCCAAGAACAATACATTTGTCAAGAAGGAAAAAGGCAAAGGAAAAAGGCCTTTTAAGCTCCTAGGAGCTGCAAACTTTGAGAAGACAAATACAGGAGGAAACAAATGGAAGATAAAGGCAAATTGAGTAAGGTTTGTTATGTAGATTCCTCTAGGCCTGTGTCTCTGGTAATTAACAGTCTAAGTCTACTTTCAGGCAAATAGGAGAGTGCAGAGAGTTTTTTTTTTTCCCCACTCCCTTAGCTGACTTGCTTTTATTGTTTGAGTTAAAAAAGAACGAGATCATGTCCTTTGCAGGAACACAGTTGGAGCTGGAGGCCATTATCCTTAGCAAACTAGCACAGGACCAGAAAACCAAATACCGCATGTTCTCACTTACACATAGGAGCTGAATGATGAGAACACACGGACACAAAGAGGTGAACAACACACATTGGGGCCTTTCGGAAGGTGGAGCGTGGGAGGAGGGAGAGGATCAGGAAAAATAACTAATGGGTATGTGAACCCAGAAAGTCTGAGACAGGTCTCAGTTAACTTACTTTCTTTTGCCAAGGTTGAGGACGCGCCGTGACACAGCCTCAGGAAGTCCTGACGACATGTGCCCAAGGTGGTTGGGGCACAGCTTCGTTTTATACATTCAGGGAGACATGAGACATCAATCAATATATGTAAGAAGCACATTGATTCGGTCTAGAAAGGCTGGACAGCTTGAAGCAAAGGCAGGAAGACTGGAAGCAGGGAGGGGGTTTCCAGGGCACAGATAGGTGAGACACAAACAGTTGCATTGTTTTGAGTTTCTGATGAGCCTTTCCAAAGGAGGCGATCAGATACGCATCTCTCAGTGAGCAGAGCGGAGACTTTGACTAGAATGGGAGGCAGAGGCCCTAAGCAGTTCCCAGCTGGACTTTTCCCTTTAGCTTAGTGACTTGGAGACCTCAAGATATATTATCCTTTCACAGGTTCTAAGCTTAATGCCTGGGTGATGAACTAATCTGTATAACAAACCCCCATGAGAGGTTTATTCTGTTTTCTTTTAGCAGCTCTTGCTTCTCATTTGTCTTCAGCTCAAAATAACCCTTATGCCAAAGGGCTATCTTTTGGGTTGACCTATCCTGCTCTCCCACAAGAGCCTTCAGCAAAGTTTACAGTTGTCTTGCAGAAGACCACCCGGGTGGCCAAATAGTGTAATAGAAAGGAGAGGTTTGTTTTTTTATTATACTTTAAGTTCTAGGGTACATGTGCACAACGTGCAGGTTAGTTACGTATGTATACATGTGCCATGCTGGTGTGCTGCACCCACTAACTCGTCATTTACATTAGGTATATCTCCTAATGCTATCCCTCCCCCTCCCCCCACCCCACAACAGTCCCCAGAGTGTGATGTTCCCCTTCCTGTGTCCAAGTGTTCTCACTGTTCAATTCCCACCTATGAGTGAGAACATGCGGTGTTTGGTTTTTTGTCCTTGCTATAGTTTACTGAGAATGATGATTTCCATGTTCATCCATGCCCCTACAAAGGACATGAACTCATCATTTTTTATGGCTGCATAGTATTCCATGGTGTATATGTGCCACATGTTCTTAATCCAGTCTATCATTGTTGGACATTTGGGTTGGTTCCAAGTCTTTGCTATTGTGAATAGTGCCGCAATAAACATACGTGTGCATGTGTCTTTATAGCAGCATGATTTATAGTCTTTTGGGTATGTACCCAGTAATGGGATGGCTGGATCAAATGGTATTTCCAGTTCTAGATCCCTGAGGAATTGCCACACTGTCTTCCACAATGGTTGAACTAGTTTACAGTCCCACCAACAGTGTAAAAGTGCTCCTATTTCTCCACATCCTCTCCAGCACCTGTTGTTTCCTGACTTTTTAATGATTGCCATTCTAACTGGTGTGAGATGGTATCTTATTGTGGTTTTGATTTGCATTTCTCTGATGGCCAGTGATGGTGAGCATTTTTTCATGTGTCTTTTGGCTGCATAAATGTCTTCTTTTGAGAAGTGTCTGTTGATATCCTTCACCCACTTTTTGATGGGGTTGTTTGTTTTTTTCTTATAAATTTGTTTGAGTTCATTGTAGATTCTGGATATTAGCCCTTTGTCAGATGAGTAGGTTGCAAAAATTTTCTCCCATTTTGTAGGTTTCCTGTTCACTCTGATGGTAGTTTCTTTTGCTGTGCAGAAGCTCTTTAGTTTAGTTAGATCCTGTTTGTCAATTTTGGCTTTTGTTGCCATTGCTTTTGGTGTTTTAGACATGAAGTCCTTGCCCATGCCTATGTCCTGAATGGTAATGCCTAGGTTTTCTTCTAGGGTTTTTATGGTTTTAGGTCTAACGTTTAAGTCTTTAATCCATCGTGAATTAATTTTTGTATAAGGTGTAAGGAAGGGATCCAGTTTCAGCTTTCTACATATGGCTAGCCAGTTTTCCCAGCACCATTTATTAAATAGGGAATCCTTTCCCCATTGCTTGTTTTTTCAGGTTTGTCAAAGATCAGATAGTTGTAGATATGCAGCGTTATTTCTGAGGGCTCTGTTCTGTTCCATTGATCTATATCTCTGTTTTGGTACCAGTACCATGCTGTTTTGGTTACTGTAGCCTTGTAGTATAGTTTGAAGTCAGGTAGCATGATGCCTCCAGCTTTGTTCTTTTGGCTTAGGATTGACTTGGCTATGCGGGCTCTTTTTTGGTTCCATATGAATTTTAAAGTAGTTTTTTCCAATTCTGCGAAGAAAGTCATTGGTAGCTTGATGGGGATGGCATTGAATCTATAAATTACCTTGGGCAGTATGGCCATTTTCACGATATTGATTCTTCCTACCCATGAGCATGGAAAAAGGAGAGTTTTATTGGTGATGTCAGTTTGCAAACTGGGTAGTAAGTGTCCCTGGCATAAACAGAAGGTGCTCTCTCTCTGAAGAGGGAAAAGAGAGATTGGATCTCATGCCTCATAGGGATCATATTACACAATAGAGTCATGCATATTCAGCAGATTTGGGGGAGAAGCTATGCATATTTATGAGGGGAGCTGAGTGCATGCCCAATGGGTAAACATATATGTAACATATGTCCCATGTTCACTTTGGGGCTATGTTTTAGCATTAAAATGAGGCAGGTGTGGTGGCTCATGCCTGTAATCCTAGCACTTTGGGAGGCCAAGGCAGGAGGATCACTTGAGCTCAGCCTGGGCAACAGGGTGAAACCACGTCTCTACAAAAAATAAAAATAAAAGAGCCAGGCATGGTGACACACACCTGTGGTCCCAACTATTTGGGAGGCTAAGTTGGGAGAATCGGTTGAGCCCAGGAGATTGAGGCTGCAGTAAGCCATGACTGCACCACTGCACTCCAGCCTGGGTGACAAAGTGGGACTGTGTATCCAAAAAAAAAAAAAAAAAAAAAAAATGAGATGGGATTTGGCTCTTCATATGAAGAGGTGAACTATAGGACACAAAGACAGTTTGTGTGAAGCCTCTATGAGCTGGTGAAACTTGAGTAAGGTCTGCAGTTGCTTATCAGAAAAGAATGTGTGTATAGCTGCTCCTCTGTCTGAATAGTAGTCTGGGTTGTCAAGACTTAGAAGGGGCTGGGCACAGTGGATCATGCCTGCAATCCCAGCACTTTGGGAAGCAGATGCAGGCAAATTGCTTGTACTCAGGAGTTTGAGAACAGCCTGGGCAACATGGTGAAACTCCATCTCTACAAAAAATACACACACAAAAATTAGCTGAGCATGGTGGCATGAACCTGTGGTCCCAGCTACTCAGGAGGCTGAAGTGAGAGGACTGCTTGAGCCCAGGAGGTCAAGGCTGCAGTGAGCCATGATCATACCACTGCACTCCAGCTTGGGCTATACAGTGAGACCTTGTTTAAAAAAAAGTGTTAGAAGGGTCTGATAATTTGCCTGGGTAGCTTGTCTTCTTACGGAATTTAGCAAGAGTGTTGTTTTTCTTATAGCCGTAGGAATTTAGGAAGTTGCCACCCTAGCCTCTCTGTGAACTCAGCCTGTAGCAAACTTTTCTTTCCTTAACCTTAGGGTCTGTTTTAGTTGCTAAAGGGGCATTTATTTTGGTCTCTCTGATGACAGGGCCTTGTGCAACAGTGGAGGTCCTTCATCTTGAAGTTCACCCTGAACATGGGTAATATCACCCAGACAACACCTGGAGCCTTCACGGTAACTTAGGGCAAGTGTCACTGGTTTTCCAAAACCCAGCCGAAATTTCAGGTCTCACTAGACAGGCACGGCCCTCTTCTTAGACTGTTCATGTTTAAGGCAAGAGCTATATTTAAGCTGAGCACCAAAAGATGCGTCGAATTCAGTTTAGCCTAAAGCTGCCCCCTGACATATTTTAAGGTTTGCCTAAAGGTTTCTCCGTACGCAGTGCACTGAAACCTAACTGGATGTGTAAACAGGCTGGAACCTACTTTTGTGCCAATCACAAAGTTTTGTCCGAAGGAAGTCAACTGTCCAAACCATGCTCAAATGAGGCCAATGGTGAGCTGGAACGAATTTGGCTATTTCTGTACCTCACTTCTGTTTTCTGCACCCCACTTTCCTTTTTCTGTCCACAGATCTTCTCTCAACATGAGACAGTGCTGGGGTCTCTCTGAACCGACTCTGGTTCCATGGGCTATCCAATTTGTGAATCGTTCTCTGCTCAGTTAAACTCTGGTAAATTTATTTTACTTATATATTGTTATTTTTCTTTTTTTTTCAGAGACAGGTTCTCACTCTGTCACCCAAACTGGGGTGCAGTGGCAGCATCATAGCTCACTGCAGCCTCCCACCTCAGCCTCCCAAATAGCTAAGAGTACAGATGTCCCCCACCTGCCTCAGCCACCCGAGTAGCTGGGACCATAGGTGTAAGCCTGTTTTTTCTTTTTTTTTTTTTGGCTTTAGCTGCTAGAGGAATCCTGGTGCCACTGGCAGATCTGATGGAAGAACCTATGCATTGCAAACCCTGGGTTGGAGATGCCACTGAGATACCTCAGGGGAAATGCCGAGGAAGGAGTGGAAGGCTGGATGACAGGAGACTGTTGGTCTGCATGTGAGACAGAGGTACTAGGGGATCCTGGTTTCAGCCACACTGGGTGGTTTTCTTTAAATTTACATCTCATACTAGTTCAAGTCATATCTGGCCTTCTGGGGACACAGTCCCAACATGTTTCTTTTGTTGTTGTTTTTTGTTTTACTCCTCTGATGCTACAAAGGCTCGAATGTATACTTCTTTTAAGGTGCCCTGGCTCATGCCTGTGGGCCGAGGTACTCAGGAGGCTGAGGCAGGAAGATGGCTTGAGCCCGGGAGTTCGAGGCTGCAGTGAACTATGAATGCACGACTGTACTCCAGCCTGGGTGACAGAGTGAGACCCTATCTCAAAAAAAAAAAGAAAAAAATAAACAAGATAGTGCATTTCAATGAAAGAACATTCTCTTAAAACGGAATAGAAAACACTTTCGATGGATGGGCAGGGTGGCTCATGCCTATAATCCTAGCACTTTGGGAGGCCGAGGCAGGAGGATTGCTTGAGCCCAAGAGTTAGAAACTAGCCTGGGCAACATGGCAAAACGCTGTCTCGAACTCCTGGCTTCAAGTGTTCTGCCCACCTCAGCCTCCCAAAGTGTTGGGATTACCTGTGTGAGGTACTGCGCCCGTCCAGATACCTTGTCTCTACAAAAAACACAAAAATCAGCTGGGCATGGTGGTAGTGCATGCTGTCCCAGCTACTCAAGAGGCTGAGGTGGGAGAATAGCTTGAGCCTGGGAGATGGAGATTGCAGTCAGTCGAGATTGTGCCACAGCACTCCAAGCTGGGTAACAGACTGAGACCCTGTCTGAAAAAAAAACCAAACAAACAAACTAATAAACAAAAAAACCCAAAACGGGCCGAGTGCGGTGGCTCACACCTGTAATCCCAGCACTTTGGGAGGCCGAGGCAGGCGGATCACAAGGTCAGGAGTTTGAGACCAGCCTGGCCAACATGGTGAAACCCCATCTCTACTAAAAATACAAAAAATTAGCCAGGACTGGTGGCGCATGCCTGTAATACCAGCTACTTGGGAGGCTGAGGCAGGAGAATCGCTTGAACCTGGAATGTGGAGGTTGCAGTGAGCTGAGATCGCACCATTGCACTCCAGCCTGGGTGACAGAGAAAAACTCTGTCTTGAGAAAACAAACAAACAAAACAACAACAACAAGCCAACAAACAAAACAAACAAAAACAGAGTAAGCCAGGCTTGGTGGCTCAGCCTGTAATCCCAGCATGTTGGGAGGCAAAGGTGGGAGAATCACTTGAGCCCAGGAATTTGAGATCTGCCTGGACACCATAGTGAGACTCCATTTCTATTTATATTAAAAAATAAAAATTAAAAAAACAGAGTACCTCAGAGTCACATGTCATCAGTGTAGATACAATTATTACCCACAAGGGGAAGAAGTGTGTCCCCAGCAAAGTGAGAATTGATGATATCTCTTCAGATGTTTAATCTCATGAATCAACATCAGTTTTGTTGATTCAATGGTACAAATATAAAGTTCCATGAAGGAAAACAGTCCTAATGTTAGATAGGTCAGGAGGGTGACTATAGTTTACAGTAATCTATTACATGTTCAAAATTGCTGGAAGAAAAGAATTCAAATGGTTCTAGTACAAGGAAAAGACAAATGTCTACGGTGATGAAGATCCCAAGTACTCATTTGATTTTTACAAATTATGTGAATCTATTCAATTATTACATGTATCCCCAAACTATGTAGATCCATTATGCATCGATTAAAAAAAAAAAAGAAAACTCCAAAAAACCCATGAGCTTTGAAGTAGATTTCAATATGTTTCATATTGAATATTTACATATTGAATATTCACATATCGGCATATTTACATATTGAATATTTACATATTGGCAAATTTACATATTACATATTCAAAAAGCATGTAATGAGTGGAGAATACCCCGAGGGAACATGCTAGCAGTGTGGTTACCATATTTGTCTTTCTCTTATGTTTTAGTGGAGAGAGAAATAACAGTACTAGTTCCTACTTCATTAGTACCAGGAGGAGTGTTTGGCAGTAGAAATAAAGGAACGTTAGAGGAAATTCCCCAAGTTTGGAAAGGAAGGAAGGATTTCCCGAGAAAGTGATGTTTGAAGGAAAATCTGATGGGTGAGTAGGGTAAGGGGTGGTAATATGGAGCATTGGGTCCTTCCTGGTAGAGTTTAGCAAGGAATGGAGTAGGGAAACTGTAACCATGAGATCAGGTTGAACCAGTTCAACTCAATTGTTTAAGCTGTTATACAGTTGAAACAGAACCAACATTGCATGTTGTGTAGCCTGGGCACAGGCAAAGGGAAAAAGCTTTGACCTCCAATCACACTGGAAACTGATGATGCTTCCCTATGGAACCAAAGACAGCTGGACATGACCAGAACCAGGATGCAGAAACCCATTCAGAAGCAAAAGGTCTACTCTCCCAGAAGACATTGTGCTGAAATCCACCATTCCATACCTTATTATAATAGCCAAGGTTAAAGCCCTTTGATTAAAACTTGCCGCACCAGCACTTCCACATACTTCTTTTTCTTTTCTTTTCTTTTCTTTCTTTTTTTTTTTTTTTTTACACGGTCTTGCTCTTTCGCCCAGGCTGGAGTACAGTGGCGTGATCATGGTGCACTGCAGCCTTGACCTCCTGGGCTTAATTGATCCTCCCACATCCACCTCCTGGGTGGGTAGCTGGGACCACAGGCATGCACCATCACACCTGGCTAGTTTTTGTATTTTTTGTAGAAATATGGTTTCGCTATGTTGCCCAGACTGGTCTTGAACTCCTGTCCTCCAGCAATCCTCCTGCCTCGGCCTCCCAAAGTGCCATCATTATAGGCATGAGCCACTGTGCCCAGCCACATACTTCTTAACCCATAAACATTTGAGCTAACTCCCCAGATCAGGGAGACAGATTTGAGCCCTGCCTCCTGTCTCCTTGCCAGTTGACCTCACAATAAAGTCTTAAAAAGAAAGAAAAAAGAAAAAAAAACCGGTACCCTACAGCACGGCGTGGTGGCTCACACTTGTAATCCAAGCACTTTGGAGGCTGAGGCAGGTGGATTGCTTCCGCTCAGGAGTTGGAGACCAGCGTGGGAAACAGCAAAACCCAGTCTCTACCCAAAAATACAAAAATTAACTAGGCATGGTGATGTGTGCCTGTGGTCGCAGCTACTCGGGGGGCTGAGATGGGAGGATTACTTGAGCCTGGGAGGCAGAAGCTGCGCTGAGTCAAGATCGTGCCACTGCACTCCATCCCGGGCAACAGAGTGAGACCCTGTCTTAAACAATAACAACAAAATCCCCAAAGCAATGCCCTAGTATTGGCTTATATACATGTCAAGCAGCAAGCCCATTGCTCAGTAACAAAATGGGTGACGCAACCCTGAAGAGCAGTAAGAACTGCAGTGTGGCTGGGAGACACAGAATGAGGTAAACGATGGCAAACATTGAGGACGGAGAGGTAGCAGGAAAGAAGCAACAAGTACAGATGATTCAGACCTCGTGGTCCGAGATGAGGAGCTTCTTCTTTATCCCAGGAACAGTGGAAAACCATGAAATGGGTCTACACAGAACACAGCGTGGTCAGGTCTATAATCTCATCTTCTACTGTGTCCAGAGGGTTTTGGACTAGAGAAGAATAAGGCTGGGAATTGAGGCGGTACAAGTTAGTGGGGTGTTGCAATCAAGAAAGGAAGAGATGATGAAATCTTCCACCTGGCTCCTAACATTATGAGAGCTGGCACGATGTAGACTGGTCCAGGAGCTATTTAGGGTCAAGCCACAAGACAGGAAGATTAAATGATTCATGATTAAATGATATTCGCAGCCTCCAATAAATCAACTTCACTATTATTCATCCTTGTTTTCTTGTTCCAGACCACCATCTCTGAGAAAGAAGTAGGATTATTGTCAGAAGTCTTCTTTGATCTTTTGTTCTTTCCTTTTTTAGGGGTTGGGGAGAAAGTCTCACTGTCACCCAGGCTGGAGTGTAGTGACGTGATGTTGGCTCACTGCAACTTCCACCTCCCAGTTTCAAGCAATTCTCCTGTCTCGGCCTCCTGAGTAGCTGGTATTACAGGTGTGCACCACCACGCCCAGGTAATTTTTGTATTTTTCATAGAGATGGAGTTTTGCCATGTAGGCCAGGCTGGTCTCAAACTTCTGGCTTCAAGTGATCCACCCACCTCCGCCTCCCACAAAGCTGAGATTACAGGTGTGGGCCATCACTCCTGGTTGCTCTATCCTTGAAGGGCTATAATGGAACCAACCAAGGAAAGAACATAGCAGCAAATGGCCACTCCTCACCTTGGTATTTCTGGGAATTTTATGAGGCTACTGTAGAAAAATGGTTTGATGAAATGAAGCCTGTGATCACCTAGTAAATTGTAGAGAAATGGCTTCCACATGTGAGGTTGTCCTTTCCCGAATACATGACCTTAAGGTGAAATGGATAAAACTTCTGGCTTGGAAAGGTAGTTAGTATAATTAGGACCATATTTATTTTTCAAATACAGAGTTGAGGACCCCTGTCGTTTTCTGTAATGCAAGTCTAAGTGGGCTCGGAGGGACTGTGAACTCTGGTCCTGGAACTGATTTCATAACCTGGGGCACGTTCATGGAAATATACGGTTGGAAGGGAGCTTGGACAGGTCTCTACAGATCCCACTGCTGATTGGTTTTGATAGAAGAAATCACTTACGTGCCTCTGTAGTTGACTCCATTTTAATAAGACAGCGCAGCTTCCTCTCTTCTCAGCTTTGAACATCTGTGGAGACAGAGAATAAGGATTCTCATGCCATCTTTTAATGATGCTTTTATAAAACTTTTGACTAGATCGCAGGGCTTGCCTCTACTTTTCTCAAGATGCATTAAGCATTCTTTCTTCCCATTTGCATTCACCAACCCCCTTAGCTTCTCTGTGTCCTCTCCAACCAAATATTTTTTTAAAAATAGGCATCTACACTTGACCAAAAGTTGAATACATGTCTACCTGAGGATACTAAAAGAGTTCTATCTTGATTTTCATACCTCTGACCTATATGTTATTTTGTCTTGTTAATAATCGTAACTTCCAGGCCAGGCACAGTGGCTCATGCCTGTAATCCCAGCACTTTGGGAGGCCAAGGCAGGAGGATCACTTGAGGTAAGGAGTTCAAGACCAGCCTGGCCAACATGGGGAAACCCTGTCTCTACTAAAAATTCAAAAATTAGCCAGGCGTGGTGGCACACGCCTGTAATTCCAGCTACTTGGGAGGCTGAGGCACGAGAATGGCTTGAAACTGGGAGGCGGAGGTTGCAGTGAGCCGAGATTGTACCATTGTACTCCAGCTTGGGTGACAGAGTGAGAGTCTGTCTCAAAACACACAAAAAAAACCAAACAAAACAAAAAACTACATTGTAAAGATATTCCATGAATGGGGTCATACTATTAGTAAATGTTTGGATCAACATCTGTAGTCCTTTTAGGAAGTAATAAGAAGGTATAAGAGGAGAGGAAAGAGATCTTTCATTGCAATCTATGTGAGGCTTTGGGTGTGAGCTAGGTTTCTGGGGTTTTCTCAGAGAGAAACAGCAAGAGAGAGAGAGGCATGCTTATATTCCATGCTGCCGAGAGTGGCAAAGATATGACAGCATTGCTTCAGCAGTAGTGGTGACATTGAGAGGGAGATGGTCGTAGGAAGTGAAGAAGGAGAATTTTCCCAGTGGAGCACTTTTTTTTTTTTTTTAATAGAGAAGGGGTCTTGCTATGCTGTCCAGTCTGGTCTTGAACTTCCGGCCTCAAGTGATCCTCCCACATTGGCCTCTCAAAGTGGTGGGATTACAGGTATGAGTCACCATGCCTGACCCACAGTGGAGCACCTTGGTGCTTGGCTATAAAAGTTATATTCCCAAGAAGCCCAAAGATGGAGAAAAAAATGTTTGTTGTGTTTACCAAAAACAAGGTGTCTGCTTTGTATATAACCCCAAGAGAGATCACCTGGCGGCCCCTCCCAAATATTTGGAGAAGAATTTGCAGAAAGTTCCAAGTCCTTCAAGAGTAAAGACACAAGAGTAAAAGAACACACCAACATTCATGATTTCAAAGTTTGATTTGCTCCCGAATCGAAAGCCAGTTTTTTCATTTTGATTCAGATCTATACGTTCACAAAAGCCATGCTCATTTTGCAAAACTCTTATGCTAAAAAGAGCGATGCTTCCTCCTTCTAAACAGAAACCCCTGTCTCTACAAGTGTCTACTTTTCCTACTTTCTGATAAAGGGAAGACAATCTACCCTGTCTGTTTAATTTTTTACATGCAGCCTCTCTGACACGTGGAATTGGGAGACTGGAGTGCCAAATCCGTTTTTTTCAGTGTGTAATTTTATAGCTTTCCCCAGAGCAAAAGAGGACAAGTCAGGCAAGCTGTAAAGCAGAGGGGAGGAATTTCATGGGACAATTTTATTATGCCATGAAATCAAGACAGAGTTTGATGCCAATGACCATCTTGGACAGGCAGGATGCAGAGAGAGATGAAGCCCGTGACCTGCAGAAGCGCACTTCGAAGAAGGCATGCTGCACCCCAGCCGTTCTCTTTGCCCTGAATGGTTCCTGCCTTATGGGACCAAGGAAACGGGTATTGCTAAAAAGGCAAAATTGGCAGCTTCCAGGAAAACTTCTGGAGGAATGTACTGAGGCCCCTAACAAATTAACATACGTTGGGTGGCTAAAAATAACAAGACTTTATTCTCCCCCAGTTCAGAACACCCGAGCCTGAGATCAAAGCATCTCAGGGCCACGATTCTCCAGAGGCTCTAGGGGAGGCTCCGTCCTGCCTCTCCCGGCTCCTGGGGGCTCCAGGCATCCCTGGGCTTGTGGCCGCACCACTCCAGTCTCTGCCTCCGTCTCCACATGGCCTGCTCCTCTGTGTCTGTGTCTGTGTTACCTCTTCTGTCTCTTATTTTATTGCATTTATTTATGTATTTTCTGCATCAAATCATCCATTGCTCTTCTGTCTCTTATAGGGACACCTCTCATTTGATTTAGAAATCACTGTGATCCAGTATGATTTCATGTCAAGATCCTTAACTAATTACATCTGCAAAGACCCTATTTCCAAATAAGGTCTCATTCCAGATTCTAGGCTTTAGGATATGGACAGATCTTTCTGGGGGCCACTGTTTAGTCCACTACATTTGTATTCACTTCCTTCCGGAGGCTCTAGGGGAGGATGCTTCCTGCCTCTTCCAGCTTCTGGGGGCTCCTGGCATCCCTGGGTTTGTGGCCACATCACTCCAGTCTCTGTTCCCATCTCCGCATGGCCCTTCTCCTCTGTGTCTGTCTCTGAGAATGGCAAAGGTCTGACAGCATTGCTTCTACAGTAGGGGTGACATTGAGAGGGAGATGGTGGTAGCAAATGAAAGAGGAGAATTTTCCCAGTGGAGCACTGTTTAAAACAATAGAGATGGGGTCTTGCTATGTTGTCCAGTCTGGTCTTGAACTTCTGGCCTCAAGTGATCCTCCCACATTGGCATCTCAAAGTGGTGGGATTACAGTTATGAGCCACCATGCCTGACCCCCAGTGGAGCACTTTGATGCTTGGCTATAAAAGTTATACTCCCAAGAAAAAGCCCAAAGATGGAGAAAAAAAAGTGTGTTGTGTTCACGAAGAACAAGGGGTCTGCTTTGCATATGACCCGAAGAGGACACCTCTTAGAAAGACACTGGTCATTGGATTTAGGGCCCATCCAGATAATCCAAGATGATCCCATCTTGAGATCCTTAACTTGATTCCATCTGCAAAGACCCTATTTCCAGATAAGGTCCTATTCCCAGGTTCTGAGGTTAAGATGTGAACTCATATTTTAAATGTCTCCATTCAACCTACTACAGCTTCCATGGGACATATTTGCCCAGCATCCAGTGATGTAAACTGGATTTCTGTGTGTTTTAAGAGCTGTAAAGGAAGGAATAATTATCATTCCTGAAATACCCTTGGTATTTTAGCAAAATAAAAGTTCCCCAGATTTGCTTAATGAATCTTTACAATAAGTAGCAGGGAATTAAGTATCATGGGTGTGATTTGAGACTTGGATGAATTAAGGGAAAAACTTAAAAGTTGTTAAAACCTTACTACCTCCTGCCAGCTCACCAGACACCTTTAATGCTTCAGGAGCAGCACACGAAATATAATTTTTGAAGGAGGAGAGTTCCATGTCCACATCTACGCCAATGGAAAAAATAGCTGGGTGGAAAAGACTAGGAAAATGAACAGAGAGTAATTTTCAAGATTTCCTTTCATTAAAAAACAAAACTTGCTGGTTCAGAGATAAAAGAAAGTGAAGCACTTTTTTTTGTAAAGGAAAGAATTATAAGATTTGAAGTGAAACATTAATATGAGCAGTAAATGAATAGCTGAAAATATAAGGTAACCTTAGTGGAAAGGGATTTTGAAATTATTCTTTGAAACTCCCTCTTTCATATGCCTTGTTAATCCGATTTATTTACGTGCATTTAACGTGAGCACAGGGACTCATGCTTTTACTTATGTTATGCAGGATTTGGTGTACAAAGAAATATGTCTACCTATACTGATTTTGGTAATTTGTAAAATTAAATGAAGATTATTGGTTATCATGTCTTCCTGGATTTGCAAATACTTGGTATACACCCAGTTTCAATTGTGGGGAAGTATATTATGGGGAAACTCATGAATCACTGCTTATTTTTTCAAAGCACGTGGAAATTCCACTCACATGAAAAAACATACTTCCACTTAAAATAGCATAAGTCCAATGGGTGCTTTTGAAACAAATGAATCAAATCAGAATCAAAATTCTCTAGCTCTCTGATCTTCAGTTGTAGAGTTAAAATATTAAGGGAAATTGCTTAAATGTTGAAAAAATTTTGAACAGATGGCTACCACATAACCATATGGAATCAATGACACTCCCCAAATGCATGAGAAAGCCATTTTAAAAATTGATGATGCAACTATAGTTGGAATACACACACGTAAACACACACAAAATGACCTATGGCAAGTTTTATTTATACCATGCAAATGTTAAGTTAATCATCGCCTCTAGTTAATGCATATCCCAGATTTTCTGACACTGTGGATGAAATCTAGACCCACTTGTTGTTTTTGCAGAGTTACATGGAAATGTTGATTAAATCCAAATGGAATCACAGTTTAGCTGAATTAAATGCCAAATGGCTCCGATCACTTCCTGGAGTGAGAGAGAGGGGAAATCATTGCAAATGCAACCTACACAATGCCTTCTGTTGAAAATTTAGTGGATACTTGGTTTCACATGGTCACCTCCAAGCAGTAGCTTAGAAAAGTGGTGAAACTTTACAGACAGACAGACAGGGAGAGAGAGAGAGAGAGAGAGAGGATAAATTAGACAGATAGATAGATGAGATAGATAGAGATGACAAATAGGTGAGATACCTAATTAGATAGACAAATAGAGATAGATAGACAGGTGATAGATATAGATAGAGGAATAAGTGACAGACTAGATAGATAAGATAGATAATTAGACAAAGATAGACAGGTGACAGATGAGATGGATAATTAATAGATGAGATAAATATAATAGATGAGATAGATAGATAGATAGATAGATAGATAGATAAAATAGGTAGGTACCTAGGTAGAAAGAAAAAGGAAAGAAAGAAAGAAGAAAGAAAGAAAGAAAAGAAAGAAAGAAAGAGAGAAAGAAAGAAAAGAAAGAAAGAGAGAGAAAGGAAAGAAAGAATACATGGATGGATAGATAGGTGGTAGCTAGGTATGTAGATAAATAGATGATAGATAAACAGACAGAATATATGGGTGAATATTTAGATAGATGGATGGAATACATAGATGAAATTGATGGATGGATGGATGGATGGATGGATAGGTAGGTAGCTAAGTAGTTAGGTGGCTAGCTGGATAGTGATATAGTTTGGCTGTGTCCCCACCCAAATCTCATCTTGAATTGTAACTCCCACAATTGCCATGTGTTGTGGGATGAACCTAGTGGGAGGTGACTGAATTACGGGGGCAGGTCTTTCCTGCCCTGTTCTCATGATAGTGAATGAGTCTCACCAGATCTGATGGTTTTAAAAAGGGGAGTTTTCCTGCACAAGCTCCTTCTCTTTGCCTGCTGCCATCCACGTAAGACGTGATTTGCTCCTCCTCCCCTTCCACCGTGATTGTGAGGCTTCCTCAGGCACGTGGAACTGTAAGTCCAATACTCTCCTTTTCCCGTATAAATTACCCAGTCTTGGGTATGTCTTTATCAGCAGCCTGAAAACAGACTAATACAGATAGACGCATAGATAGATAGAAACATTAATTCATACATACATACATAGATGATAGATGATAGATAAATAGATACATAGATATATAGATAGAAATAAATAGAAAGAATAAACGGTCTGGACAGCAGGATAAAGAACAGAATTTATTGAACCTAAATTCTCCATATGCGTCTGAAACAGTGCTAGCCAAAGCCCTTCTCAGATACAAGAGAGGGCCCCTTGATTTTCATTCCCTTGTTCCTCACACTGATACCTCCTTGTTCTCAGCAGCGAGGTGCTCTGTTTAGCACTAGGAGTCACTGTCCCAGCTCCTAATGCAAGAGACATCTGCAGGTTAGCACTCAACCTTAAAGAAAGAACGTGAAAGCTGTCAACGCTGTGGAATGGGATGAAGCGGGAGAGCAGGTGACAGCCACCATTACAAGTCCGCTGGCTCCATCAGTGCTCTGTGTGACTTCAGTCCTACTCAAGGCAGCCCTCACCTGTGGGCTCTGCACAGTTCTTTTTGGCTTACAAGAGCATGCAGGGATGGCGAGAGAGGATTAAGGCTTCTGCTTGCCTCTGTCCAACCTTGACCCAACCTTGAGAAAAGAACAGTTTAATGATGTCAGAGACAGCACAAAGAACAGGACTTGCAAGCCAGTTAGACCTGCATTTTAATCTTAGCTTTAAAGCTCAGTCAAGATATGATCTTCCCACCTTCCTGCACCTCTGAGATATCCTGTTACACGATGGGCGTTGTTCTTCGCAACATCATTTGCATGTCAATAAGACTGCAGTGCACACATTCAAATACAGGAAGGCTTTGTTTCACACAGACATCACTTTGAGTGAGCCAGGATTGAGCCTCTGACACAGCTCAATTTACACAAATAGCAATTTACTCCAAAAATTAACTGATTTTTTAAATAAGGTGTTGACTTACTTTACAGTTTTGTTTTTCAGATGAAAATATTGAGAGGTTTTTTTTTTCTCTTGTATTCTTTACACTTAGAGTTGGTTTATCACACGGTAGACATCAAGAATTTGTTGAGTGAGTCAACAAAGAATCTAAAATTAATGATGTTAATACCTGGTGTTGTTTGCCATATGATATAAGACACGGATTTTTTTTTTTTTTTTTGAGGCAGGGTCTGGATCTGTTGCCCAGGCTGGAGGGCAGTGGTGTGATCTTGGATCACTGCAACCTCCACCTCCCAGGCTCAAGTGATCCTCCCACCTCAGTCTCCCGAGTAGCTGGGACTCCAGGCACATGCCATCACCACAACCCACTAATGTTTTTTGTAGTTTTTTTGGGTAGAGATGGGTTTTTGCCATGTTGCCAAGGCTGGTCTTGAACTTCTGGGTTCAAGCAATCTGTCTGCCTGAGCCTCCTAAAGTGCTAAGATTACAGGCGTGAGCCACCATACCTCGCCAAGAGTTTTTAATATACATCAAAGTTTCCATAGATCATATAGTTGTTGTTTATTATTATTATTGGTAGTAGTAGTAGTAGTAATTTATTTTTCAAGGTGAGATCTTGCTTTGTTGCCCAGAATGGAGTGTAGTGTTGTGATCATGGGTCACTGAAATCTTGACCTCCTGGGGTCAAGCAATCCATCCACCTCAGTCTCCTGAGTAGCTGGGAATACAGGTGCACGTCACCATGCCCAACAAATTTTTCTATTTTATGTAGAGATAGGGTCTCATCATCTTGCCAAGGCTGGTCTTGAACTATGAGCCTCAAGCAATCCTTCCGCCTTATTATTATTATTATTATTTTGTGAAGGAGTCTTACTCTGTCACCCAGGCTGGAGTGCAATGGCATGATCTCGGTTCACTGCAACCTCCGCCTCCTGGGTTCAGGTGATTCTTGTGCCTCAGCTTCCCAAGTAGCTGGGACTACAGGCATGCATCACCACGCCTGACTAATTTTTTTTATTTTTAGTAGAGACAGGGTTTCGCCATGTTGGCCAGGCTGGTCTTGAACTTCTGACCTCAGGTGATCTGCCCACCTCGGCCTCCTAAAGTGCTGGGATTACAGGCATGAGCCACCACATTATTATTTTTAATAGACCTTTATTTTTAGAGCAGTTTTAGGTTTACAGCAAAATCGAGTGGAAAGTACAGAGACTATCCACATACTCTGTGCCCCCAGACACGCACAGCCTCCTCCACTGTCAACATCCCCCACTAGAGTGGCGCATTTGCTGCAATCCATGGGCCTACATTGACACATCATCATGACCCAAAGTCCATAGTTTAAGTTCCTGGTTGGTGTTGCGCATTCTGAGGGTTTTGACAAATCCATAATGACATGCATCCCACACTATACTATCACACAGCATAGTTTCACTTTTCCTAAAATCCTCTGTGCTCCACCTATTTATATCCCTCCTCCCCCAACCTGTATCAACAACCGATCTTTTTATTGTCTCCGTAGTTTTGTTTTTTCCAGAATGTCATATAATTGAAAGCATGCAGCAGAGAGTTAACTTTAAAAAATAACATTCTGAATTATTTCTTTTGGAAAGAAAACATTATTTTTTAGTCAAGATGAAGTTTAAATAACTACTCTGTGTCAGACATTGTATATACCTTACCTAATTTAGTTGTTAACATCTTTGTGAATAAAGTGTTCGCATCCTCATTTTACACTACAGCTCAGAGAACCCAAATTCAGGCAGGGTATGCATGTGAGCTTCTTTGCTTTTGAGCCCTTTGCTGTTGACTCTACATTTGTTTTTGGAAACTCCAGGTCTGCCATTGGCCATCAGAATACCTTGATCTTGACTTTGACCTTAGGCTTCATTTATTTCTATCCAGGTACCATTAAACAGGTTGAAGCCACCACGAAGTTGAGATTTCCTACACACAAAATGTTCTTATGAGCAGGCTGGGCACGGTGGCTCACGCCTGTAATCCCAGCACTTTGGGAGGCCGAGGTGGGCAGATAACTTGAGGTCAGGAGTTCAAGACCAGCCTAGCCAACATAGCAAAACCCTGTCTCTACTAAAAGTACAAAAATTAGCTGGGCGTGGTGGCATGCACCTGTAATCCCAGCTACTCGAGAGGCTGAAGCAAGAGATTTGCTTGAACCCTGGAGGCGGAAGTTGCAGTGAGCCGAGATTGCACCACTGCACTCCAGCCTGGGTGACAGAATGAGCCCCTGTCTCAATAAATAAATAAATAAATAAACAAACCAATAAACAAATAAATAAAAGTTCTTATGAGTGATCATCTCTTTGAGGAATAAGGGAAAGGCCATTCTTATAAACAATTCATGTTTTATTATCACTGGTCTTCTGTTTTATTGCATATTTGATGGGCAAGTGAAGAAGAAGACCAAAAGAATTTTGGAGAAATGCCTCGTGTAGATAGAGTTAGTAGTTAGAGAAATCAAATGAGAGAGAGGACCTTATTTAGAAATGAAAGTCTACCTGGGTTACCTAGATATATTAGAGAAGTTTTGGTTTTTCACTTGGTAGAATACTGGTAAATAATTCTTTCCTTTCCCTTTAACATCTTAATGTGAATTTTATTGCAATTTTCTTATTGGGAAAATCAAAGTAAAACCATAAGAGGTTGTGGGTCTCGTGAAACTCTACTTAACATAAAGCAGAAAGTATTGAGATACACGGAGAAGCTCTGAGGGGCTCAGTGGGTCTCTCTTTCCCTGGACTGTGTTACATGCATGAATTCACACTGGAATTCCAGATACAGCATCCTTTTTGTTGAAATGCTTTTCAGGCAGGCTCTGTAGGGACCTTTCTCAGAATCAATGACTGGTGACACCTCTTCGTAGCCTGCACTTATATTTGGAATCCATATAACCTCCTTGCATGCAAATACACAAAGATGGAAATGCCACATCTAGCCGTAATTAAAGAGAGTGAAAGGTGGATAATTGCTGCTGTAATCAATTGTGTTTCTATGAAAATGCTTAGGCATAATTTTACCAAATTAATATTACAGTAACTATGTACTTGAGTCAACTTCTACTCAGTTCATTTGGGTTTAAAAGAAACACAGAGATGAGCCAGTTTTTACCGAGAAAGGCACACACAGTAATATTTTTAGTTCTTACAGCTGGTCATGAAGAAAAGAGGTTCTGGATTCTATGATCCACCTTGAAAAAAAAGAAATTCTAGTTTCTATGGGGAAAATTTAACTGCTATGGAGAAATTCTAATTTCTTGGGGGAGAATGAGGTGCCAAAGACAGGAAGGGAGGAGGAGTTCAGACAGAAGACATTCATGCAGGAAGTACAACACACACACACACACACACACACATGCACACGCACATACATTCACACAAACACAAGAGGAGTAGGGTGGACACTTCAATAAAAGCAAGGACTAGAATGAAAAAATGCAGACCTGGCACGGTGGCTCTTGCCTGTAATCCCAGCACTTTGGGAGGCCAAGGCGAGAAGATTGCTTGAGCCCAGGAGTTTGAGACCAGCCCGGGCAACATGGTGAAACACCGTCTCTACAAAAAATGCAAAAAAATTAGCTGGGCATGGTGACACATACCTGTGGTCCTGGATAGTCGTGAGGCTGAGGTGGGAGGATCTTCTGAGCTTGGGAAGTTGATGCTGCAGTGAGCCAAGATTGCACCACTGCACTCCAGCCTGGCTGACAGAGGGAGACTCTCAACAAAACAAAAAACAAAACGAAAAAATGCAGAAGAAAAATATTTGTATAGGATAGCAAAAAGGAGCATCCACTTAATTGAAATAGCCATAGTATGCCAAAAAGTTTACAGGTGGTGAAGACAGATTAAAATAAAGCAGAGAAAGTTGTTAGCTTGGGGGTGGTCCTCATAATATGCAGACAATCAAGGTAAGTTGCTGTGTGATGATAATGGAAATGTGGATGTGAAGGTCAACAAAAAACAACGACATCACCTGTTTTGCAATTGCCCACTTCTGGTGTCTAATGGTCACCAAATGCTTCCATAGGCAATAGGAGATGAAGGGTGGGTGGGAAAAATAAAATGGCAATAAGAAACTATCCAAAGACATGAGGGTAACCTCCAGGCATTGCTGAGAGTGAGGGTAGAAAACAACAGTGCTAAAATGCACACATGATTACCATTTTGGATTCTCAACAAAGACTGGGGTTTTCATTTGTAAAGACTGTTAACTAATGTGCTCTTGAATTCCGTCATCCCTGCTGCCCAGATCTCCTGCACTGCCAAAAATTTAGCCAGAAAATCCGTGCGAGTCATCCTGCTAGTCTCCATAGACTAGAAATAAAAGTTAACTTGTTCCAAAACTTTTCTAATTAGATTGATTGAATTGTACTGTGCCTCAAAGTCATTTCTTTTCCAGCTCATTAAGCTCATCCTATAAAAACATATGACATTGTTCATATTCATTGCAAGTGGATTAATTATCCAGTATGAATTGTAGGTTCCAAATGCATTGAATCATATCATCATGGTGGGTGTAGTTTTTTAAAATCACTTCCAAAAGAGAGACATTTATTTTTGTCGGTTTCTTTGAGCCTCTCCTCATCTAAATGCTGTAAAGACAGAAAAAAATCCCGACACAATTTTTATAACTAGTGTAAGTATGTTGATAAATCCCACGATAATTCCCTCCACTGTTATTAGTTAAGAATTAAACTTTGTTATGCAAATGAATCAATATTGAGACATACATGTCAAATAGGGAACAAAATGTCTTAAAACTTATTTTTTCTGCAGAGTTTTCTTTTTCCAAAGTGTACAAAAGTCTATCATTCTTGGATGTTTTCTTAAGTTTATTAATAACTTTGAACACCACCTTTATCGATTTTTAGAATTGTTAACCAGGATTTCTTGACAAACAGGTTATGCTGATTTGAATCAGGCCATCAATTGAAAAAAATGCCTAAAGTTTTAATATTTAAGTGTGCTGAAATAAACTGGTGTCACCCTAAGTAACAGAGAAAGCCTCTGTAAAAGAAAAGATATTTATTTGGGAATGTAGCATTGCAGTGGAAATTCGCATGCCATAGGAAACTATGTGCATATTTGGTGGGGGAAGGAAGACAAAGATTTTTTGTAAGAGAAGTATTACTTAATTGTTTTGAAATAATTATCTGTGGCTACAAAGATCGATAACAAAGATGGGACAGGCACGGTGGCTCACACCTATAGTCCCAGCACTTTGGGAAGCCAAGGCAGGAGGATTACGTGAGCCCAGGAGTTCAAGATCAGCCAGGGCAATATAGTGAGACCCTGTCTCTACAAAAAAAAAAAAAAGAAAAGAAAAGAAAGGAAAGAAACAAAGACAGGAAAGAAAGAAACAAGCAAAAAATAACAAAGAAAGGAGAGACAAAAAAGAAAGAAAGAGAAGAAAGAAGAAGAAAGGAGAAGAAGAAGAAGGAGGAGGAGGAGGAAGAAGAAGGAGGAGGAGGTGGGGGAGGAAGAGGAAGGAGGGAAAAAGACAAAGAAAGGAGAGAAAGAAAAAGAAAGAAAGAAAAGAAAAAGAAAGAAAGGAAAAAAATAGAAGGAAAGAGGACAGACAGAGAAAAAAAAGAAAGAAAAAGAAAGACAAGGGTGAAAAAGGAAGTGTGTCTTTCTCAGGAGAGTAACAGGAAGTGTGTCCTGCACAGGACAAGAATAGAAATTGTGTGCTGCACAGGGTAGGAACAGTAAGTGTGTCCTGCGAAGAAGAGACACAGGAAGCGTGTCTCACAAAGAGGAGGAACAGGAAGTGTGTTCTGTACAGGGAGAAACAAGAAGTGTATCCTGCACAAGAGAGGAACAGAAAGTGTGTGCTGCACAGGGGAGAAATAGGAAGTGTGTCCTGCACAAGGGCGACACAGGAAATGTGTCCAGTGCAGGGGAGACACAGGAAGTGTTTCCTGAAAAGGGGAGGTATAGGAAGTGTGTCCTGAACAAAGGATGAACAGAAGGTGTGTCCTGTACAGGAGAGGAACAGAAAGTGTGTGCTTCACTGATAGGAGTAAGAAGTGTGTCCTGCAAAAACGAAGTGCAGGAGGTGTGTCCTGCACAGGGAAAGAACAGGAAATTTGTCATGCACAGGAGAGACACAAAAAGTGCATCCTACACAGGGGAGAAACAGGAAGAGTGAGTCTCATGAGAGTAACAGGAAGTGTGTCCTGCACAGGGGAGATAAGGAAGTGTGTCCTTCACACGGGAGACACAGGAAGTGTGTCCTGCACAGAGGAGGAACAGGAAGTGTATCCTTCACAGGGGAGATACAGGAAGTGTGTCCTGCACAGAGTGGGACCAAGAAGTGTGTCTCAGGAGAGTAACAGGAAGTGAGTCCTTCACAGGAAAGACACAGGAAGTGTGTCTTGCACAGGGGAGGTACAGGAAGTGTGTCTGTCTCAGGAGAGTAACAAGAAGTCTGTCCTGCAGAGGGAAGGAACAGAAAGTGTGTCTGCCTTAGGAGAGTAACAAGAAGTCTGTCCTGCAGAGGGAAGGAACAGAAAGTGTATGTTCCACAGGGGAGGAACAGGAAGTGTGTCCTGCAAGGGGAGACACGGAACGTGTGTCCTGCACAGGGCAGGAACGGGAAGTGTGTCTTGCACAGAGGATAAACAGGATGTTTCTCCTGCACATGGGAGTCACAAGAAGTGTGTCCTGCACAGAAAAGAAACAGGAAGTGTATGCCATACAGGGGAGAAAGAGGAAATTTGTTTTTTACAGAAGAGAAATAGAAAGTGTATTCTGCACAGGGGAGGAACAGAAAATGTGTCCTTCACAGGGGGACACAGGAAGTGTGTCCTGCACAGGGGAGGAACAGAAAGTTTGTCCCTTACAGGAGAGAAAAAGGTAGTGGCCCATGTTGGTCTCGAACTCCTGACTCAAGGGATCCTCCAGCCTTGGCCTCCCAAAATGCAGGAATTACAGGCATAAGCCACTGTTCCTGACCCTCAGATCATTTCTTTATGGCCAGTTTTTACTTGGAAAGGCAGGTGGAGGGAATTAGAGTTATATTTTTAGGTTTTATGCTTGGCTTTGGGGAAAAGGGGGTCTTGTTTCTAGGACTCGCCTTGGGGAGGAGGGTTTCTAATTTCTACCGTGCCTTGGGTCAGAGTGGGACTGAGATACTCAAGATGGCGAGTAAAGTGATGTCTGATCGTCCTCACTGCTACACTCCTACCAGCGCCATGACAGTTTACAAATGCCATGGCAACGTCAGGTAGTTACCCCATACAGTGGAAAAAGAGGAGACAGGAATAATCCACCCCTTGTTTAGCATATCATCAAGAAATAACCATAAAAATGGGCAACCAGCAGCCCTCAGGGCTATTCTTGTCTATGGAGTAGCCGTTCTTTTGTTCCTTTACTTTCGTAATAAACTTGCTTTCACTTTACTCTATAGACTCGCCCCGAATTCTTTCTTGCGCCAGATCCAAGAACCCTCTCTTGGGGTCTGTTTCCTGGACCCCTTTCCTGTAACAATATTTGTTCAAAATAAATCTCTTCAAATATTTTACAGACTTTGACTCTTTTCATTGACATTCCTGTGAGTCAGGGGTGAGAAAAATAATGACGTTTTTGGGAAGAGAGAAAAAACCTGTACCTGATGGAACACAAGGATTTGTTTTCTCTCTCATCCTGGGCCCGTTGGCTTTTTAAGTATAGCTACCCCAGGTATTTGTGCGTGCTCTCTCTCTCTCTCCTTTTCTTTCTCTCTCTCTCATACACATTCCCCCCTTTTCCTTCCCCCCTTCCTTTTTCCCTCTCTTTTCTCTACCTGTCTTCCTCCCTTGTCTCTCCTTACTTTCTTTCTTCTCTCTCTCTGCTTCTCTTTTCTCCCTGGTCTCTCTCTCTCTCTCTCTCTCTCCCTCTCTTCTTCCTATCCTCTCTCTTCTCTCTCTGTCTCTAACTTTGTTTCTCATATTCTCTTCTCTCTCTCTCCACTTTTTCTCTCCTTTCTGACTTCCTTACTCTTTCTTTCCCCTCTGTCCTTCTCCTTTTCTTCCCCATCTCCTCCTCTTCCTCCTTTCTTCTCCTTCTTTCTTCTTCTCTTTCTCCTCCTTTTCTTTTCCTCTCTTGTCTTCCTCTCTCTTTCTCTTTCTCTTCTTTTCCCTCTCTCTTCTCTCTGTCTCTCATTTTTCTTATTCTCTCTCTGTCTCTCTCTGTCTTCCTCTCTCCCGCTCACCTCTCCTTTTCCATTAAAGTCTGCAAAGAGTTCCCATTTCTTCTAGCAATTGAGATTTCTAGACATCACCAGGGTGGCTCATATATACCCTAGGATGTGATTACCTATTTGGGCTGTTGAAGGAGTGAAGGATGTGCCTTCCCAAAATATGCTGGATTGGTATCTTGCATATTTTGAGTTGAAAACACTAGAGAAATTGTAGTTTCAGAAAGTGCTAGCCGACCTGTTTCTTCCTGTAGGCAGCAAGCCATAAAGATTCCTTTGGGAGGGGACTCCTCCCCGTACCAGGGTGAGAAAATAGCTCTCATCACCAGAGACTGGGCTTTGGAACCTGCAGTGGACCTCAACAAATGCACTTCCCACTAGTTTAACCCCTCCTATATATCTCCTTGTGACTTTCCCAGAAATTCACTGCCCCTAGCCAGATCCCCTTTGTTTTTCATTTCTTCTCAAATTTGTCATTCTTTGTTTAAAAAGCATAAAAGCATCTTGGTTTGGTCACCTCTTTGAACATCACGCTTAGGAAGATCCCCATGGTCCGTGGAAAATGAACAAAATCTGTATGTTTTCCTTTGTTAATCTGCCTAGCATCGACTTGGTTTCTAGTTGCAGCTACAGAGCTCACTAAGAGCTAAAGGAGGTTGAAGGGGACCTCTGGCTCCCCCTCCCCCATGCCATGCACACAAGGGAGCTGACCCACTGACCCCCTGGACGACTCATGGACAGCTCAGTGGGACGGGAGCTTTGGAGGTCATAGGAGTGTTTATGCAGACCCCAGAGTGGCTTCCTAGGAGGAACAGGATTCAGCAGATCAAAGTTTCCCAGCATCTGTGATAGTCTGAGGCCAGCAGGAGGGAAGGAAAACAAAGACTCTCAACCCCAGCCCCAGGTGTCATGAACATTCATGGGGGAGAAAGGGAGCAGAGAGTGTTGAGTCTCTGAAGAGGGGACAGTGGAAAACAGCTCTAAGCAGAAATTGCCGGCTTCACTTCACTTCTGTGCCTTTTCCCTCTGCTGTCTCCTGAATTACATTTGTTTTTCCACAAAAGAAAAAGAAAGAAAGAAAGAAAGAAAGAGAAGGATTCTTCTGCCTTTGGTAACCATGCATGAGAATGTTCACATTTCTTCTTCTCTTCTCCTCCCTCTCCTTTTCCTCTCTCCTCCTCCTCCTCCTCCCTCTTCCTTCTTCTTCTTTTTCTTCCTCTTCTTCTTCTTCTTCTTCTTCTTCTTCTTCTTCTTCTTCTTCTTCTTCTTCTTCTTCTTCTTCTCCTCCTCCTCCTCCTCCTCCTCTCCCTCCTCCTCTTCCTCATCCTTCTTCTTCTTAAGACAGGGTCTCACTCTGTCACCCAGGCTGGACAATCATAGCTCACTGCAGCTTCAACCTCCTGGGCTCAAGCAATCCTCCCACCTCAACCTCCCAAGTAGCTGGGACTACAGGTATATGCCACTACGCCCAGCTAATTTTTGTATTTTTTTTGTATAGATAAGACCTTGCTATGTTGTCCAGGCTGTTCTTGAACTCCTGGCCTTAAGTGATCCTCCTGCCTCAGCCTCCCGAAGTGCTGGGATTACAGGCATGAGCCACCACACCTGGCAAGGATGTCTAGAGTTCTAAGAGCCTGTGGACAAGCTCTAAGAAGAAATCTCTTTTGTTCTCTGGCACAAATTGCCACAGGTCCCTTTTCCCACGACTTATGTTTCTGTCCTTAGCACTAATGGTTTCCACCTTGTGAGGGGTGAGGCTGTTTTCTCCCAACCATATGGGAATATGCATGTTAGGACTTTTCGTGGTATAAGCTCTAATGGGATTTCCAAGTAAGAAAAAATTTGCTAGTCTCAGGATTTTAGTTTTGTTGTTACACCTTTTCACGTTTCTGTGGGGTGGTGAGGTAGGAGGAATGTCTCTTTTTCCCTTTTAATTTTTGAAACTGCCTTTTCTTCTTTTTAAGGATGAGTGTTCACAAATTGTAAAAACTTCCATGAAGCATGAACAAGGTGAGTCACAGCCTCGTGAGTCTCTATAGTTGCCAGCGTTGACTGAAGTGATTGTAGGGAGAGTAAGAGCACCTGTCTTCATCCCTTACTGCTCCATTCTGAAAGCTCCATTTTATTTTCCAAAAATGTACCCCATAATTCACTGCTCCCTTCTCCATTGGAGCCTTGCAGTATCAAAACATAATTTAATATTTTTGCCACTGTGGTATAAAAAAAGAACAGACAAGTCTGTGAGTTTGCAAGGACACTGGACTTTTTACTCTTTCCAATGCAACTTGGGAGACTGTCATCTGGATTAGGATGTGGGCAAAATTTGGTTTTCATCTCTCGCAGGGGTTACAGACCTTGGGATCCTGGTAAACACACATAGACTCTCACACACACACAGTCACACACACACAAACATACACACACACACACACAGTCACACACATACCACAAACAATGTTTTTTTCTGCAAGAGACACTTTTCTGTTTTATTATTCTTTTTATTGCTTGTTTTTTATTTTACTTCTATTTTCCCACCAGAAATAGTGGCTTCAAAGCCATAAGGTTAACACTTGAAAAAACAAAAACAAAGCATAGAGAACGGTGCAAATTTGATTCATTTTTTTTTCTTTCAATCTTCCAAAGTGGATGTAGAAGGGTATAAAATAAAAGTTGAGGAACTAAAGTTTTCATCAAAACCTGTGGTGTTAGGGTGTAGGTTTTTATTTTATTATTTTATTTTCCTGAAAAGAGTTAAAGGAAATAGTTTTTTTCTGGGAAGGGTGAAGTTTCTGTGAGTGTTTTGTGGGTTTAGAGATTGAATAAATCAGGAAGACAACAGATGTTTGGTGTGATTAGCAGGTCTGATTGAATGGAACCAGCTTTGAAGTCTAATTGAAGACATTTGACATTAAAACGCCAAGATTATTTAGGTGCTTCACAAAATAAAATTAAAAATGAGACCCAGTAAAGGAAAAATACATAATATGAAACATTTGTTGGCCAGGTGAGAGACTATGCTGATGAAATTATTATTGGCATCCGAAGACTCCACTTTGATTGAAATTTATTTAAATTTTCCATTCTACTCAGTGGTGTTCTGCTGAAAACAGTAAAAATTTGTGGAATATGAAAAATAAGCTTAAGTACCTTTTTCAAAATCAGTAGATGTGACTAGAAGAATTTAAAACAAGATACACAATTAACAACTATTTGGAGAAGAAAGATGAAGAGGGAGGTGAATGGGAAATGAATTTCTTATATTTCAGATTTGGAAGTCAAAACATCCTGCTTAAAAGAGATTGGCATATAAATACAGCTATCTTGCATAAAATTTCAGAGACTATCATTCAAGAATTTAAAACTGCCTGGGTACGGTGGCTCATGCCTGTAATCCCAGCACTTTGGGAGGCTGAGGTGGGCAGATCACCTGAGGTCAGGAGTTCGAGACCAGCCTGGCCAACATGGTGAAACCCCGTCTCTATTAAAAATACAAAAAAATTAGCTGGGCGTGTTGGTGGGTGCCTGTAATCCCAACTACTCAGGAGGCTGAGGCAGGAGAATCACTTGAACCCGGGAGACGGAGGTTGCGGTGAGCCAAGGTTGCGCCATTGCACTCCAGCCTGGGTAACAAGAGTGAAACTCCATCTCAAAAACAAAACAAAACAAAATTAAAAACTGAAAAGGCAAAAGGGATTTCTATGACCTCCCATTTGACCATATCTAGAAGGGGAGAGGGAAATACTTTCCACATATTTTTACCTTTGTGAACTATTGTGTTTTTATGGCTGTCTTGCAGGTATCAATGTTTCACCTTGGAACAGGGAACCAAAATAGTACATAAAGCTCTATTATCACATGATCCAGCAACCTCACTACTGGGTGATTGCCCAAAGGAAAAGAAATCATTATATCAAAAAGATCCCTGCACACGTGTTTATCACAGCACCATTCACAAGAGCAAAGATATGAAATCAACCTCAGTGTCCATCAGTGGATGATTGGATAAATCGAATGTGGTATATATACACAATGGAACACTACACAGCCATACAAAATAAAATCATGTATTTTGCAGCAACATGGCTAGAACGGGAGGCCATTATCTTAAGTGAAATAACTCAGAAACAGAAAGTCAAATACTGCATGCTTTCACTAATAAGTGGGAGATAAATAATGTGTCCACATGGACATCCAGCGTGGAATAATAGACATTGGAGACTCAGAAGGGCAGGAGGCTGAGGGGGTGAGGGATGAGAAATTATTTAATGGGTACAATGTACACTATTCAGGTGATAGATACATTAAAAGCCCAAACTTTACCACTATGCAATATATCCATGTAACTGCACTTGTATCCCTTAAATTTATACAAATAAAAAAAATAAGCTTCTACATATACTTTGCACCAACCCATTGTATTTTACTTCCCATCAGTAGAAATACAATTCTCTCTTTTACTTGAGGTAAAAAAAAAAAAAAAAAATTCGTTGTTGTTATTGTTTGTTTTGTTTTGTTTCTACGATGAGAAATACCAGTTCATGGCATTGCTGAGGGGAGGCTACATGAACAGTAAGCAGTCAAAGCTGCAACAAATAGAATAATTAATAAGACTTGGTCTACCCAAAGAGACAGCAGGACCCATGATGGAGAAGGTGCGTGTGAATGAAATCACCCCAGCAAGGCGTGTGCATTGGTTTCCTGGAGGGCTGCCATCACAAATTACTACACACTGCATGGCTTAAACTAATGGAGATTTATTCTCTCAGCCTTCTGGAGGCCAGAAGCATCTGAAATCAAGGGATCAGCAGGATGGGTTCCTTCTGGATGCTCTAGGAAACACTCTGTTTATGACACTTCTGCTTCTGGTGGTTGCCAGCCATTCTTGACATTCTTTGACTTGTAGATGCATCACTCCAATCTCCATCTCCATCTTCACATGGTCTTTTTCTTTATATCTCTCTGTGTCCTCTCCTCTTCTGTTTATTTATTTTTTCGAGACCCGGTTATGAGACTGGCTAATTTTTGTATTCTGTATTTTTTGTACAAAAGATGTTTCACCATGTTGCCCAGACTGGTTTCAAACTCCTGGGCTCAAGCTATCCAGCTGCCTCAGCCTCCCAAAGTGCTTGGATTACAGGCATGAGCCACCACACCCAGTCCTCCTCTCCTCTTCTTATAAGGGTGTCAGTCATTAAATTTAGGGCCTACTTAACCTGCAAAGATTCTACTTCCCGATAACGACACATTGTGAAGTTCCAGATGGCCATGAATTATGAATTATCAGTGGAGAATACTACTTAGCTCACTACAACCTGCAAAAGTGCAAGAACACACCTTCTGTAATCTTCTGTGACCAGAGGAGGGAAAGAGACTCAAAAAGATTGGAAGGGCTGAGGCTGAGAAATGGAGTGAATTTCCTATGGGTGACTTTTCCATTTCCAGGAAGTATGTGGTAAGATTATGAAGGGGATCAGAATATGCCACCCCAAAATATGACACTTTGGTGCAAGCATTATTTTGAGCTAAAGGCTACTGAGTAAAAGTAGACACAGGACAAGCTTTCTACCCTCCCACTTTCTGCTTAAAAGCAGGGCATATGTTTTCCATTTGAAAAGAAAATTCATTTGTAAAGAAAAATTTCATTTATAAAGGTGTTCTCTCATGGATGATTCCAGAGATAGAGATTATCACCTGAGATGACTTGAGTCTATATAATAATCTATACTTACCAGGCATTTTCTAGTCACCTTCTACAAACTTACCCCTATCCTAGAAGCTTAAATTCCATTTGCCTTTGTCTAGTTCTTTATCTAAACTTTGTCGCCCTGTGTTAAGATGGTATATAATCCCCTAGGCCCAAGCACCTCTTTGGGGTTCTCACTTCTTTTCCATGTGTCTCTCCACGTGCACACAAAATAAACCATTTCTTCTGTAAACTTGTCTTTTGTCAGTTTAATTTGCTGTTCTCAGTAACTAAATCAAAAAACGAAGGTTTTATTTTTCCCCCTTTTACAGTTACCTATTAAGAGTGTGTTTGTGTGTTGGGGAGATGGGAGGTTGGTGGGATTGGCAGTGGAAGGGTCTAATGTTAGAAGACAGCAGAGAGTTAAACATTGATTTTGTCAATGGCAAAGAGCAGGATGACAAGGCAGTTTGGAGACCTGGTTGGAATTAGGGACCTAACTGTGCTGTGGCACCAGCATTGTTAGTGGAGACCAGCCCCCTGGATAGGAAGGGGATCTCTGGCATTTGGGCTCACTCCTTTGAGTGAGCTACCATCATTATGGTAGTTTTCTAGGTAAATGTTTGCATAGACAATGGGGCAAATAATTAAACATTGTGGAGAATTCCTCAGGTGTTGGACCATGGAATTTAAGTTGGGTGGGTAGCAAAATGGAGGAAGCAGCACTAGTGAAGAAGGATTAGGCAAAAGAGTCAATGAATTCGAGAGTCTACCTTTGCAAATATGGTTGTGTTTTTCTCTCTCCTTTCAAAGGATTATCAACATCCTCATTTAGCGGTATTGGTATGAGCAACAATATTTCCTAGCACAATCTGTGAAGTATTCAGTCTGAGGATGACTTCAGCAAGTCAAGAAACCTTAGAAGAACAAACATTTTCTTTTTTTGAGACAGGGTCTCACTGTGTCATTCAGGCTGGAATGCAATGGTGTGATCCTGGCTCACTGAAGCCTCAACCTCCTGGGCTCAAGCAATGCTCCTACCTCAGCGTCCCGAGTAGCTGGGACCACAAGCGTGTGTCACCATACCTCGCTAACGTTTGAATTTTTGTAGAGACAGGGTTTCACTATGTTGGCCAGGCTAGTCTCAAACTCCTGGGCTCAAGCAATCCTCCCACCTAGGCCTCTCAAAGTGCTGGGATTACAAGTATGAGCCACCATGCCTCGCCAAAATTTGTCTTTAAAACCATCTTTAACCATATGACCCGATCACTCCATTTCCTAGGTATATATTAAGGAGAACTGAAAACAAGTACTGAAGCAAAAACTTGGTATGCACATATTGAATGCAGTTCTGTGCCCAAGACACGGAAGGTGGAAACCACCCCAAATTCCATCAGTGGTTCCATGAATAAACAGAACGTGGGCCATCCAGACAGCAGAGTACCATTCAGGGGCTGGGGGAGGAAAGAATGGAAATGTCTCCTTAATGGGTACGGGATTTCTTTTGTGGTGATGGAAATGTTCTGGAACTAGGTAGAGGTAATGGTTGCATATCATTGTGAATGTGCGAAATGTCACTGAATTGTTCTCCTTAACATGGTTAGTTTTTCTTATGTGAATTTCACGTCTATAAGAAAAATGAAAAAATAATTCCTCTCTGCTCTTTCTTGTTATGAGTATATACCCAAAGGAATAGAAATCATTCTATTATAAAGACACATGCTCTCTTATGTTCATTGCAGCACTATTCACAATAACAAAGACATAAAATCAACCTAAATGCCCATCAATGACAGATTGGATAAAGAAAATGTGGTCCATATACACCATGGAATACTGTTCAGTCATTAAAAGGAACGCGATGATGTCCTTTGCAGGGACATGGATGTAGCTAGAGTCCATTAGCCTTAGCAAACTAACACAGGAACAGAAAACCAAATACTGCATGTTCTCACCTATAAGTGGGAGGTAAATGATGAGAACACATTGACACATGGAAGGGGGAATACATACTAGGGCCTGTCAGAGGGTGGGGGATGGGAGGAGGGAGAGCATCAGGAAGAATAGCTAATAGATGCTGGGCCTAATACCTGGGTGATGGGATGATCTGTGCAGCAAACCAGCATGGCACACGTTTACTCATGTAACAAACCTGCACATCCTGCACAGGAATCCCTGAACTTAAAATGAAAGTTGGGAATTAAAACAATATAAAGAAATATTCCATATTCTTAAAAAAGGAAAAATAAAAGAAAACATTTTGATACATATTAAATGGTCCATAGGATCACAAATATGCTATCTATTACATGATTTCCCTACTAGTGTTTCTGCGGAAAAACAACTTCTGAATGAAACAACCGGAAAAGCACAATCTTCAGGCAAGACACGTTTGACAGGGGCTTTTTCTGTCACTTTGTTCAGAAAATAGTTTTGTCCTTGAATATTATAGGGAGGACAGTTGAAACATAAAATGAATGGTTGTTAAAGTGCAGCATAATAAAATCTTTCATTTTATACATTGCTGTCTAAACTCTTGAATCAATACTTTACATTGGAAGGTTCTACCTTAGAGAATTAATTTATTCTAACTGTACTGTAAAATAAAAAGACTGGGGACCCAACTAAGAAAAACAAAATTAACCAGCCAATTTATACTGTCCTGAAAGTGAAGGCAACCAAGTATTTCTGCCTTATCCCTGGAGGTTTTATCCAAAGGGAATGTATTAGTCCATTCTCACACTGTTATAAAGAAATATCTGAGACTGGGTAACTTATTAAAAAAAGAGGTTTAATTGGCTCATGGTCCTGCAGGGTGTACAGGATGCATGGCAGCTTTTGCTTCTGGGGAGGCCTCAGAAAACTTACAATCATGGCAGAAGGGGAAGCTGGTGTCTTACATGGCTGGAGCAAGAGGGAGAGAGAGGCAGGGAGATGCTACACACTTTTAAACAATCAGATTTCATGAGCACTCTATCATGAGAACAGCACTAGAAGGATGGTGCTAAACCATTAGAAACCGTCCCCATGATTCAATCACCTCCCACCAGGCCTCACTTCCCAAATTGGGGGTTACGATTCAACATGAGATTTGGGTGGGGACACAGATTCAAACCATATAATTCCACCTCTGGCCTCTCCAAATATCATGGTCTTCTCATACTGCAAAATACAATCACGTATTCTCAATAGTCCCCCCAAAGTCTTAATTCATGCCAGCATTAACTCAAAAGTCCAGTCCATTGTCTCATATGAAAGAAGGCAAGTTCCTTCTGCCTATGGGTTTGTAAAATCAAAAACAAGTTAGTTACTTCCAAGATACAATGGGAGTATAGGCATTGGGTAAATACTCCCATTTCAAGAGGGAGAAATCTGCCAACAGAAAGGAGCTACAGGTCCCATGCAAGTCTGAAACTCAGCAGGGCAGTCATCAAATCTTAAAGCTCCAAAATAATCTCTTTTGACTCCGTGTCTCCCATCCAGGGCACCCCAGTGCAAGGGGTGGGCTCCCAAGGCCTTGGGCAGGGGAGGTCTCAGAGAAAAAATCATGCTGCAGTTACCCTCTGTGTGAATCAAAGAAATTTATTTTGCTTTTTTTTTTTTCTAATTTTCTCATTATAGACCTTATTTTAAAGCTGTGAGTTGAACACTGGTTCACTGTGTGGGAAAAAACTGAAGAACCCTATCAATTTACACACTTTATAGGGACTGCTTATGGAGCCCCTTGCTATTCTAACCACCCGGAAGGTAGGATCTCAGTGGATGAAACACTTGGAAAAACAAATCATTATTCTTTCCTATTCATGCTTATGTTTTGTTTGAATAATGATTTTGTTTTACTTACAGGTTTTTTTTTTTTAACTTGGCTTTACCTACGGAGTCATTTATAATGTGTCAGACATCCTCGTTCAATGGGAAGTCTGCTGTATAGGACTCAATAGTAGTTGCTCAAGAAGGGGAAGTTAATAGTGTGTCAGAAGTCAGTGAGAAGCCAGACATCTTCCTCCCCCATGGAGAGGCACAATTATATGCAATTACATCTTCCTTTTCATGCCTAGGGAAGTCACTGATATATCCACTCATAAAATACCAGACTTTGGGTGTCTATTTAGAAGTTTTTACAGCTCAAAAACAAATTTTAAAGACAGTCTCAAACTCAATGTCTTAGGAAGGTCAACCTTAAAATGAATAGAAGACCTTAAGTTGTAAAATGTAGGGCTCATTTAATTTATAGCCATGGATCTGTGTATTTCAGACACACATGGGGAGGAGGGAAAGTACAATGTCATGCAGGGCTAAGAATCACCTAGTCCAAGAATCCCGCAAAACCTCTCAACCTTGTTTTCCCAATGGCCAATGTTGCTGTGAACATGAAAATTGAGGCAGTTTCAGGCACTCACTATAGTATAAATTGGGTTCTCTTGCAGGCAACACTGAGGCCAGCATTCTGAATGTGCAACTTTGGACTAAGCACATTGCACATTTAGGAATGTAATCTAAGCAAATACTTTCAGTTGTGGATGCAATTATATTTATTGTAATGTTGATAACGTTATAGTAAAGAAAAACAATGTGAATATATGTCAGTGAGAGATTGGACAAATCACCTTGAATAAATATATGCAACAGCATATTATATAGCTGTGAAAATGGACAAGGTATTTATTTACATTGTCAAATGAAAAGATGATAGAGAATTGAGTAGCAAAGTAGTTCCAAATAGTATCTGTAATATAATGTCTTTTATGTTAAAATTACATGTTAATAGATGCACTAAACATTTTCCCAGTGAAATGGTATATGTTGCTATAACTGAAGTTACAAGAATGTAAAGACATGGAAAGGCTTACATTTGTTCTTACCCTTTCATGCAGTCTGTATTTTTATCTATCTATCTATCTATATCTATCTATATCTATCTATCTATCTATCTATCTATCTATCTATCTATCTATCTATCATCTATCATCTATCTATCTATCTGTATCTATCTATCTATCTATCTATCTATCTATCTATCTATCTATCTATCTATCTATCTATGTAGAGACCGAGTCTTGCTATATTGCCCAAGCTGGATTCAAACACCTGGGCTCAAGCAATCCTCCAGCCTCAGCTTCTGGAGTAGCTGTAATTACAGAGGTGCACCACTGCACGTAGCTATTTTTTAAATAATAAACATTTTTAACACATTTATCTAAAACATAGTGAGAAAAGAAAACAGAGAAACATAATATTTGGAATACTGGGGAATAGCGTCTGTCACTTCTGTCCTGTCTGTTGCTATTTTATAAAAAGCCTTAAGAACCAGCAGTTTACACGTAGTTTTCAGGCAATCAGACATATATCTGCTATGAGACCATTTTTTAAATGATGAAATAACTGTGTGCGTGTTTGTATGCTTTGTATATCAGTTTACAGCAGATAGCTATTCAATTCTTCTTTGAGATGTAAAAGGAAAAAAAAACTTCCCCAAGGTGTTGTGTTACAGACTGAATGTCTGTGTCTTCACAAAATGCATGTGTTGAAATCCTCCCTTCAAAGTGATGGTGTTATGAACTGGGGCCTTTGGGAGGTGATGAGGTCATGAGGATGGAGCCTAATGAATGGGAAGATTGCCCTTATAAAAGAGACCCCAGAGGGTTCCCTCACCCTTTCCACCATGGGAGGACACAGTGAGAAGGCGCCGTCTATGAACTAGGAAATGAGTCCTTACCAGACATAGAATCTGCCATGCCTTGATCATGCGTCTCCAGCCTCCAGAGCTGTGCATGATCAGTGTGTTATTTATAAGCCATCCAGTCTTAGGTATTTTGTTATAGCAGACTCAATGGACAAGAAAAAAAAACTTTGGCTTCAAGCAAAGTGAGCTTGCTCCTCTGTCCTTAATAGACACAAACAAATGGACAAAGATGACTGCATCATCCCAACCCATAAATCAAAGATTTTCAACCCAGAAGCAAAGATCCAACTGACATAAGCAAAGCTCCTGTCTGTACAGGGATAAACAGAAAGTGTGCAGATCACAGGTAGCCTCTCCTATTTGTGCAAACCCCTTTGTGAAACTCCACAGATTCATGGCAGAATCATCACTTTGGTAACCAAAAGGAACCTTGCAATTTGTACAGTAATTCATCTATAGGTGCATTCTGACAAACCAAGATATTCTTGGCATTGCGCTTGTCATTGTCCATCCAGTGAAGAGCAGGATGGATTCATCAACTTTCATGAGCTACATACTAGAAGAAAGCGCTGAGAAGTTAGTGGGCATTGGCTACCCCTGGTACAGGTTGCATGGGGATAGATGACATAGATGTAATCTTAAGGTGGGAATGGAGTGATCAGAGGAGGCTTCCTGATGCCTGTGCACCTTCTGAGCCCTTGCCGATGAATGACAAGTGGAAAGGCTACCTTGAGCAAAAGAAGAAGGGAGTAGGGGTTCCTAGCAGGAAGGTGGGGTTCCTGCTTGGGGTTTCTAGCAGAAAGATGCCCCAGTGCCTTGGCTTATAGGCAAAAAATAGCAGATATTGGGGAACTAAAATTGGTTAGCATTGGCTGGTGTGCAGCAGGTACTGAAGAGGCAGGTAACAGTGGTCAGGTAATGATGAATTTACAGATGAAGGTGTGGAAATAAATGAAGGCCACCCACATGAAAACAAGCAAGGTGTTTATTCAGAGCTTGCTGTAGCAAAGGAATCAGCCATCATCACTCACGTCTGGCCGAGATTCAAAGGCCGGCAGAGCCATGGGGAATCCTTATAGTGGGGAAAAAGGGAAAACTTAGGTGTGTTCTGATTGGAGGCAGTTGGTGGTTCACTAGAAGTGAGGCATCCTTTGTGACTGGTTAGGGGGAAAATTTGGGTTTCTCTGTTTGGTCCTGAGTTGGAAGTAGGGGAAAAATTAGGGAAGCTCATAGTTATTGATCAAGTTCTGGACATTTTGGGCTGGTTGCTACAGGGCTTCCTATTGGCTTCCTGGATGAGTTACTACAGTTTATAGGTTAGACCTCTCTCTTTATATATAGTCTAGTCACCGTCCATTTGTATATTACTTCTCTCAATGATAAGGATTTGAGAACATATGCTAGGAACAATAGTTATTTAAGTGTTTTGACCTCAGGGAATTTTTATTCTATTACTTGTTTCGTCATTCTTTCTCCTGCATCTTTTCATTTTTTTGCACACTGTGATGTGTGAGTATCGCATTGCTGCTCTCCCAAATATGTCATTCAAGTTTTTTGCCTTTTCCTCCATGGTTTTTATTTCTGTATTGTTACTCTGAGTTTCAGATATTTCTTCCATTTACTCTTCTAGTTCAGGGATTGGCAAATGCTTTCAGCAAAGGGTCAAATAGTAAATGTTTTTGGCCTGGGGAGCCATTCAGTCTCTGTTGCAACTACACAACTGTATCATTATACTGCAAAAGCAGTCATGCACAATATATAAATGTATAGGTGTGGCTGTGTTTAAATAAAACTTTATTTACACAAACAGGCTGTGGGCCAGATTTGGCTTTTGGGACAAAATTTTATGACTTCTTTTCTAGGTTACTTAGTTAAGTCTCAACAGATGTGTCCCTGAATCAGTGAATACAATGACAAATACAAATGCATAATTTGTTAAATAAAATTGTATAAAGTATATGTGTGTGTTATATCTCCCTAAATACTCTGAAAGGCATCAGACTATGTCATCTCCAAATATGCCACTTTGGTGTGAGAATTATTTTTAGCTGAGGTGGAAGGATGGCTTGAACCCAGAAGTTCAAGTTTGCAGTGAGCTGAGATCACATCACCTCAATCTAGCCTGGATGACAGAGTGAGATTCTGACTCAAAAAAAAAAAAAAAAAAAAAGAAAAGAAGAAAGAAAGAAAGAAAGAAAGAATAAAGCAAAATAATAGAGGTGCAGAGGAGATGCAAATTCCACATATGGTCAGATAAACTTGTTGAATGAGAAACACAATTTTCCAACTTAGAAAATAATGAAATCGAAAGTTGAAGAGGGTGTATTCACCGAGAGGAAGTGGGAGAGTCAATGACTGGCATTTCCATGAGTTCAGATGGCAGGTCCTGTGGGGATCACTGAGAGCTGGAATTGCAGGAAGAGCCACTTGTGTTGTGCGTCTTGAGTGATGACAGGCAAATAGTGGTTCTGGAAGTGCCTTATGGAATCAGGATGGCTGGGGAGGTTAATCATGGAACTGGGAGGCCAGTGTGTCCAACACGTTATGCATGCAGAAGGGGAGACTCTGATGGGGTTCAGCACACACTACCCCAAAATACAGCATTTTGGCATTTGAAAAAAAGAAAACAACAACAACAGCAGAAGGAGAAAACCTACTCTCACCTATCCCTCAGCCCTTTCCCTCAGCCCTTTCCCCTGAAACATGTTGCCCAGGCTGGTCTCGAACCCCACCTTCCTGCTAGGAACCTCTACTCCCTTCTTCTTTTGCTCACTGTAGCCTTTCCACCTGCCACTCATCAGCAAGAGTTCAGCAGATGCACAGGCATCAGGAAGCCTCCTCTGATCACTCTGCTCCCTGAAGCAAGTCAAGAAACCGGGGAAGAGTTCTCTAACCTTTCCCTGAAGCAGGTCCTAGGACCTTGATTCAAGAAGTGCCCTGTCTATCTCCAGAGAGAAAGAACATCTTTATTTCTGAAGACACAGACACAGAGAAGAATCCTAACATGCAGCCCTTGCTAGGTTCCCCCCACCCCAGTTTATTCCCGTTAGATCACGCCCTGTTGTCCCTCAATCACACTTCTGTGTGATCGCCCACAAAAATATAGTTTTCTGGCTGGTCATGGTGGCTCACGCCTCTAATCCCAACACTTTGGGAGGCTGAGGCAGGGTGGATTGCCTGAGTTCAGGAGTTCGAGACCAGCCTGGACAGCATGGTGAAACCCTGTCTCTACAAAATATTTATATATAAATTAGCCGGGTGAGGTGGTGCATGCCTGTAGTCTCCACTACTCGAGAGGCTGAGGTGGGAGGATGATTTGATCCCTGGAGGCAGATGTTGCAGTAAGCCAAGATTGCACCACTGCACTCCAGCCTGGGAGACAGAGCCAGACACTATCTCTCTATATATAGTTTTCCCTGGGTCTTTAGGTTTTTATCCTAAAAGCTCCTGTATCACATACAATTTATACTACGTAAATATGTATGCTTTCTTGTATCTGGCTAATCTGTCTTTTCTTATCAGGGTCTCAGCCATTAACCTTGCGATGGGTGAGGAAAAGATCTTACTTTTTCTCTCCTACAATGTGTAGGAGTTAGGGAGTTTATAAACCGTGCAACAAGACTACGGAGGAGACCTGAGGAATGGAACGCCCTCTGAAGAGTTGCCTCAGAGGCAGAGACAACACAGAGCAGAACGGACTTGGGGATTGTGGGTGGGACTAGGGGCATAGACTATCAGAGGCAAGTGATGAGGTTACTGGGTGTGTGGCTTATCTAGAGAACTGCTCCCAGAGAGTATGCGTTTTTGGGGAAGCACAGGGCTAACCAAGATTTGCACTCTTTGTACCTCAGAAGGCTTTCTGGGCTCTGGAAATGGAGCGAATCAGCTGAATCTGTGATGGCCATTCTGGCTCCAGAAAGAGACTGCATGTCCAAGTTCCCTAGTAAGCTCCTGGGGAATTACCAGGATCTGGCTAGAGACAGAAGCTGCCCCTCTTGGTGACCTTGAGACTCGTTGCCTCCTAGTATTTTGCAGGACAGAAATGTGAGCTGCCTTTGTGTCTTGCTGTGTAGGGTTATTTTCTGCAAATTGGCTGAGATTGGCGTGGCACCTCCCAAAACTTCATTTTGAGGACTCTCCCCAAAGACTGGAATTCCCTTAGCAAAGATCATTTTTTAATGCAAACCATCTGCTTCAATGAAAAAGAAAAAGAACAAGAAAAAGAAAGAAGTAAAAAGAAATCATGACCTCAGTTTTCTGCAAAACAGACGAATCCTTGGTTTTCACCAAAAGGCAAAACGCTAATTAATTTTTAAAATGCTGACCTCCTTTGAATTATTTTAGTCCTTTAGATGAAAAACATGTGTCATGATTGCATGTGTTTTTATTCTTCCACAGGCTTGGAACTCTGGGTGTTTGGGGAGGCTTTCTATATGCCTCAAAGCCCTTAATACCTCATTGTGAACTGGCATCTCAGGTTACTTCTCTCATGAGTGACAGAACAAAGACCTGCATTGTGAGCAGGGGAGAGGCAAGGGTGAATTTTAAAGCATAAAGTGGTTGAATTTAGAGGCAGAAGAAGTTGGAGAGGGGGAGAGAAATTTACTTAGTTTATAAATTTGTCTGGAGCTGGCCAACGTATGCCAATTATATGACCAGTTCAGGTAGAAGTCAGACCTAGAAAAAGAAGAAAAACAATATACAAATGAACACATGTGAGGTGATATTAGAGCATTGGCAATGGGGATTTAGGGGCTATGGTTGATTTTAAGAGTGTGTGTGTGTAATTGGTGATCAAGAATTATTGGTACTCAAAAATAATATTAATTCACAATATAGTTCGATTTGAATAAAGAGTGGCTTGTGATAGGGAGGATATATAACTTACTTCTCCTTAAGCTTGGCAGTTATATTGTTTTCTGGGGGAAAAAACCAGTAGAGGTATTTTAGAATAGGGTAGAAAATAAAAGTAGAGTCCTGAAAGTAGATCTATGCCCTCACCACACACAAGCATACTCCTTTGTAACACATCTCCACAGTAACTATATCTTCTTCACAAGGAATTAAATGAGAAGAAAACCATAGACTACTATGCACACACAAGCTATTAATATCTTCTTTCTGCAATTTTTACAGATTTTCTCAACACCATTGATTTATAGGATCGTGAGCAAGAAGCACTGATGGCCATGAAGATGAATAAGCAAGGAAAAGTGGTCTTAGTTAGTGAAATTGATGATGATTTCATGTCTTCTTTATCATAGGGGATGCCTAAGTTCTACAATTCATATTATCAGATCTGATGAATTAGAAACTCATCCACTTCTTGCTTGCACTAGAAAAAATGCCAGACACTGTGAGGCCAAGCAAATCATGACTAACTAAAATTTTTGAAGAACAGGAACTCCAACACATAATGAGATCATGTTTGGTTTTCCCAGAATTGTTTTTTGACTAAATGGAAAGCAAAAAGAAAAAGGAATTTGTTAAAGAAGCTACAATGTCTACATCAAAGCCAAAAATACTTGGAGCTCTAAAAATACACTTAACATTTTAACCCAGGGGGAAACGTTTGTCTTTCAAAAGTGAATTAGGGCTGGGTGCTGTGTCTGACACCTGTAACCCCAGCACTTTGGGAGGCGAAAGGCTCACTTGAACCCAGGAGCTCGAGAGGGCAACATGGCAAAACCCCATCTCTACAAAAAAAAAAAAAAAAAAAAATAGCTGACCATGAAGGTATGTGCCTGTAATCTCAGCTACTTGGGAGGCTGAGATGTGAGATTTCACTTGAGCCCTGGAGGTCGAGGCTGAAGTGAGCCATGGTCATACCACTGTACTCCAGCCTGGTCAACAGAGTAAGGCTCTGTCTGAAAAAAAAAAAGTGAATTAGGAAGATCAATGATTTAAGAAAATAAAATTTGACTGAGATTTGGGGAATGTGCATTATTCAGAAAAAAATTGCAAAATGTTATTCCGTTGTAAAGATATGCTGGTGTTATTTAAATATTAACATTCTCAAAGGTGCTATATCTTAGAAAAAGAACAGGAAGAGTGCTTTCAGGGCTGAATAATGGCTTTGGCAATTTGAACTGATCAAATTGACCAGATAGTTACCAAACTTCACCTGATTTTGCACGTATATGTGATGACCATGTCCAGGAAAACTGGAATGATGGAACTATCTATCATATATATGGTAGACTCTATGTCCACCTGGGCCACTGGCCCCAGGACATATACTATCATACATACAGTAGGCTGCACTTCCACTTGGAGGCCTGGAAAGGGGACAGGTATTATTATACATATGGTAGATTTCATGTCCACCTGGAAGAGTGTAGCCAGGACATATACTATTATATATAAAATAAAATCCACTTTCGGCCAGGTGCGGTAACTCACGCCTGTAATCCCAGCACTTTGGGAGGCCGAGGTGGGCAGATCATGAGGTAAAGAGATCGAGACCATCCTGGCCAACATGGTGAAACCCCGTCTCTACTAAAAATACAAAAAATTAGCCGGACGTGGTGGTGCACCCTTGTAGTCCCAGCTACTCGGAGGCTGAGGCAGGAGAATTGTTTGAACCAGAGAGGTGGAGGTTGCAGTGAAAAAAAAAAAAATTCACTTTCACCCGAAGGACTGGAGCCAGGGCATATACTAGCATATACACAGTAGGCCTCATTTTCACCCGAAGTATTGGACCCAGTACGTATACTGCTATATATATGGTAAATTCCAATTCCAACTGGAGGATGGCAGGGGGCTTATATTATCATCTATGTGGTAGATTTCTTTTTTTTTAATATATATTTTATATATATATATTTTTGAGACGGAGTCTCGCTCTGTAGACCAGGCTAGAGTGCAGTGGCATGATCTCGGCTCACTGCAAGCTCTGCTTCCTGCGTTCACGCCATTCTCCTGCCTCAGCCTCCTGAGTAGCTGGGACTACAGGCGCCCCCCACAAGGCCTGGCTAAATGTTTGTATTTTTAGTAGAGATGGGGTTTCACCGTGTTAGCCAGGATGGTTTCCATCTCCTGACCTTGTGATCCACTCGCCTCCGCCTCCCAAAGTGCTGGGATTACAGGTGTGAGCCACTGCGCCTGGCCATAGTATATATTATCTGTGTATGTTAAACTTCCCTTCCACCTGGAGAACTGAAGCCAGGGTATATATTATCATATATATGGTAGACTCCTCTTCCACCAGGAGGACCCAGTGTGATGGGTAATACTGAATGTCAACTTGATTGGATTGAAGGATACAAAGTATTGATCCTGGGTGTGTCTGTGAGGATGTTACCAAAGAAGATTAACATTTGAGTCAGTGGGCTGGGAAAAGCAGGCCTCCCCTTAATCTGGGTGGGCACAATCTAATCAGCTGCCAGCTTGGCTAGAATATAAGCAGGGAGAAAAATGTGAAAAGAGAGACTGGCCTAGCCTCCCAGCCTACATCTTTCTCCTGTGCTGGGTGCTTCCTGCTTTTGAACATTGGACTCCAAGTTCTTCAGTTTTGGGACTGGGACTGGCTCTCCTTGCTCCTCAGCCTGCAGACGGCCTATCGTGGGACTTTGTGATCGTGTGAGTTAATACTTAATAAACTTCCATATATATATATATTCCATTAGTTCTGTCCCTCTAGAGAACCCTAATATACCCAGGGCATATATTGTCATATATATGGTAGACTCCCCTTCCACCTGGAGGACTAGAGCCGGGACATATATTATTATATACATGATAGACTCCCCTTCCTCCTGCAGCCAGGACATATATTATCTTACATACAGCTGTAGACTCATGTCCACAGTGACATCATTAAATCCACCCAGTGAGGTTTTCTACTGTAGTGTTGACTGCATGGGGATTTGGTCAGCAAGTCCCCATAACCTCCAAATCTACTGGATGTCCTCCCATGCTAAAGCTCACTGACTTGGAAAACTCTCAAGTTGTGAAATAGATTCATATAAAAATGGACCCTCCGCTCCACATCTGGAATTCCATAATTCTGAATGTGTCCTCCTTTTCAGGCACTTCCTTGGACCATGTTTTGAATGCCTTGCCTGCACAGCTTACCTCTTCCTTGGACACTGCCAGTGCTACCATATTTGAGATGATGGGTCGGTCGTTTTTGTTTTGCAGTGGTAGTCAGGGTTCTCCAGAGAAACAGAAACAATAGGATATAGAAGTACGTAGAGATTTGTTTTATGGAATTGGCACACGATTGTGGGAGCTGGAAAGTCTAAAATCTTCAAGACATGGTGGTAGGCTGGAGATTCAGGTAAGATTGATGTTGCAACCTCGACTCCTAATTCTGTAGGGCATTGGGCCAGAAACTCAGGCGTAATTTCTATACCTTAGTCTTGAGGCAGAATTTGTTCTTCTTTGGAAAAACCCAGTCTTTATTTTGTTGTTGTTGAGACAGAGTCTCACTCTGTTGCCCAGGCTGGAGTGCAGTGGTGCGATATCAGCTCACTGCAACCTCTGCTTCCCGGGTTCAAGCAGTTCTCATGCCTCAGCCTCCCCGGTACCTGGGATTAAAGGCAAGGGCCATCAAGCCTGGCTAATTTTTGTATTTTAAGTAGAGATGGGGTTTTGCCATGTTGCCCAGGTTGGACCCCAGTCTTTATTCTTAAGGCTTTTAACCGGTTGGATGAGGCTCTACATGATAGAGGGTCATGTCCTTTATTTCAAGTCAACTGATTGTAGACGTTAATCACATCTACAAAATAACTTCACAGCAACACCAAGACTGGTTTGAGTAAACAATTGGATACCATAGCCCACTGAAGGTGACATATAAAATTAACCAATACATCCCAAGGGCACTCAATAGGTCCAGTCCTTCTGGTGGAAGAAGAGTCTACCATATATAAGATAATATATGCCCTGGCTCCAGTCCTCCAGGTGGAAGGGGAGTCTACCATATATATGATAAAATATGCCCTGGGTCTATTCTTCCACGTGGAAGAGGAGTCTACCATATATCAGGTAAAATATGCCTGGGTCTATTCCTCCAGGTGAAAGGGGAGTCTACCATATATATGATAACATATATGCCCTGGGTCTATCATCTATGTATCTTATCTATCATCTATCTATGTACCTCTCTATCAATCATCTATCTATGTATCTATCTACTAAACAAAAAAATCAGGGCTAAGCATGGAGACTCATACCTGTAATCCCAGGACTTTTGGAAGCCAAGGCGGGGGGATTGCTTGAGCCCAAGTGTTCAAGATCGGCGTGGGCAAGATGGTGAGACCCTGTCTCTATTTAAAAAATAAAAAAAAACCTTAAAAAAAGGAAAAATCAGGCTTTTAAATAATTAGTTTTATTCAGTATCTTACTGAAGATTGCAATCCCGGAATCTTTCAGAGTTTCTGTTAGACTGCTCCAAAACAGTGTTTCAACCCACAGCTTATACACAGGTGGTAGAAGTTCTGCAGGTGCTCAGAAGTTACAACAAATGTGCTCAGAAGTCATAGAAGTCACAACACATGTTCTCAGAAGTCACCTCAGATGTGCTCAGGTGTTGCATTAGAGCCAGTTCTCATCAAGGTTTGAGCGCCAGGGAACAACTGTGTATAGATTACAGAGGCACAGTCATTAATCCTGTCGGACATTATGTGTGGGAAGGGGCAGGGACTAGGAGCACTGAAACCATCTTTTCTAAAAATGCAGCGATTCAGGCAAGAGATGTGGGAACCTGTGCTCGATTTATCCCATTTATCGCCCTCAGGGCATTCTTCCACAGGGCTGGGCTATGTCACTCAGTCAGGGATTTTGTGACATTCCCCTGGCAAACAGAAGGCACTAACATAGCTTGTTACACTTGCGACTTTGTATCACATATCTCTCTATCTGGTCCTAGTTCCTATTGGTAGTTTCTCTGGAGAACTCTGGCTAACACAGGAAGCACTTCCTCCTGAGAATAGCATCCAATGATAACATTTTGCAACTTATGTATCTTACAACTGGAGGAAGAAGTGGCTGTGTAAAGGAGAAACAGGGATAGAATGCCCTTCAATTTTTGGCTTCCTGATCCCTGGAAAGATTGGACAGGTGAGAGCAAGCATACACAAGGAAGGATTTGGATGGAGACAGAGAAGCTTTGTCTGGTGAACATCATTTTGATAAAGTAATTACTATCAATCATGAAAGTTTACCAGCCGTTAATCAGGACGCCATCCCTTTTACAAAAAATACTGCTACAAATATGACCCGATGCTCGTTAAGGTCTTCATTATTCTTGGTGATTACTAGTATCCTCATTTGCAAATTTATTTTGCCAGTAAAAAGGTGAAGGCTTACAGAGGGGAACAAGTGGCCCCAGCGTGGCCAAATGTTTTGTCTGCAAGCTGGAAATGGATTACATTTTCATGTGGCCTCCTGATTAGTCACAGTCTCTTAGAAGAAAGAGGGTTCTGTTTATACATCGAAACTCTCTGTTTTCTTTTTTAATGAATAGTTTCCTTTTTGTTATACAGACCCAGAAAGAAAGGTGACTGGACTGGATGTCAAATTTTAGTCGGTCTGCTTTTATGAATAAGGAATATTCATAAGGCAAAGAGGAGACACATCACATCACTTTGTAGGGAGCAAAAAGTTGTTTGCAAGCGTCTCTCTGAGTCAACAAGCTTCAGTTAGAAAGCAGTGTTCCTAACTGAAGTAGATTATCACCTAAGGATGAAAATGAAGCCACATAAAAGTATTGAATCCTTGGGTTGGGTTACTTCAGACTTCTGGTCTTTTTTTTGTGTGCTGACCTCCCGTGGACTTTTCAGGCAGCCCCCACGGTGAGCAGGAAGAGAACCATGGGGCTTAATCATGCACGAAATCCTCCATCAGTGCAAGGGCTGGGGAAGGAGGGCTATTATTTGCACATGGGGAGGCATGAGCATCATTAAACTGTTTCGCTGCAGAGAATCTACATGTACCAGAGATGAAGAGTGAGAGTAACTCAGTATCTTCATTTGTAAGCTAAGTTTTCTAGTAAAAATACAAGTACACAAATAAAGAGCATTCATTTTTCTTGTTTTGGTTTGCTTTAAGATAATAGACTTTATTTTTAGGCATTTTTAGGCTTACAGAAAAATAACCAGAAAATACAGAGAGGTCTTATATAGCCTTGTTGTTGAAAAAAAGTCAAACTCTGTAAAATATTTGAAAAAATTTATACTGAGTCAAATATGAGTGATTAATGGCCCATGACACTGTTACAGAAAAGGGGTCCTGATCCAGACCCCAAGAGAAGGTTTTTAGACCTCATACAAGAAAGAATTGAGGGTGAGTTCATAGAGTAAGGTGAAAGCAAGTTTATTAAGAAACTAAAGGAATAAAAGAATGGCTACTGCGTAGGCAGAGCAGCGGTGTGAGCTGCTTAACTGCTTACACTTCTTGTTATTAAGACTTCTTGGTTATATGCTAAACAAGGGGTGAGTTATTCATGAGTTTTCTGGGAAAGGGGTGGGCATTTCCCAGACCTGTGTTCCTCCCCTTTTGGGACCATATAGGGTAGCTTCCCGATGTTGCCATGGCATGTGTAAGCTGTCAGGGTGCTGGTGAGAGTGTCTTTTAGCCACTAATGCGTTATAATTAGTGTATAATGAGCACTGAAGACAACCAGATGTCAATCTCATTGCCATCTTGGTTTTGGTGGGATTTGGCTGGCTTCTTTACATTATGCTGTTTTATCAGCAAGGTCTTTGTGACCTATATCGTGTGCCGACCTCCTATCTCTTCCTGTGACTTAGAATACCTTAACTTCCTGGGAATGCAGCCGAGTAGGTCTCAACCTTATTTTACCCAGCCCCTATTCAAGATGGAGTTGCTCCGGTACAAACACCCCTGATAACACAACGTTCAGGAGATCCTGAGGACATGCATCCAAGGTGGCTGGGGCACAGGCTAATTTTATATTTTAGGGAGACATGAGACATTAATCAAATACATGTAAGATGTACATTTGTTCAATTCAGAAAGGCAGGGCAACTCCAAGCTGGGGCGGCTTCCAGGTCATAGGTAGATTTAAAAATTTTCTGATTGGCAATTGATTGAAAGAGTTATCAATAGAAAGGAATGTCTGGGTTATGATGATAAAAGATTGTGAACACCAAGGTTTTATTAATATCATGTGGATGAAGCCTCCAGGTAGCAGGCTTCAGAGAGAATAGATTGTAAATATTTCTTACCAAACTTAAGGTCTGTGGTGATGTTAATGCTAGGCAGTTTTTCCTGAATTCCAAAAAGGAGGAGGGTATAACGAAGCTTGTCTGACCTTCCCTTCCCGCCATCGCCTGAACCAGTTTTTCAGGTTAACTTAGAAAGCCCTTGTCCAAGAGGAGGGGTCCATTCAGATGATTGGGGGTGGGAGGCTTAGAATGTTTTCTTTTTTTTTTTTTGAGACAGTCTCTCGCTTTGTCACCTGGGCTGGAGTGCAGTGGCGCGATCTCGGCTCACTGCAACCTCTGCCCCCCAGGTTCAAGCGATTCTCCTGCCTCAGCCTCCCGAGTAGCTGGGATTACAGGTGTGCACCACCACACCTGGCTAATTTTTTATATTTTTCGTAGATACGGGGTTTCACCATGTTGGCCAGGCTGGTCTTGACCTCCTGACCTCAAGTGATCCACTGCCTCAGCCTTCCAAAGTGTTGGAATTACAGGTGTGAGACATTGTGCCTGGCTGGGACGCTTAGAATTTTATTTTTCATTTATACCCTCTCATTCTATCCATTTTCCAGTCTCAAATTAGTGTAATACATTTGTCACAATTGCTAAAGCAATGTTGACACTTTGAACCAAAATATCTAAGAGGGGTCTCAGTCAATTTAGAAAGTTTATTTTGCCAAGGTTAAGCACACACTGGTGACACAACCTCAAGAAGTCCTGATGATTTTTGTCCAAGGTGGTCAGGGCACAACTTGGTTTTATACATTTTAGGGAAACATGAGACATCAATCAATATATGTAAGATGTACATTGGTTTAGACTGGAAAGGCGGGACAACTCTAAGGGGGAGCGGACTTGCAGATCATAGTAGATAACAGAAAAAATGGTTACATTCTTTTGAGTTTCTGATTAGCCTTTCACTGAATGCAAAATTTATAGGAATTAGTCACTTATGCCTCAGTCTGGCTTAGTGAAACAATAGGGCAGATGAAACCATCTGATATACATTGGTCTCACAGGAGCCAAGGGATGACTTTGAGTTCCTTCTGCCCTTTGTCCACAAGGAATTTCCTCGTGGGCAAATTGTGAGGAAGGGATGTATGTTCGTTATCTTTGCAGTTATCTTATTTAGGAATAGAATTTTGTCTGGATTGATGGGTTCTTGGTCTCGCTGACTTCAAGAATGAAGCTGCGGACCCTCTTAAAGGTGGCGCGTCTGGAGTTGTTCCCTCCTCCCAGTGGGTTCATGGTCTCGATGGCCTCAGGAGTGAAGCTGCAGACCTTCACGGTGAGTGTTACAGTTCATAAAGGTGGCGCGTCCAGAGTTGTTCGTTCCTCCCGTCCGGAGTTGTTTGTCCCTCCTGGTGGGTTCGTGATCTCGCTGGCTTCAGGAGTGAAGCTGCAGACCTCTGTGGTGAGTGTGGTGGCACAGACCCAAAGAGTGAGCAGCAACAAGATTTATTGTGAAGAGCAAGAACAAAGCTTTCACACCGTGGAAGGGGGACCCAAGCAGGTTGCCGTTGTTGGCTCGGGTGGCCTGCTTTTATTCCCTTATTTGGCCCTACCCACATCCTGCTGATTGGTCCATTTTACAGAGCACTGATTGGTCCATTTTACAGAGTGCTGATTGGTCTGTTTTACAGAGTGCTAATTGGTCTGTTTCACAGAGTGCTTATTGGTGCGTTTCCAATCCTTTAGCTAGACACAAAAGTTCTGCAAGTCCCCACCCAATTAGCTAGACACAGAGTGCTGATTGGTGCGTTTACAAACCTTTAGCTAGACACAGAGTGCTGATTGGTGCATTTACAATCCTTTAGCTAGACAGAAAAGTTCTCCAAGTCCCCACCTGACCCAGAAGCCCAGCTGGCTTCACATCTCAGAATGGGAGGCAGGTTTGCCCGACACAGTTCCCAGCTTGACTTTTCTCTTCGGGTTAGTAATTTTGGGATCATGAGATGTATTTTCCTTTCATAATACATTATTTTTTAACTAAAGTCCATAGTTTCTATCAGGTTTACCACTTACATTGTACACTCTCTGGGTTTTGACAAGTGCATATATGTTACTATATCATTATAACACCATTGCAGATGTAAGATGATCCAGATAATGTATGCAGAATTGATTTAGAATTCCAGACTGCATGATAGTATGTTTTTGTTTGGTTGGTTTTGTTTAAGATGGAGTCTCGCTCTGTCACCCAGGCTGGAGTGCAGTGGTGCAATCTCGGCTCACTGCCACCTTCGCCTCAAAGATTCAAGTGATTCTCTTGCCTCAGCCTCCTGAGTAGCTGGGACTACAGGTGTGCACCACCACCCTTGGCTAACTTTTGTATTTTTAGTAGAGATAGGATTTTGCCATGTTGCCCAGGCTGATCTCGAACTCCTGACCTCAGGTGATCTGCCCTCCTCGGCCTCCCAAAGTGCTGGTATTACAGGCGTGAGCCACCTTGCTGGGCCACTATGTATTTTTTAAACCCCCAATTCAATTTCTCTGCATCAATTAAGAAATAAATCCATCTGTTCTAATAAAATACAAAGAATTGAAGGTTTCTTGTTGCTCACTGTATTAGTGCATTCTCACAGTGCTATAAAGAACTACCTGAGACTGGGTAATTTATAAAGAAAAGAGGTTTAATTGGCTCATGGTTCTGCAGGCTGTACAGGAAGCACGGCTGGGGAGGCCTCAGGAAACTTACAATCATGGCAGAAGGTGAAGGGGAAGCAGGAGTCTTACACAGCCAGAGTAGGAGCAAGACAGAGAGAGAAGAGGTGCCACACACTTTTAAACATCCAGATTTCCCGAGAACTCTATCGCGAGAGCAGTACTAAGAGGATAGTGCTAAACCATTAGAAACTGCCCCCATAATCCAATCACCTCGCGCCAGGCCCCACCTCCAGCATTGGGGATTACGATTAAACTTGAGATTTGGGCAGGGACACAGATCCAAGCCGTATCACTCACTGTAAAGGAAGCAATGTCAGAGACACGAAGGCCATAAGAAAAAACGGTGTCCCTATTGGGAGTGTGCTATCTATTAAGAACATACATTGATAAGCACCAGACGTTTGTAATATACGTGGGAGCATAATGCAGTTTAAGAAAACAAAGACAAGATCGTTCTGCAACACCAAAAGCTGGAGGATTGTCATGGAGCAAACCGAAGTTCAGGGAGGAAAAAAAGCTTTTTTTTATTTTAAATACCGAATTATGACTGCAGCTCTATTTTTGACTTCCATGAGAGGCAATTCCAAATTGACAAACTTTGTTTCCCAGTTTTGAGAATGGACTTTACCTGTGGGGTGATGGAGAAAGAGGATACCACAAATTCTCACTGCATAGAGTAGTGTTTGACCAGTTGAGCAAAGGAAAGGGTTTAGTCTCTATTTTAAGAAATTTTAGGCTTCCCAGGATTTTCTCTAGGCCTTGCCTTGTTTGCACAAACACGATAAAGCAACTGTTTCGTTGATGTCCTGGTGAAACCACCTTTGTAAAATTGTGACTGAGACAGTGAAAGAGGTCTAACCTAACCAAGTCCATCTTGCTTCTAACCTCTAAGCTGTCCTTTTTCACTCCTGGGCGTAGGCTGAACTAACTTTGGGAGAAACTTAGTTTATAGTTTAAAACAAAGATGATAACGGCCCTTTCCAAAGCAGACCTTCTTCTTGCCTGGGGACTAGACTGCCTTTTTAGGACTAACATTAGTGCAAGATTAGAAATTGTGGTTTAGGAGTCATGCAGCTGGAGGCTACAAGATTCTGGCCCTCCCTAAACTGCTCTTAAGATCAGTGCTTGAGATATCTTGCAGACCCTGCACTTGATGGATCAGCTGGCACCACCCAGATCAATAAACTGGCCCCCATCCAGGAACCGATTCAGCTCCCTGACCAATCAGCACTCCCGGCTCACTGGCTTCCCCAGACCCACCAAGTTGTCCTTAAAAACTCAGATCCCGGAATGCTCAGGCAGACTGATTTGAGCAATAATAAAACTCTAGCCTCCCGCACAGCCTGCTCTGCGTGAATTACTGTTTCTCTATTGCAATTCCCCTATCTTGATAAATCCACTCTGTCTAGGTAGCAGGCAAGGTGAACCCTTTGAGCGGTTACCTTGGGCTTCTTGAGGGAACTAATTTTCAGCTTTTTGGCTTTTTTGTCTCTCTGTTGGGGAGGTTTCATTTCTAGTCTGTGTGAACCCTCCATCTTCTGCGATGTCAAGCAGTTGCTAGGGAATTAGTTCATATTTATTACTCTGGCTGCAGTTTCTGTCTTCAGGTCTAGGACTTTGAGATTTCATTTTTAAGTGACTATGTTTTTTAACCTGCATTTCCATGTGTCAATGGTAAGAGTAAGCGTGAGTGCATTTGCTCAGCCACTTGTGTCACTAGGAGGGAACCACAGTGATCATTTAAAAGATAAATAGGGGCTGGGTTCACGCCTGTAATCCCAGCACTTTGGGAGGCCGAGGCAGGTGGATCATTTGAGGTCAGGAGTTCGAGACCAGCCTGGCCAATATGGTGAAACCCCATCTCTACTAAAAATACAAAAATTAGCCAGGCGTGGTGGCGCGTACTTGTAATCCCAGTTACTTGGGAGGCTGAGGCGGGAGAATTGCTTGAACCCGGGAGGCGGAGGCTGCAGTGAGCTGAGATTGTGCCACTGCACTCCAGCCTGGGTGACAGAGAGAGATTCCGTCTCAAAAAAAAAAAAAAAAGATAAATAGGATGGTGTAAAATATCATTTCCCTGTTTTTAAAACAGCCATTTATAGACTTTAATAAAGTAGGATTGATTCACTCTTTTACAAAAGCTATATATATATATATATATATATATATATATTTTTTTTTTTTTTTTTTTTAGATGGAGTCTCGCTCTGTCACCCAGGCTGGAGTGCAGTGGTGCGATGTCAGCTCACTGCAACCTCCACCTTCCAGGCTCAAGCAATCCTCTTGCCTCAGCCTCCCCAGTAGCTGGGACCACAGGTGCACATCACCACCCAATTAATTTTTGTATTTTTTTTTTTTAGAGAGGGGGTCTCACTATGTTGTCCAGGCTTGTCTCAAACTCCCAGGCTCAAGTGATTATCCCACCTCAGCCTCCCAAGTACCTGGGACTACAGGTGCACACCATAATGCCCAGCTAATTTTTGTATTTTTGATAGAGATAGGGTTTTGTTTTGCCATGTTGCCCGGGCTGGTCTCAAATTCCTGAGTTCAGGTGATTTTCCCACCTTGATCTCCCAAAGTGTTGGGAATACAGGCATGAGCCACTGCACCTGGCCCCAAACCAGTATTTTTTTAAAGAATTTTCCAAAATGTTAACATTGACTTTCTGGGTTGTGAGATCACAGATACTATATGTCATAGTATATTCTTTAATTATATCAGTAATTTTACCATTTTGAGCAATAAAAAAATAATAATATTTGGGCTGGGCACGGTGTCTCACGCCAGTAATCCCGACACACTGGGAGGCTGAGGTGGGAGGACTGCTTAAACCAGGAGTTTGAGACCAGACTGAGCAACATGGAGAAACCCCATCTCTTCAAAAAAATACAAAAATTAGCTGGGCGTAGTGGCACGTGCCTGTAGTCCCAGCTACTTGGGAGGCTGAAGTAGGAGAATCACCTGAGCCCAGGAAGTGAAGGCTGTAGTGAGCTGTGACTGCACCACTGCATTTCAGACCCTGCCTCAGTAATACATAATTACATAATTAAAATAATAATAATATTTAAAAAACACAGTGGATACTATTGCCTGGAAATTATAAGACCTTTAGCTGAGTATCACATGAGAGTAGCCAAAATTGATTACTCAAAATTACGTTATTTGGCCATAGGTAAGGACATGTAAATTTGGGAAGAATTTATGAAAAAGAGAATGAGATATTTGATCAAAGATGAAGATCCCTGCTTCTGTTGGAAAATATCAAAGAACAACCGGACACATTCATTGCGATTCAGGAAAGGTTTTAATGGGATGACTTCAAAGAGGAAGACATATTTTCAATTGCAGAAATGGCAAGGGCACATTGTTGGTGTGAAGGCCTGAGTCGGTGGGAAATAAATGAGCTAATCTAAGACACTGACATAAAGCTTCCAGGAAAGAAATATGGACAGTGGTGCAGTCGTGAGAAATGTGTTTGATCTTGCAGAAGTGGTGTCATTTGTGAGAGTGACAGGCAGATTCACACAAGCGCATAGAATGCACCCTACAGACACAGAGCCGACACACCTCGCTTAAAGGGGAGCTGGAATTTAGGATGCATAATTTAGGGAGAAGATGATAAAATAATGGCTAACCAAACAGCACACACACAAACTCACGTGCACGCATGGACACACACACACACACACACGAATCTACTATATCAAAGAAAATAGAAACAGCCTGAATTTTTGGTGCACAATTTTAAAAGCAGATACCGTAAAAGTAAATTTGAGCTGCGCGCTGTGGCTCATGCCTGTAATCCCAGCACTGTGGGAGGCCGAGGCAGGTGGATAACTTGAGGCCAGAAGTTAGAGACTAACCTGGCACACATGGTGAGACCCCGTCTGTACTACAAATACAAAAATTAGCCTGGTGCGGTGGTTCACGCCTGTCATTCCAGCTGCTCCGGTGGCTGACGCATGAGAATCGCTTGGACCTGGGAGGCGGAGGTTGCAGTGAGCTGAGATGATACCACTGCACTCCAGCCTGGGTGACAGAGTGAGACTCTCTCTCAAAAAGAAAAAGAAAAGAAAAAAGAAAAGGGGGATGGAAAAGTATGATAAATAGAGAAAATTAATGAAAATGTGAGGACCTCGAAAGCTGTATATCATTACAGGTTAGGGATTAACTGATTAAGCAATATTCAATCTCTTTTCTTTTCTTTTCTTTTTTTTTTTTTTTTTAGAGACAGGATCTTAGTCTATCACCCAGGCTGGAGTGCAGTGGTATAATCACAGCTCACTGCAGCCTCTAAATCCTAGGCTGGAGTGATCCTCCTGCCTCAGCCTCTTGAGTAGCTGGGACTACAGCTGTGCATCACCATGCCCAGCTAAGTTTTTAATTTTTTGTAGAGATTGGGTGGGGGAGGTCTCACTATGTTGCATAGGCTGGGGTCAAACTCCTGGCCTCGAGCCATCCTTTCACCTCGGCCTCCCAAGGCTCTGAGATTACAGATATGAGCCACTGTGCCTGGCCTGTTATTTTTTTAACATATCAGTTGCACAAGACTCCCACCTACAGCGAAGCAGGATGAAAAGAGATTAAGCTCTGATGAGAAGCCATTCAGTGTGGTGTGTTACCTTCTTTGTAGGATCCTGAACAGATCACCTTATCTCTAGATTTCAGCTTTTTCAGCTTCAAAACAAAAAGTCGGACCTGAGTTATCTTGACTGTTCTTACTGAAATTCTCTGAGTCCTGTATGAGAAAAAAACTACATAATTTTCCCCTATTTTGTTTTGTAATATAGAAAGAGTTTCTTCCTTTCTATTCTTTGTTTAGAATACAACTTTATGTTTTGTTTTCAATAAATCTTTGAGAATGAGGTGTTGACTTCTACGGGTCATTCAAGGTGAATTTTCATTCAGGCATTTAAAAAAAAGAATGATTCACTCTTGGGAAATGTCAGCTGACTGAGCTGCCGCTCCTTTTTAAGTCAGGAATAAGTAGTAAAGTGCGTTTTTATACAGAATATTACCTATTCCATGTAAATCTTTAATAAGGCATGCTAGAGGGTTTTAAAAGAAATCCAGACTTCATGAAATGAGAATATCCAGAGGGAAAAATGATTGAATTTAAAGAGAGAGAGAGAGAAAAAAAAAGAAGGAACCTTCAGTGGTAACTGTATTCAGCCAAGGGGATCTGCTGATGGAATTATGAAATCCAGTTTGGGAAGTGAAGTGAACTTTCCCAGCCACCGACTCAAAGCACAAGATCCTAAAGTGCTTAATGAACAGTGAAGGCTGACCTGTGAAGGATTAGGAATTTCAGACATGTGTTACTTAAGCTTCTCATTCCCAGAACCAAAATTCCTCGCAATAAAAGAAAGAAAGAAGTCAGCATGATGGCTCCATCGCTGGGCTGACCTCAGATCGTGCTGGTCTCAGTGATGAACGGAAGGAATGAGAAATCTTCTAACAGATTCCACATTTCTGGTATTGTTTTTGACTCCTCTGACTTTGTCTTTACCCCAATTACCCTGTAGCCTGATCTCACTATTTCCCCTGAAATACAACAATTTTTCTCTGAAATACAACAATCTGTGTTACCTTAATCAGCAGATCATTGTTCCATGGCAAAGTAATTATTGAGGAAAGCTGTGAAAGAAAAAAAGACTCTTGTATATGCCTGCCAATTAATTACTCTGTTATTGTTCTGATTTTCTTTTCTTTCTTGATTTTAACCAATCTACCCCTTGTTTTAGGGAACGGTTTTGCATGGAGCTGAAATCAAAATTTGTTTTTAACCAAATTGTCGTTCTTCACAGAATGTCAATGCAATAATACCTTCAGGCTCTTGGAGAAGATATAGTTTACAAAGGGCCATTTTTGTATATGGGATCTTCTCCTATACATCTTCAACAGCTTGAGTTGAGCCACTGCATGCAAACTGATGACCTTGCTAATGACGCTGGTTGGTTCTACTACTTCACTGATCCCCTTTGTCTTGGTGAATGAATGAAGGGGTTTAAGATAAGACCACTGGCCAATCCTGTAGCTGACTTACAAACACCTGGAAAAGTGGTGAGATGGGATCAGTTATCACTGGATAAGCTTCATACAGAACCTTAGAGAAAATGTCCTAAAATCTTTTTAATCCAGAAAATCACGTTTTTACTGTTAGATTATGTTTTTGTTTAATCCAGAGAATTATATTTTAGGTTAACTGTACACATTCTATTTACCTGTACTGAGTAGGGTCAAAATTATGTTTTTAGTTTGTTGAATTCCATGATACTTCCTCATGCTGAATTCATTGAATTGCATGCAAAAGATTCTGAATGACAACCAAAATGTCAGCTATATGTTTATTCAAATTCATTTGTAATGTTAATTCAGTAAACCTTTTAACTGCTAGGCATCAACCTAAGGCAATCGTCTTCTCCAATTAAGAAGTATATATGCAAAGCTACATTATAATTAGGGAGAGAATTTTTGAGTTTACAGAGTCATAAAACATAAGTGGATTGGGAGATAATTTTTGAGTTTACAGAGTCATAAAACTTAAGTGAACTGAATGTTTCCTGACTCAAATGGATTTAAGAGTTCTTTTCTATAAAAAGAGGCGCATGTCCTTGGAAATACAGTCTTCTCTCAGCTGAGTAGGGTGTTTTCTCCTCTAACTCCTATAACCAATAGATATGGCAGCTTGGACTTAGGTCTTTTATTTGCTTTGTTTCATTTCATTAGATGCTTGTGTGACACACTGCACGTATCTGGATATGTTCACACCTCCATTCAAGTCAGCATTTGTTGTATGAGTCACTGTCTTTACTTAAGGCAACGATCACTATCTCTTTCGGTACTGAATATATTATATTTTGGTTTACATTTTCCCTTTTGCAATTCCTCATTTTCAAGTTTTACATGTAGGCTGCCCATGGTCTCAAAAAAAGCAAATAACTACATAAATGCTCTGTCTTATTCTCAGTAATGACAACCGCATATTTGAAGATTTCTGGAAGATTTTCCTACATGGAAATATGTCAATGTTGTGGGGCCACTGGGTTATTTATTCATAACTATATATCTAAAATCAAGGGGAGAGGTCAGGGATGTTCTTATGAGAAATAATAAGAAGAGTACAATCTCTGACTCTGATGGTGGGTGGTGATGTTATGATTTCAGGGAAAAGTAATCTATGACCGAATGGTGGGTCATGAGCATCTCCATCCAGGAAAAGCAATCTATGACTGAGATGTTAAGACATGGGCATCTCAGCCCAGGAGAAACAGTCTATGAACAGGACAAAGAGCGCTGATGATCATATTCCTGGTTTTATTAGAACAGGTCTTTGCAATGTTCCACTTTAGCCTCTAGTTCAAGAATGACTTGCTGATTAACAGGCTCAAGCTTTCTTGACAGAGTGGAGTCTTGGCAAAAATGCTGAGTAGAGAGTAGTAGAAGCTTGTTTGGGAGCCTCTGGTAGCTGTTTCTTTCAGTAATCAGGCTTCCTCAAAAACACAATCCTCTGGCCTCACTCTGCCCACGTCAGATGTCCCACAGTGCCTGTGCTATGTGAGCAAGTCTTTCCTATTTTAGAAATGTTTCCTTCTGGTAGCACACAGTAGCTCATGTCTGTAATTCTAACACTTTGGGAGGCTAAGGAGGGAGAATGGCTTGAGTCCGGGAATTCAAGACCACCAGCCTGGGCAACATAGGGAGACACCATCTCTGCAAAAAAAAAAAATAAATAAATAAAATAGTTAACTGAGCGTGGTGGTGCACATGCCTGTGGTCCTAGCTACTTGGGAAGAAAAGACAGGAGGATTACTCGAGCCCAGGAGTTCAAAACCAGCCTGGGCAACATAGCAAGACCCCATCTCTGCAAAAAATAAAATAATTAGCCAGGCATGGTAGTGAGTATTTGTGAAGCTGAGGCAGGAGGATCCTTGAGCCCAGGAGATCGAGGCTGCAGTGAGCTGTGATGGTACCACTGCACTCTAGCCTGGGTGACAGAGAGACACCTTGTCTAAAAAAAAAAGAGAGAGAAATGTTTCTTTTCCTTACTGAGGTCAAATCCTACATGTTCCATTGTTGCTTTTCTGGGCATCTCCCAAATCAGTGTAACACATTCTCATTAGTGGTTCTGGCGGTTCCTCTATCAATGTCTAGGCATTCCTGCCTCTAATGCTGGAAATGCATTGTCTAGGCTAGCCATGAGGTGTAGGTGGTAAAACAAAACAAAACAAAACAGGAACACATCTGAACTGCTCCTGGAGTCTCACCATGCAAATGCTCCTACCCCTCTAACAATTCCACAACCCCCTACTGTATGTAGTCCATTTTCATGAGCTGAATTGAAGTGGACAGTTCTGCTTTAAACTGGTGGACAGGATTGAATTTGGAGGAAGACACTGAGTTTTTTTTTTCTCTCTCTCTGAATATAACGTCTTTTTTTTTTTTTTTTTTCAGATGGAGTCTCAGTCTATTGCCCAGCCTGGGGTGCAGTGGTGTGATCTCGGCTCACTGAAACCTCCACCTGCCAGGTTCAAGCAATCCTCCTGCCTCAGCCTCCCAAGTACCTGAGATTACAGGTGTGCACCACCATGCCCAGCTAATTTTGTATTTTTAGTAGATATGGGATTTCACCATGTTGGCCAGGCTGGTCTCAAAGTCCTGACCTCAAGTGATCCACTTGCCTCAGCTTCCCAAAATGCTGAGATTACATGCCTGAGCCACTGCACCTGGCCAGGATATATGTTTTCTTTAAATTAAAAAAGAATCACGTGAACTTCAAGTTTTGAAGACAACGTCAAAGAACAGACACAGTCCAGGACTAAGCCTGGAGAAGAGCTATTTTTCTCAGCTCTGCAGGAAGCAGTGCACAACTACATGGCAGGAATGGGGGTCTCAGGAAACAGTAAAGGGGCCCAGGTGGGATGGTGGGAGAAGTTTGGCACACCAAGGAAGGCTCTTGGAGGATGGGCATGAGAGATGGGCATGAATCTCTTTCACCTGTCAGTACTTGCAACATAGTCTTTGGTGTCTGTTTTGTTTTTTGAGACAGGGTCTCACTCTGTGGCCCAGGATAGAGTGCAGCGGTGTAATCATAGTTCGTTGCAGCCTCAAACTCCTGGGTTCAAGCAGTTGTCCTGCCTCAGCCCCCTGAGTAGCTAGGACCACAGGCATGTGCCACCACATCTGACTAATTTTTGTATTTTTAGTAGAGATGGGGTTTTCTCACGTTGGCCAAGCTGGTCTCGAACTCCTGGCCTCAAGTGATCCGCCTGCCTCGGCCTCCCAAAGTGATGGGATTACAGGCATGAGCCATCATGCCCAGCTGCCCAACATAATCTTTGGAGTTCAGAAGAATCCTGGAGATTTGACTTATGAGACAAAGCAAAGCATCATTCCATATTCCTAAGCTGACTTTACATTTGGACATACACCCTGGAACAAAGTTGACATTTAAGAAAATACCCATAAATACAATTATCTATTTATTACTTACGTTAGTTTTGTGGAGGATTCTTAGCAGAGCAGATGTTAAGATGTCTATGCCAATATTTATTTCACTACAGAGATGTATAAAAGAATGGAGAGTGCCTAAAAAAGAAAAGGTAATGAAAGATATCAAAATAGTGTTTATAAGAAAGTCAGGCTGGGTGCAGTGACTCTATGCCTGTGGTCCTAGTATTCTGGGAGGCCAGGGTCGGGGGATTGCTTGAGGCCAGAAGTTTGTGACTAGCTTGGGCAACATACTGAGACCTCATCTCTATGAAAAATTAAATATTAAACAATTAACTAGGCATGGTGACACTCACCTGTAGTCTCAGCTACTCAGGAGGCTGAGGCAGGAGGATCGCTCCCAAGCCTGGGAGATTGAGGCTGCATTGAGCTGTGATCGCACCACTGCACTCCTGCTTAGGGGACAGAGTGAGACCCTGTCTCTAAAAACAAAAAGAAAAAAAAAAGAAATTCGGCTTAGTGGAGGTCTTTTTCAACTATTATTTCATTTGGAAAAAAACTTCACTTTAATATTGGTAAATAACACACATACATGTAGACAAAGTTTAAATTCCCAGGGCCAGACGCGGTGGCTGACGCCTGTAATCTCAGCACTTTGGGAGGCCGAGGCAAGAAGATCATCTGAGGTTAGGACTTCGAGACCAGCCTGGCCAACATAGTGAAACCCTGTCTCTACTAAAAATACAAAAAAATTAGCTGGGTGTGGTGGCGGGCACCTGTAGTCCCAGCTACTAGGGAGGCTGAGGCAGGAGAATGGTGTGAACCCGGGAGGTGGAGCTTGCAGTGAGCCGAGATCGCACCATGTGCCACTGCACTCCAGCCTGGGTGACAGAGCAAGACTCCATCTCAAAAAAAAATAAAAAAAAAAATTAGGTGTGGTGGCTCACGCCTGTAATCCCAGCTACTCAGGAGGCTGAGGCAGAAGAATCACTTGAACCCCAGAGGCGAAGGTTGCAGTGAGCAGAGATCGTGCCACTGCACTCCAGCCTGGGAGCTAGAATGAGACTCTGTCTCAAAGAAAAAAAAATTGTTCAAATTCCCAATCATTGGGAATAATAATAATAAATCTTCACTCTTCAAGCTCTGGTCCTTCTCTTAGGGATGCTCTTTGTACAGAGAGGATTGAAAGCATAGAGTCTCATGTCCATCCTGAGAGTAACATGGCCTGAGCTACCAGCCTCTCCACACCCCTGGCTGCTGAAAGCCACCCTGTGAAACCTCAAATCTGGCTTGGAATTCCTTCTCCAGCCACAGATGGAAATACCAGACATGTGTTCACTGTAGATAATTCAGATATAAATAAGTTTTCTACCAGAAACGAAATATTGTGATGTATGCAATTCTATCACTTGGTGTAATTACCAATGTTCTTCTTTAAGGACAACACATGGTTATGGTTTGAATAGTGACCTCCTGTCCCCCAAATTCACATGATAAAATGCTAATCCCCAATACCTGTGAAAGTGATCTTCTTTGGAAGTGAGGTCTCTGTAGATGTCATCAAGTTAAAATGAAGTCATTTGGGTGGGTCCTAAATCCAACGACTAGTGTCCTAATAAAAAGATGGAATTTGGGCTGGGTGCAGTGGCCCATGCCTGTAGTCCCAGCATTTTGGGAGGCCCAGGTGAGTGGATCACTTGAGGCCAGGAGTTTGAGACCAGCCTGATCAACATGGTGGGACCCCATTTCTATATTTAAGGAAAAAAAAAGGATGGGGGACAATTAGGACACAGACACACACCCAGGGAATATGCCATGGGGAGATGAAGGCTGAGATAGGACTGATGTTTCTGAAACCAAAGAGTGCTCAAGATCTCAGGAAACCACCAGAAGAGAGGGAGGAAGCATGAGACAGTCTCTCCTTCGGAGACTCAGAGGAACTGACATGGTTTGGCTCTGTGTCCCCACCCAAATCTCATCTCCAGTTGTAATCCCCATAATCCCCACAGGTCAAGGGCAGGACCAGGTGGAGGCAATTGTATCATGGAGGTGGTTTCTCCCATATGCTGTTCTTGTGATAGTGAGTGAGTTCTCACGAGATCTGATGGTATTGTAAGAGTCTGGCATTTCCCGTTTGCACTAACTCCATCCTGCCGCCCTGTGACGAAGATGTCTGCTTCTCTTTCACCTTCTGCCATGATTGTAAGTTTCCTGAGGCCTTCCCAGCCATGCAGAATTGACTGTGAGTCAATTAAATCTCTTTCCTCTATAAATTACCCAGTCTTGGGTATTTCTTCATAACAGTGTGAGAACAGACTAATACAGGAACCAACCCTGTCAACTTTTTTCCATATATATATATATATATATATATAATGTGTATATATACACATATGTATTTATGTGTATGTATATATACATAAAATATGTGTATGCATAAAATTTGTGTATATATACATAAAATGTGTGTGTGTATATATATATATATACACATACTTTTTTTTCCCATAAAATCTAGACCCTGCACAACCTGCCAAACCTTGATCTCAGACTTCCCTGCTGACCTGTGTATGTGACATTACAGCCAAACATTTTCTGTCCTCTCTGCTTTTATAGTTGAGCATCTTTCTAGGACAAAACTGTAGGATTATTTTGCCTACTATGAACTTCTGGAAGAGTTTATCTGGATGAAATAGAAGGAAAAAAAATAGGAGATAGATCAAGGGGTGTGATCTTTCAGCTTGCGTCCCAACCCAGGTGATATGGTTTGGCTGTGCCCCCACCCAAATCTCATTTTGAATTGTAGCTCCGGTAATACCCATGTGCTGTGGGAGGGACCCAGTGAGAGATAATTAAATCATGGGGGTGGTTTCCTCCATACTGTTCTCATGATAGTGAATAAGTCTTACAAGATCTGCTGGTTTTATAAGGGGTTTCCTCTTCCACTTGACTCTCATTGTCTCTTGCCTGCTGCCATGTAAGATGTGCCTTTTGCCTTCCACCATGATTGTGAAGCCTCCCCAGCCATGTGGAACTGTGAGTTCATTAAACCTCTTTTTCTTTATAAATTACCCAGTCTGAGGTATGTTATATCAGCAGAGTGAAAACGGACTAATACACCAGGCCAGTGGAAATTGTGCAAAGGAGTTTGAACTCATCTTCTTTGCTTTGTGTAGAAGAAATCTCAGTATAGAGGCAGAATCTGCCTCCCTCGAGATTAAGACAGCAGGGAAGAGAGGCAGCCCCCCTTCCCTGAAGGCAGGTCAGAATGAGGACATACTCAGTTTGGGACCCAACTTTCTCAAGAGAAAAAGTCATTCCTTCTCCCCTGGGATGAGGAAAAGATGAGCATGAGAGTTGAAGAGGTTTCTTGGGAGAAGTGGAGGGGTTTCTCCTATACTTTTTCCCCTGGAGAGTAAAATAACCACACTCTCCCTAGGAAAACATTCATTTTTTTCCTACAGCACGTCAGATCTGTTAACGAATGTTTTACTTTGAACTCGGGCCATTGCAAAATCATCAGCCTGAAAGAGCGGATACTCTTGCATTGGAATTCACTAATGTTCAGTTTGTTTACAATGTGGCTTTCCTGTCCAGTGTTTTAAAATTCCACATGTATAACTGACCCTCGGAGAACAGTTCCATTGCTTAGAGAACTTAGCAGGGTAACCCCATTGGGCAGCAGGATGACAGTAGCTTTGCACACTGAAAAAGAAACAAAACAGATTAATAAATAGGGAAAGGCTTTGATGATGAGCTCACCAATAGAGGTGGAGAGAAGGGAGGGAGAGTTTAAAAAGTGCTGGAGGCTTCTATCCTGGGGCTGGGGAGACTTTGATGAGGACACAGGCTCAGTTGGGTTCTGTTTGGCAGATACACTTAAGGAGGAACTAGGAAAAAACCAAAAAGGCCCTGGAGGCTTCCAAGGAAATGTCTCTGTTGCAATACTTTGGCTGCAAGATATTTTCTTCTGTCCCCAGCCAGAAGGAGCAATCCTGGTGCTTAAATAAAAAGGCATGAAGGCCCAAAGTGGCTCTTGACTTGCCAAGGCAGTATTACAGAGAATTAAGCCCTACCTTAGGGCATGCCAGGAGCCTGCTGGAGGTGTCAGTGTTACTGGAAAAGAGGCCCAACCCAGACCCCAAGAGAAGGTTCTTGGAACTCGTACAAGAAAGAATTCTGGGTGAGTCCATAAAGTAAAGTGAAAGCAAGTTTATTAAGAAAGTAAAGGAATAAATGAATGGCTACTCCACAGACAGAGCAGCCCCGAGGGCGAGGGCTGCTGGTTGCCCATTTGTATGGTGATTTCTTGATGATATGCTAAACAAGGGGTGGATCATTCATGCCTCCCCCTTTTAGAGCTCATAGGGTAACTTCCTGACCTTGCCGTGGCATTGGTAAACTGTCATGGTGCTGGTGGATGTATAGCAGTGAGGATGCCCAGAGGTCAGTCTCGTCGGCATCTTGGTTTTGGTGGGCTTTGGCCGGCTTCTTTGCTACCATCTGTTTTATCAGCCAGGTCCTTACGACCTGTATCTCATGCTGACCTCCAATCTCATATTGTGACTTAGAATGTCTTAACTTCCTGGGAATGCAGTCCAGCAGGTCTTAGCCTTATTTTACCCAGCCCCTATTCAAGATGGAGTTGCTCTGGTTCAAACACCTCCGACAGGTGCAGCAGAGAATGTTTACAGCAGGGAAACTGTTCTGTATGAGGCTATACTGGTGGATACATGTGATTATGTATTTGTCAAAACCTATAGAATGTGCAACACAGTAAACCTTAATGTAAATTCTGGGCTTTTGGGGTTATGTTATGAACCCAGTGTGTGTTCATCATTGTAACAAATGTTCATTGTAACAAATGTACTGCTCTAGTCGGGGATGTTCATAGTGGGGGAGGCTGTTTGGGAAGAGGGCAGAGAGTATCTGAGAAATCTTTGTATCTTCCGCTCACTTTTGCCGTGAACCTAAAACTGCTCTAAAAAAACAGTCTTTTAAAAAAGAAAGAAAAGAAAAGAAAAAGAGTGCAGACATGTTATAGCATGGGTGATCCCCAAAAGAGAATGCTTAGTCAAAGAAGCCAGTCACAAAATGTGTCCAGAGTTGGTTCCTTCTGGTGGGTTCGTGGTCTCACTTCAAGAATGAAGCCGCGGACCTTCGCGGTGAGTGTTACAGCTCTTAAAGATGGCACGGACCAAAAGAGTGAGTGGTAGCAAGGTTATTGTGAAGAGGAGGTCGAGGCTGCTGTGAGCCATGTTCACATCCAGCCTGGGCAACAGAGCAAGACCCTGTCTCAAAATAATTATGATAATAATAATAAGATTAGCTTTGCATAGTTTATCAGACAAGAAAACTACAAATAAGTAACTACAGCACATATTCTCAGAGAGAGAGAGTTCTTTTGCGGGGAGATGTCTTTCGTGGTTTTTGTTATTTGCCAACTGGAAGGCCCAGTAGGCTGGAAGAATTTACCCTAAAGGGGTTCAGAGGACAAGTATACTGCTATGTTCTTTTTAGGAGGCTTTTGGAGAATTAATTCTTCAAATTTAGAGTTATTTCTAGTTTATGTTTTTGTTTTGTTTTGTTTTTGAGACAAAGTCTCCCTCCCTCCCCAGGCTGGAGTGCAGTGGCGTGATCTTGGCTCACTGCAGCCTCAAACTCCTGGGCTCCAACGATTCTCCCACCTCAGCCTCCCAAGTGGCTGGGACCACAGGCATGCACTACCATGCTAAAAAAATAATTTTTTGTATTTTTTGTAGAGACAGGGTCTCACTGTGTTGCCTAGACTGGTCTCAAACTCCTAGCCTTAAGCGATCCTCCCAACTCAGCCTCCCAAATTGCTGGAAGTATAGGCATGAGCCACTGTGTACAGCCAGCCGTTTTTAGTTATTTCACAGTAACTAAAAAGTTGATTCTGAAAATACATGAGAGTTTGCTTTTAAGGTGTTGGCTTTGAGGTACAGTTATGCTTGCTGCGTTGAGCACACGTGCACTTGTATTGTTACCTGAGGAGCAGCAATACTAATGTGGCCATGGAAAACGTAGAGGTGGTCTTCCCAACCTAGGCCACCTGCCAACAGGACCCTTCTTCCACTCCCTAGGGTGGGTTCCCTCTGTCCTTCCTCCCCTGGTTCCTGTGAAAATGGTCAGAGGAGAAAAAGGGGTTACTGTATGGGTGCAGGATCTTCTTTGCTGCGTGTTTTAGGGGGCGCTGCAGACATCTCAGTATGGTCCATGTTCTCCTGCACATTTAGGGCTTCGGAGGGGTGATTGCCACAGCTCAGGCTAGAGTGCATCACCCAAAGTAACTCTCAGCCTATAAACTGCACTTTTACAAGCAGATTATAGACCCGTAGCATTGGCATGTTTGATACGTCTGAACACAGAACTCTGATAGTAAAATCTCAACATGATTCTTGCTGGACAGGCCAGTTCTCTCTGTGTATATTCTAGGTTTTGAGAAACCACAACCAGAGCCCCCTGGCTCCACGTCCACCATGGTTTTTCCCTTGAATGGTGCTCCCAGAAGCTTTCTGGGTTACACACTAGTGGTGTCTCTGGATTTAGTCGTGAAGTTCCTGGAAAAAATTCCTTTTCCCTAGGCTACTGGTGTGAGTTAAATTCTACTAGGAGTTCCTCTGGGCTGTTTCACTTCGTTATTTAAATTTTAAAAAATATTTTAATTTTTTGTAACTTTTATGTTTTTTAAATGTTGTTTTAGATTCAGGGGCACACATGCAGCTTTGTTACATGGTTATATTGTCTGACAGTGAGTTTTGGGATTCTAGTGTACCCATGGTCTGAATAGTGTACATTGTACCCATGAAGTAATTTTTCATCCTTCACCTCCTTCCCACCCTTCTGAGTCTGCAGTGTCTATTATTCCACTCTCTGTGTCTATGTGCATGCCTATTTACCTCCCACTTAGAAGCAGAAACCTGCAGTGGCTCTTATTTCCATCTTTATGTCCATGTGTACCCAGTGTTTAGCTTCTACTTACACATGAAAACGTATGGCATTTCATTTACTGCTTCTGAGTCATTTCACTTAGAATAATGGCCTCCAGCTCCATCCGTGTTGCTGCAAAAGACATGGTTTTATTCTTTTTTATGGCTGTGTAGTATTCCATGGTGCTTGAATGTACATATGTATGTACATGGGTGCACAGATGTATGTACATACATGCACCATGGAATACCACGCAGCCATAACAAATAATAAATTTTAAAAATATCTATCTCTATACCTCTATATATCTATACATCTATATATCCATACATATCTATATATCTATACTTCTATATATCTATACATATCTATATATCTATGCCTCTATATATCTATATATCTATACATATCTATATATCTGTACCTCTATATACCTGTTATTAGGTTGGTGCAAAAGTAATTGTGGCTTTTTCTGTTACTTTTAATGTGAAAAACTGCAATTACTTTTGCATCAACCTAATATACATGTATGCATATCTATGTCTGTCTATATACATACACACCACATTTTCTTGATCCAATCATCTGCTAATGGACACTTAGGTTGATTCCATGACTTTGCTATTACGAATTGTGCTGTGATAAACATAAGAGTGAAGGTGTCTTTTTGATATAATGATTACTCTTCTTTTGCATAGATAAAAGTCCTAGAAAAAACTCTTCCATGTTTTAACATCCAATCCTGTCTCACCAACCGTGGCTCAGAAACCACTATTGCTTTCTGGATTAGAAAAACTCATCCAGTTCTTGTGGATTACACACTAGGAACCAGTTTTCTGCAAAAAGCAAACTACTCCAGAGAACAGTCCTCTTGGTATCGTTCCAGTTCATGAACAGCCATTGAAAATGATGACGAAGGTGGTCATTTCAACGCCAGCTTGCTGTGGTTTCGAAACAGCAGAGCACGAATGAAGCCCAACTAAGCCCTCGGTGTGTTAATCCAATGATGATGTCTTCACCCCACATCACCTTCTTTATCCCAACAATATTCCCGAGGCAATACAAGAAAAAAGGTGTATCCGTTTCCTGGCCATTCGTGGGTATATTTTAGCCTCAAAAGGGGCATGTGGACATGAAAATAGGCTCTTTCAGAGTAGGGGAATTTATCTTCACTAAAAATTTGGATCTTTTGTTAATCACAATTTTTTTCATTCACTTTGATTTTTTATGATATGGAATTAAAGTATTTCATATTTTGACCACTGAAGTTTTGGTGCCCACTGAAATTTTGTGCTCAAAGCAGTTGGCTCAATTTCCCCACCCTAGCCCTGTCCTGGGCACCACTGCTGGCTAAAAATTCTATTTATACATACATATATATTATGTTTTTAGACATATAGCGTTTGTACATATAAAAAATTATGTATATGTGTATGCATGTATGTACATATATAGATGGTCCCTCATTTAAGATGGGTTCAACTTACAGTTCATTTTTTATTATTTTTTTTAAGACAGGATCTTCCTTTGTGGCCCAGGCTAGAGTGCAGTGGTGCAATGATGGCTCACTGCAGACTCAACTTGCTGAGCTCAGGGATCCTCCTGCCTCAACCTCTCAAGTAGCTGGGGCTGCAGGTGTGAGCCACCATGCCTGGCTAAATTTTTATTTTTTGTAGAGACAGGATCTCACTATATGGCCCAGACCAGTCTCAAACTCCTGGTCTCAAGCAATCCTCCTGACTCTGCCTCTCAAAACAATAGGATTACAAGTGTGAGTTACCACACCTGGCCCAGATATTCTTAACATTTTTGTTTTTTAAATAGAGATGAGGTCTTCCTATGTTATCCAGACTGGTCTTGAACTCCTGGCCTCAAGCAATCTTCCTGCCTTGGCATCTCAAAGCACTGGGATTACAGGCATGAGCCACCACACCCAGCCAATTTAGGACTTTTTTGTTTTTATGATAGGTTTATCAGGATGTAACCCTATTGTTAAACATGTAACCCTATTGTTAAACAAACAGTATCTGGACTTAACGAAGGTTCAAATTACAATATTTCAACTTTATAATGGTTTTATCAATGCGTTACCCCATTGTAAATCTAGGAGCTTCTGTATACATCTGTGTATATATATATATATATATATATATATATATATATATACACACAGATTAAAAATTACATATATATACATGTTATATTTTATGCATATACATATGTCTATCTTATATAGTTGCTTAAAATGTTATACATAAATAAAAGATATATATATATAAATTAAATATCATGTATAGAGTTGGTTAAAATTTTATATGTGCATGTAAACTACATTTTATATATATATATATACACTATATATATAATATTTTAATATTATCGTCAGCTGTGGTGCCTAGGGCAGGGCTAGAATGTCTAATGACACAATCTCATCAGGCACAAATTTCAGGAGGTACCAAAAAACTGAAACTAAACTCCATAGTCACGATACTGATAAATATTCAAGACGTATATAATGTTTTAATTATACACACACATACAGACAGTGCTAAGAGACCATTAGCTTTTTTCTCATAATTTAGACAAAACCACTTTTGCAGTGGGCCCTGCTGTGAAAGTAAAGGGTTAATGTTGCTCAAAGAGGGGTGGGGCATTTGCCCCCAGCTCCTGAGAGGTGCACACTAGCCTTGGAATGTCCTGCCTAGTAGGAATGTGTTTATGTACTGGGGGACCTGGGGTAACTGGACAATCTAGCAATGTGATTTAGGGTAGAGGGGGCTATTCATAGCAGAGATTTTTAGAGTATGAGATGGACATACTAGGTGTTAACAATATGGTTAAGGGTGGGAGCTTTGGGTCTTGAAGTATCAGCTCAGACCTCTGGAGAGGCTACAGATTGAGGTCAACTCTGTGGGCCATTGACTGTGGAGCCCCAGCTGAAGACTCTGAACACTGGGGTTTGGGCTAGCTACCCTGGTTGGCAATGCTTCAGGCATTCTGCACAAGCTAAGACTGTGAGGCTCCGTGCTGTCCACAACTCCACAAGGAAAGGACAGAAGGAGCTCTGTGTCTGCAACTTTTCCTGGATTCTATCTGTCCCACATCCCTCTTCTCTTGGCTGCTATGTCAATCTGTATCCTTGCCACGTAATAAACCATAACCATGAGTGTAATGGTGAGGTCTGTCATCCTATCCAAAGAGCCAAACTGAGGGTTGTCTTGGGGACCCCAAAATTTGCAGTTGATGTCAGAACAGTGGGTGGTCATATGGGGATTGTCCCCTCTAACAATGAACTTGACCAACCCTTACACCTACCCTGTCTTAGTTGGAATGCATGAAATGGAGACTTTAGACATTCCTTTCAATCTTGGATGTTATGATTTTATCAAAACAAAGTCTATTATTTTTCTTTGCAGGTGACAGAGAGAGAGAGAGAGAGAGAGAGAGAGAGAGAAAGAAACAGAGAGAAAGAAAAAGAAAAAAAAGAAAAAGCAAGTAAGAAAACATGAGATTGGGCAAGACAGAGCCCATCTCATTTCTCTGTGATTTGGAGGTATCGAATAAGATTCTAATAAGAACTGTGTGGTATGATTGGAATTCAAACTATCAACCTTGAAGTTGATGACAGTGCATAACGGGCTTTTGGTTTGCACATCTTTCTGGTAATTTATCCTCTTTAGTTCCTTGTCTCCACACATCTGCTTGTGCTTAGATCCAAAGGAAGAGACATTAGGAGGCTATAATTTATTTTTCAGGGAGGAATTAGGAAGTGAACCAATGTCCCATTACATTTGCATCAGTTTTTGATTAAAACACACACACGCCACACACATTTCTCACACTGTGAGCACCCCACACTCTTGTGTGGGTATTTTTGTTGTTAATTAAATTTGTTTCTAAATAGACTTCCATCCTAACCTGGCTTTCATGCTTAGAAAGACAAGTGATAAACTGCAATAACCCTTTCACATACTTTGATACAAATGGTTTTAAACAGTTGGGAAGATTAAGAACAAAGAAAGCTTTTAAAAAAAATTTCTGAACCTCCAAAGGTTTTGACCATTTCCTCATTATTATTTTGTCTGCTTTGCACATGATGAAATCAGAAATGGGTTATAAGGTAGAACTGTAGTTCTGACTTTCCAAGAAAAATAGTGGACAAAACCTGAAGACAATTTTCAGATGCAGGATTTTTGTGGGTGATGCAGTGTGCGAGGGTTATGGCACCATTAATCCTTGTACTGTGGGCTGGTGGGGGCCAGCATGGTCTGGCGATTGCCAGGTGGATTGAAACCACAGTCTCAGATTTCAGGGAATGGCTTCTTTCAGTAACGCCTACACCCACATGCCATGTGGCTGGAAGAGCTGCGGAGGGGCAGAATAAACCATTTTTTAATTTGCTGCCTTGAGAAAGATGCACACATCCACTTCAATACCATCGTTTTTATAAACCCAGGCAAATATTTCAGAAGTGTGTGGAGCGTAGGCGACAAGTTGCATTCATGGCTGAGTTACTGATGTTTTAATAGAGCCAATGTTGACTTGGCATAATTTTTATGCTTCATAAACACAATTTATTTTACCGACAAAATGGAGTCCTGCAACAATTTTGCTCTGGAGGAATCTGCTGGGTGAAGCAATACAAATTCTGAGCCTCTTGCATTGAATAAATCTTGGAGATTTGAAAATTCTTATGATTTGACCATTTTTATTCATTCAAAAAAAATGGTGGCTTATGCCTGTAATCCCAGCACTTTGGGAGGCTGATGTAGGTAGAACACTTGAGGTCAGGAGTTCAAGACCAGCCTGGCCAGCATGGTGAAACCCCTTCTCTACTAAAAACACAAAAATTAGCAGGTCGTGGTGGTGCATGTCCGTAATCTCAGCTACTTGGGAGGCTGAGGCAGGAGAATCGCTTGAACCCAGGAAGTGGAGGTTACAGTGAGCCGAGATTGTACCACTGCATTCCAGCCTGGGCAACAGAACGAGATTCTGTCTCAAAAAAAAAAAAATTGCCACATAAACATAATCAAGTATTTGTTTTTTTTTCACAATGGCGAGGGAGACATTTCCAACACAGCATGTATCTTTTATATTTTTACTGGCTTCTGAATTTTTCCCACAACAAAGACATCTTGTTAGACTCTACTCTCATGAAAGTATATTATGCTTGACAAGGTGCCATTGAAGACCTTTGCAGCTGTATCATTAAATGATACATTTATTACAATTCCTGAAGTCTCTGCAACCTCAGATACAATAACCTAGCACATTGGTTGCTCAAAAGTAAATTGACGTCCAAATGCTGAGTTAGCACTTTGAGAAGATTACTTATTCGTTAATCTTAGAGGGGAGGACTTAGTTATTGGCATTCATAAGCGTCCTTTCAAGTAATCAATGCAGCATTTTGACATGAAAAACGGATTATGGAATTTTCCATGAGAAAGTGTGAAGAAGGATTTGATTTTCTTAAGTGCATCTAAAGAAGCTAACATTGGTTTGGAATCGATCCTCTTAACCACAAATATGATTGCTTTATTACAACTTAGGGAAATTAAAAGAAAAATAAAATACGTCTCCCAAAACAATAGCATGGCTTGAGAGAAAATCTGAGCGCAACAAATTTCATTAGTCTTCTCAGGTTTTGAATGACTTCTTAAATATTTGAATCTTCATTAGTTTATTACTGTGGTTGGGAAACAATGCCTTTATAATGTTAATTGAGCACACTGTTTCTGGAATTCTGTAAGCTAAGAAGCCAAGTTGGTGGAGGATGACATCTTGCAAATGACTCAAGGAGACTGGACACAAAAACATTCATGCATTAGAAATCAGGGGTTCAACATGCATGCATATGTTCATTGCAGCACTGTTCTTAATAGCAAAGACATGGAATCAACCTAAATGCCCATCAATGGTAGACTGGATAAAGAAAATGTGGTACATACGTACCATGAGATGCATATACAGCCATAAAAGAGAATGAGATGCTTTGCTGGGAGATGGAAGGAGCTGGAGGCCATTATCCTTAGCAAACTAGCACAGGACCAGAAAACCAAATGCTGCATGCTCTCACTTGTAAGTGGGAGCTAAAGGATGAGAACACATGGACACATAGAGGGGAACAACACACACTGGGGTCTTTTGGAGGGAGGAGGGAGAGGATCAGGAAAAACAACTAATGGGTACTAGGCTTAATATCTGGGTGACAAAATAATCTGTACAACAAATCCCCATGATATTAGTTTATCTATGTAACAAACCTGCACTTTTACCCCTGAACCCTTAAGTAGGCCTTGGCATCTGTTGTTCCCTTCTTTGTGCCCATATATTCTCAACGTTTAGCTCCGCTTCTAAGAGAGAACGTGTGGTATTTGGTTTTCTGCGCCTGTGTTAATTTACTAAGGACAATGGCCTCTAGCTCCATCCAGGTTGCTGCAAAGGACATGATTTTGTTCTTTTTTGTGGCTGCATAGTATTCCATGGTGTATATGTACCACATTTTCCTTATCCAGTCTACCATTGATGGGCATTTAGATTGACTCCATGTCTTTGCTATTGTGAATAGTGCTGCAATGAACATACACGTGTACTTGTCTTTATGGTAGAACAATTTATATTCCTTTGGGTATATACCCAATAATGGGATTGCTGGGTGCAATGGTAGTTCTGTTTTAAGTTCTTTGAGAAATCACCAGACTGCTATCCACCAGTGGCTGAACCAATTTATATTCCCAGCAACAGTGTATAAGTGTCCTCTTTTCCCTACCACCTCACCAGCATCTGCTGGTTTATTTTATTTTATTTTTATTTTTTTAACTTTGTAGTAATGACCATTCTGACTGGTATGAGATGGTATCTCATTGTGGTTTCAATTTGCATTTTCTCTGATAATTAGTGATGTTGAGCTTTTAAAAATAGATTTGTTGGCTGTTTGTATGTCTTCTTTTGAGAAATGTCCTGTTCATGTCTTTTCCCTACTTTTTAATGGATGATATGGTGGGGCTCTGTGTCCCCACCCAAATCTCATCTTGAATTGTATTTCAAATTGGGTTGAGGGAGGGACCTGGTAGGAGGTGACTGAATCATGGGAATGGCTTCCCCCATGCTGTTCTTGAGATAGTGAGTGAATTCTCATGAGATCTGATGGTTTTATAAATAGCAGTTTTCCCTGCTCTTGCTCTCTCTCCTGCTGCCTTGTGAGGAAGGTGCCTGCTTCCCCTTTCCCTTCCACCATAATTGTAAGTTTCCTGAGGCTTCCCCAGCCTTGCGGCACTGTGAGTCAATTTAATCTCTTTTCCTTATAAATTACCCAGTCTAGGATAGTATCCTTATAGCAGTGTGAAAACAGAGTAATACAATGGAGTTATTTGTTTTTTGCCTGTTAATTTAAGTTCCTTTTGGATTCTGGATGTTAGACTTTTGTCAGATGCATAGTTTGCTAATATTTCCTTCCTTTCTGTAACAGCCTGTTCTGTTCTACAGATGAGTCCACAATTCTACATCTGTTGGGGAATAATGAAGAGAAACAAGGGGCACATTATTTTTCACCCTGTATGGAAACTATGGTGTACTTCTTGCTCTTTCACCTTCAGGCAAAATCTGATAAAATGTATCAGAGGACATTTAGTTGCCTAGAAAATTATCTTGCTCCTCCAGCTGTCTGAGATATATAATGAGATACCAACTCACACCAGTCAGAATGGCTATTACTACAAAGTTAAAAAAACAACAGTAGCTCATAATTAACTTTTATGCAAAACATAATATGAACTCCATTGAGATTGAGGTGAAATTTTTAAAATTGTCATTTTTATGAAACCTCAGTTCTTGCACAGTTTGTATTTCTTTTGAGTACTTTTTTTCTTCTGTGGTTTGGAAATGTCTTATTTGTTTGAAAGATTATATTTGTTCTCTAAGATGTAGAATGATTCCACAAAAGAGGTGGTGCAGTTAAGGTACTGGTCAGGAATTTACACTCAGTGGTCATGAGTCTTCACTTTGGAATATGTTTAAGTGTTTTAAAAATCTATTATTTGATGTTAGCATGTATTATCTCATCTAAAGACAATATGCTGAAATTATTATTGGGCAAAGGACTTTACAACTGGAAGAAAAGGGGAAGGAAGGGAGGGGGAAGGAGAAAGAAAAGAGAGTTAAAGGAAGGAAGGAGGGAGGGCAGAAAGGAGGGATGGAGGAAGGAAAAAGAAAGAAGGGAAGGAAGGGAGGGAGGAAGGAAAGAGGAAGAAAGGGAGGGAGAGTGAGGAAGAAAAGAAAGGAAGGAGGAAGAAAAAAGAAAGAAAGAAAAGAAAGAAGGAAAGAAAGAAAAAGAAAGAAAGAAAGAAAGGAAGGAAGGAGGGAGGGAGAGAGAGAAGGGAAAGGAAGAAGGGAGGGAAAGAACGAGGGAAGGAAGGAAGAAAGCAAGAAAGGAAGGAAGAAGGGAGGGAGGGAGGAAGGTGATGATGTTAAAGAGAATAAGAAAGAAACCCTATTACCACAAGAACCATTAACAAATCTAATTTTTTTTTTTTATCATAGGAGGTGCTGGCCATTCCAGGTACCATGAGGCCAATGAAATCAATGTTCTGTCCTTTCCTTCATGGTACTGACTGAAGATCTTTATCTGATGTGTTGGATCACAGGCACAGGCAGGGACAAGAGACAACTTCTACACATGTCCCAGCCTCTGCTTCACTGGGAACAAGAAGTTGCTCTGAAGGTAGGTAGGAGAATAGATTAGAGAAGGATGGGCAGCCATAAGAGAAACAGGCATTGATGTGGTTGAAATGTTTTTAAAAATATGCTTATGCTGTACACACATGTTCACAGAAGCATCCTTCACAACAGTCAAAAAATAGAAACAACCAATGTGCATAGACGAATGAATATGTGAACAAAATGTGATCCATCCATACAATGGAATGTTATTCAGCCTTAAAAAAGAAGAGAATCCTAACATATTCTACAGCATGGATGAACCTTGAGGATGTTTTCCTGAGTGAAGTAAGCCAACCACAAAAAGGACAAATACCATATGATTCCTCATATATGAGAGCCTTAGAGTAGTCAAATTGTTAGGGGTAGAAAGTAGAATGTTGATTGCCAGAGGCCAGGGGGAGAGGAATTGGGGCATTAGTGTTTAATGGGGACAGAGTTTCAGTTTTGCAACATGAACTGTTCTGCAGATGGATATTGGTGATGGTTGCACAGCAATGTGCCTATACCTAATACCACTGAACTGTGCACTTAAAAATGGCTAAAAGAGTAAATTTCATGTTACACATATTTTACACAATTTAAAAAAATGCTTATGATGTGGAGTCAATAGTCATTTTTGAGATAATTTTCAAGATCAAAATGAAAAAGAAGAAATCCAGTCATCAGGATTGAGTTCCGAACTGATCAACTGGGTAATGAGATGAAGAACTTATTTATTTTTACCTCAACAGCTGGGCCACTTGGCTTCTTCCTGACATTTGCAGAGAGCATCTCACTGTTTCATTTGCTCCTGGTAAAAACCCCTAGAACTCTTTCTAGACAAAGCAGGAACCACCCTGGGGTGGTGAGGTGGGGACTTCTATCATGGGAGTTAGGACAACAAGGAGACAGAAGTCCAGGATGAATTCAGATCTCCCCCGTGGACTTAGAGGGCAAAGGAAAGTTGGCTTCGATCTGTGGAGTAATGCGCTCTAAACCCTGTGACTCCAGAAGAACACCCTCTTATTTTGGCTGTTGTGGTGGTTCTGAGCTGAACAGCCTGCCTCAGCCCTTACCTAGAGGGACACGTAGAGTTAGATAGGCTCTGGTTTGCAGAGTCTTTCGCTGGGCTGTCTCCCCATCAGCAAGAGAAAGAGCTCTCCAAAACTGCCAGGGAAGCCTGAGCCTCCTAGGTGTTCTAATCTGCCTAGAAAAATAATTCCACAATGTAAGTAAACCGCCAGATAGTTGAGGGAAATTAACAGTATGAACCAGTTCTAAAATGAACAAACAGAAGGTCTGACTCTCATGAGAGGTGCAAGGTTGGAGATAACCAGTTCCATGCATAATTGTGTCTTTCCACAATGTCAGTCTTTTATTGACGCTATTGCAATTACAAAGGCCACAAGCTGCATGGAGTTCCCAAGGAGGCAATTCTCCTTAGTGCTTCCTGTTCACTTGGTAGTCAGAGCTGCGGGCACACAGGTTCAAGCCACTCCACATGTCAGTTGATATTGCAAACCATACATAATGATTATATATTCAATAAATAAATGTTACGGATTAAACATTCCATGGCAAACAAAGTAACATGGAACATCAAGAGGAAAAAGAGATAGGAGAAATGGCTAACAAAGCTGGGCTCGGTGCCTCACACCTGTAATCCCAGCACTTTTGAGAGACTGAGGTGAGAGGATCCCTTGAGTTCAGGAGTTTGAGACCAGCCTGGCCAACATGGCAAAACACTGTCTCTACAAAAAAAAAAAAAAAAAAAAAATTAACCAGGCATGGTGGTGTGGTGTGCGCCTGTAGTCCCAACTACTCAGGAGGCTGAGGCAAGAGGATGTCTTGAGTCCGGGAGGAGGAGGTTGCAGTAAGCAAAGATGGTGCCACTGCTCTTCAGCCTAGACAACACAGTGAGACCCCTGTGAAAAAAAAAGAAAGAAAAGAAATGGCTAAGAAACCAGTCTAAATAGAGTGATGTGGACAAGAAGAATGTCATGGTCTGGGCCTGGCTGTGCATCAGTCTCGCAAGGCAAAGGCTTTGATGTGGCACAGCCTTTGGTGGCTGATGCCAAGTTCTTTTCAGGAGTGACAGCAAGACAGTTGTCAGTTAAGACAACTGTTTTGAGTTGCTGAAGTCCTGCTCTTTTTATGACCACAGAATCCTCTGTTGAGGGTTGATGGTAGAAGAATGTGCTTGGTTATGTCCTTATCTGGTTGGATGCAGTCTTTATTTTTTTGTTTGTTTGTTTATTAAGCAAAACCTCTTATCCTTCTTTGCACAGGGCCCTGTGAAACATCAAATGGAGTCTTTTTCTAAGATGCAGTTAGTTATGCCAAGGGTGTTTGATATGGTTTGGCTGTGTCCCCATCCAAATCTCATCTTGAATTGTAGCTCCCACAATTCCCTCGAGTCATGGGAGGGAGCTGGTGGAAGGTAATGGGATCATGAAGGCAGGTTTTTCTTGTGCTAGTCTCATGGTACTGAATAAGTCTCATGAGATCTGATGGTTTTCTAAACGGCAGTTCCCCTGCACACGCCCTCTTGCCTGCTGCCATGTAAGACATGCCTTTGCTCCTCCTTCACCTTCTGCTGTGATTCTGAGGCCTTCCTGGCCATGTGGGAGTGTGAGTCCACTAAACCTCTTTTTCTTTATAAATTACTCAGTCTCGGGCATTTCTTCATAGCAATATGAAAATGGACTAATACAGTGCTGTATACAAGAACCCTCCTGGAAGAAATGTAGGTCATGCAGAAGAAACAAAAAGAATTCAGAGAACTGAATTAGTACCCTGAAGCCTCTGCACTCCAGCCTGGGAGACAGAGTGAGACCCTGACTTGAAAAAAAAAAAAATGCCCCAAATGTCAGTAGTATTGAGGTTGAGAAACCCTGGATGAGATTCATAAAAGCCAATGTCTCCTTAGTAAGCATTTCAAAACATAGAGGAAAAAGACAGTGATTAAAAGAATATAATCCAAGAAATTATGTGTGTATATATGTATGTAAATATAAATGTATATTTTCTACATAAGTATAAATATATAACATTAAACTTAATTATTTATAAATATGTATAATTTCTTTGACCACATATACATATATGTATATGTCTATTTTATAACAAAATCTATTAATTTTATGAATATAAATAAAACATTTAAACATGATTAGATATGCAACTTTATAAATATTAACATTTAAATACATCTATTTCTACAATTAATTTACAGTAGACCCCTGAGCAACACAGGTATATGAGGATTTTCCTCCGCCTCGGCCACCCCTGAGACAGCAAGATCAATCCTTCCTCTTCCTCCTCTTCCTCCACCTCCTCAATGTGAAGATGATGAGAATGAAGACCTTGATGATGATCCACTTCCACTTAATGAATAGTGAATCCATTTCCTCCTCCTTATGATTTTCCTAAAAGCATTTTCTTTTCTCTAGCTTGCTTTATTAGAAGAATACCATATATAATACATATAAACATACACGATATGTATTAATTTACTGTTTATAATATTGGTGAGGTTTCTGGCCAAGATTTCTTCCCAGTTCTGACATTAAAAAATGCTTCCTGAACACATGTTGTTCAAGGATCCACTGTATATTAATTATATAATGTATATATTTATAAAGTATAAATTAATATAACTATATTATGAATTAAAAATTTATAATATAATAAAGTAATAATTTATAGAAAATAATAATAAATTCATAACAAATCAATATTATGATATTGTATATCAATATGTAATATAGTATATTAATATTATATTAATATATTATAGTATAATATTTAAATATTATAAATTATAACATAACTGTATATTAATTATAAAATGTTTTATATGTATGTACATGTTAATATTTATGTAGTTATATAGCTAATGTTTACATGTTTTATTTATATTTATAAAATTAAAATATTTCATTATAAAATAGACATATACATGTATGTATATGTGGTCAAAGAGATTATATATGTATATATGAATAGGTTGTTTGTATTTAAGTTTTGAGGGAGTCCAGAGTTACAGGTGGATCTTCAACTGTGCAGGGGTCAGTGCTTCTAACCCCCCCACATTGTTCAAGAGTAAACTATAATAATTAATATATTGATTATACATCATATATTTAGTATATATTAATAGATACATAACTTACGGAAAACATCCACTTACATCTTTGAATTGAAAAGTGTTACTAAATGATACTAAGAAAAAAACATGCTAAGAGGCTGACTACCATAGATTGCAGAAAAGTCCACCATTCTTATGACACAATGCATCAAGAGGTAGAGTCGCTTCCCTCTCCACTGAGTGTGGGCTTGCCCTGGGATGTGCTTTGACCTTGAAATCCGGGGAAAGCAAGGTCATGCTGATTCCAAGCCTTGCTGCAACAGGTTTGCAGCTTCCTTTCTCGCTGAATTTGGAATCCAGCCACCATGTGAAGAAGTGCAACCCCACCTGCTGTGTGACGAGACAAGGGACACATTTCCCCTATTCTCCCATAAGCGGGGCCACCTAGCTGACCAGCCTGCTGACCACAGAAAAGTGAGTGCCCCACTGAGCCCTGCCCAAATTACCCACCCAGAGAACTGAGAGCTAAGCAAATCAGTGTTGTTTGAAGCCACTCAAATTCAGGGTGGTTTGTTACTCAACATGAACTAACTGTTGCACTGGTACCAGTGAAGATCTTTCTTCTCCAAGATGAAAATAAAATTAAGTTACCCAAGTTGCAACCACAATCAGAAATCATGAAACTTCTCAACAGCAATAGTGGATGCTATGAGACAATGTTGCAAGGCATGCAGCTTCCTGTGAGAACAATATTTTTTTCTTCTAGAATTCCAAATCTGGCCAGACTTGTGAATCAGTATGAGGGAAGAAAAAAGGAAGAGTTTTTCATCTGCGAAAGGTTAGAAAGTTTTCATTCCAAAGCTCTTTTCTGAAAACAAGACAAAACAAAAAGTAAATACTTGATATATTCCAGATTAAGAGGAAATAAGTGGTAAAATTCAAAAAGCAGCTGGATTAATCCACTTGGATTAAGGTAGAACAGGAAATCACAGGGCTCCCAGAAGAATTTTGTCAGGGAGGAATTGCATATCTCTAGGCTAGAGGGGGATTCAAAAGTTTTTTTACGTAGAGATGAAAGCCTGTGCTTCTTCAACAAAAGGAAGATAATCTCTGGGAAAGAAAAAATTACTTGCTGTTCAAGAAGCAAACCAAAATGTGGTAGGTCTTTTTTGTTTTTTTATTTTTTCAATGATTAATCAAATGTAAGAAACAGTAATTCTAGAAAAAAACAAAACAAAACAGAATTCTTCCTTGGCCAGGCAATTCCCAAAGAAAGAAAAACCCCTTTGAATATATTAAATTCTCTTTGGATTAATAGCAGAGTTTCAATTAAAATAATTTCCTCGTGTTGGGTGTAGTGATTTCCCACTTTATTAGATATATTAAATTTTCTTAGAGGATCATCTTCAGCCTTTAAATATTTTCTTCTTTAAAAAAAGTTTAAAGAAATTTTTTTCTTCAACTTTAAAATTTAAAGCTTTTAATTTTTTCTTCTTTTTTAAAAAAATTTTAACCGAGTGCTTGTTGGATTGTTTATTTAGATATCAATTCAGCCTTATAGTTTTAAAATCAAAGATAAAAACTGTATTTTGCTTTTTGAAAATGCTAAGCTCATAAAACATTGTATAGTTTTAAAAACTCACTATTTTCAGAGTTTTAAACTTTTTTTCTTAACATAATTGTAGGCATTGTTGTTTTCCTTAGCAACATTGATTACTACATATCTCATTTTGTGATATTCAGTTTAGGTATTTTTCTTTCCATTCAATAACATATATTTTCCTTTAAAATAAAAAAAAACAGCATTAACAGTTATAATTTCTGAATGAAGCAATGAGGGACAATTTTAATTTTCTTCTTATACTTTTTGATTTCATGAATTTTGTCTATAATTTTTCAACTAGAAGAAAGCAATAATCAAAATTGCATCATGGAAGGTTTCCATTGTCTTAGAGAGGGAGAATTGAGTTTACCTCTGGGGCAGACTTTCATCTGGCATCTAACTTCCCATTGATGAAATGCAGGCTCCACGCCAAACGTGAGTCTATCTCCCTTATGTAAAAGGGATGCAATGAGAAGGGGTTTGGGGTGCAGGCTGGACTCTCATGACTTTGCAGGGACCTCAACCCTAATGATGTTGCCAACACCATAATCATTGCTGTTGCTCTTGGAGCTTCCATATTTATTTGCTAGATTTTCATGCACTTATTTCTGTGTCAAATTGTCTCCTGGCTTCACTGTTTCCTCTGCTAGACCATCAATGTTGTCTACAGCTGTATTTCTGGTTTCATCTTTTAATGAGAAGACCATTGTTAAAGCAATGACCCATGGTGTATGATTTCCCAGTCTAGAGGCCTCTCCCAAGCTCACTTTTCTTGAGGTCTCTCTCATGCAATGATCAATCATCACTGTCCTGTTTGTTCTTCTTGACAAATGATCACTCTTTGGCTGGGCATGGTGGCTCCTGCCTGTAACCTCAGTGTTTTGGGAGGCCGAGGTGGGAGGATTGCTTGAGGTCAGGAGTTTGAGACTAGCCTGGACAACGTAGTAAGACCCCATCTCTACCAAAAATATTCCCACCCTTTGTCATTCAGTCCAAGGGATGCTTTCTCTGTACTTATCTTCCAACAGCCACATCTCTGTCCTTGAATGAATTTAGACCTTCTGTTTTTATCTGACAGCACATTGTGGAGAGGCTAAACATCTTATCTAAATGCTGCAGACAATAAAAAGTCTAGAAATGAATTCAATGCTGCAGTCGGCATGATCAATGTGGTTGTCACAGAGCTCACTATTGGATGTGCCTGTATCTGGTTCCAGACTATAGGGTCTGCACAAACAAAAATTATGTTTGGGATGATTTGGATTTCTTCCATCAGTTCTAGCTGAAACTGACGTAAAATATCAACCTAACAAATTCACACAATAAGGATGCACGTGATGAGAAGGTACTAGGCATGGACTGATGAGACTCTGGCTCTTAATGTTAATTCTGCCTACATACTAGCTCCTCTGATGCTCTTTAGATAGAAACCAGATGTCCCAAGCAAGTCTGACAGTATCTGCAGGTGACAACAAAGAGAGAGGGAACATTTTTTTTTTCTTTTGAGACAGAGTCTCGTTCTTTTACCCAAGCTGCAGTGCAGTGGCCCCATCTTGGCTCACTGCAACTTCTGCCTCTTGGGATCAAATGATCCTCCAGCCTCAGCCTTCCGAGTAGCTGGGACTACAGCCACATGCCACTGTGCTTGGCTAATTTTTGTATTTTTTCTAGAAATGGGGTTTTGCCATGTTGCCCAGGCTGTTCTCAAACTCCTGAGCTCAAGCAATCCTCCTGCCTCAGTCTCCCAAAGTGCTGGGATTACAGGTGTGAGCCACCATGCCCAGGTAGGAGAGGAAACATTTGCTAATAGCACCTGATATGGTTTAGCTGTATCCCCAACCAAATCTCACCTTGAATTGTAATTATCTCCATGTGTTGTGAGAGGGACCTGGTGGGAGATGATTGAATCGTGGGGGCGGGTTTTTCCCCTCCTGTTCTCTTTAGAGTGAATAAGTCTCACGAGATCGGATGGTTTTATAAAAAAGCAGTTCCCCTGCACATGCCCTCTTGCCTGCCACCATGTAAGATATGTCTTGCTTCCCTTTCGCATTCTGCCGTGATTTTGAGGCCTCCCCAGCCATGTAGAGCTGTGAGTCCATTGAACCTCTTTCCTTTATAAATTACCCAGTCTCGGGTATGTATTTATTAGCCGCATGAGAACAGACTAATAGAGCACCCCAGAAAATGTAACCTTATGTGTCTTTAGACAAAGTGGTGTTGTATGCCTGTGCTCAACCCACACGTGGCACAAGAAATGGAACCGCTCATGGTTAGCTTTGATCGACCAGCATCTGATCAAAAGCCTCTCTTGGAATATATGACCTCAGAGAAGTAGAATGTTACCCCTCCAAATAAACTTGGACCCTGCCAGCAACAATTATGTAGAAACAGGATGTAGGTTGGTATCAGTGGCTCAGTAAGAGTTTCCCAAATGTATGTAGTATCGTATCCTCAAAATTATACTCATGTACAATTACTTTGCTGAGGAGCTACAAGGACCAGAACACCCAAGCTTTTTCTAGGACACATACAGTTGACTGGGAAGAATCAACAGAGCTTCTTTTTTTTCCTTCTCTATTTAGAAATTCTTTGACCTATTTCCATTTTCTTTCTTGTGTAACCTGTTAATATTAGCCAGAACTTCTGTCAGGGCGCTTGCCTTGGGTAATTTCGAAATACTGTGCATCCAACATCATGAAAATTGCAGTTCATATTAGCTTGAATAAATGTAGTCCACACAGAGAGGGAACGTTAGTGCTGGAATTCCTTTGAGTCCCATTTCCACAGTTCTTGGATCTTTAAATCCATTTGGTTTCAATGATAGTCACTATCTTTTGTCAGAACCGACGTTTAGGCAGCTAGCCCAGCTCTGAGGTCAGGCTTTGGTGCAAAGATAATGGGAGATGAAGATTCAAATTTCCTTTGTATGAAACATGAACCCTTTAGCAATGTCCTATGACTTTCTATAGTGATTTCTATTTGGTCACATTTTGCATAGGCAAGAAGAATCTCTATACTTCATAGCAATATTATCTTTGGATAAGGATGGGGGCAGAGTTCATCTTTTCAAGGTTTGAAAGAAAATGATTTTCTGCTTCTAAGTGAAAATTCCTGCTGAGGTATAGGAATAGCCTTATCACACATAGTAATACAAAAACAGTACTTCACGTGATCAGAAACCCCCCAAGTAATTCCATCTTTATTTGTGTCTCAATGCTTGAGATTAAATTATGCAATTATTTGGATATTTTGTGTTTAAAAATTGAAGGAAAAATTGGATTTTATTGTCAGTAAAGCTTGTTAGTCTACAATGTTAATTGATACGTATTGAAATCTCAGTTATATGTTACATATGTGGTCATATGTGGTACATGTTAGAGACCATAAAAATACAATCTGAATGTTTAAAAAAAGAAAGCTGCAATATATTTTAATTCTGGGAGGCTGTGGGTTATGTTTTATAACTCTCCCAAATTAATCAGGGTCCACATTGACTAAATACTTGTGGGTTAATTATTTCCTTATATCCTTATTATTGTTTTTACAGGCATATTTTCTGCTTTCATGTGATTTCTTTATAACTCCTGATAAAATTAAGCACAAGATAAATCCTCGATGTAATGACTAGGAGTTCAATGGAGTACAATAATTAATACCTGTGTCCTTATACCTTATAGGGTGTCCTATTTCATTTTTTTGAGGCAGAGTCTCACTCTGTCGCACAGGCTGGAGTGCAGTGACGCAATCGCAGCTCACTGCAACCTCTGCTTTCTGGGCGCAAGTTATCCTCCAGCCTCAGGCTCCCAAGTAGCTGAGAATACAGCCATGCACTACCATGCCCAGCTAATTTTTGTATTTTTAGTAGAAATGGGGTTTCACTAGGTTGCCCAGGCTGGTGTTGAACTCCTGGGTTCAACTGATCCGCCCACCTTGGCCTCTCAAAGCACTGGGATTACAGGTAAGAGTCACCACAGCTGTGTCTTATTAAATATCCATTATCTTTAAGCTTAGTTCTTTTTTCATCTCAGGTGGGAATATTGTATAACATTTATCCTCATTAGTTCTTAAGTTTGAATTAAGTTTGAATAAATTTAAATACATACGTGTCTATACTACCTAGTTTAGTGAGTTGAACATTGACAGCCTGTTTTCTTGACTGTAACATCCTGATTATTGAAGGAGGAGAACTATATTATCATATATAAACCTATATCTCAGGCTCTGCGATTTTCCCCTCTCTTATTTGCAGTAGAAATAAGTATAGGAAAATCAGAGATCGTGACATATTGACATTTCTGTGGGCTCCACTGTGGGTGAGCATTGTTGAATGCGTTGGAATAAGTGGCTTGACTTTTCCATCATCCACCCAGGGTGATGAGAAACATGTGCTATTTGGAGGATGCATGTGGCATGACCGAGGCTCAGAACCGCCATAGGGCTGGTGATGATTGGTTGGTTGTCGTCTTTTGTTTTGTGCTCTTCCCCTGAGAAAAACAGAGGGCAATTGAGGCTCTCCACTTCTAAGTTCTCATTTAATGGTACTTCTCTTTGAATTACTCTTCTAAAATGTCAGGTTTATGGAGCCAAGGCAACAATATTTTAGGATCCTTCTGTCTCTGGAAAAGAAATTAATTTTTGATCTGAAATGAAAGCACTGAGTATTTAAAGTCAGGAGAAAAGAAAATGTGAAGTGACTCATGTCCCCTGGGCATTGGTAACAGTCCACCCTTGGTTTCTTTCCTAGCAATATGGTGGCCATATTTTCCCAACCAAGCTCAACCCACACACCAAGGGCCTGGGAGGGTATGGGAGAAAGACAGATGTTAAAGCCAGGAAAACTCACATTGGAGGTGTTGTCCTGGAACTCATCTTTTATTTCTATGCCATTTGCTTTCCAGTTACCCTTTAAACCTGCATCTCCTCATCTATAGAGTAAGATTTGTTATATGTGCTTGCTACTTTTTGTTGTATGTCTGATGTGACTTAGGATTCAATAAATGCACGTCTTCATTCCTTTCTCTTCCTATTCCATCTTTCTCTTCTTTGAGCAATTCCCATCTTTCCTTTTTTTCTTTTTTTCCTCCATGTGGGTAAAATGAGAAGTTTCTTTTTTATTTTCTTTTTGAGACAGGGTCTTGCTGCATCACCCAGGCTGAAGTGCAGTGGTGTAATCACAGCTCACTGCAGCCTAGACCTCCTAGACTCAAGTGATCCTCCCACCTCAGCCTCCCAAGGAGCTGGGACTATAGGCATGCACCACCACGCCCAGCTAATTATTTTTAATTTTTTTTAAGAGATGAGGGCTCACTGTGTTGCCCAGCCTGGTCTTGAGCTCCTGGGCTCAAGCTCCTGCTTTTAAGCAATCCTCCCACCTTGGCGTCCCAAAGTGCTGGGACTACAGATGTGAGCCACCAAGCCCTGCCTGAGAGAATATTTTAAATAGGGATTGATCTAAAACGTTTTAGTTATGTGGCCCTCAAATTAGCAGCTACTCTGTCTCCTTGGCAGGAAGGAGTTTGGGAGAAGTCTTTTGGGTTCCTCACCATCACCATATAGACCCCTGCCCTTGGGCTAGAAAACATTTATGAACTGATTTTTTATAAACCTAGGTAGGTTGCATATTATATTTGAGGATAGAGCCATGCTTATAACTGGACCCAAAGAGTTTAGCAATAAGCAAATGTGCTTCTATAGAGTGAAAATCTCAACTCAGGCAGGAAATGTTCTCCACATCATAGTCATAAATAGCAATAAGAAATTGGCCCTCCATCTGCTGTACAGGTAGGGGGAGCATTGTTAAAAATTACCAGCTATGCTTATCACATAGTCCTCACCTAATAGAAACAGAGAGATTTGCTTTTGATTCAACCACCTCCTAGAGATACTAAAATCCATGGATGCTCAAGTTCTTGATATAAAATTGTGTAATATTTGCATATAACCTGTGCAACCCTCTTGTATACTTTAAATCATTTCTAGATTACCTATAATACCGAATGCACTGTAAATGCTATGTAAATAGTGGCTATACTGTATTATTTATGGAATGATGACAACAAAAAGAAAGTCTGTACTTGTTTAGTACAGATGAATTATTTTTTTTAGTATTTCCGATTCATGAGTGTTTGAATCCACAGAATGGAGGGCTGATTGTGTAATTACTTCTTGCTATTCTCTTTTTTTTTAAATTTTGAACCTTCTGTGGGAGGATTGCTTGAGCCAGGAGTTCAGGACCTGCCTGGACAACATGGTGAAACTCTATGTCTAAAAAAAAAAAAAAAAATCCAGCAGAGAGGTACACGCCTTTGGTCCCAGCTACCTGGGAGGCTGAAGTGGGAGGATTGCTGGAGCCCGGGAGGTTGCGGCTGTGGTGAGCCATGATTGCACCACTGCACTCCAGCCTGGGTGGCAGAGACAGACCCTGTCTTAAAAAAAAATTAGATATAGTCTGATAATAACTACAACATCCCTCTGTTAGATCCCTAAGATCTTTTTCTACATTATTCAGAGGGAATTATTTTGTTAGTAGCCTTCTATTAATTTCTTAAAGGGCACACACGCACACAAAAGATTGAAGAAGGTTAATGCTAGATCCATTATTTTAAGTGATTTAATCTATTCCTTTTTTTCTCTCCAGACCGTCTCACTATTTTCCTTCTGAAAGCATCACTAGTGAATTCAGTCACAGGTACGATGCCATCGAAAACAACGCATGCAATTCATGCAAAATAAATTGGGAAAGCCAGGTGGGGAAGTGTTTGTTGTTCCTGCCAGCTTATTTTTCCCACTGTTTCCAGAAGGAAAATGAAAGACGGGGTGAGGTGTTGCCCAAGGCACATCCCGTGTCCTGGCTTCATTCTGTTCATTACCACCCACCTGGTCCCCCTTAGCCAGCCCACAGTCTCCTGGCCACACAAGCTTCATCCAAACCACCCTCTGTCAGCTGTTGCCCTTGTCACAGCCGTGCTGCTCTTCCTGTTTCCCCAACACCTAGCCAGGGCCCACTTGTCATTGCCACTGTTTCTCTCTGGTGCTCCTGGTCTCCGACACGACCTCAGATGCCCTTTGCCACGGAGGAGGAAGGATGCCTTGCCCAAGCGTACAAGACGTGAAACAGCTTCACCGCTATGTCCTCTCCATTTCTGGGCTCCTTTTCTATCTTATGTTTGCCCCCTACTCACAGCCCTTCCCCATTAAGAACCAACCTCCAACCGCATGCCAGTTGCAACATTTCTGATGATGAAGTGTCACCGAAGTGGGCCTGATTGAAGAAGGTAAGGAATTGGCACATGGAATAAGAATTTCAAGTGTTCATAACAAGAAGGGGAGGGTTTTTTTTTCTTTTCTTTTTTGCAAAGAATTAATAATGAAATGGTGGGATGCCTCTAACTACACACTTTGGCCTCACCCTGCATTAACTCCTGAACTCCCAGCTATGTGCCTGCCTTCTCCTTGTACTAGAGCCTATGAACACTTCATAAGGAAGAAAAAATCAGAGCATCCTTAGCCATGCTGAGAAACAGCAATGTTCCAAGCTTTCCTAAATAGGCACATAGATATGAGATATCTATATCTATCTCTATGTCTATCTAGCTATATATCTACTTATCTGTCTATCAATTTATCAACTATCATTTTATTCGATCACCTATTTACCCATCTATCTTCTATGTATCCCATCTATCTATCCATCTATCCTATATATGTACCTATCCATCTATATCTATGTATCTCATCTATCTATCCATATATTATATCTATGTATGTATCCATCTACTCTTTCTATCATCTATCTATCTATCTATCTATCTATCTATCTATCTATCTATCTGATTCGTCCTTCCATCTGTCCATCCATTCATCTATCTCTCTTCTATCCATCTATTATCTATCCAATCATCTATTAACTATCTCATCTATCTATCTAATCATCTACCTATAATCTATTGACTCACCTATTATCCTTCTCACCTATCTATCTATAATCAATATGCCATTCCTAGAAAGTTTCAAAGGGACAATTTGGAAATTTGCAAGTGTTCTCTCCACTAACCGGAGAAGTCAGAATGGGATGAAACCTTCCTTTGTGGCAACTAATGAGCTGCCTGACTTCTTGGAAGGAAAATGCGGGTGGTAAAATTTATTGTGGCTCAGGCATAGTGCATAAGCCATCGCTCAAGAAAGAACGACATTTTTCTGGACCACACAGCCTCATGTCAAATGCAATTCTGTTTTCCAATAATCAGCATTTGTAATAAGCATCTGGTGAACTAAACTCCACCTCAGAGCCTGCTTTGAAGAGAACTCAACCACTCCCAAGTCCAATCTGCCTCTCCCACAGTCCACCTCACACACTGCTTTCTCTCCTGCTACCCCATAACTGGAGTCTCTCGTGTCTCCCTACATTCTGATTTGCCATATGGGAACTGCTGCATCTGGGTTACAAATTCTCCCATTCCTTCTGCTGTCCCCAACTTAAAGCAAGCCATTTCCCCAGTCATCTATGACACCTTGTTCATAACCAGCTCTGAATTCCAAAGTCATGTATTCAGTTGTAACTCATGCACATCTTCTCTCTTTGCTCCCAGATATTCTCTCTCTTCTTTTCTAAATTTCTCTTTTAAAATCCAGTTTAAATCCCTTTAGAGTTTTCCTCTCTAAAGCATCCCAGAGTAAGCTAGTATCTGTACCACATCAGCTCTGAAGCCATATAATAAAGTATAGAAAATGAATCAATGCTTACATTTTTCTTATTTTTCTTAAAATATGTATTTTATTATTAGTTTATATGGCTATCTTTATTATTTTTAAGACAGGATCTCACTCTGTCACCCAGGCTGAGTGCAGTGGTACCATCACAGCTCACTGCAGCCTCACACTCTGAGGCTCAAGCGATCTTCCCACTTCAGCCTCCCGAGTAGCTGGGACCACAGGCATGCGCCACCACGCCCAGCTATTTTTTTAAATTTTTGGCAGAGGCAAGGTCTGTCTATGTAGCCAAGCCTGGTCTCGAACTCCTAGGCTCAAGTGATCCTCCCACCTCAGCCTCCCAAAGTGCTGGAATTACAGATGCAAGCCACTGCGCCTGGCTTATATTTTTATTATTAAATGCAATAGAAATATAGATAAATACGATGTGGGCTAGGGTTAGTGAATTATTAGAAGGCAGACACAATGAAAGAAATAGAACTTGACCAGCTCTCGTGAAGGCCCTTCATGTGTCCATCCCAATCAATTTCAGAACGTAAATAGGAAGCTGGTAGTATTATGGTAAATGCAAATCCAACTGCAAATGCATGTGGACGTTTCCTGGTGAAGTGCATCAGATATTTTGGCAAGTTTTTCTAAAGGCCATGCCCTCCGTTCTCTCTAAAGGTGATTTGAAGCTGACAGCTTTCTTGATACATAACAATCCTTTCTAAAGTTTTACACGAGCAGACATTTTACATGGTTTTCATTTTTTCCAGCCATTATTTTCTTAGCTTGAAGGTGTCTAAGTAGATGAGAAACTTCAAATACCTTATATTTCCACATGTTTATCCTAAAAAAATTAATCAAAGTCTTATTAATAAAATGTATTGTTTTAGAGAAATATTCAACTCACACTGTCATACTGAGCATTGAACTGGAATAAACAGAGTGGAAATAGAAGGACAATTTTCTGGGTACTCTGTGATTTGGGCAGAATTTCTTCAACAGAATTAGACTTCACAAGATGCATACATATAACGGAATAAAAGGTTGCAAGAATGCTATAGCTATTTACCTTTGTAAAAAATAGTTCGTTCTATTTAATTAACTTATTTATCTATTTAATTTTCTTTTTAAGAGACAGGGTCTTGCTCTGTCATCCAGGCTGGAGTGCAGTGGCACAACCATAGCTCACTGTAGCCTTGAACTCCTGGGCTCAAGCAATCCTCCTGCTTCAGCCTTCTGAGTAGCTGGGGCTACAAGTGTGATCTAGTTTGGATGTGTGTTCCTGCCCAAATCTCATGCTGAACTGTAATTCCCAGTGTTGGAGGTGGAGCCTGGTGGGAGGTGATTGGATCATAGGGGTGGTTTCTCATGAACGGGTTACCACCATCCCCTTGGTGCTGTTTGTGTTATGGTGAGTTCTCACGAGATCTGGTTGTTTGAAAGTGTGTAGCACCTCCCACCCCGCTCTTGCTCCTGCTTCTGTCATTTGAGACGCCTGCTTCCCCTTTCCTTCCGCCATGATTGTAAGTTTCCTGAGGCCTCCCCAGAAGCAGAAGCCACTATGCTGCCTGTACAGCCTGCAGAACCGTAAACCAATTAAACCTCTTTTCTTAGAAATTATCCAGTCTCAGGTATTTCTTTATAGCAATGTGAGAATGGGCCAATACAAAACTTGTGCCACCATGCCTGGCTATTTTTTTAAAATTTTTTTGTAGAGATTAGGTCTTGCCATGTTAACCCTGCTGGCCTTGAACTTCTGGCTTCGCACGGTTCTCCTGCCTTGGCCTCCCAGAGTGCTAGGATTACAGGCATGAATCACTATGCCCAGCATTTGTTCTATTTTAAATGCAGTATTTGCCATATACAAAATATGAAGTATGTCAGGCATAATAATATAATGAACTGTAAAATACCTATTGTTCAACATAATAATTACATTAGTAATAATATCTTGTATTTATCTGTTTTTTCCCTGTTTCATCCCCTATTTTGTTTCTACCTGGCATTCACCACTATTCTGAATTTAGATTTTATCATTTCCTTGTTTTATAAATTGTGTTACTATATATTCTAATAAGTCTAAACTGTAAGTGCGTGTGTATTCATGTAGATACATATATTTGATCTTAAATTGGACATACATCTACACTGTTAATAGGTAATATAGAATTTGCTTGATTTGACACTTAAAAAAATGGTATCATAGAACTACCATTCCACCCAGCAATCCCAGTACTGGGTATTTTCCCAAAGGGAAAGAAATCATCATATCAAAAAGACACTGGGCACTCACATGTTTATTACAGCATATTCACAATAGGAAAGATATAGAATCAACTTTAGTGTGCATCAATGCATGAATGGATAAAGAAAATGTGATATATATTTTATATATATATATATGTACACACAATGGAATACTACTCAGTCAAAAAAAAAGAAGAAAATAATTTCTTTTACAGCAACACAGATGGAACTAGACGCCATCTGTGTATCTTGGGTGAAACAACACAGAAACAGAAAGCCAAATACTGCATGTTTTCACTTATAAGTGGGAGCCAAATAATGTGTGCACATGGACAGAGTGTGGAATAATAGTCATTGGAGACTTGGAAGGGTGGGAGGGGAGTGAGGGATGAGAACTCGCTTAATGGGTAGAATGTAAGTAATTAGGGTGATGGTTACACTAAAAGCCAATACTTTATCACTATGCAATATGTCCATGTAACAAAATTTTACTTGTACCCCTTAAATTTATACAAAAAACCATGCTGGGCTTAATATCTAGGTGACGGGTTGATAGGTGCAGCAAACCACTATGGCACCCATTTACCTATGTAACAAACCTGCACATCCCTGCACATGTACCCCAGAACTTAAAATAAAATAAAATGAAATAATAAATTATACAAAAAACCAAAACAGAAAACAACAAAAATAGTATCATACTTCATAGTAGTTTTGTGGACTTCCTTTTTCACTCAATTTTCTTTTGCTTACATTTATTCATATCGTTGCATGTGTCTGTATTTCATTCTTTTTCTTCTTCTTCTTCTTCTTCTTTTTTTTTTTTTTGGGTACAAAATACCCAGTTGAGTGGGTGGACCACATTATATTTGTACATTTTCCTGTCGATGGGTATTTGGATCCCTTCCAGGATTGACTGTTTACCAACAGGGACACAATGTAGTACGTGTGTTTGGAGGCGTGACTGCAAGTGTTTACCTACGATATCCAGTCAGGAGAGGAAGTGCGGAAGCATAGGCACGTGGATTTAGCTGACAGATGATGCAAAAATCGTTTTCGGCTGGGGGCGGTGGTTCACCTGTAATCCCAGCACTTTGGGAGGCAGAGGCAGGCGGATGACTTGAAGTCAGGAGTCGGAGACTAGCCTGGCCAGCATGGTCAAACCCCGTCTCTACTAAAAATACAAAAATTAGCTGGGTGTGGTGGCGCATGCTTGTAGTCCCAGCTATTTGGGAGGCTGAGGCAGGAGAATCGCTCGAACCCAGGAGGCAGAGGTTGCAGTGAGCTGAGATTGTGCCACTGCACTCCAGCCTGGGGGACAGAGTGAGACTCTGTCTCAAGGAAAAAAAACATTTCCAAAGAGGTGGTATTAATTTGCACAACAGATAGCGTTATCTAAGCGTTCTCTGTTGATCTAGATTCTCTTCAATGCTTGACATTTTCAGAATGTTGAAACTTTCGCTAATTAAATGGATAAGATATTTATCACATTGTGGTTTTATCTTCCCTGAATTAACAAAATCAAGCATCATTTCCAACGTTTTGAGGTCTCTTGCGTGAAATGCCTCCTCTTTGACTTTCTGAGTTTTCTAAGGAGTTGTATCTTTTCTATGTATCTGAAGCTTTGTATATGTCCAGGATATAAATCGTTTGATCTCTTCTTTTCCAAAGATTTTGCGCAGTTTTTCTCCCATATTGGCATTTCCTTTTCATTTTATTTATGGAGTCTTTAGAAAAACAAAAGTTCTTAAGGGTAAGTTGTTAGCATGGCATTTCCTTCAATGGTTAATATTTTTGTGTCTTTAAAAAAGAATCCTTTTGGACTCCAAGATGAGAGAGATATTTTTCCTATATTTCCTTCTAGAGGTTTAACTTTAATCCATCTGGAAATATGTGTATGTGTAGTGGAGGGAGGGTTCATATGGCTTTCATTTTTTCCATATGGAAAACCAATTGTCCCAGCTCTATTTATTGAATAGTTCCTCATTTGCTCACTGATCTGTAATGTCACCTCCTTCCTGTATTATATTATAGCACACGTTGACTCTAATGCTTCCAACAGGGAGTCTCTGTGCTCCTTTGCTTGGAGTCTTTATCTGACCCGGGGAGCCCGATAGTTGGACATGTGTCAGTCAAGCCATAGTGCTGAGAATCTAGGAGATCCCACAAAGAACCGCCCTCAGCTGAGGACTGATGAATGTTGAAGGGCAAGTACTCTCACTCACCTATCCCACAGCTGGAAAGAGTATTCTACTCTTTCCAAAGCTTGCAGCACTCTGCATCCTGATCTCTTCTTATGAGATGTCTTAGTCCATTTCAGGCTGTTATCACAGACTACCATAGACTGGATGGCTTGTAAACAACAGACATTGATTCTCTCAGGGTCACGGAAGCTAGAAGTCTGAGATTAAGGTGTGGGCAGGGCTGCTTCCTCCTGAGGCTTCCCTGCTTGGCTTGTAGATTGTAAACACTGTCTTCTCCCTGTGTCCTAATGTGGTTGTTCCTCTGTGTGTGTGCAGAGGGAGAACTCTGAAATGGTTTCCTCTTCTTATAAAGATTAAGACCCCTCTCACGATTTTACCTAAACCCAATCATCCCCTTAAAGGCTCTGTCTTCACATAATCTCACATGGGGGTTTTGGGCTTAAACCCATGAATTTGGGGCAAAAGGGCACAGTTCAATTCATAGTAATTATTCAACCAAAGTAGATGATTGGCTTCTGGTGGGAAAGAGGGAATAAAAATGGAGAGAGTATTATATTAGAGAAAGAGAGATGAGAGCTTCATGTAAAATTTTTGAGAAATAGGGGAGCCTGGGAATGGATGATTTGGAGAGTCGAGATGATGCAATATTATATAATCTTTGTGCTGAGAGTGCAGGACCGTGGCTAGGTGGTTTGAAATACTCAAGACGAAGTTTGAAATTGGAGCTTACTTCAGCCGGGGTCTTCACCCTGGTTATCCATGGTGGTCACCTGCTTGGTAAACATCCCATTCAAGGACTTTCTCCACTCTCTAGCTCATTATTCCACTTTCTGTTGGTGCTTCCTGGCTCGCCACCCAGATAAACTCCTTAATAGAATCTTTGTATCAGGATTCAGTAGGTTAGGTGTATTAAATGCATTTTAGACTTGCAATTTTGTTTTTTTCTTTTTTTCTTTTTTATTTTTTTGAGACAGGGTCTCACTCTGTTGCCCAAGCTGGAGGACAGTGGTACAATCATAGCTTACTGCAGCCTCAACCTCTGGTACTCAAGTGATCCTTCTGCCTCAGCCTCCCAAGTTGGATTACAGGTGTGCACCACCATGCCCAGTTAATTGTTTTTTCTTTTGTAGAGACAGAGTCTCGATATGTTGCACAGGCTGGTCTCAAACTTCTGGGCTCAAGTGATTCTCCCATTTCTGCCTTCCGAAGTTCTGGGATTTCAGGTGTGAGCCACTGTGTCCAGCCTAGACTTACACTATTTTCAACTTATAACAGGTTTATTGGGCTGTAGCCCTATTGTGAAAGTCGAGGAGCATGTGTACTTTGAACAGCCCTGGACACGAGATACACATTAAATGACTGAGAAACTAAAACCCTATTTTAGATAGCGTGTTTCTGTTGCTGTAGAATGAGTCACCTCATCTATCAAGACCAAGCCATGAATGCACTTGAGTTACATTTTTTAATATTTTCATGGACTCCTAAAAATCTCCAGTGTTCTTAGATCTCAATTCCAAGAAGAGCCGGCTTGTAGACTCGCAGCTGAGAGGCAGGCTATGGTGAACTCAGACCTGGAGAAGATGGAAGGAGTCCAGGGAGAAATGGAAAATGATGAAAGCTTTGGCAAAAGGGTGGTAAATTGTTCAAAGAATGTTTAAAGAAAAAAAAATGAACAGCAACAACAACTTTAGAAGGAAATGGAACTGATTAAAAGAGTCATTTTTATTCCACTTCTGCACCATGGAATGGAGTCACGCATAACTTGCATATAATTGAACATTAAAAAAAATTCTGTAGCTCAATCAACTTCTCTTGGCAGTGAGCCCATAGAAAACTCAGAAGAATCTTTTCAGAACTATTTATGAGCTGTGCTACAGTTGATGAAGGTCTGGTTGAGGATGGTGACAGAGGAGAGGAACGGTATTGGCCACAGGCTTAAAGAACAGCATATCCATCCACTAAGGCTGTCGTAACAAAGTCCCACAGAGCTGGTGGCTCAAACAACAGACATTGATTCTCCCACAGTCCTTGAAGCTGGAAGTCCAAGATCAAGGTGTGGGCAGGGGTGGTTCCTCCTGAGGCCTCTCTTCTGGGCTTGTAGATGCCGTCTTCTCCTTGTGTCCTCACAGGGTCATCTCTCTGTGTGTGTCTGTGTCCTCATCTTCTCTTCTTATGAGATATCTTAGTTCATTTCAGGCTGCTACAAGAGACTACCATAGACTGGGTGGCTTATAAACAACAGACATTGATTCTCCCACAATCCTTGAAGCTGAACGTCCAAGATCAAAGTGTGGGCAGGGCTGGTTCCTCCCGAGGCCTCTCCCCTTGGCTTGGAGAAGCTACCTTCTCCCTGTGTCCTCACAGGGTTGTCCCTCTGTGTGTGTCTGTGTCCTCATCTCCTCTTCTTATGAGGTGTCTTAGTCCATTTCAGGCTGCTATCACAGAATACCATAGACTGGGAGGCTTAAACAACAGACATTTACTCTCCCACAATACAGGAAGCTGGACGTCTGAGATCAAGGTGTGGGCAGGGCTGGTTCTTCCTGTGGCCTCTCTCGTTGGCTTGTAGATGTCACCTTCTCTCTGTGTCTTCACATGTTTGTCCCTCTGTGTGTGTGCAGGGGGAGAACTCTGAAATCTTTTCCTCTTCTTATAAATTTGCCAGGCGTATCAGATTAAGACCCCTCCCTTATGATTTTACCTAAACCCAATCACCTCCCTGAAGGCTCTGTCTTCACATAATCTCACGTGAGGATTTATGGCTTAAACCCATGAATTTGGAGCAAAAGGGCATAATTCAGTTCATAATAATTATTCAACCAAAGTAGCTGATTGGCTTCTGATGGGCAAGAGGGAATAAAATGGAGAGATTATTATATTAGAGAAAGAGATATGAGAGCTTCATGTAAAATTTTTGAGAAATAGGAGAGCCTGGGAATGCATAATTTGGAGAGTCGAGATGATGCAATATCATAGGTTCTTTGTGTTGAGCGTGCAGGACAGTCGCTAGGTGGTTTGAAAACTCAAGAGGAAGTTTGAAATTGGAGCTTACTGTGGAATTCACAAAGATGGTAGTCAAAAACATGGGAAATATTAATGATACAGCAGCATTTTTCCCAGGCTGTTCTGCAAGGGACTGGTTCTTCAAGATATTAAAAAGGGCTCTAGAAAAAAAAAGGAAGGCAGGGAGCAAGGAAGGAAGGAAATAAGGAAGGAAGGGGAAGGGAAGGGAGGGAGGTGAAGGAGAAAGGCAGAAAGGGAGAAAGAAAAAAGAGAAAACACAAAGGAAGAAAGAGAAAGAAAGGAGGGAAAGAAGAAAAAGGAATAAAGAGAGGGAGAGGAAGAAGAGGAAGAAGAAGAAGACGAAGAAGAAGAAAGGAAGGAAGGAAAGAAGGAAAGGAGAAAGAGAGATAGGGGAAAGGAATAAAAAAAAGGAAGAAGAAAGAAAGAAAAAGAAAGAAGAAAGAAAGGAAAGAAGGGAGGGAAAAAGAGAGAGGGAGAAAGACAGATAGAGGAAAGGAAGAAAAAAGATAGGAAAAAGGAAGAGGAAAGAAAGAAAAAAGAAGAAAGAAAAAGAAAGAAGGAAAGAAAAAAGAAAGGAAGGAAGGAGGAAGGGAGGAAGGAAAGGAAGGAAGGAAGGAAACAAGGAAGGCACAAAGGAAGGGAGAGAGGGACAAAGAGAGAGAGGGAGAAAGAGAGGAAGGGGAAAGGAAGAAAGAAAGAGAAAAAAGGAAGAGGAAAGAAAAAAGAGAGAGAAAAACAAAACAGAAAGAGAGAGAAAGAAAAAGAAAGAAAGAAAAAGAAAGAAAGGAAGGAAGGAGAAAGAAAGAAAAAGATATTTTGCGATCAAATAAGATCAGGAAATGCATGGTAGCTCCTACATCAACTTAAACACATTAGTAAGCTTTGTGATTATACATGGGGGAATGAGAATTGCACATACTGTTTCTCCTCTTCTTCACTGCCTCCCCTTTTTTTTTGCAGGAGCACCTGATGTAGTTGAGGCAGGTGAGAGGCAGCTGCCACCTCTGAGGGCAGATGGGGGCAGGAGGGGGCAGGGAACGGGGATTGAGGACCGGCAGGCAGGATGGGAATGAGAAAAACCAGGGAGATGACACACCTGTGGGGCAGAACCCAGATCAGTTGGGAACTCGCCGTGGCTCTCTCCCTGATCACAACGTTGTCACCAGACCTTCGAAGTCCAGCCCTGGAAGTGACTCAGGGACTCCCTCCTGGGATGATTCCCTTTTATTCACCTGGGCTGCAGTGCAGGAGGCTGACTGGGTTCACCCATCTGCCCTGGACACCCTAGGAAACTCTTAGAGTCCACCATTCTGGTTCCTGACCCTATGTTCACTCATGCCCATCTCTTGGCGTCTCCCGGGAAGCTTGGGCAAGCCCTGCTCTCTGACGTCTGAGCCCAAATCTCACCCTGGAACCCTGATCTACCAAAGCTCCCCTACTCTATATGCCCAGGAAATCCAGGGATACCACAGTGGGAATAGAAGATGCTCAAAATACGCCACAGTGCAGAATTCCACCTGCTGCTTGTCACTTTGCAAATCCCTGTGTGAACCCAACCAGATGGCTGATATTAGGTTCCAAGTCTGAAGCCGTATTTACTTGCAGCTACTGAGAGCACATTTGCTATCAGGGTGTGTTCTCATTTCCTAGAGTGGGCAACAAATGACCACAGGCTGGGTAGGTTAACACAACGGGAATGTACTCACCCAGTCCTAGAGGCCAGGAGTCTCACATCAAGGTGTGCGCAGGGCCAAGCTCCCTCCAGAGGCTCTAGTGGGGGATCCTTCCTGCCTCTCCCAGCTCCTGGGGGCTCTAGGCATCCCTGGGCTTGTGGCCGCATCACTGCAGTCTCTGCCTCCATCTCCATGTGGCCTTCTCCTCTGTTTCTGTGTCTCCTCTTCTGTCTCTTGGAAGGACACCTGTCATTGCATTTAGGGCCCATCCTAATCTAGGATGATCTCATCTCAAGATCCGTCTCCTAATTATATCTGCAAAGGCTGTATTTCTAAATACAAGGTCCCATTTACACGTTCGGAGGCATAGGACATGAACACGTTTGGGGTCGCCATTCAATCCATTACGGTTGTATCCAGTTCCCTCCAGAGGCTCTAGGTGAGGGTCCTTCCTCCCTCTCCCAGCTCCTGGGAGCTCCAGGCATCCCTGGGCTTGTGGCCACATCACTCCAGTCTCTGCCTCCGTCTCCTCTTCTGTCTCTTAAAAGGACACAGGCCATTGGGTTTAGGGCTCACCCTACTCTAGGACGATCTCATTTTGAGATCCTTAACTTATTACAAAGACCCTATTTCCAAATAAGATCCCATTCACAGACTCTGGGCATTAGGATGTGGACAGATCTTTCCAGGGGCCACTATACAGTTGTACCCAGTTCCCTCTGAAAGCTCTAGGGGAGGCTCCTTCCTGCCTCTCCCAGCTCCGGGGGCTCCAGGTGTCCCTGGGCTTGTGGCCACATTGCTCTAGTCTCTTTCTCACTCTCCTTGTGGCCTTCTCCTCTGAGTGTCTCTGTGTCTCTTCTCTTTATATGGACACTGGTAGATCTGGGGTCCACCCAGATAATCCACTATGATTTCATCCCAAGGTCCTTCGCTTAATCACATCTGCAGATACCTTTTTTCCAAATAAGGTGACATTCTGAGGTTCTAGGGATTTGACATAGACATTTCTCTTCCGCTATTCTATGGTATGGAAAAGTGGAAAAAAGCAAATACTAAAACTTGTTAATAAGGACCTGTTTCCTCTCTGTGTAGAGCCTCTTCTGAAACTCCTGGTATGTTCTTGCATGAAAAATGCCTAGACCGCGATGAGGACTGGTGTAAACGGTAGATATCATCTCTATAGCAACACATAAATTAGCATTCAGAAATGCAGCTTTGCAGAGAGAAGAACCTTTCTCTGAGTTCCTACACTCAATTCTGTATAAGATTCATTTATTTATTATTATTTTTTCTTTTTGAGACAGGGTTTAGCTCTGCCACTCAGGCTAGAGTACAGTGGCACGATCAGAGCTCACTGCAGCCTCAAACTCCTGGGCTCAAGTGATCCTCCCACCTCAGCGTCCCAAGTGGCTGGGATTACAGGTGTTCTCTGCCATGTCTGGCTACATTTTTTATTTTTACTAGTGACGAGATCTCATTATATAATCCCAGCACTTCGGGAAACTGAGGCAGGAGGATCTCTTCAGCCCAGGAATTCAAGACCAGCGTGGACAATGCAGTGAGACCTCCTCTCTACTAAAAATAATTTAAAAAAATTAGGCAGGCATAATAGTGCATGTCCATAGTCCCAGCTACTCCAGAGGCTGAAGGAGAATCAGTTGAGCCCAGGAGTTCCAGGCTGCAGTGAGCTATGATCACACCACTGCACTCCAGCCTGGTGACAGCAAACTCTGTCTCTAAAACAAAAAATAAAATAATACAATTCAATGAAATAAATTAAAAAAACATGTGGACTTAGAGTCTACTTGTAATCCCCACCACTGGAGAATCATTTAGTACAGCAAAGCTGAAAGACCAGGAACGGGGACTTTCCAACGTTTCTACAGGACACTCTGAGGCAGGGGGGCTGCGCTTCCTTGAATGCCATATCTGTGGATAAAATCAGCACATTATCATTAGTACAGGACTGGTCTTTTTCTTTTCTTTACTTTTTTTTTTTTTTCTTTGAGACTGAGTCTTGCTCTGTTACCCAGGCTGGAGTGCAGTGGCTCACTACAACCTCCACCGCCTAGGTTCAAGCGATTCTCCTGCCTTAGCCTCCTGAGTAGCTGGGATTAGAGGCGCCCACCACTGTGCTTGGCTAACTTTTGTATTTTTAGTAGAGACAGGGTTTCACCATGTTGGCCAGGCTGGTCTCGAACTCCTAACCTCAGGTGATCTGCCTGCCTTGGTCTTCTAAATTACTGGGATTACAGGCGTGAGCCACTGCTCCCAGCCAGTACATGACTATTATTTGGAAAGGTGCATGGTAGAAGCTGCTCTTGGCAGAGAAACCTGCGTAAGAATCCCCCTTGAAGCTTGGAGGGATATTACTGGGATCATTGCTTAAGCCATGGGAAACTGGTTTAAAAAATTTGGGAGTGGTTTGCATAATGTAAAACAGGGAAGATGCACTCAGAGGAGAAGTTAAAACAGCCATGGTAGGTCAGCCTCTGTTGCAGTCGGGGTAGAAGGAGAACTTGGTTGTCAAAGTGTACGTTGAATTGAGTTTCGGAAGAACAGGTCACTGAAATTTATCAGCAAACTTGATTTAATGGAGATTTTCTTGTGCATTCGGGAGGTTTTTTTCCGGTATTCCACGCTGTTAAAATTAATGTTTGAGGGCCCAGAATGAGCACAAGTGTTTTTGTAGGCAGAACCTCTGTGGCTCCATGCTGAAGACATCAGGGTGTTTACGTTATTATGTGGGCAACTAATGATGGAAACAGATTTTCTACTCCTATTTTCTTTTACTGATTCATTTGCTAAAGACATGTAATGTAAGCAGAATTCTCCAAAGGCATTTAATCATAGAAGTGATGGCTAAAAGAAGCCAACGATTCTGAAATGTCCTAATGGGATATTTGGCCATTTAGGTGACTTCACTACCTTCTTGTGACAGAATCTTTGGACACAGAACATCATTCTCACTTCATATTCCATGAGTACATCATCATCTCCACATTATGCTAAGGCACTCGTTAGTCACAAAATCAAGAATTCACTTCTGAAATATTTTAATTCCATGTAGCTCTAGTAAATTTTCTTTCTTTCTTTTTCCTTTTTTTTGAGACAGGGTCTCGCCCTGTCGCCCAGGCTAGAGTGCAGTGGTGTGATCTCAGCTCACTGCAGCCTCCGCCTCCCAGGTTCAAGTGATTCTCGTGCCTCAGCCTCCTGAGTAGCTAGAATTATAGGCACCCGCCACCACACCTGGCTAATTTTTGTATTTTTAGCAGAGACAGCATTTCATCATGTTGCCCAGGCTGGCCTCGACCTCCTGAGCTCAAGCGATCCGCCCGCCTTGGTCTCTGAAAGTTCTGAGATTACAGGTGTGAGCCACCTTGCCTGGCCCTGAATTTTATTTCTACCATGCTACTCCAGAAATGTAGACATGTCAAGGATGTAAAATCATGAATAGCATATGACCTAGCAATGACCTTGTAAAGTGATTATATTTATATTACACATAACATCCTACTAAACAATTGTATTACATTTCAAGATGTAAAAGGAAGAAAAATAAGCCAATGTTACTCAAATATGTTCAAAGCCACATGGAAAAGAAAATCTGCGTTATTTCTTCTCTGGAAGCTCAAATGCCTGTTTTCTGCCAAAAGTGTAATTTGAACAGAAAAAAAAAAAAAAGTTGGCCAGGCGCAGTGGCTCACACCTGTAATCCCAGCACTCTGGGAGGCTGAGGCAGGTGGATCACGAGGTCAGGAGATCGAGACCATCCTGGCTAACACGGTGAAACCCCGTCTCTACTGAAAATACAAAAAAAATTAGCCGGGCATGGTGGCAGGCGCCTGTAGTCACAGCTACTTGGGAGGCTGAGGCAGGAGAATGGCGTGCACCCAGGAGCGGAGGTTGCAGTGAGCCCAGATCGCGCCACTGCACTCCAGCCCGGGTGACAGAGCAAGACTCTGTCTCAAAAAAAAAAAAAAAAAAAAAGTTGAGTGTGTTTCAGACAGCTGTTGTCAGACTTTGGCAATGGATAAGTGGAAAAAACTCCACACAAGGTCAAGAACTTCTTAGGATCCTTAGTGAGAAAGTGATTCTGAAATCGTTTGCCATGGACGTTCAAAGACCCACCGACACACAAGCAAATGAGGTCGTGTTTGGAAGAGACACACACGCGTTGATGTAAAAATAGCAGAACAGTACAAGAGCAGAATGCGATGACATTTAACAAAGTAAGAATTTTTTTTTTGTAAATTCTAGAAAGTGACACTCTAAGTCAGCGTGTTTCTTCAACTGGATGATCAAGTTCACAGCCCAAGAATTTGCCCAACTTCCTTAGATGTCCTCCTCTCTAAACGATGGTAAGGATGATGTTATGAGATTCCTGAAAGGGAAGCCAGATTGCTTATCAAAGACGTGTGCCCACTGAGCCTTTCCAAGTGCTTTACTCTGAGATGGTCCAAGAGGTGTTTCTGAGAAGGCTATTTTTATTGTCTTTGGTGACACATTATGTGATGCAGATGTGGTTTCCATCAATCCATCTAGAAAGTCTATGCATAGGGTTATGTCTCACTTTCCCTATTAGTGACCTGGAGGAAGCACTGCATTTTTGTATGCAATGATACACCCATGCATGCCAACTTCCATTTATCCTCTTTGAAGATGCATGACAGTACTTTTCCTTGGCTCTTCAAAACTCCCAAAGGGGAAGCAGGACATGCTTCCTGGTGGTTTCACTTGTGTTGAATCTAGTCTCAAGCCTCTGGCATCTTCTGCACCCCAAGCCTCTCTGGACCTGTGTCCTGGAGTTGCTGTAGGGGCTGGACCCATCATCATAATGAATTACAATGTGGGGAACTCAACTGGACCCAGAAAATGTCCCCAAAGTGCATCCTTATGGCTGAGTACCTCCAGGGTTCACAGAAGGAATGAGGACAAGCAAACTGTGAAGCAAGACCCTGACACAAAGACACAGCTCAAATTTAGCCTCTGATATGGTTTGGCTGTGTCTTTACCAAAATCCCATCTTGAATTGTAGCTCCCACAATTCCCATGTGTTGTGGGAGGGACTCAGTGGGAGGTAATTGAATCATGGGGGCAGGTCTTTCCCGTGCTAGTCTCATGGTAGTGAATAAGGCTCAGAAGATCTGGTAGTTTTATAAAGGTGAGTTTCCCTAGACAAGCTCTCTTGTCTGTCACCATGTGAGCCATGGCTTTCACCTTCTGCCATGATCGTGAGGCCTCCCCAGCCAGATGGAACCATGACTTCTTTCTTTTGTAAATTGCCCAGTCTCAGGTATGTCTTTATCAGCAGCGTGAAAATGGACTAATACAGCCTCTCTGGTTTACCAGTGAACACCGGATGGGACCAGGATTCATGTTAGAGAATGTCCCCTGTATTTGAATCCATGTGGATTCTCTCACTCTTCTGACCCAGCTTGGTGTTTTAAATTTCTATCCTTAAAGTCCTTTTCTTCCCACAAATGTTTGCTGTTGCAAAGTTCAGTTTACTAGTGTATGGGGAATAAAACACATGGTCATGATAGCCTAAGCTGTACCATGCAACAGCAATGGAGACGGCTGTCCTCCCTCCCAACAGCTTAATGCAAAGAAACTTCTGCTGTTGTAGAACTCTCTTTTTTTTTTTTTTTGCCTGATCCTTTGAAGTCAAGAGTTTTATTGTTACTATTATGATTCCTCCTCCAGTCATCTGCAATCATAGCTTCAAGAAGAAAATTCTTAGCCAACCTCAGAGTCCCTTTATTTGCATGTTGCCCATGGTGGCAACAGGGGATTTTTGGTGGTCAGGGTACATATCTGCCTCAAATCCTAGATTCATGATCACAGCACCCCACAGGATGACACACAGGTTTTTTGTTTGTTTGTTTGTTTGTTTGTTTTGAAACAGGATCTTGCTCTGTTGCCCAGGCTGGAGTGCAGTGGCACGTTCACGGCTCACTACAGCCTCGACCTCCCAGGCTCAAGTGATTCTCCCACCTTAGCCCTCTAAGTAGCCGGAACTACAGGTACCTGGCACCATGTCCAGCTAATTTTTGTATTCTTAGTAGAGACTGCCTTTTGCCATGTTGCCCAGACTGGTCTCAAACTCCTGGGCTCAAGTGATCCACCAGCCTCAGCCTCCCAAAGTGCTGGGATTCTAGGCATGAGACACTGTGCCCCGCCAGACCCACAGGTTTGATTTAGTTTTTCAAGAGCAGTTTAAGAAGAAGCAAGACTTTTTCATTTTAATGTTTTGCTATTTTTAGCCTCAAGAAGGCTGTGTTCCTTGCAGAAGTGGCATATCAGCTCACCCTGGGACAAGTGGCATCTGGTGAGATGATAGGCAGCTGAGGTTATTGGTGTTATTTGCAAGGGATGGGTGCTGATGATTGCCATTACATCGGGTTTCCCTGATGCTCAGTTAACTCTAAAGGAGACATGGGGTGAGGGCTATGAGTAGGGATGTGGGGAAACCCCATGGCTGGGATGCCAAGAGCCCCACCTGGGCTTATGTCCACTTCAGAATGCACCATCTCATGGAAAGCAAGACATCCTCCACCTACACTTAGCATTTTCACTACCACACACTGAGTTTCCCTTATCTGAGATGCTTGGGACCAGAAGCAGTGACAGATTTCAGATTTGTTCAGATTCTGGAATATTTGAATATGCATGAGATGTCTTGGGAATAAGACATAAGTATAAGCATAAAATTAATTTGTGTTTTATATACACTTTATACACATAGTTTATTGTATAGCCTTTCATATACAATACTGTTATTTTTGTTGTTATCATCATTATACTTTTAGAGTCAGGGTCTCACTCTGTCACTGGAGCTGCAGTGCAGTGGTGCAGTCACAGCTGACTCCAGCCTCAGTCTCTCGGGCTCAAGTGATCCTCACAACTCAGCCTCCCCAGTAGCTGGGACTACAGGCACGTGCCACCATGCCTGGCTATTTTTTTTCTAGAAATGGGCTCTTGCTGTGTTGCCCAGGCTGATCTCGAACTCCTAAGCTAAGGCTGTCCTCCGCCCTCAGCATCCCAAAGTGCTAGGATTATAGGCATTATCCACTGTGCCCAACCTATACAATATTTTAAAATAATTTTGTGCATGAGACAAAGTTTGTTTACAGCGAACCAACAGAAAGCAAAGGTTGACCAGGTTTGGTGGCTCACACCTGTAATCCCAGCACTTCAGGAGGCCAAGGGGGGTGGATCATTTGAGCCCAGGGGTTCAAGACCAGCCTGGGCAACATGGCAAAACCTTGTCCCTACAAAAAAATGCAAAAATTAGCCGGGTGTGGTGGCACACACCTGTAGTCCCAGCTACTCAGGAGGCTGAGGTGGGAGGATCTCTTGAGCCCAGGAGGTGGAGATTGCAGTGAGCCATGGTTGCACCACTGCACTCCAGCCAGGGTGGGCAATGGAGTGAGACCCTATCTGAAAAAAAGTAAAAAATAGATAGATAAATAAATAAATAAGACAGGAAGCAAAGGTGTCAGTTGTCAGTCTCTCGGTCATCCATGCAGAAAATCTGACATCATGTGAGCATTCCAAAAGTTAAAGATTTTGGAACATTTTGGATTTTGGATTTTCAGATGAGGAATGTCCACCTTGTACTGAGAAAGCCTTCATTTATTGGTAGGAGGGAGGAATCTAGGGAAATCTAAGGAAAGTACTCATGTCAGAAGTGTTTGAACCAGGGCGACTCTATCTTGAATAGGGGCTGGGTAAAATGAGGCCAAGACCTACTGGACTGCATTCCCAGGAGGTGAGGCATTCTAAGTCACAGAATGGGATAGGAGGCTGGCACAAGATACAGGTCTTGCTGGTAAAACAGCATGTGGTAAAGAAGCCAGCCAAAAGCCACCAAATCCAAGATGGCAACAAAAGCAACCTCTGGTCATTCTCACTAATCATTATACTCTAATTATAATGCATTAGCATACTAAGAGACACTCCCACCAGCACCATGACAGTTTACAGATGCTATGGCAACATCTGGAAATTACCCTATATGGTCTCAAAGGGAGAGAAACCCTCAGTTCCGGGAATTGTCCACTCCTTTCCCAGAAAAATAATGAATATTTCACCTCTTGTTTAGCATATAATCAAGAAATAACTATAAGTATCCTTTGTCCGGCAGCCCAAGCTGCTGCTGTACCTATGGAATAGCTATTCTTTACTTCTTTTCTTTTTCTTTTCTTTTTTTTTTTTTTTTGAGACAATCTTGCTCTGTTGCCCAGGCTGCAGTGCAGTGGCGCGATCTCGACTCACTGCAACCTCCACCTCCCAAGTTTGAGCAATTCTTCTGCCTCAGCCTCCTGAGTACCTGGGATTACAGGCATGAACCACCATGCCCAGCTAATTTTTGTATTTTTAGTAGAGACGGGGTTTCACCATGTTGGCCAGGCTGGTCTCGAACTCCTGACCTCTGGTGATGTGCCTGCCTTGGCCTCCCAAAGTGCCGGGATTACAGGCGTGAGCCACCGTGCCTGGCCATTCCTTTACTTTCTTAATAAACTTGCTTTCACTTTGCTCTGTAGATTCACCCTGAATTCTTTCTTGCACGAGGTCCAAGAACCCTCTCTTGGGATCTGGATGGGGACCGCTTTGTGGTAATACTCAGAACAGAAAATGAGTAATTATGGGGATCTTACTTCTTAAACCAAAGCAAGATAAGGTGTGTGTAATATCACACTTTCCTCTTAAACTGTGTCCCACATGTGTGACAATATCTAAATTCTTAAAATAAGGCCCTAAGGGTTCTCCTCAATTACCTAGGAGTTCCCTGGAAAGCAGATAATTATGAAGTGCTCTAACCAAATAACTTTATAGAGAAGGAGGTTTGCTTATCAGCCATTCTTTCGTTTTTCCTTCTGGAGTCCTGTACTTACATGTACACGCATACATCAGCCCTATATCAGCTCTGGGGAATGTTGTGTTTGGAATAAGCCAGCGAGTTTGTTGTGTTCCCATAATTTGTCCGGAGGTGAGCAGGTGACTCAATCTAATCTATGTTTAAAGATTGAAGAGAGGAAACCTAGGATTGGAGGATGGGGAAACAGGGGGAGTAAGGTGCAGGAGATTGTCATGGAAACCAACAAGAGTCCTGGCCTCAATCCACACCTCTGGTTACTAATGTGGATTTGAATCCACTTCCATCCATGAATATGCAAATGAAAAGTTTCTGAGACAGGTTTCAAGCAACTTAGAAAGTTTATTTTGCCAAGGTTAAGCATGCGCCTATGACACAGCCTCAGGAGATCCTGAGAATGTGCGCCCAAGGTGGTCGGGCTACAGCTTGGTTTTACACATTTTAGGGAGACATGAGAAATTAATCAATACATATCAGATGTCCATTGGTTCGGTCCAGAATGGCAGGACAACTTGAAGTGGGGACTTCCAGGTCATAGGTAGATTTAAAGATTTTCCGATTGGCAATTGGTTGAAAGAATTATTATCAATAGAAAGGAATGTCTGGGTTATGGTCAGGGGCTGTGGAGACCTAGGTTTTATGATGCAGAGGAAGTCTCCAGGTAGCAGGCTTCAGAGAATAAATTGTAAATGTTCCTTATTAGAGTCTGTTCTTTCAGTAATTCCAAAATGGGGGAGGGTATCATGAGCCATGCCCAACTTCACCTTCATGGCCTGAACACATTTTTCAGATTACACCTGAAAAATGGAACGCCCTTGCCAAGAGGAAGAGTCCATTCAGATGATGGGGGCGTGGGGACTTAGAATTTTATTTTAAGGCTTGTAGATACAACCATTCTATCTATGCATACAAAGAGGTATCTATCATACAAGAAGAACTCCCAATGGGCAGAACATCATTGTGTACACATTTGACTCTAGAATTCACTCTTCTTTTTGTGGCTAAACGGGCTTCTCATACAATCCACTAGGCTCAGAAAGGTTCACCAAAAAATACAATGGGTTCTTCGTAAAAGGCAAGAGTCAAATGCTAAGTTGATAGCTGTTTTTAATCATACAAAGAGCTGTGTTTAAATTGGATAATGGGTGTGTAATAATACATTCTCTTCTTTATGACTTGACATCATTATGAAATATGAGCTCTGGCTAAAGCTCAGGATAATGTGGGAGAGAATTAAGTTGAGAAAACCAGTTTCTTTCATAATGGACAACTGAGAAAAGTTTTGGGATTTCCATTACAGCAGATTTTTTGAAGACTCACTTAATGTTTTCTGCAGGATGGCTTAGCATTCCTAAATTCAGTTGAGTACCAGGATATTATAAGGCTTTTCTGTTTATTTTTGTAACAATCTGTTTTCGGAGAACCTTCTCTGACATAGACATTTTGCTTGGGGCCAAGAATACAATGATCACATGGATGACACATTCACTCTCTTTATGAAGTTTACAGACACACTGCAAATAATGAAGTAGACGAAGAATTAATGTCAGTAAGAAGACTGACTCCAGAGAAAAGTGCTGATTCCTTAACTACCTAGGAAGAAGCAAATACAGATTCCTTTTGTTTGAAGATGTGTTTATATTTGGAGATATTCAGGAAAACAGGAAGCCCTCAAAATAGTACATTGAAAGTCCACTAACATGGAAAGTCTCCATAAGCCAGTCAATAGCATTTGTAATCTGCATTATATAATGCACTGTTCTGCTTTCTTAACTAGACTTTTTTTTTGCTAAGTAGGTTTGTGTATTAGTCAGGGTTCACCAGTGGGACAAACCTAATAGGATCTATGTGTATATGAAAGGGAGTTTATGAGGGAGCATTGGCTCACATGATCACAAGGTGAGGTTCCACGATAGGCCATCTGCAAGTTGAGGAAGTAGGAAGCCAGTAGTGGCTCAGTCCAAATCCCAAAGTCTCAAAAGTAGGGAAGCTGACAGTGCAGCCTTCAGTCTGTGGCCGAAGGCCTGAGACCACCTGGCAAGCCACTGGTGTAAGTCCAAGGGTCCAAAAGCTGAAGAACCTGGGGCCTGATGTCCAAGGGCATCCAGTACGGGAGAAAGATGAAGACCAGAAGCCTCAGCAAGTCTGCTCTTTTCAACTTCTCCTGCTTGCTTCATTTTAGCCGTGCTGGCAGCTGATTGGATGGTGCCCACCCACACTGAGGGTGGGTCTTCCTCTCCTAGTCCACCGACTCAATGTCAGTCTCCTCTGGCAACACCCTCACAGACACACCCAGAAACAATACTTTACCAGCTATCTAGGCGTCCTGCAATCCAATCAAGTTGACACCTAATATTCACCATCACAGTTGATAAGCAACCTAGTTTATGATAATCTGCTATAGCTGCCTGAAAAAAAAACTAAGTAGGTCTTAGACCACGACTTTGCCCCATATTATCAAAATTAGGACAAACTTTTTTTATTATATGTCTGGGACTGACAAAACAATCACTCTTAGACAAAAATTAAATTGTTAGCTATGATGACCAGTGCTGAGAAGATCACATGATGGATACCCTAAAAGCCCTGACTTCACCACTATGCAATCTATGTCTGTAACAAAGTTGCACTTGTACCCCATAAATGGACACAAATAACATAATTGAATTTGCTTTTCAATGATCTTTAAGCATCATTTTCACTCAAGTTAGAAAATGTTTTGTGTCAAGTAGAAATAACTCACAAGGATTTAGTAAAAGCGTGGTAGATCCAGGCTGACATCTCTGCCCTTGGCAAATAGCACCCAAACATCTTGTCTTTCCTAATTTAGAGGCCTCTCCTGTAACCTTGTCAATGAGTGTAGTCCACTATCAAAGCCAAAGTGAAACAAAACCCTTTGCTCTCTGCCCATGGGAGCTAAAGTGTGGAATTGCAACGAGGTCCAGAGAGAAATGCAAGAAGGTCTGTTAGATTCGTGAATCAATGGATGCAAGTAGGTCACTAATCAAAGCCTCAGTTGCAAAAACGACTGCTTGTCTAGCATGACTTCAGCTGCAATAACAAACTGCCAAAGACTGGGTGGCTTATAAACCACAGAAATTCATTTTTCATGGTTCTGGAGGCTAGAAGTCCAAGATCGAGATGCCAGCGGCTCTGGTGTCTGGTGAAGAAACTCTGTCTGGTTTGTCGACAGCTATATTCTCATTGTGTCCTCGCATGGCAGAGGGTGGGAGGAGAGAAAGGGAGGGAGGGAGGAGAGAGAGAGGAAGTGAGAGAGAGAGAGGAAGAGAGAGAAAGAGAGAGACAGAGAGAGAGAGGAAGAGAGAGAAGGAGAGTGAGAAAGCCCCAGAAAGGGGGAGACACAAACACTCAATCAACATCACCCACATTTAAGGTATTGGACATTTGGGTGCTGATATTTTGAGATAATTTTACTTCTATTCAAAATTAGATCTGTCTTCTACACAGAATCCATGTATTCTTTATTTTTATAGATTAAGTCCTGGTTCTTCTAGAGAAATGACAGACTCGGAGAGCAGGAAATGAGTGTGTTTACTTAACAACACTTAAAAGTGATCCCACTCACTGTGAAGGTCAGGCAGAGTACAGTCTTTTTGTAAATTAGTATTATTTTGTATTTTTAATCACAGATCCAGGTTGTGCAACTTTTCAACCCAGCAGTACTTTTACTTGGCATTAGGAAAAGGCCCTTTGAAGTTTGATGACGATGATTTTTTTTTTTTTTTTAAAAAGGATGTTGAGAGGTTGGATGGACTCTCATGCACCACAAATGAGCTTTTTCTTCTTTGCAGAAAAGCCTGTTGCTTGAATGGGTGTCTTTACCTAAACTTAAAAGCAAATGCTATCAACAGTTTAGATAAAACCTTTTTAATCATAGTCCAAGCTGAGCTCTGCTTTGCTGTGGATTTGCTGTCCTTGTGTGTGATTTGCCGCACTTCACACTGATAACCTTGAACTATGTTCTCAGTTTATTATAACAAAAAACAATCAAATTATGCAAAATCTTATTTTGTAAAACGAGTTTGATGATTGCTTAAATCTTAGTCATGTTTTAATGTTAGTATACTCTTCTCTCAGTGAAGTTATGCATTTTTAATATCTAAGAATAGTATTATATATTATTCTACATGTTTGCTACCCACACATTGAGTAACATAAAGATGACTTCCTACCGCCCCTGCATTTTCTTCTGTGCTTACTTTTTTTTAAAACCGTTAATTAGAATCTATGTTGCTAAAAAACATGTTGCAACACAAAAACTGGCCTGTGTTCTCATTTCAGCACATGCATTTTAAAAGAGATGCTTTCTTCTCCATTGGGGAAGAAGATATGGCTGACACTGACTCTATCTTCTCTAACGCCTTTCTTTCACCCCACTTCTCTTATCTCCCTTCTTTTAACTTGAAAGAACAGGAGTTGAGATTTCTCTCAACACATAACATTCCAAAGGAAATAAATTCTTAAATGGAAACTTACCAAACTTCTCATTCTCTATTTCCTTCCAACTTTTTCATAAACACCCAGATGATTTTTTTTGGTATAAAGTCATTTTTCATGGGAAACCTGGAAGAGTTGTTGAAAGAATATGCAGTGCTATTTTCTCTGTAGCTCTGACTTAGTTTCTGCAGTACATTGAGGTTAAAAATGATAGAGTTCTAAGGGAGGAAGCTGAGGAAGAGAATGAACTGAAACCTAGGAATTACAACCATTGTGTGAAGTCTGTTTTGAGATGAACAGAAACTATTAGGTTGGTGCAAAAGTCATTGCGGTTTTTGGCTGGATGCAGTGGCTCACGCCTGTAATCCCAGCACTTTGGGAGGCCGAGGCTGGCAGATCACTTGAACTCAGGAGTTCTAGGCCAGCGTGGCCAACATGGTGAATCCCCGTCTCTACTAAAAATACAAAAACTAGCCAGGCATGGTGGCTCACACGTGTAATCTCAGCTACTCAAGTGGTTGAGGCAGGAGAACCGCTTGAACCCAGGGGGCAGAGGCTGCAGTGAGCCGAGATCACACCACTGCACTCCAACCTGGGTGACAGAGTGAGAACGTGTCTCAAAAAACAAACAAACAAAAACCCTTAATCCTCAGTGCAACAGTGCGGGGGTGGGGCTTTTGGGAGATGTTTAAGTCATGAGGGCTTCACCTTTATGAGCAGATTAATAAAATAAATGAGAGGAAGTGAGTTTGGTTCCCCTCTTGCTCTTCTCCCTTTCACCATGGGAGAATGCCACAAGAAGGCCCTTGCAAGATGCCAACATCCTGATCTTCGACTTTCCTGCTTCTAGAACTGAAGGAATAAATTTCTGTTCTTTATAAATTACTCAAGTCTTGAGTATTCTGCTATAGCAGCACAAAACAGACCTAGGCCCCATGCCCTCCAGTGTCTCCATCCACAAAGTTATTTGATGGAATCTTCATAGATCAGTCTTCCTAAATTGCTGTTTTGCTCTTGCCAGTTCTCATTTCCAAAATGTTTTAGCAATTCCCCGTTGACTAAAGGATGGAATTGCAGATGAAAATTGAGAACTAGAAGACACCATAGGGCTATACTCTCTACCCCTGCACATAGAAATGAAGAAAGTATCCTGCTAGTGAAAATTCCTATTTGTTGGCTAATATGATTATATCTTGAAATTTCTTAGTGGTGGTGGATGGTGCATTACTCCATGTCACCTGGCCCCATTGACTTTCTGTGTTCTTCCACATTTTACTTTTTTTCCTTTTAAAAGTCAGGGTCTCACTCTGTCACCCAGGCTAATGTGCAGTGGTGCAATCATAGCTCACTGGGGCCTGGAACTCCTGGGCTCAAGCAATCCTCCCACATCAGGCTCCTGAGTAGCTGGGACCACAGGCTGACACCATTGTCCTCAGCTAACCTTTTCTTTAATTCTTTGTAGAGATGGAGTTTCACTATCTTGCCCAGGCTGGTCTCAAACTCCTGGGCTCAAGTGATCCTCCTGCCTCGGCTCCCCAAAGTTCTGGGATTACAGACATGAGCCACTGCACCTGGCCTTGTGTTCTCTCACATTTTAGCAACTTTGGCTGAAGGTGTAACAGCAATAATGTTCAAAAAGTAACTTTTATTAAAAATAAGCATTAAGCATCATAGCATCAATGTATTCTCTTTTAATAACATTGACTTTCTCCCGTTAATTTTCCCTTTATAAAACGTACGTAAGGGATATAAACACATTTGCAAAATCAAACCTATTTTGTATTTGTATCCTACCAAACACAAAATAATAATAATGATAATAATAATAGTTATAAATAAGAAATAAATAAAATATTTCTAAATATTTTATTTAGATTTAGATTTATTTATATAATTATTCTAAATAATTCTACAATAAAATTATTCCATAGCCTCATATATTTCAACTCAAAAGTGATCTTGGCTGGTGCAGTGGCTCACGCCTCTAATGCCAACACTTTGGGAGACTGAGGTGGGAGAATCGCTTGAGTGCAGGAGTTTGTGACCAGCCTAGGCAACATAACGAGATCTCATGTCTACAAAAAAAGGTTATCTCACATGCCACATGCCCTTCAGAAACTGATAGACTATATTGATAATCACCTCTAAATTAACAACATAAAGAAGGTGAATAGTACAAGTTTTCCCCAATTCAATCAAATAATAATCCAAAATCTGAAATTCTGAAAGAACAAAGTAGTCTTGGGCACCAAGCCATGATTTACAAAATACTCTTAGATGGCTTGAAAAATCTATGGCTCTTCTTATAATACTAGATTTCTTAGATAGGTCCAGTAGACTGGTAGACTTTTTTATGGTTTTATGCATTTTCTCTTTTTAAAATTTTTATATTTAATTTGAGATCTGGGGTACATGTGGAGGATGTACGGGTTTGTTACATAGGTAAACGTGTCCCATGGTAGTTTGCCACACCTATCAACCCATCACCTAGGTATTGAGCCCGGCATGCATTAACTATTTTTCTTGGTGCTCTCCCTCCCCCTGCTCCCCTGATAGGCTCCAGTGTGTGTTGTTCCCCTCCCTGTGTCCATGTGTTCTCATTGTTTCTCTCCCACTTTTAAGTGAGAACATGCTGTGTTTGATTTTCTGTTCCTGCATTCGTTTGCTGAGGATAATGGCTTCCAGCTCCATCCATGTCCCTGCAAAGGACATGATCTCATTCCTTTTCAGGGCTGCATAGTATTCCATGGTTTATATGTACCATGTTTTCTTTATCCAGTCTACCATTGATGGGCATTTGGATTGATTCTATGTCTTTGCTATTGTGAATAGTGTTGCAATGAACATATGCACACATGTATCTTTGTAATAGAATGATTTATACTTCTTTTGGTATATACCCAGTAATGAGATTACTGGATCAAATGGTATTTCTGGTTCCAGATCTTTGAGGAATCGCCACCCTGTTTGTGTGCATTTTTTACTGTTGCATAACAAATTACAAACTTGGTGGCTTGAAACTATCCCCATTTATCATCTTGGAGTGATATAGGTCAGATATCTGGACATGTTCTGGCTGGGTTCTCTACTCAGGGTCTCCCCAGGCTGAAATCAAGGTGTTATCAGGGTTGCAGTGTCATCTGAAGCTGGGTGCCTTCTTCTCAGCTCCCTGGTTGTTGGCAGAATTGAGTTCCTAGAGGCTGAAGGAGTGTGTCTCTAACTTGTTTCTAGCTGTTAGCCAAAGCCATACTCAGCTTCTACAGGTAGCTGGCCCTATGGCCCTTTCCACAACATGGCAGTTTTTTTGTCTGCAAGGTCATCAGGGGAATTTCACTGCTACTTTGGATGTCTGACTTCCCTGTGTCTGACTCTAGGCCCAGTTTTAGATGGCTCATGTGATTAGGTCAAGCTTCCCTTTCTTAGGGTCCACCTATTTGGGACATTAATGATGTCTGCAAAATCCCATCACAGCAACACCCAGATATGTGTTTGACTGAACAATGTGCGTGCTTACCAGGGCCCAAAGTCTTGGCAGCCATCTTGGAATTCTGCTTCCTACAATTGCCTATTCACACAACGAAATATTACACAGCAGTCAGGAAGAATGGATGAGAGCCATCAGCAGGCTGGAGACCCAGGGAAGGGCTGATGTTGCAGCTTGAGTTTGAAGGCATTGGAGGCAACAGTCTCTCTTCTGCAGGGACCTCACTCTTTTCTCCTAAAGCTGATTGGATGACGCCAGTCCCTACATGAAGGTCTAGCTATGGATTCAGGAGCTTTGAAGGGCTCAGAACCACTTTCTCTGTTGGAGACCATGTAGAGGTTGGACACAATAATTTAAACATCCACAGTCATCTATCATTTTGTATCATAAATACCTGGTCTAAGTACAGCATTTATCGAGCTCGTAACTGGTGACTGTCTAGCCCATCAGTTGGTGTGACCACAGAAAGGTGCTAGAATCTAGGAGTGGTGACCTAGAAGGACAATGGCAAACATCACCTTTCTTCTTGGGTAATTTGCAACAGAAACTGTTTATTCACTGCTCTACCTCCCTCCCTACCGCTTATGGACTGACTTGTGTCCCTGCTAAATTTATAAGTTGAAGCCTAAACCCCAGGACCTCATTTAAATATAGGTTTCAAGTATGACTAAAATGACTGCATTTGAACATTGGGTCTTTCAAGAGGTACTTAAGGTAAAATGAGGTCACTAGAGTGGGCCCTGATCCAATAGAACTGGTGTCTTATAAGAAGAGGAAATGAAGACACAGACACACACAGAGGGCTGATCACATGAGGACACAGGGAAAAGATGAGTCCACAAGCCAAGGTAAGAGGTTTCAAGAGCAACCAGCTCTGCCTACACCTTGATCTCAGATTTCCAGCTTTTAGAACCATAAAAAGACAGATTTCTGAGTTTTAAGCCACCAAGTCTGTGAAACTTTGAGACAACTTTAGCAGACGAATGTACTACCCTCACCAGCAAAAGACAAGTCTAAGTTCTTGGCCAAGTATGGTGTTGTGGTTGAGTCCTCTGGGACTCATGAGATGGTGTAGCCTCATAAGTGGGACTAGTGTCTGTATAAAAGGGACCCCAGAGAGCTCCCTCACCCTTTCCACCATGTGAGGTCACAGCGAGAAGACGCCGTCTATGAACCAGGAAGTGGGTCCCCACCAGACACTGAATCTGCCACGCCTTGATCTTGGACTTCCCAGCTTCTATAACTGTAAGCAATAAGTTTCTGTTTATAAGCAACTCAGTTTATGATAATCTGCTGTAGTAGCTGAAAAAACTAAGAAGCAGGTCTTAAACCATGACTGCCTTATATTATCAAAATTTGAACAAATATTTCTTATTATATGCCTGGGACTGACAAAACAATCTCCATTAAACAAAAATTAAATTGTTAGCTATAAGACCAGCGCTGAGGACGGTGAGGGAGTGGGAAGACAGGATGCATGGGAAACAACTTAATGGGTGCCATGTACATCACTCACATGATGGATGCCCTAAAAGCCCTGACTTCACCACTATGCAATCTACGCCTGTAACAAAATTACACTTGTACCCCATAAATGGACACAAATAACATAATTGAATTTGCTTTTAAATGCTCTTTAAGCATCATTTTTAATATTGTCTTCACTCAAGTTAGAAAATGTTTGGTGTCAAGTTGAAATAACTCACAAGGATGTGGTAAAAGCGTGGTAGATCCAGGCTGGTATCTCTGCTCTGTATTTTGTTAACTATCTGTCTTTATGAAAGCCATTTCTATTGGCATCAATTTTTTTCAGCTGCAACATGAAGGCATGCATTAAATAATTTTTGAGATGCATTGCAACTATAAATCATTGATAATTTTTGTAACAAGAAGATTCACAGCTGCGACATGAAGGCATGCGTTTAGTAACTTTTAAGATGCATTGCAACTATGAATCATCGATAATTTCCAAGATTCACTTGGAATTCCATTTCTTGCATGAACTTGCATTTAATTCCATATGTTAGAGGGAGTTGGAGGGGGAAAATGAGATTTTATTCCAGGGAAGGATATAAAGGGTGTTAAACATTTTTTGCTATGTAAATATACAGGTCAGCTTTGCAGAAATTTTAAACATTTTGCAATGGGAAGCACAGGGTCCTTGGCATCTCAAGAAAACATCTGTAAACCTCAATAATATGGGAAGAATCACAGGGTTTTCAGGTTTGTAGTTTTAGGAGGCTTAGAAGATTATGATGAGAATTTCTTTAGGCTCCAGAAAAAATTGTCTCTCTTTTTTCACAGCTGCTTTTTGGTGTTTCTTGAGGCTTTATTTTAACAACCATGTGCACATGTGATTTTATTATAAGCCACATCAAATCCTTTGATTCTATGTGGAGGCATATGGAGTGTAAATTATGTATAAATGAGCAGTGAGCATACATTTGGCTATCCTAGGCAGTTTTGTGGTTTGTGGCAGAAAATTGCTGTGTGTGAGAGCACCTAGGAGGAGAGATGTGGCGTTTGATGTCCAGAGACAGATAGGACTCAGTAACTACTATGGACAGATGAGAAGGAAGGCTCATTATGTTTTCTCTTTGAAACAGCTTTCTTGGGATATAATTTGCATACCACACAATTCACCCATTTATTTCTTATTTTTATTTTTTATAGATAGGGTCTTACTCTGTCACCCAGGCTGGAGGGCAGTGGCGCGATTATGGATCACTGCAGCCTCAGCATCCTGGGCTTAAGTGATCCTCCCACCTCAGCCTCTCAAGAAACTGGGACTACCAGCATGTGCCAGCATGCTTGCCTGATTTTGTTGTTGTTGGGGTCTTGCTATGTTGCCCCAGCTGGCCTTAAACTCCTGGACTCAGGTGATCCTCCCACCTCAGCCTCCCAAAGTACTGGGATTACAGGTGTGAGCTACCACATCCAGCCCAGTTCTCCCATTTTAAGTATAACACGCAATCATTTTTAGGACATTCATAGTTGTGCAACAATCACCACAATCAACTTTAGAACATTCTCATCAATTCAACAAGAAATTCCACACTTTTTAGCTATCCTTGCATTATTCCTCCAATTACCCCTGATCCCACATCCCTTGGCAACCAGTAATCTGCTTTCTGTCTATGGATTTGCTTATTCTGAACATTTCCTATAAATGGAATCATACCATATGTGGTCCTTGGTGACGAGTTTCTTTCACTGAGCTTAATGTTTTCAAGGTTCTTCCACATTGTAGCGTGTGTCAAAGCTTCTTTCTTTTTTAAGGCTGATTAATATTCTATTGTGTATGGCTAGAACACATTTTCATGATAACATTCAAAGAGTCAGAAACAAGTCTACAGGCTTTCCAGGCCAAATTCTAGGTGTGGTTTCTCTCGGCAAAGCATTCTCCCTGAACCCCCAGAGCTGATTGCTGTATCGGGCCCTGTCCTGGTAAGGACAGAGAGTGACATTAACTCATCTCTCTTTCTTGGGCCTCACAGTCGTCTGTGTGATCGCTGCCAGCACAATGTGGAAGGGAAGTCTTGGTTTGGCTAACTGCAACGTACTCATGGCTCAGATTCTGACCAAAAGAGTTATTTCATTAAAGACAGACAGGGCAGGTAGAAAAGCAAAGCGCTTGTAAACAAACCATGATGGGCTTCTCCCTTCCCCCTCTTTGCTTCCTTCCTTCCTTCCTTTCCTTCCTTTCTTTCCTTTCCTCCCTCCCTTTCTCCTTCCTTCTTTCCTTCCTTCGTTCCTTTCCTTCCTTTCCTCCCTTCCTTCTTTCCTTCTTTCCTTCCTTCCTTCCTTCCTTCCTTCCTTCCTTCCTTCCTTCCCTTCCCTTCCTTCCCTCCCTCTCACTCTCCTTCCTCCTTCCTTCCTTTTCTTTCCTTCTTTCTCTTTCTTTCTTTCTTTCTTTCTTTCTTTTCTTTCTTTCTTTCTTTCTTTCTTTCTTTCTTTCTTTCTTTCTTTCTCTCTCTTTCTTTCTTTCCTTCCTTCCTCTTTCTTTCTTTCTCCCTCCTTTCTTCTTTCTTTCTCCCTCCTTTCTTCTTTCTTTCTTTTTTTCTTTCTTTCTGTCTTAGAGACGGTTTCACTCTGTTCTCACCCAGGCTGGAGTACAGTGGTGTGATCATAGCTCACTGCAGACTCAAACTCATGGGCTCAAGTGTCCTTCCACCTCATCCTCCCAAGTAACTGGGGCTACAAGTGTGTGCTATCATGCCTGGCTAATATTTTTATTTTTATTTTTGTAGAGACAGGGTTTCAATATATTGCTCAGGCTGGTCTCGAACTCCTGGGCTCCAGTGATCCTCCCACCTTGGCCTTCCAAAATGCTGGGATTATAGCTGAGAACCACCTTGCCTAGACCCCTGTCTTTCTGAAGGACTGAACACACTACTTGGGTCAGCCAAGGCAGAGAGATGTCTTAAGGCCAGTAAAACAAGCAACGAAGTGAGCCCTCAGAGGAGGGGGCTATTTCACAAGACCACTCTCACTTCGGACACCAGTTGCAGGTTGAGAAGAGTTCCCAAAACTACCCTCAAGTTTAGTAGTTCCCTAGAAGGACTCACAGAACTCACTGGAAGATGTTACACTCACATTTGTGGTTTATTACAGTGAGAGGATGACAGATCACAGTCAGCCAATGGAAGAGGTGCATGGGATAGAGGTCCAAGCCAAGTACCAAACAGAGCTTCTATTATCCTCTCCCCTTGGAGTCAGGGAAGTGTTGGTTTCTAGGCATCAGTGTATGGCAATATGCATGAAGTGTTGCCAACTTGGGTGTAGTAGTCCATTCCTGCCTTGTTATAAAGAATAAATGGAGTCTGGGTAATTTATAAAGAAAAGAGGTTTAATTGGCTCACAGTTCTGCAGGCTGTACAGGAAGCATGATGCTGGCATCTGCTTCTCAGGAGGCCTCAGGAGGCTTTCAGTCACGGCATAGGGTGAAGGGAGAGTAGGTGTCTCACGTGGTGGAAGCAGGAATGAGAGAGTGAGGAGGGGCTACACACTTTTAAATGACCAGATCTCATGAGGGCACACTCACTATCACAAGGACAGTACGAAGGGGAATGGTGCTAAACTATTCATGAAAAATCCACCCACAGGATCCAATCACCTCCCACCAGGCCCCACTGCCAACCTTGGGAATCACATTTCAGCATGAGATTTGAAGCATATCCAAACCATATCACTGGGCATATCACCTGAGCCTTGGGGTTCAGTGTTTACTGAGGCTTCATTGTGATTGATTAATTGTCTATGTGGCTGATCATTCTCCAGTCTCACTGGAAGTCTACCAATACCATGGAACCTGAATCCCATTGTTACTAATGGATGTGGCTACCCTGACTCCAAATCACACTGTTAGACTGCCCAGTGTGAACCAACACCCCTACAGAAACAAATACACTCCTGTCTTTGTTTGGCACACATTCCAAAGGCTTAGATGTCAAGTTTTAGAGTCAACGCCAAACCCAGACCTCTCCTTGAGCAAAGTTAAATTCTAGCCAACTCCAAAGCCCAGACCTCTCCTTGAGCAACGTTAAACTCTTTACCTCCAGGTCTGCAGAACTGAACAGATGTCCACATCCTAATCCCCCATGTGGGAGACAGAATAATGCCCCCAAAGATGCCCACATTCTAATCCCCATGTGGTGGAAAAAATAATGTCCCCAAAGATGTCTGCATCCTAATCCCCATGTAATAGAATACTGGCCCCAGAGATGTCCACATCCTAATCCCCATGTGGTAGACAGAATAATGGCCCCAAAGGTGTCCATGTCCAATGAATATGTTGATTTACATGGTAAAGCAGACTTTGCAGATGAGATCAAGTTAAAAATCTTGAGATGGGGAGATTATTCTGGATTATTTGGGTGGATTCAATGTAGTCTCAGTGGTTCTTATAGAAGGAAGGCAGGGATTCAGAAAAAGAGAAAGAGGAGATGTGACAAAGAGAGTGGAGGTTGGCGTGATGCAGGAAGAAAGAAGGCACCACAAGCCAAGGAATACAGCAACCTCTAGAAGCTGGAAAAAGCAAGGAAACAGATTCATCCATGGAGCATCCAGAAGAACCATTCTTGCAGACACCCTTATTTCAGCCCAGTGAGGCTCAGTTAAATTTCTGTTTTGGCCACTGAAATGAAGCCCCTTCCTTTATAAGGCAAAATACCTAGACCAGCAGCCAGAGGAGTCATGGTTTAAGGTCCTCAGTGGCCTGCGAGTGTCAATGTTGCTACCTTTGGCTGTACCTACAGCCAGCAGCTGCAACCCCCACTCATGGCATAAGATGCCAAAAACTGCAAGGTCACAGGAACATGCAGCCAGCACTTTACGCAGCCTCCATGGGGCTACACAAGAAACCCTGATATTGCAAAACAGCTCAGAGTTCATTGTTTCTCAGCATCCTTCTCAGGGTCTCCTAGATGATGACTTTGGGCATTTAAGGAGCAATTTATGTGTGCCCCTCCCCACTTGGTTAGGAGCCCACTGCAAAGTCTACAGGGGGTTTGGGGAGAAATAAGGACTTCTGTCTATCACTGCTCCAGTTACAATGGAAAGAGAGCCTGTCACATGACCCAAGCAGGCTCCCCCTCCTCCTGCACATGAGCCTATGCTACTGGATGGAAGGAAAAGAAGCTCAAAGCTGCCTTCTCTTAATATCCTTCTCTGACTCAATGATTCCTACCTGGAGGTGGAAGATGCTGAGAGGACACACACGTTTTTATGGAGGGAGAGAAGGAGAGAGAAGAATGGAGGAAGAGAGAGGGAGAGAAGGAAAGGAAGGAAGAGAGAGAAGAAAGAAGAAAGAGAGAGGGATGAAGGAAGAGAGAGGAAGAAAGGGAGAGAAAGAAGGAAGGAAGGAGGGAGGGAGGGAGGGAAGGAAGGAAGGAAGGAAAGAGAGAGAAAGAAAGAGAGAGAAAGGGAAGGAAGGGAAGGGGAGGAGAGGAGAGGAGAGGAAAGAAAAGAGGAAAGGAAAGGAAAAAAATGAAAAGAGGGAGGCAGAGTGAGACAGAGAGTCAGAGAGAGAAAGAGGAAGAAAGAGAGAGGAAAGGAGAGAATAAGAAGGGGGAAATGGAGAAATATAAAAAGGACCAAAAAAAGAAGAGAGGGGGGAGGGAAGGAGAGAGAAAGAAGGAGGAGGAGGAGAGAGAAAGAAAGAAAAACAGGAAGCAGAGGGGAGAAAGAGAAGGAAGTAAGAGAAAGAGAGGGAAAGAGGGTGAGAGAGATAGAGGAACGAATGGTAAATAGAGAGAAGGGAGAAATGGAGAAAGGGAGAAGAGATTAAGAGAAAGAGAAGGAGAGCAGACAGAGAGAGAGATGAGATAGTCAGAGAGATATGAATGGAGGAAGGAAAGGAGAAAGAGAGAGAGAAAAGAAGGAGAAGGAGGAGGAGGAAGAGGAGGAGGAGGAAAGAGAAAGAGAAAGAAAAGAGGGGGAGGGAGAAAGAGAAAGAAGGAAAGAGAGCCAGACAGAAAGGAACAAATGGATAAACAGAGGAAGGAAGGGATGGAGAAAGAGAGGAGAAAAGGAGAGAGAGGGAAGGAAGGAGGGAGTCAGGGAGAAAGAGAGACACTGTGTGCTTGAAGAAAAGTTACAGGACTGGCTATCATTTCCTCCGGAGGCCAACAAAACTCTCCCTGCTCGCTAAGCCCCACTGAATATATTTGAAAGAGCTAGTAAGAGATAAAATAAAATTGCTTTGTGATTATACTCAATGAGTCATGCTTGTTCGACACACCAGTTACATATGCTTTCCCCCTAAGAGCCCTCAAGAAATACCAGTCCTATAGTGTAATAGAGTTGGATCTCCAAGAGCTGTTTAGGAGCAAGAACTCAGCCGACAGGATTTCTGGAGAATTTCTCCTGGCTTGTCTCTGATCAAGCAACGTCACCAAGAGGCGATTATTAACCCCATTGATGTTGGATTCCTCACTTAGAGAAATGACGGAATGACTCCTTGTTCATCCTCAGAGCTCCTTTTATTTTCAAAGTTCTATCTCCTAGGTAAAGATTAAATTTCTGTATTTTATACTAAACAACTCCAGGCTCTAACCGTGTTCGTCTGCCCATGTGTTCAAGATGGGCACGCACATCAGAATATCTTGAACTTGCTGGAAGAAGTTAAGGAGCATTCATGGTCTCCATCTTAGGTGTTTTGGAGGGTCTGTAGAAGGTTGGGGCTATTGCTGCTACAGAGACCATGACTGACTTCATGAGGCTTGTTCTGATTGTTCACAACAATGGGGTTTGGACAAGAAGATGAAGGTGATGTGACAGGGTTAGATCCTGGAGAAACTCAACTCACTTTGGACAGATAATGGGTGTAATGTCCCCTGATTGTCTGGACTTGACAGCAGAGGGCAGCCCACACTTGGACTGGCATTATTCAGCACATGTGCCATTACATGTCATTAACCTTAACATGAAACTTTCACCTCTCAGCCCAGATGTCTTACCCAAAACTTTCTGGGTTTGTGGGTTGATGGGATATCTCTTGGTTGACTGGATTGTTGGCTTGGTGGCTGGGTTTTGCATCTCTGACACTGTCTTCATCTTTTGTCCTCCTGGCTTGAATTTTGGGATGAGGTATTCTGCAGTAGGCAGGCCTATGCAAACCTTTCCCCAAAAGTCCAAGAAAGCTGAGAAGTCAAAGAGAGAGGCTGACACATCTAGTTTCTCAGAAAAAACAAACAAACAAAAAAAACCCCAAAACATTTCATAGGTACTTAAAAACAGAAGCCATGTTTGTGTCTTGGATGGCAGAGAGAGAAGATGGTGGATCTCCACACCACTACCCCCAAATAACCCAGGACTTATATACCATGGAGTAAGGGGTGTGTAGGATGATTGTTTAAGGGCAGGATTTATGGCAAGAACATGCTCTTACACAAGGAACAGTAGATAGAATAGAAATCTTAGAGGCATGCCTGGAACTAGGGTCAATCAGAAGTCAACATGGTGGATTAGCATTCAAGATGGAGCTACTTTAGCCTCCACATGAAGATACTTTGATGATGAATGATGCACCTGTTCTAAAACATGGGTGGGCTGACACCTCAGCACTGGCCCTGGTTTTGTCTCCAGGACTCTCAGCAACTGCAGACCTCACAACTATAGGAACAAGCTTCCTACTCAGGTCCTCTGGCTCTCCAGAGCCTCTCTGTTTCTGAACTGTACTGACAATCCCTGATTCTTTACATGAGTTCCTCACCACTTGCCTCATCCCAGCCGTGAGACTTCTGGATAGGCACAACCACGTGATTATATTATCAAAGGCTTGCCTTCCAACTGAAATAACCTTATAGGAAATTGTTTTGACATTTCAATAAAATAAACCCTCTTGAAGAGAAGCCAACACAAATAACCTTTGTAATAAATTCTGCTGTGCTATAGTAAGATAGTCACAGGAGTTCACTTCCATTCATTGAAAGTTTAGGGGAAAAAAGGGGGAAATCTTACAAGAATATAAGCTCATTCAGTTCATGCGTTCCTAGAAGGAGAGGTTGAGTTTGCATAGCTTGGCTCTTTCTCAAGTCCAAGTCTAGTCAAGAGGCAGTCTTTATAAACAATGATAGACAACTTTTCTGGGGAAAGATTTGTTTGGAAAGAAATGGAGGATAATTCAAAAGAGGTGATTGAAGCCTTAGTACAGTGGGCTTTAAATGATGGGTTGTGTAGTGTTTATTTCTTCCTGTTGGTGGAGGAGAGTGATTAAGGGCTTTTCCTACCTTAAGGTGATCAAAGTGGTATTTTCATAAGATTAATCTGGCGGCAGAATGCAGATAGTTCTCAGCCTCCCCACCCATCCTTGGCGTATATAGAGCACCTGGGGGCACATATGTCCAAGACAGAGACGTATACAGGCAAAGTAATGCTTTAATCTTATGTCTCAGACTAAACATAACTCAGAGGAAGACAATGTTGGGAAGAGCACCAAGAACTTAAGACATTTGTGCACATTCCACATTAGCCATCTTTTACATCACCCCTCGGAGCACGAGAGCTCTTTCACTTACTTTTGGCCAAATTGGATACAGTTTGCCTTCGTAATATGAGGGCTATATAGAGGCATTTCCCAAAATAAAAGAGTTTATACGTTTGACCCATCCCAGATTTTGTTCAATGCTCTAGTTCATGCTTTGGTGGTTTCCTCAGACACAGCTGAATTTATAAACATTCTGAGATGTCCCATAGATAGAGGATTCAACCTCAGTTCTTCCACCTAGCACACTTGCTTATAAAATGACATGTAACCTATGAGTTGGCTGAAGCCATGCTGAAAGCCAATTTTTAGGTTCCAAAGCAGAGAATCTTACAAGGATGTGCTCATTTTCACTTTGAGACACTGAAAGAGTTGGTGTCTAGGTGGTCTGGGATAATAACCTAAGCACATAATAGCTCTAAGCACGTTGTCATTAATCCTTTTATTGGCCATAGACCTCCATGTGGCTAGCCAACTGTAAAGAACACCACCCACCTCAGTGGAAAGCAGGTGAAGGGGAGAAATGCCTCAACCCACTCAACATTAGTAATAGTCAGAATGGAACTGATAGAATAAACCCTGGGCTCACCCCTTAGAGGAAAACTTAAGAGCTTATCTTCCTTTTATATTTTTCATTCTGTAATGAGATTGCTTTTTGCTAGTCTACCAATATATATGCTATTCATTTTTAATGCAAGAAAAAAATATGCATACCTAATACAAACACACACACATGTATGTGTATATGTGTGTGTATGTGTGCATGTATTAGGTAAGTATGTGTGTATGCATGTGTATTTTTTCTTGCATTAAAAAAAAGATAACAGAATCTTTGACCACAAGATTTTGGGTAAAATACCACTTTAGTTTATGGAATAGCAACCTAGTAAAAGAGCATGAATGTTGAAAGTTATAAAGTCAGAATTCTTTGAGGATCAAAGACTTTTTCAGCCCATCAAACATCCAAGAGTAATTCAATGTGAAAATAGGATTTCTTCCCCTTGTGGGGGATTCCTCAATCGCTGTTTCTTCATTTAAGCGACATTTGGACAGGAATAAAATGAGAAAGTACATGATTCTTCCAAAGTCCCTGAATTTTCAATGCGACCATATTGGAGATGTTCTTTTTTGAACAATGTTCCCACAACTAGTAAAGCTTTGTCTAATTCAAGTCCATAAGATAGAGACTATGATACAGACATTTGATAAATATACACCTGAGTTGGTAGGTTGCAGAAGGAGCTGCTTTGTGCTTTGAATAACTCAATTTGGTGATCCACAGTGGATTGGGTGGCTTATTCCCAGATCCTCACCATCCTTTGTGGTCAGTAGATATGTCCAACCAGTTGATATGGAAATGGTCGTGTAGATTTAACTGTAGGACCAAGGCACATGCAGTGGACTTCTTTTGTCCTGGAAGAAATTAGATCAATTTCAGCATTGACAATAACATCTGAGCTTGGGTTGCTTGGCTTTCCTGGAAGCATGTTCTTTGGTGTGCAAAAAGAGGGTAGATATATATAATTAGTTTGAAATTTTTAAGGGACTTTGATCAACCCGTATAAGGGACTTTGATCAACCCGTATAGCTGCATAACGTGTGTGGGCTTTGTGAAATGTGCTGAGCGCTAATTTTTAATTCTTTCAGCAACACACATTCAAATGCAAACCTGAATGTGTTTGTTGTCATGCAAAATTAAAATAAGAAATGTAGAAAATTCTTTAAAATGAAAATGATAGGGACTCACCTTATTTTGTTTTTTGTTTGTGTGTTTATTTTTTGAGAAAGAATCTCGCTCTGTTCCCCTGGGCTGGAGCACAGTGGTGCAATCTCAGCTCACTGCAGCCTCTGTCTTCCAGGTTCAAGCGATTCTCCTGCCTCAGCCTCCCGAGTAGCTGAGATTACAGGCATAGGCCACCACACTCAGCTAATTTTTGTATTTTTTTGTAGAAACAGGGTTTCACTATGTTGGCCAACCTGGTCTCGAACTCCTGACCTTAAGTGACTCTCCCGCCTCGGCCTCCCAAAGCTCTGGGATTACAAGCGTGAGTCAGCGTGCCCGGCCTTTATTTTGTTTCTAAGATGGGAAATGAACCTAAGACTCTTGAAGACATTTACAACGTCAATTTTATCAAAACAATTGAGAGAATTCAGGTCATAATTTTGAGAAACAATAAAAATGGTCAGACAAATGCTGTCTATGACGAGTGAAAGAGCTCTATGAGTTTTAGAACAATGGTCTCCAAGGTAGGGAGATTTTGTTCTATGCCAGGGGACACTTGGCAATGTCTGTAGATATTCTTCAGTGTCACAACTGAGTGGTCTCACTGGCACCTGGTGCGTGGAGCCCAAGGATGTTGCTCGACACCCTACAGTGCACAGGACACCCCCACCACAGAGAATCATCCACTCCGAAATGTCAGCAGTGCCAGCTCAACTGCAAAACCCTGCCTTAGCATGAGAGACTCTGTGTGCCTGTCTGTCATCTATTTATCTATCTCTCTTTTTGTCCACCTATCTGTTATCTGTCTATCATCTATATATCTATCCACCTATCATCTATTTGGTCATCTATCTGTTATCATTATTATCTATCTATATATCTGTTGATTATCTATCTATTTATCTATCAATCCATCTGTATTAGTCCGTTTTCACACTGCTGATAAAAACATACCCAAGACTGGGTAAATTATAAAGAAAAAGAAGTTTAATGAACTCACAGTTCCACGTGGTTGGGGAGACCTCACAATCATGGAGGAAGGCGAAAGGCATGTCTTACATGGCAGCAGGCAAGAGAAAGGATGAGAACCAAGAGAAAGGGGTTTCTTTTTATTATTAAAACATCAGATGTCCTGAGACTTATTCACTATCAGGAGAACAATATGGGGTAAACTGCCCCCCAAGATTCAGTTATCTCCCACCAGGTCCCTCCCACAACAGGTGGGAATTATGGGTGCTAAAATTCAAGATGAGATTTGGGTGGGGACACAGCCAAACCTTATCACCATCTATCTATCGATCTATCTGTCTATCTATCTATTATCTATCTATCTATCTATCTATCATCACAATGGTTTCCAACTGCAGTCCACTTTGCCCTCAGGGGACACTGGCAATGCCTGGAGACATTTTCTCCAGGTGGAGGGTTGGTCCTGGCATCTGGTGGGTGGAGCCCAGGGACACTGCTCAACACCGTAGAGCACACAAGGATGCCCCACCAGAGAATCATGCAGCCCCAAATGTCAACAGTGCCAAAGTTGACACTGCTGCTCTGATGGCACTGTTACTCTGTTATAGAAGCCATGTAGGTCTAAAAAGATACAATGTAGAGAGTAGTGGGGATTCCAGATGTGCAAATAGAGTAACAAGTCTCTCTGGTTTTATTTTGTGTTTGTTTTGTTTTGCTCCTGCTTGGGAGGAGGGAGTGGAAGAGGGGAGAGAAGCCAAATAATTGGATGCTGGGGATATCCCTAAATGGTGGGACCAATGACAAATCATCAGTAGTGGCGACACTAAAAAGAACTTACCGGAAAAGAATCTTTTATATCCAATTTTTAGCCATCTGTGTAGATTGGCTCTTCGTGTCTCCCTCATCCTCTAAACCTTCTCAGCAAAGCCTGATGCATACAAAGAAGTCTTGTGTGAATTATTTTGTTTGATTATTCCTTTACTTAGTCCTTTATTCATCTCTGGAGGAAATAAAAGAGTCGGGATTCTGTGACTGATTCAGCAAGGGGCAAAAGAGAGACAGTGTGTGGATGTTGGACATATGATCGACAGAATGAACTAATGAACTCAAGACACGTCCCCTTACCCCCATCCATACTTTTTATTTACTGGAATCCTGAGAAAAGCATCCACTGTTTGTCAGTCACAGAATTGGGCTTTGAATGGAATTTATCCAGGACTTAATATGAACACACCTGGAATGTTCATTAGAGCATCTCTTCTCCAAATATGACATCATGGGAGTGAATGAAGCAAATCATTTTCTTGGCTACTTGGCTTGTAGGTCATCTTGTCTCATACCTGGAGAAAAATGTCAGCTTCACTCTATGGTGAAGTCTTAGGATAACATCTCTTATGTAGAAGATGTGAGTTTGCCTTCCAGCTAAAATAACCTTATAGGAAATTGTTTTGATATTTCAATAAATAAGCTCTTTGAATAAGAGCCAATACAAATAACTTTTATATTAAATTCTGCTGGTCTATGGTAGAAGTTTAATCATAGGAGGTTACTTCCATACACTGAATAGTCAGAAAAAACATCAAAAATTCTATAAGAACATAATAAAGCTCATTCAGCTCATTCATATCTAGAAGGAGAGCTTGAATTCATGTAAGTTGGCCTTTTCCCAGGTCCTAGGCTAGTCCTCAAATCCAGCCTGCATTTTCTTTACGCCCACTGCTACTAGAAAAAACATCTGGCAGATTTGGAATATGAATAACATCAGAGATAACCAGAGAAAATCTGCTGGCCATAACGAGTTGAGGACAAGCTATAAATTGTAAGTTTGTGTCAATTTTCATTTCCTAAAGGCAGCTTTTATAAAAGGCATTATTTCATCCCATTAAGAGCTTGGGCTGACATATGAATGCATCCCATAAATTCTTTACCATAATTTGACCCCATTTTGATTATTTATAGCCACAAACATTTCTTGAGCAGAATTTCAGAACTTTATTTGGAAAGACAAATTCTGATATAAATTGAAATTCACTGAAACATTCATATATATACACATACATACATACATACATACACATATATATACTGTTTAATATGGATACTCTTTTTATATATGCTGTTTTACCTATATATATAATCCTACAGTTCCATGTTGTGTGTGTGTGTGTGGAGAGAGAGAGCATGGCGCATGTATATGTGTGTGTATATATGTGTGTATAAATAGTACATATAAGTGTGTTTATATTGTACATATATGTTTGTGTACATGTGTGTACATATAGTGCATATACATATATGTATATATGATACATATGTGTATATGTGTGTCATATATAGTATGTACATCTATATATGTGTGTTATATGGTACAAATATACTTGTATGTGTATGTGTGTGTGCATATATAGTGCATATGTATGTGTATATGTATATATAAAGTAATATATGTGTGCATATATAGTGCATATGTATGTGTGTATGTATATATAAAGTAATATATATGGGTGTATGTGTGTGTGCATATGTACACAGCATATGTGCATATATACACACACATAGACATATGCAAACACACACATACGCCCATGTATATTACTTTATATATATACACATACATATGCATATATACACAGTATAACTATATATATGTCATATATAACAGTATATACATGTCTGTATATGTGTATATAGCATATGTATGTATATATTAGTACATGTGTGTATATAAAGTACATATATGGTACATAAGTGTGTGTGCTTATATAGACTACATTATATGTGTATATATGGGTATGTATAAAGTACTTGTGTATATATGTGTTTATATATAAAGTACATATGTGTGTATAGCACATATATGTATATATGCACATATAGTACACATGTGTATATATCAGTACATATGTGTGTATACATACAATACATATATGTGTGCATATGTATATGTGTATGTATAAAGTACTTATATATGTGTATATGTGTGTGTATATATTGTACCTATGTGTGTGTATATGCCTGTGTGTATACATGGTACATATATGTGTATATATTGATATATGTATATGTGTGGGGTGCATATAAACAAAATATCAACAGTATGGAATATTACGGGGTAATAGACCTGGGTTTTGGTCCCATCTTTGATTTTGAGGCAAATTTTCGTATAGTCCATGACTAATAATAAAATACGCATGAAATGAAATAATTATTTTAATCCAGGGAGCAACACAGTGTTCAGCTCATCACAAACCCACACATTTTCAGAGTTTAGGTTTTATCGAAGGCTAAAGTTGGGATCTGTTCACTAGTGTTTTATCTGCTTCCACAATGTCTGATCCAAACTTCACATGCTTTCAGTGACTCAAGACAAGTAAAGGGACATAGGCCTGTCGGATTTCTGAGAGCCGAGCAGCCCCTCAGAGGCACCCACTGGAAGACTGGATGGCCTGTGTCTCCTCAGGGCCTGACTCAGCAGGGCTGAAGACACTTCCCCTCTCTGATGTGTGATAAATTTAGCTAAGAGGTTGCTTCATTTTTGCTGTTCATGGAAGTGAAATCATGCTTATTTTTGGTTCCAGTTTCAATGAAATGTCATTTTCAATCAAGTTTCTAATTGAATTTTGTCTTGTTTTTTTGCTCCCCCGAGAAAAAGACCATGAAAGCCAGAATATATGTATGTGAAAATACATATATTCAAACCTAACCTCAAAAAATATAGTAAGAGCTGAGGTCACAAAGAAGAGAAAAAAAGTGTTTCTATTTTTCAGTATTTCAGAATCTAGTTGGAAAAAGTGGTGTTTATACAACCAATAAGGAATCAAAGTCTATAAGGTCAGTAAGAGGGGTCATGAACAGACACCATGGGAGTGGAGAGGAGCGAGAGATGAATTCTGATTTAGGGAAATTAAGAGACATTTTAGGAGGAGCTTGTCCTAATTAAGGCTCTAAAGTCAGATAAAAAATTTACATAATAAAAAATAAACCAGAGACTCCTCAAACTGGAGGTGGCGGAAACAAAGAGCAGCACAGAAAAGCGAGTCCCCGCACTAAGACAGAAGAGTGAAGACTGGGTGGCCAGCATGGTGGAGCTGAGGTGGGTAGGGGGACGATCAAATTGATGAGATGAATGTCGGGTCAGAGCAGCTTTGTGGGACATCAAGGGAAGGCTCAGAGTTAGGGTGTGTTTCTATGTGGGAAGGTGTTGACTGGGTGTGCTGAGATGGGAGTTTCAGGTCATCTCCATGTTGTGGATGATGTAACAGATGTAGAGGATAGAGACAGAGAAAGACAGAGAGAGAGAAAGAAAGAGAGAAAGAGAAAGAGAGACAGAGAGAAAGATAGAGACGATAGAGACAGAGACAGAGAGAAAGATAGAGAGACACAGAAAGACAGAAAGAGAGAGAGAAAGACTGAGGACAAAAGAAAGACTGAGAAAGAGAGAAAGAAAAAGAGGGAGAGCAAGAGAAAGAAAGAAAGAGAGAAGTCAGAAGGCATATGTGTGTGAGAAAGAGAGAGACAGAGTCAGTGCCAGAGAAGGAATGAGGAAAACAAATAGAAAGGGAGAAAGAAAGAAAAACAGAAAGAAACAGTGAGAGAGAGAGGGAAAGAAAAAAGAGAGAAAAAGACAGAAACAGTGAGTGTGTATGTGAGACAGAGAGAGAGAGAGAGAGAGAGAGAGAGAGAGAGAAACAGAGACAGATGGAGTTATAGGGCACTGGGGCACTAGCTGTCTGGAAGCTATTACAAGCTATTTATTATTTCTTTATTTTTCCAGAATGACCAGCATGTTATTGATGAGATTGACATTATGTAAGGGAATTCTCTGTCTGTTCATTCTTTTTATTTTTTTTGAGACAGAGTCTCGGTCTGTTGCCCAGGCTGGAGTGCAGTGGTGTGATCTCTGTTCACTGCAACCTCTGCCTCCTGGGTTCATGCCATTCTCCTGCCTCAGCCTCCCGAGTAGCTGGGATTACAGGCACCTGCCATCACACCTGGCTAATTTTTGTATTTTTAGTAGAGATGGGGTTTCACCATGTTGGCCAGGCTGGTCTCAAACTCCTGGCCTTAGGCAATCTGCCCACCTCGGCCTCCCAGAGTGCTGGGATTACAGGTGTGAGCCACCGCACTGTCTGTTCACTCCTATGTCTTTTACTATCTCCTTCTAAAATGCAAGTGTCTGCAATTTCCTCACCTTTTTTTACACACGTAAACATCAAATTTACTATTGGAACCATTTTAAAATGGCATTAAGTCCATCCAGAAATTTGTCCAAGCATCAGCACTCTCTAGTTCCCGACTTTTTCATCATCTCAAATACACAGCTGCTGTATTTACAATAGCCAGAAAGTGAAAACCATCCAGATGTCTATCAGCAGAGGAGTGAATTAAGAAAAGATGGTCCATCTATAGAATGAAATCTTATTCAGCCTATATTAGGCCGTTCTCCCACTGCTATAAAGAAATATCTGAGACTGGGTAATTTATAAAGAAAAGAGGTTGAATTGGCTCACGGTTCTGCAGGCTGCACAGGAAGCATGATGGCTTCTGCTTGGCTTCTGGGGAGGCCCCAGGAAAATTTCAATCGTCGTAAAAGGTGAAGGGGAAGCAGGAACTCTTGAACGTCTTACACGGCTGGGGCAGGAGCAAGAGAGAGAGCAGGGTAGTGCCACACACTTTTAAACAACCAGATCTTGTGAGAACTCATTCACTACACAGTACCGAGGGGGATAGTGTTAGACCATTCATGAAAGATTCACTCCCATGATCCAGCCATCTCCCATTGAGGATTGCAATTCAACATGAGATTTGGGTGGGAACACAGATCCAAAGCATATCACAGCCATAAAAAGAAATGCAGTTCTCACATGGCTACAATAAAGATGAGTCTTGCAAATATCCTGCTCAGTAAAAGAACCGCATCTCCTATGACTTCACTTATATTAAATGTCCTCCATTATTTTCTATGACTAGGCTATACATTGATTGGAGCTTTTATACATATTGATCTATACGTTGATAGTTGCGGAGATAATTGAACAAAGATGCAAAAAACTGTCCAGGTGCGGTGGCTCACACCTGTAATCCCAGCACTTTGGGAGGCTGATGGGGGAAGATCACTTGAGGTCAGGAGTTCGAGACCAACCTGGACAATATGGTGAAGCCCCATCTCTACTAAAAATACAAAAATTAGCCAGGCATGGTGGTGCACGCCTGTATTCCCAGCTACCCAGGAGGGTGAGGCAGGAGAATCGTTTGAACCCGGGAGGTGAAATCGCACCACTGCACTCCAGCCTGGGTGACAGAGCAAGACTGTCTCAAAATAAAAGGTGCAAAGAACCAAGGAGATCTCCGGGGAGTACATTTCCTACAGGGGGAAATGTATGACCTTCCCTTTAATGGCCGAATTGTCTTCCACTTTAGGTTGAAGTCTTCAGAGTGTTCCTGTTTCCTTTCGCCTTTGAAATGGCAGTGTCTGGGATAGATGGTGTCCGACTTGCTATGCCAAATGGGGTAAGCATTATTTTTCAGGAGGGTAGATTAGGCAACTCTATTAAAGAGGCTGCACTGCATTCTGTAAATGGTATGAGGCTAAGAGGACATGTCCTTTGGGCACCATCCAAGCCGGAATAGAAGCCAATTCCACCATCGCCTTCACTCTGGTCTTTCTTTCTCCTGCCTATTCAATAATCTCCCCAAGCTCTTCTTTTTCATAGAACTCAATTATTTTCCTTTGATGAACTTATACAAATTTGAAGTACAAATTTTCTATGGTTTTCTTAAACAAATCTCTCTTTTGCTGCTCTGTAAAATCCATAAGGTCTCTGTTGTTATGACCAGTGACCAGGAAAATTCTGGGCATGTGAAGACCTTTGGGTAGGCATCTGTTGAATGGGTGAATTGATGAATGAATGAATGAATGAATGATGTAATTAATTGCTAATAAGACCCAAGCACACAGTATCAATCATCTATAAAGCTGGCATATCAAAGCTTTGTTATATCCCAAAAGAGTTAACCCAGCACACAAGGAGGGAAACACAACATTTTATTTCATTTTATTTCACCTGTGCCAGTTATTCAGATAACCTCTAAAAACTGTTTAACATTCACAGTGTAGCCAAATAAACAGATGCTGGTAAACTTAACTCCATAAACGGTTTCACTCAGGAGACAGAGGCACATTGTTTTATCAGAGTTTCAGGATACGCGTTGGGAATCACTGAATCCTAGAGCGGCCAAGGGCTGTGTGTCTCAGCCCTTTCAGATGTGGGGTGCTCTGTCTCTGGAGACCCCTGGCTTCCACAGTCCTGGGACTTGTAGCTGACTGAGCCTGGGCTGATTTCTCTGGTAGTTCTTCCTGGATGTGGCCCAATGACCCCTGTATAGATGGATTAGTCAGGGTTTGCTGCAGAGACAGAACTAATAGGATAGATATACATATGAAAGGGAGTTTATTAAGGAGTATTGACTTACACAATCACAAAATGAAGTCCCACAACAGGTCTTCTGCAAGCTGAGGAGCAAGGAAACCAGTCTGAGTCCCAAAACCTCAGAAGTAGGGAAGCCAACAGTGCAGCTGTCTGTCTGTGGCCGAAGGCCCGAGAGGCTCTGGCAAACCACTGGTGTAAGTCCAAGAACTTGGAGTCTGATGTTCGAGGGCAGGAAGCATCCAGCACAGGAGAAAGATAAAGGCCAGAAGACTAAGCAAGTCTGCTTTTCCATCTTCTCCTACCTGCTTTATCCTACCTGTGCTGGCAGCTGATGAGACAGTGCCCACTTAGACTGAGGGTGGGTCTGCCTCTCCCAGTTCACTGACTCAAATGTTCACCTCCTTTGGCAACACCCTCACAGGCACACCCAGGAACAGTACTTTGCATCCTTCAATCAGTCCAGTTGACACTCAGTGTTAACCATCACAGTAGATTTTGTTTGTGCCCAAGTTCCTGAAGGCTGTGTGTATCCAGACCCGCACATAGATCAGCAGGATACTTGACGATCTCAACTGGATAATGGAATCTTTTCACGCCTCCTCCACTTTCTTTGGAAACCCATTTTTAAGACACCTCAAATTCTTCTATTTGAAACACTTTTCTCAAAATCCCATCACCAACAGTGAAAAGGATTCTGGCACCAACAACACTGGAATTTGAATTGTTTGTGCTAAGTGGCTGTCTTTTTGGAATGTCCCCTCTCTTTAACCACTTCCCCTCTCTGTGGCTTTCTGTCTGCTTTCTTAAACCCTGGGTTTTGGAATTTGATCATTTTGCTCAGGACATCTGAGCAGTTTTCTTCTACGAAGAATCTGAGGATGAAAGGAGACCACAGACTCCTCCAGAAGAAAGAAATAAGGCATTGCATTAATTCGTAAAACTGGTTTCAAAGACAAACTGGTATTTATAATCATCTCCGGTAGGGTTCATCTCCCATCCCGCGTCCCATATAAAAATTAGTGAGACTGCCAAAATCCTTATCTTTCATGTTCCTTCTTTTCCTGTGAAAAAGACAAGTGCCAAATCTTGTTAACTCAGCACGATATATATGCCTCTTTTCTCCCTGGGACTTCGTGTGCCTACGTCCCTTCTGATTCAGGGATAAGAGATTCTGCTTTCAGGGTGAAGTGCAACTGAACGTGTTTTTGGTGTCTCGTGAGCAAAGCCCTAGTGAGCATGCTTTGTAAGGTGAAATATGCCTTTGATATATGACAGTGTTTATATGTATAGTTAAGCTTTTTCAGCTTTAACAAGTCTGAGAGTAGTCTTTGAGAAGTTTTAGGGGTTATATAATGAAGACAAAGAAGTTACTTTATGAAAGCCACGTACTAAAATAATTCATGTTGGTTTGCATGAATTATTTATGTCTGGTGTGCATTGGAAATGCTTTCTTTTTCAGCGAGAATCAGTTTTCTTAGCCTTGGCTCCTCAGAAAAGAAGATCACTCCTTATGTTACAGTTCTGTGCCCATTGTAAGGTATTGCTGTGGCGTTTTACCAACTGAGGAGGGTCTCCCACGTGTCTGCGAAGCCTCTGAGTACTTTTCTGTGCTTTTTGCTTCCTCTGTGTCTACAAGGCATGTGTGCAAGTCTCCATCTTGTTGGAAGAATAATCCCCTTCCTCTCCCATGAGAGGTATATGGAAGTTACTGTAGGAGCACACACACAGAGTGTTGTGTTTGAGTTTTCTGGGGCTGCTGTAGCAAAAGTGTCACAGACCGGGAGGCTTAAACAACAGAAATTTATTCTCTACCATTTCTGGGCACCAGAAATCTGAAATCAAGGTGTCTCCGGGTGGTGCTCCCTTTGGAGGCTCTAGGGGAGAATCCTTCCTGCCTCTCCCATTTCTGGGGGACTTCAGGCTTCCCTGGGCTTGTGGCCGCATCACTCCAGTCCTGCCTCCATCTCCATGAGGACTTCTCTTCTTTATCTGTGTCTCGTCTTCTGTCTCTTACAGGAACACCTGTCATTGGATTTAAGAGACCCCTCTAAATCTAGCCATAATCTCATCAATAGATTGTCAATTTAATTGCAGCTGCAAAAGTCCTATTTCCAAATAAGGTCCCATCCCTCTATACCTGGTGTTAGGATGTGGACATATATTTTGGGGGCCACTGTGCCACCCACTACCATATGGACACTTCCTAACTGATGTCAGAATACATGCACTTCCCAATAGTTATATGCTGCCCGGTGCTTTGATGAACTGTTGACTTTTGGTTTGGAGAAAACCCACATGTCTAGAGCTCTAGCTATTCCACAGAACTTAACTCTTACTGGGCTCTTTCCTTTTATGTTCTTGTAAGACATGCTTAAACTGCTTGAGTGTTATGGTTCATGTTTCTTTTCTTTTTCTTGCAGTGTAAAGCCTGTTAATTCATGGCCAGTTCACCAAGAAGTATCAAATTCAATTATATGAACACTGTTTTTTCCCCAAACAAATGCCCTTGTGTTAAAACCACACACAGCAATAGCAATGGCAACTGCAACAATTGCCCCCAGCTCTACTTAAATCACTTGCATCCCCCTATTACCAATGTCAATCACCTATGGCCACTGGAAGGCTAAGGCAGCGCATGCATAGCTATTAATAAAAGTTTTTGCTAAGGATTGACACATTGGTAGTACCAGCTATGAGCTCACAGTACAACACAGTTCAAACAAAGACCATGGATCTAAATTTCAGAGCTTGAAAGAAGCAAATCTTTGCCCAGTTAACATTAGGAGTCTTAACTTTTTCCAAGGTAAGAAAGAGAGAAAAATTTTGGCTCATATGGACACTGTTCACTGGATGTACTATGTTCAGTGAGCAGATGTGTTTGTGTATGCATGAGCTTTGGTGGGGTTGTAATGTTACTTCTTAATAATAATTCTGCCCTCATCCGTTTCCTAGGAGACAGAAGAAAAATGAACCTTACACTTTTGCTGGAGCACAACATCTAGATTTAGTTGCCTTGGATGTGAAGGTTCTATGTCCTATTTATCCACACCTCTCAGCGGTGCCCAGAATGCCACTGGCATATCATGAATACATTGTCAACATCTGTTAAGTGAATGAATTGGTCAATGAATGAATGCATTTGGCGTCATGTAAATAAGATTCTTCAGGGCATCAGAAAGCTACCTTATAGAGTACCAAATTGGGCATTTGCTTTTAATTCATGTCAACCAAACATTTAAACATGTGCTTTGCCCAGAAATAGAGCATTTGAAACAGCTAAATATATGCCCTTTCCAAGTGTACTTACCTCAGCTGAGGACATGTTCAGATGTTACCTTTTTCTCCTTCTAGAGTTATTCTGGCTTGTCTTCAGGTTGTGTTAGTTGAGTTGGTGCATTTATTGTCTTTGAATAAAATGTCGTGATTTATGTTCCCTGTCTGTCAGCCACAATTCTGCAGCACAGGAGATAAGAAGAATTCCCCATGTGTTTTCCATAGCATTTCAACTTAATGCAAAGTTTTACATTAGCACATTCGTTTTCGCTGTCACAAACAGTCATTATATGAGCTTTTGTAGCGTTAATGTCATTTTATCTCAATTCTGGGAACATGCAAGGATAGGAATTTGGTATGTCACTGAAACTGAATACTCCCAAGTTGCCAACCAGAAGATTTCAGATCTACTTTGTTTTACTTTGCATTTACGTGGCTGTTCTCCCTACTTTTGTGTAAAATTACAATGACACTTGCTGCTTTCTTCTAATTTTATGGTTCTCTATATAGAAGTGTAGAAAGTTAAATGGCCTTCAGAATGAAAGTCTGTGTTTTATCCCTGGCCTAAATTACGGACTGCATGTTCCAATCCCTGGTCTAAGTCATGGAATGCACGTGATATGGTTTGGCAGTGTCCCCACCCAAATCTCACCTTGAATTGTAATAATTATCACGTGTCAAGGGTGGGGCCAGGTGGAGATAATTGAATCATGGGGGCAGTTTCCCTCATATTGTTCTCATAGTAGTGAGTAAGTCCTAAGAGATCTGATGGCTTTATAAATGGGAGCTCCCCTGCACAAGCCCTCTTGCCTGCCGCCATGTAAGAAAAAGACATGGCTTTGCTCCTCCTTGCCTTCTGTCATGATTGTGAGCCTCACCAGCCATGTGGAACTGTGAGTCAATTAACCTTTTTACTTTATAAATGACCTAGTATCAGGAGTGTCTTTATTAGCAGCTTAAGAATGAACTAATACAGCACATCCTCCCCAAATCCATATGTGGAAGCCCTAATCCCCAATGGGATGGTCTTAGTAGGTGGGGCCTGTGGGAGGTATGTAGGTTTAGATGAGATAATGAGGGTGGTGCCTGCTTGATGGGATTAGTGTCTTTATAAGAAGAGAAAGAGACTCAGAGCTCCCTCTCTCCTCCATGTGAAGGTACAGAGACATGGCACCATCTGCAGACCAGGAAGGAGGAAGGAGGCCCTCAGTAGACACCAGATCTGCCAGCATCTTCATCTTCCCAGGCTCCAGAACTTTGGGAAGTAACATTTGTTGCTCAAGCCACCCAGCTTAAGGCATTTTATTATAGGATCCTGAACTAAGACACCATGAATGTGACCTTCTATAGCATTAGGGTCTTTGTAGATGTAATTAAGCTAAAAGTCTTGAGATGAGGATGTCATCCTGGATTATTTGGGCAAACCTACCTCTAATGCTATAACCAAATGCCATAAACTGGGTGGCTTAAATAAAATATGCACGAAGGGCAAGAGAGACAGAAGAAGAGGAGGTGATGTGAGCATGGAGGTAGATGTTGGAGTGATGTGGCCACAAGACAGAACATCAAAAGGCACCAGAAGCCAGAAGCAAAGAATGGATTCACTCTTTGAGTTTCCAGAGAAGGTGTGTTGCTGCTCACACCTTCATTTTGGGCTTCTGGCTTCCAGAAGTTTGAGAGAACAAATTCTTGCTATCTTAAAATTTTTTTTTTTTTTTCATTTCCATAGGTTTTGGGGGAACAGGTGGTATCTGGTTACATAAATTCTTTAGTGGTGATTTGTGAGATTTTGGTTCACCCATCACCAGAGCAATCCACTGAATCCAATTTGTAATCTTTTATCCCTCACCCCCATCCTGCCCTTTCCAACAAGTTCCCAATGTCCATTGTATCATTCTTATGCCTTTGCATCTTCATAGCTTAGCTCCTACTTATGAATGAGAACATATGATGTTCAGTTTTCCACTCCTGAGTGACTTCATTTAGAATAATAGTCTCCATTCCCACCTAGGTTGCTGCAAATGCCATTAATTTATTCATTTTTATGGCTGAGTAGTATTCCATGGTGTGTGTGTGTGTGTGTGTGTGTGTGTGTGTGTGTGTACATATATATCATAGTTCCTTTACCAACCTGTTGATTGATGGCATTTGGGATTATTCCACAATCCACCCAGATTATAGTAATTTGTTACAACAGCCACAGAAAAATAACACAAGAGGTGTATGCATATTTTAGGTTTTGTGGTTGTCATTCATTTTAATGACTGGAACAGACAATTGGTCAAAATCAATTTTAGTAATGTGATTGCCTTCCTAGAGTGTCATTGAGCTGGATGTTGGAGAACTAATTATAATTTCTGTTCCACAATGACTGTTTTTACATTATGTTTAGCCATGATTTACTACAGGAATTTTATTCATTTTATTTCTCCATGGCAGCGTCACACTTCCCTAATAAATGTGACACCTTTTGCATGGTGACTATGTGGTATTAATGAAGCCAGTCTCCTCCTTACTCACCTGATGTATAAATCTAATGTTAATCAAATGCCTGTTATTAGCCCAGCATTGGAACAGTCATCAGCAATGAAGCAATGAGAAAACCCAACGGGCTCCTGGGTTGATTGAGGTAATCTTTCAGTAGAAATAAAGATTGAAATTACATTCAATTCTCTGTATTTGTGATAGTTGTGTTCTATAAAGTCACCATAAACACTGAATTAGCAAGTTGTAAACTATTGCTCCCAGGGGAAATACAAGATTAGGATTCTATGATGTCTGGTCACAACATTTTCATCAACCAGTCAATACATAATCTTGTTTTATGCATGTTTCTGTTTAAGAAAAACTTTCTGAGTAGATATTTTTGACTCATTCACACTGAACTCATGTCCAGCAGCACCATGACTCATGCCTGAGTAATGCTTCTCTAACACAGAGATTTTCTCTGTGAGGCACATTGCAGTCCTTTTGTACTAGGGACCCCAGACAGCACTTCAGCTCTGTTCTTCAGGCCATTTTAAACAGCAAAATCACCAACAAAAAGCACAAACACGCAAAACACATGGTACTCAATGGACCACAATAATTCTACTTGTTTAAAGTATAAGAGCTGAAACAAGAAGGTAGGGCATGGCCTTGTTCCACTGTAGCTGGGAATGTGCACTTTGAGCAATTTATATTTTTTCCAGCTTTGTGTGTGTGTCTGCAAATGACTGCAAAAGTGCTGTATTGATTTCGAGATTACAAAGTTTTAGTGAGCAGGCAAGTTCAGAAAGACAAAATTTATAAATAAGGAAAATCAACTATACTTAGAAAACAAACAGAATATTCATAAATCTCAGGTCTGTAAACTTTTATAATTACACATGGCTAACTCTCCAGACCATTAGTCAACTCCATGCCTTCAAATTTTTGTTGTATTTGGTTATTTTCTAATGAGCATTTTGGATGATAGCCATTGGACTAAGCATTTTTTTTTTAAAGCATGGTTTTTTTTGAGTTTACTCCATGCACACTTCTCTGAATAGTTGCTACTTTTGTGCAAACAACTGTAAAAACAAACAACAAAAATAAATAAAAGATGAGACTTAAGACGAATTGAGAAAGTTGCCCAAGCTTGAAAGTGGTTGCTCTGGAACTTGATCCCAGGCCAGACAAACACAAAGATTTATTAACAAAGTTATAGAGAGGTCAATGGCCTCTGCTTTTCCAAGTTCCCTTCTCCCCTAGACTCAGTTCTGCTTTCCCTTTTGGTTCTATCTTTTTGCTTTCCTTATCTCCTCCCATCCTCTCTGACCTCACTCTCATTTTCCTCCCTGGCCCCATCTCTATATGCTGAACGCCCACACATTGGAAGTCCCAGCTCAAAAGTCATTTTGTTCCTGAAACCTCACCAAGTTCCTTCAACTGAATTAACACCTCCTCTCCTTTTTCTTTCTATATGATTTATTCACTTTTTTTTTTCTTTTTGAGACGGAATCTCACTCTGTCGCCTAGGCTGGAGTGCAGTGGTACAATCTCAGCTGACTGCAATCTCCACCTCCCGGATTCAAGCGGTTTTCCTGCCTCAGCCTCCTGAGTAGCTGGGACTAGAGGTGCGTGACACCACGCCCGGCTAATTTTTGTATTTTTAGTATAGATGGGGTTTCACCATGTTGGCCAGGATGGTCTCAATAATCTCGTGACCTCGTGATCCAACCGCCTCGGCCTCCCAAAGTGCTGGGATTACAGGTGTGAGCCACTGTGCCCAGCCTTTTTTTTTTTTTTTTGGTGTCTCGCTTTGTTGCTCAGGCTGGAGTGTAGTGGCTGGATCTTGGCTCATTGTAACCTCTGCCTCCTGGGCTCAAGTGATTCTCCTGCTCAGCCTCCTGAGTAGCTGGGACAACAGGCACGTGCCACCATGCCCGACCAAGTTTTGTATTTTTAGTAGAGACGGGGTTTCACCATGTTAATGAGGCTGGTCTTGAACTCCTGACCTCAAGCGATCTGCCCACTTCAGCCTCCCAAAGTGCTGGGATTACAGGTGTGAGCCACTGCACCCAGCCTCACTAATTTTTTATATTGTTCTTCTGCTATGGTGTGAATGTTTGTGTTCCTCCAAAATTTCTGTGTGAAAATCTTAACACCCAAGGTGATGGTGTTGGGAGGTGGAGCCTTTGAGAGATAATGAGGTCGTGAAGGTGTAGCCTCATGAATGGGATCAGTGCCCTTATAAAAGGGACCCCAGAGAGCTCCCTTGCCCCTTCCACCGTGTGAGGACACAGCAAGAAAGCACCGTCTATGAATCAGGAAGCAGGTTATCACCAGATTATTGCATCTGACACGCTTTGACCTTGGACTTCCAGCTCCCAGAACTGTGAGACATAAATGCCTGCTGTTGAGAAGCCTCGAGTCTATGGTGCTTTGTTATAGCAGCCCCAATGAAAGAAGACAACTTCCCAAACTCCCTTTGTTTCCATTACCTGTGTATCTTTGTCTACAGTAGCTTCATTTCCCTCCACAAAGTTTAGTCCGCGCAGGCAGTAACAGTGTTGTCTATATGTCTATAGCCTTGACATGCACAATGATGTGTTTTAAGTCAATACATATGTATTGGATTGATTTAAATGTAATGTGATAAAGACAGAAATACATAAGATGGGCTCAAAAATACTTAACTCCAGGTTGCACATGTGTGAAATCATCTAATACATGAGGAAGAAGAGTGTAATAATGCATCCTGTGAAGACACCAAGAAATGGCTGTTTTTTACCTGTGCAGAGACCAGGAAGCTGGCAAGAGTTTTTTGGCACTTGTGGAAAGCTAATTGGGTTTGAATCCTGCAGGCACATTTTCTAACTGGGTGACCAGTGGCTAGTACCAGACACTTAGGCTGAAAAACAGAGATAACAATGGACAGTTACCAATACTGATGGTGCAGATTAAATACAAATACGTAGACCTCAAACTCCCAAGACTCCCATCTACATTCAGAGGGCTCCACCCACATTGGCCGATGCAATTGTTAGTAATATATCCAAGACTTGCTTGCCTGGGATCACATATCTTAAAGCCTTCCCTTTGAGAAAGCGTGTTCCTTCGACTTAAACTGCTAGGTAAAAAGAAATGACCATGGTTTTTAAGAATGGATTTCTGGCCAGGCACGGTGGCTCATGCCTGTAATCCCAGCACTTTGGGAGGCTGAGGCGGGTGGATCACGAGGTCAGGAGATCAAGACCATCCTGGCTAACACGGTGAAACCTTATCTCTACTAAAAAGACAAAAAATTAGCCAGGCATGGTGGCAGGCACCTGTAGTCCCAGCTACTCGGGAGGCTGAGGCAGGAGAATGGCATGAACCCGGGAGGCAGAGCTTGCAGTGAGCCAAGATCGCGCCACTGCACTCCAGCCTGGGCAACAGAACAAGACTCCATCTCAAAAAAAAAAAAAAAAAAAAAAAAGAATGGATTTCTGCTAACGTCTCTTTAACAGAACATCCATGGTGACAGGTAAATGGGTAAATGAGATCGAGGTGTGGCCTTCTCCTTGGCATGGCCTGTGATATCGATCAGCTACAGTCTGCATCTCCTCTACTTTGATATAGGCACGTGGTTATTTTCTTCGCTTCTCATTGAACCAGCAGGAGGGACTTGAAATCATTTAGCCAGCCATCTTGCAAGCGACTTTAGAGTAAAATGTATGCATTGACGTATGTCTACCGTTACCCTGAGAGGAGGAAATAACCATTTTTTTGGTACTGTATGTTTTAAAAATTGTGTGAAAATACACCTAACACAAAAGTTATCACCTTCACCATTTTTAAGTGTACCCTGAAGTAGTGTTAAATACATTCACATTATTGTGCAACCGTCACCATCCATCTTCAGAACTCGTTTTCGTCTTGCAAAAATAAAACTTTCTACCCATATGTGCCATTTGTTTTAAAATTAGTGTTTGGTGCACCCATCACCCAAGCAGTATACACTGTATCCAATTTGTGATCTTTCATCCCTCACCCCTTCCCACCCTTTCCCTCAGTCCCCAAAGTCCACTGTATCATTCTTATGCCTTTGCATCCTCATAGCTTAGCTCCCACTTATGACTGAGAACATACAATGTTTGGTTTTCCATTCCTGAGTTACTTCACTTAGAATAATGGTCTCCAGTTCCATCCAGGTTGCTGCAAATGACATTATTTTGTTCCTTTTTATGGGTGAGTAGTATTGCTGAGTAGTATTCCATATATATCTCACATTTCCTTTATCCATTCATTGTTTGATGGGTATTTAGGCTGCTTTCATAGTTTGCAATTGTAAATATACACTCATTTTCAGGTGCTTAAAATCATCATAAACACTGAATTAATGAATATTGAACCCTGAAACTCATGGCCAACAGTGCTACAATTCATGCCTGAATGAAGCTTCCCTAACAAAAGTATTTTCCGTGTAAGGCACATCATAGCTTTCTTTCTTGCACTTAGGAAGACTGGACAACACTCAGCACTATGCTTGGAAGCCATTTTATTTTCATTTTGTTTATTTATTTATTTTTTTCCAGAGATGGGTTCTCACTCTGTCACCTAGGCTGAAGTGCAGTGGTGTGACCATAGCTCACTATAACCTCAGCTGACTGTAACCTCAGCTTACTGGGAACCTCAAACTCCTAGGTTCAATTGATCTTCGTTCCTTAGCCTCCCAAGTAGCTGAGACTACAGGCACATGCCACCACACCTGGCCCATTTTTAAAAACTTTTTGTGGAGATAAGATCTCAATACATGGCCCAGGCTGGTCTCAAACTCCTGGCTTCAAGCGATCCTCCTGCCTCAGCCTCCCAAAGTGCTGGAATTATAGACATGAGCCACCGCACCGAGCCAGGGTCCATTTTAAACAGTAAAAGTCACGGACAAAAAGCACAAAAATGCAAAAAAACATAGCGCTAAAAAGATCATGATAATGGCACTATCTCCCTGTGTGCATGTGTGTGTGTGTGTGCGCGCACGCATATGTGTGTGTGTTGTGCACTTTCTGGGAAGAAGGGTCTGGCTTTCATTAGATTCTCAGAGAGGCTTATCACCTTCTAAAGGCTAGGAACTGCTGATAAGCCACCCCCCTTGTTTTAAAGGCTAGAAAATCAATTCCTGAAATCTGAAATAATTTTGCAATGTCACAGACGGATACAATTTTGCAATGTCACACAGCTTGGGACAAAGCGAGGGCCCCAGGTTTCCTCACTCTATTTTATCAGAGCACTGAGAGTGGAAACCTGAAATATTCAAGCTAGCATTCTCTCTTTTCCATGTTTTCTAATTTACCACTGCATTTATAACGTGGGAAGCTAACCTCATATGATAGAATTACTCTCCATCCTCATATTTTTTTCCCAATCCATATAAATAAGAAAGAGTCAGTATAGGAGCTAGGATATTGAGATACGGTGAACAAAAAGTCACTGGGGACTGTCCTATAAATTGGAAGCGTTTGCAGCTGCTGGTAGAACACGCTTTGAAAAGTCAGGAAAGACCTTTTTCACTATAAATAGCTCCACAAAGTTTTTTCATTGTCAATATGAGAGTTTTCTTTAAGGATCTTATGCAGACAATGGATAAAAATCATACTGGCAGACAATGACAATTAAGTGAAATAATGTATATGAAACAGCAAAGGCATAATAGATTTCCATTGACTCTCCCTCTCTCTCTTTCACTAATTTCCATGGAGTTTGTCATTAATCATAAAATCTATTTGTGATTAGCATTTTTCCTCCTTAAACCAAAATTACTTATTGAACCTGCTGAATGATGTTAAGAACATCTAAGGTTACATATTTCTTTAACTGAGCCAAAATTCACCAAAAAGCTCACCAGTTTAAGGGTACGATTTGGTTATGTTCAAGACCTTTGCAAGGTTGTACAACCATCATCTCTATTCAGTTCGAAAAATTTTCATTTGATCTTAGCCAAAAGGCCTAGAAGCGATAGATCAAAACATTTTCATCACTCCAAATGGAAATCTGTCAAGCAGTTACGCTTCATCCTGCTTCCCTGCAGCAGCCCATCCCTGCAGGGAAAGCAACTGAAAATTTGCTTTCTGTCTCTGTGGATTTCTCTATCTGTACATTTCATATAAACGAAATCATGGAGTATGTGACCTTCTGTGTCTGGCTTCTTTCACCTACAGTATAATGTTTTCAAGGCTCATCTCTGTCATTGCATACATCATTACTATTTATCCTTATAGCTGAATAATATCCCATTGTATGGATGTACCACATTTTATTTATTTATTCTCACTGGTTGATGGACATTTTGATTGTTTCCACATTGTAGATTTTGTGAATCATGCTGCCATAAACATGCATGTGCAAGTATTTGTTGAATACTTACTCGTTCTATTTTCAAGCCTGACTCATCTTCTGAATTCCAGAACTGTCATCCCAACATGTTTTATATTTTTCTTTGGCCTTCCTCTGCACTTAAATATAATTCAAACTCCTTGGATATCCAATGAGTTTCTGCATTTTCGGGGCTTCTGCCCCCAAAATGCAGCTGCTCCTTGTGCCTGTAATGTAATTGGCCGACAGGTCAACTGCTTTTCAAACTCTGGGTCTCTGCTCTTGCAGGTTCCTCTCCCGGAAATCATTTCAACTGGCTCTTGTCATGTTTACCTGATTCTCAGCCTTCAAAGATCAGCTCAGATATCACCTTCTTAGAGACACCTTCCTATGGGACCCACGTGGCAGGACAGTTTCTCTTCCTGATTCCTCCATTTATTTATTTTATAACTCCCATAACATCTGTGATTTTCTACATAGATTCTTTATTTACTGTCTGCCTCTCCTCAAAAGAGTGTTAGCTTCATGAAAGCAGAGATGTGGCTTTGCACCTTGCCTGGCACATAGTATATGTTCAACAAATGTTAGTGAAATAAATAATTCTCTTACGGTTACTCTAACTTCAACACTTCCATGTCTAGACTCGATAGTTTCTCTCCAAAAGTCATGTAGTTAATACCAATGGGTAGAAACCAATTGAACTGATTCCTGAAGAAATAGAGCACTCGTCAATTAGCTTTGGATGCATACGCTTGGGGTTTTGAGAGATGCAGATAGAGCATCTCAACTTGGACCCTGACTCATGAGGGTGCTTCGTGCATAATTTAGGAGGTCCGAAATGATGATGAAGATGAGGAAGGAAAAAGTAAAAAAAGAACAACATAAGAAGGATTGAGAAGCTCCTATAATTACCTAACAAGTCTGAGAAGATCAAATTTTAATATTTTTCCCAATGCAGTATGTTTTCCAATATGACAGATACACAGAGCGGACTCTGCACAGTAGAACAAATCTTTACTTTAGCAGATGTACTAATTGGATCTGTTTACATGATTCCTCCTCCTTCTTCTTCTTCCTCTTCCTCTTCCTCCTCCTCCTCTTCTTCCTCATCCTTCTTCTTTCTTGAAGACAGGGTCTTGCTCTGTCACCCGGGCTGAAGTGCAGTGGCGAGATGATAGCTCACTGCACTGTTGACCTTCTGAACAAAAGCGATCCTCCCACCTCAGTCTCCCAAATAGAATGTATATCTTTTTTTTTCATTTTCATAAAAAAAGTAGAGATGAAGTCTCACTATGTTGCCCAGGCTGGTCTTGAACTCCTGGGCTCAAGCAATCCTTCCACCTCAGCCTCCCAAGTAGCTAGGACCACAGGCATGTGCCACCACACCTGGATAATTTTTTTTTTTTTGTAGAGATGGGGCCTTGCTATGTTGCCCAAGCTGGTCTTGAACTCCTAGGTTCAAGGGATCCTCCCACCTTGGCTTCCAAAACTATTGGGATTACAGGCATGAACCGAACCACTGTGCCTAGCCAGTTTGTGTGATTTTTATGTCTGTTTAGCATCGCAGAGTCCTGCAAACTGCAAACAGACTAGTTCTATAAGAACAAAGTCTCCTTGTCCTCATTCAAAATATCAGATTCTATGGTAGCTTCGGGAGATGTGGGGCCTGTCGTACTCACAGTTCCCTTCCCAACTTGTCTAAAAGCACAGCATTAAAGTAACAGGGTCTTTGCATCAGAGCACTTTCCTTTTTAGGATGGAAATTCCTCTTTAGATGTAACAGCCAAGTTCATCTCTGCGCCTGAACTCAGGCTTTCAGGATACACTGTATATTTTCTTCTTTTATTCATTGTGATGCTTTTGTACCAAACAGAGTCTGTTTCATGAAAACAAATGGATAAATTAAATAATCAATTGAGTCGTCTTATTTTCCACCAAATAAACATGTAGATCGACTCTGCAGTCGCAAATATGACCATAATACCTTCTGAGCAGTAAAGAAAGAGTGCGTGAGCTGCCCCTTTTCAAACTTTTTAACCCCCAGTCTCTGCAGTGCCAACATTTTGCAGAGACAACTTTCTTTTTACTAGGTCTTTCATTCGTGCCAGTAGCAGTGGGCTTATACTGGAAGCCCAGAGAGATCACATTTGTAATAGAACTGTTTGTGCCGAAAGAGAAATTATCCTTGTCACTTAGAGCTTGCTAGAGTAGCAGTAAAACCCCCGAGATGAATTACAGATCTAATAATGAGCTTCCTCTTCCTGTCCCAGTCTGTCTGGGGAATGGGGGGAGATGACAATGTCCGCTGTGCCTACAGACATCCCTCGCATTGATAAATCTGCTTCCCCCTGCAGCTCTTTCCAACATAGCATGTCTTTAATTTATTACCCCTTTGGCTTAGCTCAGGGATCACTGAGTTCTGCCAGCTAGCATGATGTTAAATCCATGCCAAGTTTATGCGTCCAGTATTTCCAGGTGGCTTTCGAGAGGGGTCGTGGAGACAGGCAAGAAAACACACAAGGCAGCATTGTGCAAATTCAGTGTCAACTCCTTACATCTGCCCCACATCCCTTTCTAATTCAAGGCCACTCAGCTGATTCCCGCAGAGACTTTCGTTCCACGGTGGCTTTCCACCGTCCAGTGGTACCTCTGTAGCTGCCCTGACTCACTGTGCCATCAAAAATCTCCTTCAATCAAACCAGCCTCTGAATGCACTCGACAAGGTCCTGCATGTTGAAGCCTGCAATCTGCAAATCTGCACCATCTTTCTAAAGCTGCCTGCTGCTTACATTTTGAGAGGAGGATGAGGTTAATTATCGGAGGTGGAAAATAAATATCACAGAGCAGCTGGACATGGGGGAGCTTGCAGCGTCAGCAAATCATGGACACTCACCCTGCTACCCAGAGAGAAAAGGGACCCCTGGAGACTTGAGCAAAAGGTTGAGTATTTATAAGAAATGCCTGTGTGGCACTCCGGGGCACCGGTAAATATTTCAGAGGCAGGCATATTTTCCATAACGGATGACTGTTTGGGTGGGCAGGAAGTGGAGTTGCTATGAGTAGTCAGAATAACATTCCAGGACTGTAAATGCTTAATGAGCGTGTGTGTGTGTGTGTGTGTGTGCGCACACAAACACACAAACACACACACACACACACAGAAAGCACCATCTTCCTCAAAGAGAGGAAGTCCTTCATTGTTGAAGAAACCAAAATAAAATGACTTGTGGTTTTCCCCATGTCCTCTTGCGTTGTAAGTAAATACCTTCATAGAGACTCCATTTCTCCAAACCCTATTTATTCCCCATTCTTTGCAGAAAAATGCTGGTACATTTTTACCCCAGGAGGCACAGCCACCCCAGAGCCACACAGCAATGGATACTTAAGAATAAGGTAAGGTTGAGTATTTTTACTTTTATTTTTATTTTTTGAGACAGGGTCTCCCTCTGTTGCCCAGGCTGAAGTGCAGTGGTGTGATCTTGGCTCACTGCATCGATCTCCTGGGTACAAGAAATACTCCCACCTCAGGCTCCCAAGTAGCTGGGACTACAGACATGCACCACCTGCCTGGCTAATCTTTTTGTATTTTTTTGTAGAGATGGGGTTTTGCCATGTTACCCGGGCTGCTCTCGAACTCCTGAACTCAAGCAATCCACTAGCCTCAGCCTCCCAAAGTGCTGGGATTACAGGCATGAGCCACCACACCTGGCCTCTTATTTGTAATTTTTAAACGTTTTTTTATTTTTATAGATTTAGGGGATACCAGTGCAGTTTTGTTACATGGAGAGATTGCAGAGTGCTGAAGTCTGGGCTTTTACTGTAACTATCACTCAAATAGTGTACATTGTATCCACTGGGTAATTTCTCATCCCTCACCTTCCTCTCCCCTCCCTCCTTTCCCAGTCTCCAATGTCTCTTATTCCACTGTCTATGTCCATGTCTACACAGTGTTTAGCTCCCACTTATAAGTGAGAACATGGGGTGTTTGTCTTCCTGTTTTGGAGTTGTTTCACTTAGGATAATGTCCTCCAGTTCTATCCATGTTGCTGCAAAAGTCATGATTTCATTCTTTTGGGGGGCTGTGTACTATTCCATGGTGACATGGTTTGGCTGTGTCCCCACACAAATCTCATCTTGAATTGCAGCTTCCATAATTCCCACGTGTTGTGGGAGGGACCCAGTGGGAGATAACTGAATCATGGGAGCAGTCTCCGTCATAATGTTCACATGGTAGTGAATAAGTCTCACGAGATCTGATTTTTTTTTAAATTATACTTTAAGTTCTAGGGTACATGTACACAACGTGCAGGTTTGATACATAGGTATACATGTGCAGGTTTGATACATAGGTATACATGTTGGTTTGCTGCACCCATCAACTCATCATTTACATTAGGTATTTCTCCCAATGCTATCCCCCCGCCAGACCCCCACCCCCTGACAGGTCCTGGTATGTGATGTTCCCCGCCCTGTGTCCAAGTGTTCTCATTGTTCAATTCCCACCTATGAGTGAGAACATGTGCTGTTTGGTTTTCTGTCCTTGTGATAGTTTGCTGAGAATGATGGTTTCCAGCTTCATCCATGTCCCTGCAAAGGACATGAACTCATTCTTTTTTATGGCTGCATAGTATTCCATGGTGTATATGTGCCACATTTTCTTAATCCAGTCTATCACTGATGGACGTCTGGGTTGGTTCCAAGTCTTTGCTGTTGTGAATAGTGCCACAATAAACATACTTGCGCATGTGTCTTTATAGTAGCATGATTTATAATCCTTTGGATATATACCCAGTAATGGGATTGCTGGGTCAAATGGTTATTCTAGTTCTAGATCTTTGAGGAATCACCACACTGCCTTCCACAATGGTTGAACTAATTTACACTCCCACCAACAGTGTAAAAGCATTCCTATTTCTCCACATCCTCTCCAGCATCTGTTGTTTCCTGACTTTTTAATGATTACCAGTCTAACTGGCATGAGATGGTATCTCATTGTGGTTTTGATTTGCATTTCTCTGATGACTAGTGATGATGAGCATTTTTTCATGTGTCTGTTGGCTGCATAGATGTCTTCTTTTGAGAAGTGTCTGTTCATATCCTTCACCCACTTTTTGATGGGGTTGTTTTTTTCTCGTAAATTTGTTTGAGTTCTTTGTAAATTCTGGATATTAGTCAGATGGGTAGATTGCAAAAATTTTCTCCCATTCTGTAGGTTGCCTGTTCACTCTGACAGTAGTTTCTTTTGCCGTGCCGAAGCTCTTTAGTTTAATTAGATCCCATTTGTCTATTTTGGCTTTTGTTGCCACTGCTTTTGGTATTTTAGTCTTGAAGTCCTTGCCCATGTCTATGACCTGAATGGTATTGCCTAGGTTTTCTTCTAGGGTTTTTATGGTTTTAGGTCTAACATTTAAGTCTTTAATCCATCTTGAATTAATTTTCATATAAGGTGTAAGGAAGGGATCGAATTTCAGCTTTCTACATATGGCTAGCCAGTTTTCCCAGCACCATTTATTAAATAGGGAATCCTTTCCCCATTGCTTGTTTTTCTCAGGTTTGTCAAAGATCAGATGGTTGTAGATGTGTGGTGTTATTTCTGGGGCCTCTGTTCTGTTCCATTGGTCTATATCTCTGTTTTGGTACCAGTACCATGCTGTTTTGGTTACTGTAGCCTTGTAGTATAGTTTGAAGTCAGGTAGCGTGATGCCTCCAGCTTTGTTCTTTTTGCTTAGGATTGTCTTAGCAATGTGAGCTCTTTTTTGGTTCCATATGAACTTTAAAGTAGTTTTTTCCAATTCTGTGAAGAAAGTCATTGGTAGCTTGATGGAGGTGGCATTGAATCTATAAATGACTTTGGGCACTATGGCCATTTTCACGATATTGATTCTTCCTATCCACGAGCATGGAATATTCTTCCATTTGTTTGTGTCCTCTTATTTCCTTGAGCAGTGGTTTGTAGTTCTCCTTGAAGAGGTCCTTCACATCCCTTGTAAGTTGGATTCCTAGGCATTTTATTCTCTTAGTAGCAATTGTGAATGGGAGTTCACTCGTGATTTACTTCTCTGTTTGTTAAAGGTGTATAGGAATGCTTGTGATTTTTGCAGAATTGATTTTGTATCCTGAGACTTTGACAAAAACTGGAAGCATTCCCTTTGAAAACCAGCACAAGACAAGGATGCCCTCTCTCCTATTCAACATAGTGTTGGAAGTTCTGGCCAGGGCGATCAGGCAAGAGAAAGAAATAAAGGGTATTCAGTTAGGAAATGAGGAAGTCAAATTGTCCCTGTTTGCAGATGACATGATTGTATATTTAGAAAACCCCATCGTCTCAGCCCAAAATCTCCTTAAACTGATAAGCAACTTCAGCAAGATCTGATGGTTTTATAAGGGGTTTCACCTTTTGCTGGGTTCTCATTCTCTTCTTGTCTGCCACCATGTAAGATGTGCCCTGCTCTTCTGCCATGATTGTGAGGCCTCCCCAGCCACATGGAACTGTGAGTCCATTAAAACCTCTTTTATAAATTACCCAGTCTTGGGTTTGTCTTTATCAGCAGCATGAGAACAGATTAATACACATGGTGGGTATATATACCACATTTTCTTTAACCATTCATGTGCTGATGGACACTTAGGTTGATTCCATATCTTTGCTGTTGTGAATAGTGCTACAATAAGCATTTGAGTACAGGTATCTTTTTGATAGAATGATTTGTTTTCCTTTGGGTAGATATCCAGTAAGTGGGATTGCTGGACGAGATGGTAGTTCTGATGAGCAGACTTTCTAAACCCAATAAAACCAAGTTTTTCCCAAGAAAGCAGTCCCATTGCTACAGATGGCAGGATTCCCCCCTTCCTGTGTACATGGCCCAGTTCTGGTCTTCTTTCCAAATATCTGAGAGATGGAAAGCTTTTCTCTACCCACTCAGTGATGTCGAGAGTCAAATCCCTAGGTAAAATGAGCTGCCAGTGAATTGTGTTGATGAGCATTGTAGGAATCTGCAATGGTGCAGTGGCATTAGGAGCCTGCCAAATGGGGAATGAGAAGGTTTCTTCCCAGAAGAATTTCCAATCACCTGGGTATTGACAGGCCAGAGAATTTAGTCCCATGGATGGTTTGAGTTGCTTCATCCAAAGAAATGTTGGAGAGAAGTTCATTCTCATCTGTTGTGTAGAAGATCACTCTCCACCTCCAAGTCTCTGGTTGTCATTAAAGACCCATCAAGTCTGCTGTGTGCCTCAGAGCCAGATTCCAAAATGCCCTCAAGCTGTCTTCAAGCTTTCTGCCCACAGCTCTGTAGCCAATTTGGGGCACGTGTACCGTCCACGCCCAGCAAGTGAAAATGCCAGTTAAATGGGCAGGCATCTGAATTCAATAGGCATGCATTCTCTTTCCACAGGGCAGATAAGGGATGCAGTGGAATGAATGTCTATGTCCCCTTCCCAAAATTTATGTGTTTTGGAATCCCAATCTTTACTATCATGGTGCTATGATCTGAACGTCTGTGTCTTCCAAATTTCATGTGTTGAAATGTTCACCTCCAAGGTGATGGTGTTAGGAGGTGGTGCCTTTGGGAGGTAATGAGGTCATGAGGGTGGAGCCTCATGAATGGGATGAGTGCGCTTATAAAAAGGGACCCAGAGAGCTCCCTTGCCCCTTCTACCATGTGAGGGCACAGCAAGAACATAGTGTCGTCTATGAACCAGGATGGGCATAGTACCATGTATGAACCAGGAAGCCAGTCCTCACCAGACACCAAATCTGCCACAACTTGATCTTGGACTTCCAGCCTCCAGAACTGGAAGGAATAAATTTATGTTGTTTATAAGCAACCCATTTTAATGTGTATTCATTATAGCAGCCTGTAAGGCTAAGACAGATGGTATTTGAAGATGGGGATTTTGAAAAACAGGTCATGAGAATGGAGCCCTCATGATGGGATTAGTGCCCTTATAATTAGAGACACAAGAGAGCTCATTCCCCACCCTCTCTCTCTCACCACCATTTGCAGACACAAGAAGGTAGCCACCTGCAAACCAAAAGGAGAGTCCTTTCCAGACCCTGGATCTGCTGGCACCCAGATCTTGGACTTCCAGCCTCCAGAACCATGAGAAATTGAAGATCATTGCTTTAGCCACTCAGTGTATGCTGTTTTATTATAGAATCCCAAGTGGACAGAGGCAGGGAGGAATATTATCCTGTTTCTCCAATGGTTGTCATTAAAGACCCATCAAGCCTGCTGTGTGCCTCAGAGCCAGATTCCAAAATGCCCTCAAGTTGACTTCAAGTTTTCTGCCCACAGCTCTGTAGCCAATTTGGGGCACGTGTACCGTCCACACCATTCCATGCCCTGGAAGTTGGCATGGAAAACAAAAATTGCATAATCTCCCTCATACGTGGAATCTAAAAAAGTCAAACTCATAGAAATAGAGAGTAGAATGGTGGGTGCCAGAGGATGGGGGCATGCAGTGTATGTTGGTCAAAGGGTACAAAGTTTCAGTTAGACAGGAAGGATAAGTTCTGGTGATCTATTGCATAACAAGGTGAGTGTATTTGTTTGTTCTGGCATTGCTATAAAGAACTATGTGAGACTGGGTAATTTATAAAGAAAAGAGGTGTAATTGGCTCATGGTTCTGCAGGCTGTACAGGAGGCATGGCTGGGGAGGCCTCAGGAAACATACAATCATGACAGAAGATGAAGGGGAAGCAAGCATATCTTACCATGGTGATGGAGGAGAGAAAGAAGGAGTGAGTGGGGAGATGCCACACACTTTTAAACCATCAGATCTCATGAGAACTCCCTGACTATCACAAGAGGAGCAAGAAGGAAGTCCACTCCCACGATTTAATCACCTCTCACCAGGCCCCTCCTCCAACACTGGGGATTACAATTTGACATGATATTTGGGTGGAGACACAGAGCCAAACCATATCAGTGACTGTAGTTAATAATATATCGTATATTTTTAAATTGCTCTAAAAATTGAATTTCAAATGTTCTCACCATAAAGACATGACAAATATGTGAAGTGATGATTATTTTAATTAGCCTGATTTGTTAATGCCACAATGTATAAATGTATAAAAATCACGTTTTAACCCATAAATACATGTAATTGTTATTTGTCAATTAAAAATAAAAATAAATTGAAAACTAAAAATAGTAAAGGGAGTTCCCTCCATGAAGGATCAATGAGTACATGCCATAGATTTAATTTTGACAGCAAGAAACAAGAAGGTTGCAACAGTCCAAACATTGTGTGATAAATGGTTGCTCTTAAAAATATTTTTATAGTTTGCCTCAATAAGCTAAGACATAAGTTATAATCTATTAGGTAGGAGTATATTCATTCAGTGGCTTACTGTTATACTCATAAACAGCTTCATCCTACTTACCCAAGGTTAGTTTTCATGAAGACTGATCATCTGAATAAATTTGGTTGCAAATACTAATTATTGAAATTAATGGATACCTACTGTGGATGTCTATTGTTCTAAGTATTCAACACATATTCAAGTGGGTTTCATCAATGACTAAAGCAAGGCTCTATTAACCTATTTACAACCAAGATGGCAGCCCAGTGTGAGACTCATGATGGTGGCCCACTGTGAGACTTCTCTCCCCAGCCTCTGGTAACCATCATTCTACACTGTATCTCCGTGAGATCCACTTTTTTGAGTTCCCACACAGGAGTGAGAATATGCACTGTCTTCCAGTGGCTGGCTTACTTCACTTAACATCATGACCTCCAGTTTCATCTATGTTTGAACAGTTTTAATCAACATGAAATTCACAAGAAAGCAAAAGAGTGGAAACAGGACTGCAGTCAATTGCCTTGATCAGAACCTGATCAAGAACTAGTCACCACTTTGGAAAACACCATCTATGGAAATCCTCCTGCTGCTATTTGAGTTGCCAACACAACACACCAGTGTTGGCAGTTCTGGTATCTATCTCAATGATTACATCTAGAGCAAACCTGTGGGTCTTTTGTTCCATCCCTACCTTATCATTTACCTATTAAAATGCCATGGTGTTTTAAAATAAGAGTTGCTTTCCTGTTACATTTCTGTTTTACATTGCAGTTACAGCCTCAAATACATGTTGGAAAATTATTTGTGCAGGTGTGTTCATTATCAGTGGTTTTCATTACATTTTTGTAAAAGGAATGCTATAAAACATTCACCATGAAAGAGAGTCCAAGTCTGAGAAAATGATCCTTGGAGGCATTAACCTATTTACAACCAAGATGGCGGCCCACTGTGAGACTCATGAGACTCAAAGTGGGCTGCTATCTTGGTTGTAAATAGGTTAATGGAGCCTTGCTTTAGTCATTGATGCAACTCCCTTGACTCTGATTTACAGGTGTATGTTGTTATTTGCAGCTTGCTGAATGGGAAGACATACAGAGGTTTAGAAAGTAGTCTGTGGATTACTACCTCTTCTTTATATAGTTATAGCTTGCCCAAGTTATATTCTGATACCATTCTTTCAATTTTCTTAGATCTTCTCTTTCGTTCTTTTTAAAATTTTATTATTATTATTATTATTATTATTATTATTATTATTATTATTATTTTAGAGACAGGATCTTGCTCTGTTCCTCTGGCTGGAGAGCAGTTGTGCAATCATGGCTCACTACAGCCTCAAACTCCTGGGCTCAAGTCATCCTCCTGCCTCAGCCTCCCAAGTAGCTGGGACTAGAGGCACATGCCATCACACCTAGCTAAATTTTTTAGTTTTTTTGTAGACACAGGGTTGCACTATGTTGCCCAGGCTAGCCTCAAACTCCTGGCCTCATGCAATCCTTCCACCTTAGCCTCCCAAAGTGCTAGGATTTATAGGCATGAGCCACTGTGTTCAGTCTTAGATTTTCTTAAAGCCTGGAAATGTTTGATATCTGTGTCTTATATTGTAATGTTTCAATTTTTTTAAGTCCCTGTGTGGATTTAATCTGCAACCCCACCATAATATGTTAAATCTTCACAGTGTCCTCATAAACTGGCTGCTCCTTTCTGAATTCCACCCATTTAGTCAGCTGAAACAGAAAGTTTTGGTATATATAAAGAAAAAAAGGCAGGTTGGTCCAGGAATGACTCACAGTCTTGTTTGCTAATTAGGTCATGATCTGAATGAGATTTGATGAGAGAGATTGCAGTCCTAACCAGTGGTTCTCAATGTCGAGGGAGCATTAGAAGCTTATGGAGGGCTTGTCAAAACACAGAATGCTAGGTCCCACTCCTTCTCATTTGGTGGGTCTAGGGAAGGATTCTAGAATTTGCATTTCTAACAAATTCCCAGGTGATGAGGCTGGTCCAGGTACCACACTTTGAGAACCACTGGGAAGACTGAAGAAAGTAACATGGGAGTTTTTCTAAGACATTTTATTTGTAGCCAATGAAGAAATCTTATAGCCTTCTCCCCTTTGAAACTTTGTGTGCAGGCAAGCAGGACCTGAAAGACTTACCCAACAACAGCTGTCTTGGACTATGTGTTATAGGACCACTGAGTCTGTATGCCCACTGTGCAGTAACAAACCAATACACTGAGACAGCAGGGTTTGCAGCAGAGAAAGAGCTTAATTATTGCAGCACACTGAGTGAGAAAACACTGACTCCACTCTCCCTGTGGAGTCCTGAGCTGTAGTTTTTAAAGGGATTGCAGAGGATAAGGGGCTGGAAAATTGGGGTCATTGACTGCTTTGGGTAAGGAGGATGAAGTCATCAGGATATGGAAACTGCATTCTTTGGTGAGTTAGCTTCTTGTGGTGTCCTTCAGACCACCTGGCATCAGTAGTTTCATCAGTATGCAGGACCTGAAAGAATATCTCAAAGGGAAAACTTGTTTCATAATGTTGAAGTTGTTATCTAGAAAGCAGTTAAGGGAACTCTAATCTAGGGTCTATGTGATTCTAGGACAAGAGGCACGAAACAACTATGACAAAGCAGGACAGGGAGCAAGCTGACCTCAGGATGAGTGTTGAGTGTGCTGTGAGCTTGGTTTATTTTCATTTCTCCCCTTTGTTTTTCCCCTGCTAAATTTTATGAAGTTTATAGGGATGATTTCACATGTGTGTTGATAGTTCAAGATGTAGCTCTGCCCTACTATGAAAAGTGCAGAAATCTTTCTCACAAAGATCATAGAATGAGTAAAAGTTTGGAAAAGTAGTTTCAAGGGAAGTTATCTTTCAAGAATAAAACTAGGTGGTCAGCAAGACAAGACCATATAACAGGTCCATATAACCACATGTGGGCTAAGGAACATGATATATTACCTGTTCTTGGTTCTTGTATCACCAGGACATAATTTAGGGACCAAGCTTTAGAAAACTTAGCACAAAAATTCATGGAGGGAGGAAGGGAGTAATATATTAACAAATTGGAAATAAACTGAAATTTTATCTTTCAGAGAGATGTGCAGAAATGATGGATTCCAGGGTAGAGACCAGATATGGCCAACAATTTGGGAGTGAGCGCATGAAGAGAACGCATTAGTTAATTATGAGAAAATTGCTATTAATTGCACACAGAATGCTGAGCTAAAATGATGGTAACCTGTGTTTAAAATGTATAAAAATTAGTGTGCAGGCACTGATTTGAAGCATGCTAAATGAAACTTTCCTTCCCTACAACTTGGCCTGAGATCCCACCTTGCTTGATTTTTGTTTCCCCCCTCCCCCGCCCCGGATTGTTCCACCAACATTCCTACAGGTTTCTTGGGAGCCCTTCCTCTCAGGGTCTACTTCTGAGGAATCAGACATAAATTACATGGATATAACAAGGCTTACAAATAAAATGAGAGAGAATCTGAGTATTTTTAAAAAATGTAATTGTATTTTTAGTTCTTTTAAAGAATGAAATTTAAAACTGATGAAAATTGGGTTTTGCTTTTTCTTTTAAGATGGATGTATTGAATACCCAGATTCCTGTTTTTCTCTGGGAATTTTACCCATGGGAGGCATCTAATGCTGGCCATGCACCAGCAAGAACTGCACATTTATTCTAATTTTAGTCCAGGATCTGCAGAAGCACAAGCCTTGCCATGGTGCTTCCTCAGAGGATGTCAACTGAATAAACAGAAAAGTTTGACTCAACATTGCACCTTTCCACTGTACAAAGCATTTTTCACTCCACCGTGGCTCCAATAGCAGGAGAAAGAACTGATACTCAGTTCAAGAACCTTGCTCTTTCTTTTGTCCAGCCACATGGCCCATTGATGGAGGGAGCCAGACACCCAAAGTTCTGCTTATACAGAAGGAACAGACAAAGAAGTTTTAGAGACCTAAAGAGGAGAGTCTTCATACCCATACTTCTTAGGAAATAATTAATGTTTCCCCTTTGTCTCAGCAAAGGAGATAACATTATACTTTTTTTTTAAGAAAGGAAATATTTTGGATTTAACAAAATTTAGTTTTTCATAGTTTAGCTTGATCAGTGCATATTTTTTAATAGACTTTATTTTCTAGAGCAGTTTTAAGTTCATAGCAAAACTGAACACGAGGTACAGAGAGTTCCCCAGACCTCCTGTCCCTATAAATGTATAGCCTTCCTCAACATCAATTTATCAACAGTGGAATATTATTCAGTGCTAAAAATAAATGAACTATTGAGCCATGAAAAGTTATGTATCTTTGTTGTACCAGTATCTATATCTATCTTGAAACATATGAAACATATCTAGAAATATGTTGAAGTTATATATATAATATTAGAATGGAATATATATTGGAATGAAATATTTTCTATATATTTATATATAAATATATAAAATATACGCATATAAATATTTACATAAATATATATTTACATATAATATATAAATTTATATAAATATCATATATAACCTATATTTATATATTTTGTATATTTACTTACTAAATATGAATATCATATAAATATATATATATATATATATATATAACCTATATTTGCCTAATGGAATACATGAATATAGGTTTAAAAAGTTTGTTATGAGTATCTGATATGGTTTGAATGTGTCTCCTAAAAAGCATGTGTTGGAAACTTAATTCTTAATACAACAGTGTTGGGAGGTGGAGTCTTTTGGGAGGTGTTTAGGTGATGAGAACCCTACTCTCATGAATGGATTATAAAAGGCTTTGAGATTGTGAGTTTGATCTCTTGTTCTCTCTCACCATGTGATGCCTTCCCCATGTGAGGAGACAGCAAGAAGGCCCTCACCAGATGCAGCCCCTTGATTTTGGACTTCCCAGACTCCAGAACCATGACTGAAATAAATTTCTGTTCATTTTCAATTATCCAGTCTGTGGTATTCTGTTATAGCAACACAGAACAGACAAAAATGTTATCTCTTGGTTGACATACCCCTTAATCATGGTTCTCCTCTTTTCCAGCCAGGCAAAATGACACTTTCAGCCATGAAGAAATGTTCCCTATCTTTCCATTTTCTCAATTCAAGGACCTCACTTTTCCTGCTGATTATTCTAGCAGATTTTCAATGCCCTCTCAGCAAAAGCAATACATTTTGTGGCTCTATATTTTGCAGAAATCACCTCATAAATTTTTCAATGCACAATTAAACAAAAACTTTATTTCTGCATTGCTCAATATATATATGTATATATTGAGCCAGTTAAAATTGTGCAGAGTACATTGTCTGGAAGGCCATCATGTTGTTGCTTTTCATTATGACTGACATGCCAGGAACCACACCAGAAATCCTAAAGGTGATAATAATTATCATTCACTATGCAACAAACCCAAAACATCGTTGAGATTTGTTGTTTACAGGCAAGAGTGCAAAACTCAGCTTCATCTCTTCCTAGAAGTGCCACATAAAACTAGTTCTCTTCTCTCCCTCAACTTGGGCTTGAGGCCATGTAGTGCATGCACACCTCTGGGGATTTCTGAAAGACTGTAGACTTCAGTGCAAAACGCCCAGCCCAGTGCCTAGCTCAAGATACTCAGTCAAGAGTTATTAATATTGTAAGTAATGTTAAGGAAGATATCAGAAAATACACATTAAAATATGGTTATTAAGGAAAATTCCAGAATGGAGCCACTTTATTTGACCCAACAGAGACATGGCATGTTTAGAAGGCTTCTGTTTGCATGAACTATTGGGAAAGCAGCTACAAGTTGATGTTAGATCCCGGTTAAATGCTGAAGTACATATACTAATTCTCCTGTTTCTGTGTCAGACTCTCTGCAGGAGGATCAAGGAGTAATAAAAAGAGCAGAATATCTGCAGCTGCCAAGACCTCGGCTCTAATTCTAGATTTGCAGCCCATGGCTGCACAATAGGCACAAGAATGAACCAACGTCACCACCAAGGAAAGTGGCACAGCTGAGCTGCACCCACGTCTGACTCCAAGGGACCAGCTATTGACAGCTATTCACCATTTGGTTTCTGTGTGTCCCAGTCCTCACGTGGAAAATGGGCAAATATTATCTGCTTCATCGGTATTCCTGGGAACCTAGAGGAAGCACTAGCCAATATCATTCACTTAGCATACCGGAGTTATCTTTCCATTTTCTTAATTCAAGAACCTTGCTCTTTTTGCCAATTATCTTAGTAGTTTTTCAGTGACCTCTCAGTAAAAGCAATGTATTTTGTAGCCTTGTCTTTCACAGAAATCGCCTTATAAATTGTTTGATATACAATTAAACAAAAACTTTATTTCTGCATTGCTCAAAGAATATATATTTCATTTGTTATAAAATATTATAGCATTCAGCTAAGTCTCATACATTTATTTATTTATTTTTATTTACTTTTTCTCTCCAACTTCTATTTTATGTTCAGAGAGTTCATGTACAGGTTTGTTAAATAGATAAATTGCAAGTCACGGGGGTTTGGTGTACAGATTATTTCATCACCCAGATAATAAGTGTAGTATCCCACAGGTAGTTTTTTGATCCCCACCCTCCACCCTCAAGTAGGCGTTGGTGTATATTGTTCTCACCTTTGTGTCCATGTGTACTCAATGCTTAGCTCCCACTGATAAGTGAGAACTTGTGGTATTTTGTTTTCTGTTCCGTTCCTCTGTTAATTCACTTAGAATAATGGCTTCCAGCTCCATCCATGTAGCCGCAAAGAACATAATCTCATTCTTTTTATGGCTTCATAGTATTCCATGGTGTATATGCACCACATTTTCTTTATTCAGTCTGCTCTTAATAGGCATCTAAGTTGATTCCTTACCTTTGCTATTGTGAATAGTGCTGCCATGAACATACACGTGCATGTGTCTTTATGGTAGAACAATGTATATTCCTTCGAGCATATACTGAGTAATGGGATTGATGGGTCGAATGGTAGTTCTGTTTTTGTTTTTTGAGAAATCTCCAAACTGCTTTCCACAGTAGCTGGGCTAATTTACATTTCCACTAACCGTGTATAAGTGTTCCCTTTTCTCTGCAATCTTGGGAGCATCTGTTGTTTTTGACTTTTTAATCATAGCCATTCTGACTGGTGTGAGATGGTATCTCATTGTGATTTTAATTTGCATTTCTCTGATGATTAGTAATATGGAGTATTTTTTCAAGTTTGTTGGCTGTGTGTTATGTCTTTTTTGTAGATGTGTCTGTTCATATCCTTTGCCCATTTTTTCTTTTTTCTTTTTTTTCTTTTTTTTTCGGAAACAGTATCTTGCTCTGTTACCCAGTCTGGAGTGCAGAGGCATGATATTAGCTCACTGGAACCTCTGCCTCCCGGATTCAAGCAATTCTCCTGCCTTAGCCTCCCATGTAGCTGGGATTACAGGCATGTGTCACCATGCCCGGCTAATTTTTGTATTTTTAATAGAGACAGGGTCTCGCCATGTTGGCCAGGCTGGTCTCAAACTGCTGGCCTCAAGTGATCTGCCTGCCTCAGCCTCCCAAAGTGCTGGGATTACAGGCATGAGCCACTGTGCCTGGCTGTTTGCCCATTTTTTAATGTTGTTGTCCAACATTTCTTTGACATCAACACTGTACACTGCAACAATATTGGTAAGTGTTTATATATATTATTTTGATTATTTTTTGCCTTAATAATGCTCTATTATCACTTCCATCATAGGATTCCCTTCTGTCTGTCTGAATGTTTTCTTATCTAGGCTTCATCTGGTCCTGTGTTGTTGCATGACTTTTGTTAAATCTTTTAGTATCCTTGGTCTACGTGGCTTCCGTTATTACGCATCTTCTAATAAAGTGAGAAAATTATAATGAAGGGTTTTTCAAATCTTATGGCAGTACTTCTTGTTCTGCCTGACCTTCCTTTGTGCTCCCATGGTTACAGTTACCGAAAAATAAAATAAAAAATCTGAGGGACTGCAACGGCATACAAGTATATAATTCATCTCGACCTCTTACTTTACTAGTGCACTTACTAGAGATTTCAGCTCCAGCGTGATTCATTCTATAGGCATGTGGAAAGAGCTTTAAAGAGATGTGGGAGACGTGCAAGCTTTTGTGAGCTCCACCCTTAACACTGAAGCCATGCACCAGGCTTGAACGAGCCCAGCGTGCTTTATTTATCCTGGCAAATTAACTGGCAGTGGGCGGTTGTTTTGTGGGCATAAGGCTGCACCAAGATCAATTAAACCTTTCAACTAATGAGAATTTCCTTCATCTCATTGAACGTATACCATTTGTGATGATGAAAACTGAACGCATTGAGTCTCCCCTCTCTTGCAAAGCAAACGTGATTTTCTTTAACCCTTCCTAATTTTTCTCATGCTGATTTTGTGGCTGACAGCGGGAGAAGCAGAGTCTGAGTCATGTCCATGGACTCAGCAAAAGCTGCACCCTGAGGTTGTCTCCATCTCTTTGTGAGTCTTTGTCGTGAATACCCGCAGGGAGCCATGATTTCTGGGCTTTCCTTGCAGTGGGCTGTGGTGCCCCCAATTCCTGCTGGATGACCCCATGGCCCATGAATCACAGTGGGGTCTCAGCAGTAAAGTGTGCAGTTCTGCAGACCAGCTGGGACTGTTCCTCCAGCCTGTGGTTCTCTAAGCTGATTTGAGTGCACTTTTTGACAAAGGCAGATTTTCTTGTTTGAAGCTGCATTGCCTCAGTTGGGGCTAATTAAGGAAGGTTTTATAGGAAGCTAATAAACCTTTCAGCAATCTGCAATCAGTTCACACTTGGGATTATAATAATTGGATCTCAAAACCCAAATAAAAATTCCCAGTGTACTTCCTTCAACACTTTGCTCTGTGTCTCCAAATCCTTTTTGTACCTGGCTACAGTTTCATTTTTGTCCTCGTAGCCTAAGCTTTCTTCTCTTTGTGTCTTTGGCTTCAAACATACTAATAAATATTGAACAGTCAAAGAAACTGAACTTTAAAATAATGGAAAAGCAAAAACCTCTTAATGTGATTGTTTCTGGATCTGGTGATATTGAATGGATATCTGTCTTTTGTTATTTTTAATTATTTGCATGATACCCTCAATTCATTATCTAGAAAAACAGTCCCCCTTTCAATCTCCCCACCCTGGTTGAATGAGACATGTTACTCATAGTCACTCAGGTTCAAACATTTTTTTGAAACTTATATTTCCTTTTTTACATGCAGACAATCACCAAACTCTAGAGAAGCTCGCTTATATTTTGCAACTATTTTTCCTAATTTCTGTTTTCTCTAGAACCACTTTATATCAAACTTTCATTAATCCTTGTCTAAATCATGATAATCACCTCCTAACTAATTTTGACCAGGTGGTCAATTAATTTTGCCTAATGGAAATCAATCCAATGCAATCTCCTATTAATTTTCCTGAAATTTCTCACTGATCTGACAATCACAGCCTAACTAATTTTTACGAGGAAGCCAATTAATTTTTTCTAATGCAAATCAACCTGAGTCGCCATGCCTCTTTTAATGTTGTTTAAATTCCTTACTGATTACATACTCCAAAGTATCTCGCTAAACCAAACAAAAACCCCACAACTGTTCCATATTGACTATCCAATTCACTCCAATATGGAACATGCTTTAAAATGCAGTACAGGGGCTGGGAACAGTGGCTGACAGCTATAATGCCAGCGCTTTGGGAAGCCAAGGTGGGAGAATCTCTTGAGGCTAGGAGTTTGAGACCAGTCTGGGCAACATAGTAAAACCCTGTATCTACAAAAAATTTTAAAAGTTAGCCAAGCATGGTGGTGTGCACCTGTAGTCCCAACTACTTGGGAGGCTGAGATTGGAGGATCACTAGAGCCAAGGAGGTCAAGGATGCAGTGAGCTATGATCACGCCACTGAACTCCAGCCTGAGTGAGAGCGAGAGTCTGTCTCTAAAAATAAATAAGTAAAATAAAAGAGTAAATAAAATGCAGCACAAGACGTCCAGCATTTTCTTCCACCCCAAAGCCCATACAACCCGTCTTTAAGCCAAACTGAACCACTCATTCTTTCCCAAAATAACCCTAAAGAACCACATCCCTGGGTCTGGCTTAAGCTGACAATTCTCTGCTAAAGGGGCTTGTACAAATCATAGCCATCCTTGACTGACTTTTCTTCTAAGACCTCGTTTCTAACTCAAATTTATTCCCTTTATAGTTCCCTCATCTACCTCTGCTAATGAGCGTATAGGAGGTCATCTAGCCTGTCAACACTCACTGAGGCGTCTGTCTCATTTCTTCCATCAAATGGTGAATCATGTTCAATGGTAGGTATTCAGTCAATATGGAAAAGTGTAAATGACTGAAGCTAAAATGTATGGAACAACACTGAATTATCACATTCCTTTTTGTTCTAGCTGTCATGCAAGGTCAACTATACTTGGAATTCTGTCGCTAAGAACTAAAGTTTGAGTTCAATTAAAAAACAACTCATTCATAAACATGTTGTCCTGATATTTCATCAGCTATCTTAACAGCAAATACAATAGAAAAATGGTGCTTCTATTGCCTAAAGGTAACATAAATAATGCTTGGTAAAGTAAACCCTGTTGGCACCTTGAGTTATTGACAAACTCAAAGCAAAAAAGGCAGAAGTGGAGGGGGGAAAATTCCAAGAATCTACTTAAATATGTATGTAGAATTTGGGTGGGAAGTTAGAGAATATGAATTACTCCAAGTCATACTTTTATTTCATTTCTTTTCAAACCATGTGAAATTCATTAATTTTTTTAACTTGTATTTTAGGTTTGAGGGTACATGTGAAGGTTTATTGCAATAGTAAACTTGTGTCAGGGGTACATGTTGTGCAGATTATTTCATTACTCACATATTAAACCCAGTACCCAAGAGTTATCTTTTCTGCTCCTCTCCCTCTCTCTCTCCCTCCCTCCCTCCCTCTCTCATCTCCTTCCTCCCACCCTCCCCGCTCAAGTATACCCCAGTGTCTGTTGTTTCCTTCTTTGTGTTCATAATTTCTTATCATTTACCTCCCATTTATAAGTGAGAACATGCAGTATTTGGTTTTCTGTTCCTGTGTTAGTTTGCTAAGGATAATGGCCTCCAGCTCCATCCATGTTCCTGCAAAAGACATGATCTCATTCTTTTTTATGGCTGCATAGTAAGCAGAAATTCCCTTTGACCCAGCAATCCCATTACTGGGTATATACCCAGAGGAATATAAATCATTCTTACATAAAAACACATGCATGTGAATGTTCACTGCAGCACTATTTACAATGGCAAAGTCATGGAATCAACCTAAATGCCCATCAATGACAGATTGGATAAAGCAAATGTGGTCCACATACACAATGGAATTCATTCTTTTTATTTTCTGGGGAGCAGTCTGCCACACACAGAGAATTATATATCTGAACACCAAACGGCCAGACTTGGTGGTCACTTTATTTGTGAGAAAGCAAACCTGGGAAGTCTTGAAATGGCAAACCTTTCAGAAGAGATGGCAGAGACTCTCCTACACATTCTACTCTCAATGCTCTATCTTGTTCTTTCCATCCCAGATCTCCCTCCCATCAGTCTTTTACTACTCAATCCTGAGGCCTGGACGTACCCACAAAAGTGAGTTCTATTGATTGCGCTAAGCTGTTAAAATAAAATATGCTTTCCCTGAATGTGATGCAGGTAAATCCAGATAGGAAACAACTGTTTATGTATTCATGGGATAGACCAAGAGTCTTGCAAAGTGGCCTGGTCAAAGTCGACACATCATTTCCTTGGGGAAATCTTGCATCAGATTTCACCACACATCTGTTTTATAAACTCTGACAGCATCTGACATTTATAGTACTGATCATAACTGTTTTATCAATTGGTTATTGGGATAATTATTCATTGAAACTTTGCCTTAATTACTGAAATTTTTATTAAACTCTTCTTACCTTGTTTGGCATATAGAATATGCCCCTTATTAAATAAAGGCATGGATGAGATTATCTACATAATAGGTGGTGTGCTAAGCAAACCATCTCTCAAAATACACACACACACTTGTTAGTGGTGTTTGCCAATTCCCATGGTGTAAATTCTCCCACTACGGTTCATTTCAAGCTACATACGGTTGGACAGATGGCTCACACAATTCCTGGATGTTTCATGGTTAGCTCCTAAAAGTCAGAATGAGCCCATTCCAGAGCATCGCTCATGCATAAAGGTGTGAGGATGCCTTTGCTCAATTTCAACAACCTTTCTCAAAAACAGAGTACACTTAGTAATCTAGACTTGGGAAGATTCTTCTTAAATGTGATGGACATTTTCTTTTGGCTACGGGGTGCATATTTTCTTGAACAGAGAAGTCCTTTTTTAGACAATCTGATAAAATCAGAACCAGAGTTCTGAGCATTACCTACAAAAGGCTGTCCTAGGGACATTTTTCTTCTCTAAAAATCAGAAACATTGCCAACCACAGCTTTGGAAAGTGGCCAGTAAAATAAAACAAGAAAAAGAAGCCAGAGATATAACTATGGGAAGAGAGGGAAAGCTATATTTTCCCACAGGCAATATGACCAATTAAGTAGCTCAGCTGAAAATGATGCAAATAAACAAGACCTTCCCAAGAAAGTTTAGCAAAAATGTTCAAGGCTTCTACAAATATGCTGAAAACCTGGAAATATATATGTCCTTGCATGAGAAAACACAATGTTATAAATAATACATACTAAAAATTTGATTCATCTTTTAAAAGAAATCCAATTAAAATCTCAATGACTTTTGGTGATAAATATTTAGTAAATGAAATTTATCTAAAGACAAAAATTAGTATGAAGACATATAACAATGTGGAAAATATAAGAAAGCACGGGTTTTCATATTAAAATATGTTGTAAGACACCCTACAATAAAACAGAGAACAGAAACTCACATGGGTATTTAATGTGAGTGACATTTATGGTCACTGAGGAAATAATAAATTACTTAATACATGATGCTATATGGTTTGGCTGTGTCCCCACCCAAATCTCATCTTGAATTGCAGTTCCCATAATCTCCACATATCATGGGAGGGCCCCGGTGGGAGGTAATTGAATCATTGGGGGTGATAGTCTTATAAGGAGTTTTTACCCCTTTGCTTGGCTCTCATTCTCTCTCCTCCCACCCTGTGAAGATGTGCCTTCCACCATGATTGTAAATTTCCTGAGGCCTCCCCAGCCATGTGGAACTGTGAGTCAATTAAACCTCCTTTCTTTATAAATTATCCAGTCTTGGGTATTTCTTCATAGCAGCATGAGAACAAACTAATACATGACGTTAGAAAAATTGGTTTAATATTCAGGTAAAACAAATTTAGATCTTGATTTCACACCATATAGTCAAGTGAGTTCCAAATGCTTTAAGTTTTTATATATATATATACTTATATATATATACTTATATATATATTTATATATATACTTATATATATATTTTTATATATATACTTATATATGTATATATATACATATATATGTATATATATACGTATATATATATTTTTATATATATACACACATATATATACATATATATATATACTTATATATATTTTAGAGGCAAGGTCTTGCTTTATCGCCCATGCTAGAGTGCAGTGGCACAATCATAACTCAATGCAGCCTCCAACTTCTGGACTCAAGCAATCCTCCTGCCTCTGTTTCCCAAGTAGCAGGGACTACAGGCATGTGCCACCACACCCACCTAATTTTTTAAAAAAGCTTTTGTAGAGACGGTTTCACTGTATTGTCCAGGCTGGTCTGAACTCTTGGCCTCAAGCAATCCTTCCACCTTAGCCTCCCAAACTGCTAGGATTACAGGTGTGAGCCACTGCACCTGGCCAAATTCTAATATTTAAAGATGAAAAATATTATAAAAGTATGTGAGCAATATCTTATGTCAGAAAGAAGAGTGACCTATTAAACACAAAGAAGAGTGAATAACAAAGGAAAAAATGAAAGATACAGCTACAAATAATTTAACACTACTGTACCTTCCAAAAATGCAGTTCCATAAACAAAATAGAAAGAAAAATGGTAACTGTGAACAAAGTATTTTTTTATATTTAGAGCAATATTAATGCCTCTTATGTATTTGCTATATTTAAGGCTCCCTATGTAGATTAATTCTTACTGCTCAGCAAACCAAGGCTGAGCAGCTCAGTAGATAAAGGATGCAAAATTACAGCCAGACAGGAAGAATAAGTTATAGTGTTCTATATCCTTGTAGGGTGACTATAGTAACACAAATATATTATATAGTTTCCAATAGCTAGAAAGAGGGAACTGAATGTTCCCCACACAAAGAAATGATATATGTTTGAGATGATGAATATGCTAATTACCCTAATGTGATCAGTATTCATCATATGTATCAAAACATCACTACGTACCCCCTAAATTATCCTATGTCAGTTAAAACTTTAAAAAAGAAATGTAAGGACAAAACAAAAAATAAAATTCTTCCAAGAGATGGCCAAATTAGGTAGTTTGGCAAAGAAGAAGGGGGTTGGGAGGAGGAGGAGTAAAAAGAAGAGGGGGAGAAGGAAAGAAGAAGAAAGGAAGAAGAAGGAAGAAGAAGGAGGAGGAGGAAGAGGAGGAGGAGGCCATTGAGACAGGTGACTTTGCAAAAGGTGGGGTGTGTCTCAGTGCTGGTGTGCATAAAGGAAGTTGAGGCGAAGTAGGGATGTTGATGGCTCAACTCAGCATAGTGATTGGAACTTGGAGGTTTACTGCTACCATTTGGGGCAATGAGAGGTTGGAGTAAGATCGCATCTAAAGATTCAATCTAAGATTTCATCTTGTAATAAAAGTAAGGAGATAGAGCGAAGTCTACAGAGACACAAGCTAGAACAGCAGTTCTCAATCTTGGCGGAACATTAGAATCGCCAGGGAGTTTGCACAAATACCAACACCCAAACAAAAAATAACCAAGATTTCTTTTTAATTACTATTTGTGCTCCTGCAAGAAGAGGAGGAGGAGGATGAGGCAGGAGGAGGAGAATGAGGAGAGTGAAGAGGAAAGAGAAGAGGAGAGGGAGGAGACAGGAAGAGCATACCGCTTTGTGGCTATCAAATTACAAGTTGTTAAAATGATAGTAATTCTTGGGAAGCGTAGTGGTAAAATGTGCACTCTCATAGGCTGGCATGGTGACAATATAAATTGGAAAAATCTCTTTGAAAGGCATTTTGGAAATGTTTTGCAAGAGCCTTAAATATGCTCATACACTTTACTGTGGCCATTCCATATCTCAGAATTTCAGAGACTATGGGGATTCTTTGCAGAGGTGGGCAAAGTTGTGAAACAGTCTAGATGTCCCCCAAGACAGGATTAAATACTGAGTGACACATCTATACATCCCTAGGATGAGGCTGACTGATGTTGAGCTATGCAAATCAAATATTGGGGTTTTGGGGGCGGAGGTGAACTTTAAACCACATGATCTGATTTATAATCCAAACTGCAATTACATAGTGTGCATACACACTAACCAAAATCTGGGCATGTTCAGAATATTTATCTTTGAGGAATAAGATTGCAAATAATTTTTATTTATTCATTCTTTTCTATTCAAATATATATTATATTATATAGAATATCATATTCTAATATATTTCTATGTCTCGTTATTTATAACAGTTACACTATGAAATAAAGGCTTTTCACAAAGACAGAAGCTAGTTCCAGCTATGTGTGTGAAAATGCTGGAAACTTGTTTTTCCTCTCCAAACAGGGGCTGATTCTCCTTCCTAAATGCCCTTAAAAGAGTTTTTTTTTTTCAATTTATATTGTCACTATGCCAGCCTATGAGAGTGCACATTTTACCTCCACGCTTCCCAAGAATTGCTGTCATTTTAACAACTCCTAATTTGATAGCCACAAAGGGATATGCTCTTCCTGTCTCCTCCCTCTCCTCTTCCCTTTCCTCTTCCCTCACCTTCTCCTCCTCTTCTTCTTCCTTTTCCTCCTTCTCTCCTTCTCCTCCTTCTTTCTCCTTCTCCTTCTCCTCCTATTCTTCCTCTTCCTTTCCTCCTCTTCCTCCTCCTCCTCCTCCTACTCCCCCTTGTCCTCCAGCCACCTGGCTCCAGGGTGGATTTTTGTGCCTGCTCTTGTTTCAGCAAGGAGGACATCAAGACAGATTATCTTTCTCTGTTTGAGAATGTATTAAATGCAGTATTTTCTGTAGAAAAATATCAGTGGTTATTTTTTTTCCTATTTGTTTAAATACTTGCCTAATAAAAGTCTCACTTTTCCAGAATCAACAATAAAAAAATAAAACTGCAGTGGGTTTTAATCCAGTCATCTGAAAATCATTTTTTATCTCTTCCTTTAAGTAGTTACTTAAAATGAACCTCAACCTCCTACCATCATCCAGAAAGGAAGATAGAAAATGTTTATACACATAAGCTATTTTTATAATGATTCAAAGCCAAATCTTGAGGAAAAACTATAAACTTCAGCCCCTCAGCCAGGCCCAGAAAATGTATGATTGCATTATGTTGACATATTTCACAAAAGCTTATATAACATAAAATAATGAAAAAAGACTGTGTGAGCCTTCTGTTTCACATGGAAACTCTTAGATTTTTCGTTTGCTTGTTTTTTCTTATTGTCTTAAAATTCACGTTGCTGGACATTAATGAAAAATAGCTTTGCTTTTTTTCTTCCAAAAGCCACATGTCCATATTTCTTTTTCATAACAGAAAGTTGAAGCTAGATTCCACTAACAATGCTTCACTATTCCCCAACCTCTTTATGGCTTTTTTAAAACATAAAATATACTTGTTTAGAAATCTCTTAAATGATAAAGAGGGCTAAGAGTCTTAAGATTGTGAATAGGGACTTGTAGAAAATTGTAATGTATGCTGTGATTAATAATCCAACTAAATTGTATCAGGGACACTTGCCTGGGCTGCAGACGACATTTCTCTATCACTTACTTGTGGGGAGAACTTCAGTTGGTACATAATCCCATGAACCCTAGTACCCTAATCTGGAATAAAGAAATAATGTTCAGCCTACAGTATTGTTATACACTTTAAATGGCAGTATAAGGGAATGCTTTTACAAAATTATAATTCATTGTGTAAATTGGAGTTATGCTATTAATACCATTGCATCAAAGAAATAATAATCATCATCCTCAAAACAAGAATAGATGGTATTTATGTATCATTTCTAGGGGAGCCTTTCACAAATATTATTTCATTTAAACATGGCAACATTTTGTGGCTTTGTGGAAATATACTATGGGTAAAATAAACCTCAGTCTAACAGAGGCATACCTTGATAAGTATTGCTTTCTGATGTCAAGAGCAAGAGTGTTTCTCAAGAGGTATGACAGCAGTGAGGATAAGAAGATAAGGTATAGTATGATAATAGCCTTTGTGGACACCCACTGAAGGTGCTCTGAATTCATTCAAGAACTCAAGTTCTTCCCACCTTGACTTCCCCATCCCCTAGTGCCTTATAATCCCTTTATTGAGTGGGGAATGAGAACAGAGAGGTAGAAGAGCATCCTTGCTTCTTTACTCCTGAGCCTAGAAAAGACACACACCATTGATGGGAATTCATCACATCACCCCATTGGCGGGAATCCATCACATGACTCCACCTCAGAGCAAGGGAGCATGGGAAATGTAGTCTTTGCCTCGGGATCTACATTCAATAAGGCAGGCAGTGCGTGGCGCTTGGTGGACAGGTAGCCACTTCTGCCTCAGGGCAGTTGCATCGCCATCAATGTTGCAGGTCAAGGAACTGGGCAATTCAATTACTGGGAGTCAGATGTAGGTCCAGGCTACATTATGGCAGACCTGCTTCTTTAACACATGTTTTCTTTTGCACTCAAAAGGGAGGAATGTGTCAAACAAAAAATAACCAAGATTTCTTTTTAATTTATTATTTGTGCTTGAAAATGTCCCCCAAATTATGTTTTCCCTCCTACATGTTACTGTTTGGATTATCCATCTCTCCACTTGGAATCCCATCTCTTCATTTCTCCATCCGTTATTCCATAACTTCCAAAGAGAAATAGAAAGACTTTTAAAATAAGAATGAACAATTCAGGCCACATTAAGATGTGTCCAAGAAGTTGGATAATATTCACGAGTGTGAATATTATCTTTTACACATAGGAAGCTTTTTATAAACAGATTACAGACATGCTCAAATGAAATTCTTTAACTGGGTTTAATGAATCCTAAAGGTGCAAGGTATGCTAGTTTTATGGTGTGGACTAAAACAGGCAGCAGTAATTACAGTGTGAGATTTGGGTAAGTGTTTTGTGTAATAAAGGAGTTAGCAGGTTATTTTTAAATTGATTTAATAGTAGTCTCAAAAATGAGTCCCTCAATCTTGAATCTATTCATACACACATATACTCATACACATACATATAATTTTATACTTATATTTTATATTTATATATGTTTTATATTATATACTATATATTCTATCTACTTATCCCAGACTAATAATTATTTTTAAAATGGCTCAAATAACATATATTCTGAGGCTAGTTTCTCTTTAGAAGGAAAAAATACTATTTAAACCAGTGCACTAAGGTGCCAAATAATTCCATTTGGAAAGAAATTTGTTCTTTTAGGGGAGTAAACTAAAATGTCAATGAGACTTTTTGACTTTGCAAAGGTTGGAGTGTGTCCCAGTGCTGGTGTGCACGGAGCAGCTTCAGGCAAAGTAAGGATGTTGATGGCTCAGCTCAGCATAGTGATTGGAATTTGAAGGTTTACTGCTACCATTTGGGGGAACAAAATTTTGGAGCTTCAAGCAAGATTGGATTTAAAGTTCTTAGAATGAAAGTAAGGAGGTAGAGTGAAGCCTACAGAGACGCAAGCTAGAACAGAAGTTCTCAATCTTGGCTGATCATTAGAATCACAGGGAGCTTGCACAAATACCAACACCCAAAACATTCCCTAAACTAATTAAATCTGAATTGCTAACAGTGGGGTAAGGGGAAGAGAGAGATGTCATCAGACATCAGATTTATTCAACTCTTACGATGATTTCAAAGTGCATCGAAAATTAAGAACCACTGATGAGGAGATTTATCAGGATTTGACATTTCCTTTGCTTTAAGGAGTGGTGATATTTGAAGTTTTATTGTCCCCATATGCCCCATCCTGTATGATATTGCCTTTCATTATCTTCTATCCCATGTTCATGTGACAAGGTTGTACAGAGGTTAAGATGATGGAATGTAGAGCAGAAACTTCCTAGGTTCTGAAGTTCTCATAGAACAGAAGAGTAACATGAATATAAAGCACAGACTTTCTAGATTTAAACTTCTCATTAAGAAGGTAGGAAGATGGAATAGTAATTGTACCATCTTAGAACTGAATGACCAAAGGCAAGCTGTTCAAACTCACTGTGCCTCAACTTCCTACTATGTAAAATGGGAGCAGTGGTATTGGCACCAACTTTGCAGGGTGGTTGTGATAATCAAATAAGTAATATATGGAAACTGGCCAAGACTGTCAAGACTCTACATAGATACCAATTATTATCATCAGTATTGAATTTGGAAGATGAAGGAGAGAAGATGAATTTGAGATTGGGACAAATTTAGCCAGTCATTGAAACAGAAGGCTTCCAAGGTCATACGTTGGCAGGTAGAGTTGATGGAGAATTTTGCTGGAAGCTGGAGATTGAAGCAAGAGGAGGCACATTGCAACCCAGTCGCTATGAGAACAATTATTCACCTTTCTCCCGCTGAAGCACCTCAGAATAAGAAGTAACTATGGGCTTTCCGTAGTCTTTGGGAGAGTACCAAAATCATTCTACCGGCATGTTTAAGTGAAGGGCAGAGGGAGGACCTGAGTCATTTGGGTGACATATATAACGAACAAAGGCAGTTTTTGAGAATTCTAGAGGCAGTAAAAGTTAGGAATGTAGGAGAAAGTGGTATAACAGGGAATATTAGTTTTTACATCACCATCATAGAAAAGTCAAAGGCCATAAATGTGTGAAGGGATAAAGACAGGAGATAGAAAATGATACACCTGAGAGTTATACACATAGCTGCTCACCGAGCCTGGAAGACCCTCCCCATACCCAGCTTCTGAAAAAAATATATTAATAAAATAAACTTTCAAAAAAAGAAAATTAACCAGTACCATTATTTTTACATTTATCAACAACTGATAATTCTCATCTAATTGTTTTCATAATCTTTGTCCTTTGTACATACATCATTTGATGCTTATCTTATCATGTTACAATTAATGTCTGAATCTACAACTTGTGTTGTAAGTTCACTGGGATACAGGAATCCCATGCAATTCACTTTTCATTTCACTGTCTGACTCAGTGCTTTTCCCATGCTATGTCTCAGTAAATGTTGACTGAATTCTGAGGGCACGGTGAGAGTAAGAAAGACAAAGAAATCTTTTACAAGGTGTATGATTTTCATTTCTAGTTTACCAAGCATGTTTCAAAAAGGCAAAGCTTTATTTCCAAAGGGAAGGTTTTGCAAAATTTTACCTCTGCTGATGTCCAGTCTAAGCCTGCATGGTCTGAAAGTGCAACGGCCAAAGGGAGAGAGGAGTAAGAGGAGTGGCCTTGCAGTTGATAAACAGGATGATGATGATGATATCAATGATGATGGCGATGATAGTGATGGTTGTGATGGTTGTGATGATGATGATGATGATGATAGTGATGGTGAGAAAAGTCTTTGATAGAAGGTCACAAATGTTTGGGTGACAGTAAGAATCCTTCTTGTGTTAAAAGATGGAGTAAAAAATGAAATGGAAGACTTGAAAGGTAGCTGAAGCCCTTGTTTACTAATCCAAAGTGAAGGAGTTTATTATGTAAATGTGAAGATCCAATCTGAGGATTTTTGACTGAAGTAGCATGACTGGAACTCTAGAGCAGAAGACTAGCTTAGTGGTATTGTGTGTTGAATGCATTAAGGTGAAGACTTTAGTAGGCAACATCAGCAATAATCCAAGTGAGATCTCAAATTTGGTATCAGCACCAGAGCAGTGATAGACCAGGAATAGGGAGAAATAGAAGGATAAGATCTATGTTACAAAGGTATCTCAACATAGCTTGGTGAGTGATTGAAAGGAAAGCAAGAGAGAATAAGTGTCATAAAACATTCTAGGTTTATGAACTGAAAGAGGTGGTGGCATTAACAGAAATAGCAAAGGAGGAAAAGCTAAATTTGGAAGAAAGATGGTGTATACGTCAGCTTCTGCTGCAGTAACAAATACTCCAATTCAAAAATAAATGTGTTTGTGTGATAGGAAGGCTGCAGGTCAGTTACAGCTCAGTTGGGCTCTGCTGGGTTCAGCCATGCTGGCTTCCTATTTTGGAACCAAAATAAACATTTCCTGCTGCCCTCATGGTGGAAGGCAGGAGGTACAGGGTTAAGGAATGTCTTGAGTCCTCCGCTTGGATAAAATTTACATCATATCCACTTACATTTCACTGGTCTAAACATGTCATATGGTCATGAGTGAATCTGTATAATTTCCTTCTTATCTGAGGAAGCAGCTCATTGGGAACATGATCTAATTTGTCCCAGATGGTGAATGCAGTTTGGAACACAGTGGAAGATTCTAGTGAGGAGAGAGAGAGAGAGAGAGAGAGGCAGCAAGTTGCAGAAAAACAAGGAGAAATGGAACTCAGGAAAAAGTTAGAAACATAAGTAAAATCCCTTAATATACAAAAGTTATGGTTGAAGCTAGTGAGATTCATGAAGGAAGAGAGAAAAGACTGGACTGAAGATAGAAAAAGAAGAAAATTGGGTAAATAAAAGTTGAGGAAGAAAAAAGACATTGGAGTATAAAGAAAATCAACAGTGACAGTTATGGTGGGACCCTACCATAGAACAGATATAAAGAGTAAAGGAATATGTAGAATTTCCACATTGTTCTCAAAGGTCCCTTGGTTGTAAAAAGCTTAGACAATATCATGGATGTTTGCATCATGGTTCTACTCACTTGCCCACATGTGCACAGAATTGAGCTACTATGAAAAGCTCGTATGAAGATCACCCTTGCTTTTCTTACATGCTGTAGTTCATTTTAGTGGGTTTCAGGTGGGAAGGGAGAGATAATAAGGGCAGGAATCATTTCCTATCCTTATGGCATTCTACAACCATCACAAAAACCTAGTGTGGGTTTCAGGTGGGAAGGGAGAGATAATAAGGGCAGGAATCATTTCCTATCCTTATGGCATTCTACAAGCATCACAAAAACCTAAAAAATTGTATCCCTGAAGATACCCAGCAGATAAGCATAACATTGGGTTAAATGGCAGTGGATGCCTTCCTGGAATCAAAGAAAAGATGATAGTGGGAAAGGAGCATCCTTATTTTTGAGAACCCATGATGTGGCAGACGTGAGATAAGAGTTTTGTACCCCAATCTAAGGATTTCCAGTTTTACCAGCCTTCCAGGGACTATCCTTAATTAAATGATGGCATATATTGAGTCAAGTTGAGTGTCAAGCAGATTTGCGTCTTTCCCAGTACTTCAAATAGTCCACAGGCACTGTTTACCTTCTTCTTCTGGATTTTGATAATCTCTCAGATCTTTATATTACGTTTATTCAGGTTGTTGTTTTTCCCTCTCAAAGTCTTCATCAACAGAAGAGAAAGCAGCCATCTTTCTTCATGTCCCAACACACCACCAACCCAAGGTTGCTTTGTGTCACAGAACTTTACCAAAGTTATGCAAATATTGGAGAATGAAAATTGTGCATAAGTGGGAACAAATTAAGAAGGAATTATAACAGTCCACGTGATCCTTATTACTGCCATAAATCTCAGAATTCAAGGCTTTCCCCAGAGGAAGACAAAATAAAGTCAACTTCATAATCATCTCCCAGCCAAAGAGAAAATTCAAATACCTTTATTATAGCCACTCAAGACATTTTTTAGTACCTACAATGTTCCAGGCACTGGCCAGGTCAATGTGCACACATCACTGAAGAAACTAGACAAATGTCTTCAACTAGGCATTGTGAGTAGTGGTTCTCTTCTACACCAGCTTTCCTGTCACCCATTTCCCTGGTCTACTTCCTGTATATCTTCAGCTCTGCATGGCAAGGAGGACATCCCCAACAGAGCTTCTATTAGCTGGCTTGTTACTGAAGTCAGCAATGGGACAGGTTAGCAGGAGTTTGGAGGAGAAGTGGGAGGAATGGAAGGTGGGTGCATCTCCTCTGTTTCAGCCTTGGGCAGCAACGTTGCAGCCACAACTGATATATCTTCACTCTGCAACTCACTCTCTGGGGTGCCTACTGCTCTAGTTGGGCTCCTCAGCCCTTCCTTTCCCTCTGCAGACAACACCATATGGTAATTCCCCTTGACTGAAAATACTCTGACTATTTAGCCCCTGAAGTTTTTTCTATTTACCTAATTAGAAAGCATCATAGAGTGTTAGCTAAATCAAAAAAGGTGCGTTTTTCTTTCAGGTAATTTATGCTACCCTACCAGGGAGTGGACACAGCTTCAGTGTTTTTCTTCTTTTTTTTTAATGGAACTTTCAAGTTTTGTCCCACCAGCTATATGCAGTGGTTTTCCCAATGACCCAGTAAAGTGAGTGGTGTCATCCCCATTTGACACACACAAAGAAACAGAAGTTTAAGTAGATGACATCTACACTACCACAGCTATTACAGAACAGGACCTAAATTCAAGCTTGTGTCTCATTCACTTGAAATCTTATTTGGTCAGCCATGTTTTCCCAAAGCTCCCTATCCACCCAAAGCCTTGTTTGATTGGCCATGTTTTCCCAAGGCTCTTCATTCACTCAAAGCTTTGTTTCAGGGACCGTGTTTTTCCAAGGCTCCTAATCCACTCAAAGCTTTGTTTGATTGGCCATGTTTTCCCAAGGCTTTTCATCCTCTCAAAGCCTTGTTTGATTAACCATGTTTTCCCAAGGCTCCCATCCACCCAAAGCCTTGTTTGATCAGCTATGTTTTCCCAAGACTTTCCATCCACCCAAAGCCTTGTTGATCGGCCATGCTTTTCCAAGGCTCCTCATCCACTCAAAGCCTTGTTTAGTTGGCCATGTTTTCCCAAGTGTCCCATCCACTCAAAACCTTGTTTGATCGGCCATGTTTTCCCAAAGCTCCGTGGTTAGGCACAACACAGCACAGCACACACGTTGGTTCTAGTTTTGGTTTCTAGTTTTGGTTCTGCTACATGGCTTAGGATGCATAAGCTGCAGCTGAAGTTGGATGGTGTAGGATTGGACCTATACCAGTGCTCCTATCCTACACTATTACAGTGGTCATATCTAAGCATGCTTCTTCAGAATTCAACTCTCCCAAGAGTGCTTGTGATGCTTAACTTGAACGCACTTTGGAAACCATTGCTCTTCAAAGTACTGGAGAAATGACAGCAATAAATATGAAAATAACCAACATATACTGAGTACTTGTGATTGGACAGGATTTGTTCTAAGAATCTCATCTTCTATTTTCACAATGACCTTATGAGGTAAGTGTCCTATAAGTTTCCTCTTTTCCACAAATTTGAAAACAGAAGCATGCAGAATTTCAACACCACACCAAGGTTCTAATGTCTTCATGGGGGGAGGCACCACACAATGTGGCACAAATTAGCACAATAGGTTGCCCCATAGAGGGTTAAATTATAAGAAATATGTGATGGATCACAGTATAGTTTTGCCAGACCACTTCAGGAACAAATGAGTTCCAGTGCTAAAGATGCCACTTCCTCATCACATTCTTGCTGCACTTTGTACTCACCCAGGCTTCTCACTGAGAGATTCTGATTTGTAGGTCAGAGTCTGGTGTAACAGGTGGAATGGTGGCCCCCAAAGACATGTCTATGTCATAACCTCTGGAACTTATAAATGTGAACTTATTTAGATAAGATATAACTGACTTAAGTATCTCAAAATGAGATCATCCTGGATTAGATGAGCCCTAAATCTATGGACACATGTCCTTATAAGAGACAGAGGACTGGGAGGCTGAGGCAGGAGAATCGCCTGAACCTGGGAGGTGGAGGTTGTAGTGAACAGAAATTGCGCCACTGCACTGCAGCCTGGGCAACCAGAGCGAAACTCCGTCTCAAAAAAAAAAAAAAAAAAAAAAGAGAGAGAGAGAGAGACAGAAGAAGAGACATAGAGGAGAAGGCCACATGGAGATGGAGGCAGAGACTGGAGTGATGTGGCTACAAGCCCAAGGATGCTTGGAGCCCACAGGAGCTGGGAGAGGCAGGAAGGATCCTCCCTTAAAGCCTCCAGAAGGAACTGGATACAAATGGATTGAACCATAGTCTCCCAAAAAGATATGTCCACATCCTAACCCCAGAACCTGTCAATGGAACCTTATTTGGAAATAAAGGCTTTGCAGGTATACTTAAATCAAGGATCTCAAGAAGAGATCATCCTGGATTAGTGTGGCCCTAGATCAAATGACAGGTGTCCTTCTAAGATACAGAACAGGAGACACGGAGAGGAGTAGGCCACACGGAGATGGAGGCAGACAGTGAATTGATGCGGCCTCAAGCCTAGGGATTCCTGGAGCCTCCAGGAGCTGGGAGAGGCAGGAAGGATCCTCCCCTAGAACCTTCAGAAGGAGTGCAGCTCTGCCCACACTTTGACCTCAGACTGCTGGTCTCCAGAACTGTGAGATAATCAATTCCTGTTGTTTTAAGCCACCAGTTCTGTGGTCATTTGCAATCTCAGTCCCAGGAAATGAAGACACTTGGACATGAGGATGTTTAAATCAATCCAGGAGATGATAACATAAAGCCAACAAGAGCCAAAGGTTTCTTGTGTTCTAACAAGGTTAGAACACACACACAAAAAATGCTGCTAAAAAGGAAGCTGAACAGCCTCTCAGGATGAAGGTAAACCAACGTTTGTTTTTTTTTCCAAAACAGAGTCAGTTTGTGCTGGCCATCCAGGAACTCACTAACACTACTCCTCTTAGTTTCATCATTAATCTGTTACTGAACTTCCACCTCCAAAAGACTTGGATCCTTTTCTTATTTTTGGAGACCGTCTTGCTCTGTCACCCAGGCTGGAGTGCAGTGGTGCGATCTTGGCTTACTACAGCCTCAACCTCTCAGGCTCAAGTGATTCTCCTACCTCAGTCTCCAGAGTAGTTGGGACTACAGGTGTGCACCACCATGCCCAGCTAATTTCTGTATTCTCTGTAGAGATGGGATCTTGCTATTTTTCCCAGGCTGGTCTTGAACTCCTGGACTCAAGCGATCTGCAGGCCTTGGTCTCCCAAGGTTCTGGGATTACAGGTGAGACTTGAGTCTTAAATGACAAAAGTGCAGAAAAGGATCTTGTGGGGTTCAGTGTCTTGCAGATTGAATTCAGCAGCAGGGTTGGGGTCTTCCTCACCTTGTCCCACATTCAGCCAAGCTTCATTGAAACAAGAGCTGCCTTTACAATTACAAACCAGACTTCAAGGACTAGAGCCTGGTTGAAGTTTTGTTTTTCTGTGAGGGCCTGAGAGTAATTAAATGGTGACAATGGACTGTTAGCTAGGGATTTTGCTTGTGTCCACAGATTTACAAGCACATATACCAGATGTTAGAACTTATCCATTTAGGGAGAAAAACAACAACTATCTTCTAGTTATTATAGTATTTACAAATAATGATACAGCCATATGTGATTCTGTTTAATGATCCGCTCAAATCACACACCTTCGTGTTCTGGACAAACTGGTTTAAATGGCTCTTATTTTACCTAAGTCATGAGGTGCTAAGTACCTCTCATTATAACCATCCCTACAAGAAAATTTTAAATATTTGCATTTATTTCTTAGGGCGTCTGTAACCAATCACCTCAAAATAGGGGCTTAAAAGAAATGAACTCTCTCCCAGCTCTGGAGACCAGAAGTCTGAGATCAAGGTGTCTCAGGGCCATGCTCCCTCTGGAGGCTCTAGAGGAGGCTCCTTCCTGCCTCTCCCAGCTCCTGGTGGCTCCAGGCATCCCTGGGCATCACTGTAGTCTCTGCCTCCATCTCCACGTGGCCTTCTCCTGTGTCTGTGCCTCCTCTTTTGTCTCTTAAACAGACACCTGTCATTGGATTTAAGGCCCATCTAATCCAGGATGATCTCATCTCAAGAGCTTTACCTTAATTACACCTGCAAAGACCCTATTTCCCAAATAAGGTCCCATTTCCCAGTTCTGGGAGTCAGAATATGGGCATATATTTTGGGGGCCACTGCTCAATACACTACAATTGTATGCAGTTCCCTCTGGATGTTCTAGGGGAGGATCCTTCCTGCCTCTTCCAGCTCCTGGGGACTCCAAGAATCCCTGGGCTTGTGGCCATGTTACTCCAGTCTCTGCCTCTGTCTCCACGTGACCTCCCCCTCTGTGTCTGTGTCCCCTTATCTGTCTCTTATAGTGACACTTATTGCATTTAGGACCCATCCTTATCCAGAATAATCTCATTTCCAGATCCTTCACGTGATCACATCTGCAGACTCTTTTTCCAAATAAGGTTGCACTGACAGGTTCCAGGTAGAGATGATTCTTTTGCAGAATGTTATCCAACCAATTACAATATCCTACCACGTTCAACCCCAAATGAAACACATTTTAGACTCTAGTCCAAATATGTCTATTATTTTTAAAAAATTATTACTTTTTAATGTTCAGAAACAGGGTCTCTTTATCACCCAGGCTGTAGTGCAGTGGTGTGATCATAGCTCACAGCAGCCTCAAACTCTTGGGCTCAAGTGATCCTCCTACCTCAGCCTCTTGAGTAGCTGTGACTATGGGCCTGCACCACTATTACGTTTTATCTATCACTAGATCCAAGGTCTCCTTGCTTGAGGCTCAAACTTTCTTCATGATGTTTTTGCCGCCGGGAGAACACGTCCTCCCATTTGTCCATATCATTCTGCCCAGCCATTCTTCTATTCTTGACTCCGTAAAAATGTTATCTCAGTCATCAAAATGTAGCTCTTTCTTAATGGGACTACAATCCCACCTGGTTTTTTAATCCTCTAGAATCTGAATGCCCTCTGAACCACTTTTAATGTTTTCAAACGCCTCTTCAGCCCATCACGTCATGTGAACGCAGAAGTTTGTGTTGAGAGGATGTTACCATTTTTTTCCAGGTAAAATTGCACCAAGGTATGTCCTGCAGAAACATTATCTACACCTAGGAGAATTTACCTCCCCAGATCTCAGTTTCCACATCATGCGCTGAAGCAGGCTGTCCAAATGAACGTGTTTCTAAAACCCTTTGCTGCATGTATTTATCTAGCACGGTGTTTTCCAACCAGGGACGGTACAGCCTCATGGGGAGAATGTGGCTATGTCTAGAGACATTTTTGATTATCACACTGGGGTGGTGGATGCTCCTGGCATCTGGTGGGTGGAGCCCAGGGATGCTGCTCAACACCCTACAGTGCACAGGACGGTCCCACCACAGAGAATTCTCCAGCCCCAGATGTCCATAGTGCTGAGGCTGAGAAATCCTCAGCATGAGAAACTCTATTACCCATCCAGTCATCCATCATCTATCTATCTATCTATCATCTATCTATCTATCTATCTATCTATCTATCTATCTATCTATCTATCTATCATCTATATCTATCTATCTATCTATCATCTATCTATATCTATCTATCATCTATCTATCATCTATCTATCTATGTATCTATCTATCTATCTATCTATCTATCATCTATCTATATCTATGTATCTATCTATGTATCTATCTATCTATGTATCTATCTATGTATCTATGTATCTATGTATCTATCTATCTATCTATCTATCTATCTATCTATCTATCTATCTATCTATTATCCATCCATCTATCACCCATCCAACCAGCCATCATCTATTTTTCTATCTACCCCTCTGTCATCTACCCAATTACCTATCTAATTCACCCAATCATCTATCATCAGTCTACGTATCTATCCATCTATTGATCATCCATTCAACCATTTATTATCTGTCATCTATCTATAATTCATCCAAACATCCATCATCTATTTATCTATATACCTATGTATCATCCACCCAACTATCCATCCTTTATCTATCTGTGTATCTATCATCCATCCAACCATCCATCATTTATCTATCTATCATCCATCCAACCATCTATTATCTATCTACCTATCTTACTCCTTTCCATATCTATTATCTATTTATATCTATAAATCATCTATCTGTATCAATCCTTATCTATTTATGTCTCCTATCCATATCTATTATCAACCTATCATCTATCACTTTATATCTATCAATCATTTATCTATCTGTCATCTATCTACCATCTATCTATCACTTATCTATCTATATCAATCATCTGTCAGTTATCTATCTACCAATCTAATTTATCGTTTATGTCAGTGGCTCTCAGCTAGGAGCAAGTTTGCACCCCCTAAAGGGGCATTTGGCAATGTCCAGAGACATTTTTGGTCATCACAATTTTGAGGGGGTGGGAGGGTACTAGTATCTGGCGGGTAGAGCCCAGGGATGCTACTCAACACCCTACACAGGACACCCCAGCCCAGAGAATCATCCAGCCCCAAATGTCATTCATGTGCATTTTGAGAGACCCTGCACCATCTGAAGAGCCTGTCTATTGAGGATAAACACTCCAAGCACCACCTCCTCCTCCACCTCTTTGCCTCCACAGGCCTCTCTTGATATCCAGCACACAGTAAGGGCTGTGCAGACATATTTAAGCAAATAAGTGGATTCATGAATGAGAGACAGGCTCTATGCCTCCCACAGAGTTAAAAAAAAAACTGCATTCTTTAGTTTCAATGACCAACATTCTTTAACAATTGGCGACAGTGCATTTCTTGAAATGCTGACAGTCATATTTTTCCCAAATGTTTATCTTGTTTGCCTTTTTCCTTCCTCTCAGGGGAAGCAAAAGAAGGACAGTTTTGCATATTTGTGGAACACCAGTACATGTATTTCCAGATGTCACTTTGACAAAAATTAAAAAAGAAAAATCCTGAAGGATTTCCTAGAGCACTGCTTCTCAGTCCCCACACTGTCTTGCTGCATACTGAAATTGTCACTACATGCAAGTGACACTCAAACCCTGCCTGCCAAATCTGTCATCAGAAGCATTGCCTTTGACTCAGTTTCCTTGCCTGTTAAAAATGTGTAGAGAAGCTAATCATTGAGAGAAAGTGAATGAAAGCAGTTTTTTCAACTGCTCTGATGGAAACCCAGATTCATGAGACCCTCTTTTGTCCTTGAAAATAGCATTGTCATCACTGCCCGGTTTTTGGGAGAATATTATTTTATTATCAAATGTACAGTATATTGACCTTAAAAATACAGTAAAGCAGTCATGGAAATAACAGGTCGTGTATTATTCATGGGCACAAACTGACTCATGGCTGGGGAAGAAGCAGCCACCTTAGACCAGATGGACAAGCCAGATACTGCAGAGAAGTTTCTGGGCTTTTCGGGGAAGACTCTAGATTCAATTCTGTAAAGTTATGATGCAGTTTTCTCCTTCCTCTCCTCTCACCTCCTCTGAGCACAGCTTTCAACAAAAACTTTGCATACAAGGAAATCTAATATCGCAGCCTTCCCCACTGGAGGGTTCCTGGAGAAGGTAATATAACAGTGGTGACTGAATTTGAAGGAGGTTGGAGAGAAATTTTTTAAAATTATATTTCCATGTCTGCTGTAATGTATCCAAGTCTTGTAAAGACCAATAATTTATTAATTTTAATAAGACAGAAAGTATTTCTCCTTCTAGTCTCATCGTCTGATTTGAAAGGAAAAAATATATATATAAAACATTATATAAAAAGTGAGTTCCAGGAAGAAATGTTTTTCTTTTTTCATATAAAATGGTAGCTGTATGTATGTAACTCTGAATTAAAATATATATATATATCAGTCACTCTGGTTCTAAATCCTTATTGGGCAAGCTGGAGTTTTGAAGTGACAGAGGAAATAACTGAAAGATGACTTGTCAATCTGGAACAAAGTCTATCATGTAAAAACTGCAGCAGGTTAACTAGGTGATGCGTCTTCAATGGGGTAGTGAGGTGTTGTTCATGTCTATGGCTTATTTTTGATGAATGTTCCTCAGATATCCTATGGACGCTTATGAAGGCAGTCGAGTGGCATTTGCAAAAAAAGAAAAATTGCAGTCAGAGCACAGACACCCTGAATGAAGCCCCTGGCATGATGTAAACACAAAAGAAAGTGTCTCAGCAAGGCTGAGCCCTCCTTCTCGTGTCTGCATTGCTTCCTTTTCCCAACAATTGTAGATCAAGATCAACCTCAACTTGAAACCCACCAGAGGCCACCATGCACTGTGACACATTATTTAAGAGCTCCTATTCCCCAACCTGGCTTCCCTTACAAACCCCGCTTTGTTGTCAGTTCCTAAGCAATCATTCTGGAATCCACATTTCAGAAGACGTGGATGTAAGTTGTTTTGGAGTCACTGCCGAGAATGTTTTTTGCCATGCACTTGTAGAAGCCGGCATCTCTCTGTGTGGCATGCTGGATGGTCAGTGATCCCTGGGGGTGAAGAAATCTGTTTCCATACAGACGAGCCTGAACCCCTGCCTTCAGATGCGACTTATCCGGTAACTCCCACGTGATGTCAGCTTTGGGAATCCCCATAGCCATGCAGTTCAGTTTCACGGTGTTCCCGGGCCGGGTGTAGATGACCGGGGTGGGCTCGCTGGTGATCCGGGGAGGATAGGCGATCACAATCACGGGGATGCTGGTGACCGAAGGGCCGTACTCCGTCTCCATCCTGCATACATAGGTACCCCTGTCAAACACCGAGGCCTCACGAACCGTGAGGGTGCCATTGTCCAGAAGAGAAACGCGTCCCAGGGTTTGGGGGCCCTCCAGATGCATGCCATTGGGGAGCGTCCAGGAGAAACGTCCCTGCCCAGCCCCGGGAGGGGTGCAGGGGAGCTTCAGGGTCTCACCATTGATGATGCTGACCAGGTTATGATACTGCTTGTTTGCTTCTGGCTTCAGTCCCACCTTCAGGGAGACCAGCCTCTCCGTGTGGCCAGCGGCATTGCGGGCCACGCAGCGGTAGGCCCCGGCGTCCACCGAGGAGAGACCGCTAATGTGTAGCATGCCGTCAGCCTTGTGGTAGAAGCGCTGCAGCTGCTGTCCACTCTGCAGATCGGTGCCATTGGGAAGGACCCACACCAGGCTGGGTGTCGGGGTCCCCGCGGCAGAGCAGTTGAGGCTGATGGTGTGGCCCGCCATGGCCGTGATCTTCTCGCTGATCGGGTCGTGGAAGATGGGTTTCTCCATGGGCTCCAGGACAGTGAGCTGCAGGATCAACCTGGCCTCCCCTCCCTCGTTGCGTGCCATGCATACCAGCTGGACGGAGTCGCTCTTCCTCAAACTCCTGATGTCCAGGGAACCGTTGCCATGGACAGTGATCCGGTTTCCATAGTATGGAGCTGGCAGAACCACACCCTCGGGAAAAGCCCATAACACCCTCGGGGTGGGGATGCCTTCAGCTTTGCAGTCAATCAGTTTCCGACTGCCCCCGGCTGCTATCTCCCGCACAGTGGTGATGGGGTTGGGGTTACCGTTGATCTTGGGTGGCTGGACGTTGACGTGAATCCACACCGTCTTCCTATCCTCTCCCGCGCTGTTCCTGACCAAGCAGGTGTAGTTGCCGCTGTCAGAACGCTGGGCTTTCTGAATAAGGAGAGTGCCATCTTGGTATATCTGATACTTCTCAGAGGAGGTGGGGATCACCTTGTTGGTTGGGGACAACCAAGTCACCTTGGGCATGGGTTCTCCTTTGGCCTCACAGGCTACAGTGACCACGTCTCCATAGGGCACCTGAACCGCCAAGTAAGTCTTGTTCCGGATGGTGGCGGGCGCTGTCACCACCTTGACTCTGACTCTCATCTCGTCCTTCCCGACCTGATTTTCAGCAAAGCAGGTGTAGTCTCCTTCCTCCCTCATCCCCACTTCGTTAAAGTAGAGTGTCCCATTGTTGAAGACGACATAGCGCTTGGTGCGTCCACCGCTGTCATCCGACTGCATGAAGGAGTTCACCAGACTCCCGTCTGGGAGGCTCCAGGAGATCTCGGGATTGGGAAGCCCGGTGGCCACACAGTCCACTTTCAGGTCACCCCCGTAGAAGACTTTGTGGTCGTTCTCCTCCTTGTGTTCAATCTTGGCCGGTTTCATCACCACATCCACTTTGAGCACCACGTAGTCATCACCAACCTTATTTCGAGCTACGCACAGGTAATCTCCGGCATCTTTGTCCGTCACTGATTTCACCACCAGGGTCCCATTGGCAAACACCTTGATTCTGCTATCAAAACTACAGAAAAAAAGAAAAAGGAGTAAGATGTCAGTTTCCCAAATGCTCTAGTGTGGCATTAGGTCGCTGGAATAACACAAAAATAGGTGTTTCTGTGATGCATCAGCTCAGGTGGCTGCTATTGCAGAATGCCCAGTGGTTTTTACAGCCTGGAGAAGGTTGTGGAAAGTGATTGACTGCAAATAAGAACTCCCTGTTGAATCTGATGTTAGGCTGGCCTGACCATGGGTTCAAGGACATGAAATGTAGTCAAAGACGTCAATCCCATTCCTGCAAGTGTGTGTGGATCAAGTATTTGCATGGTGGTCATTACAGAGGTCATTGTAACAACAAAATCAGATAAAATGCTACAGTCATGGAGATGGTGAAGAATCTGGGTCAACCTTATAAAGATGTTAAATTCTTCCTGGAGAAAATGCTTTAGACACGGTTTCTACTCTTGGCAATTTCTTTTTTTAAAGCTGTTGTATCCCAGTTTTGGGCAAGAGTCAGAAAAGCAACTCTAATAAGGTCATGTAATTATGGTTATGCCCAGAGTTTCAAGGTGAGTTTTAAGGCTAAAATTGGGATCTTCAGAAGCTGGCCCTATTGGTGTAACAGGTTTTCTAGAATTTGTAATTAAAGCTGAATAACACTCACTAGCTAAAACCTCAAGGCTGGTGTGTCATTCTTCCCCATGAAGTCCAAGCACTGCCGAGTTAATAATTACAAAAAGGTTTAACAGAGGCAAACTAGAAAGGATGATAGGAAAATCTTCATTATGTATGTAAGAGTTTTATAAATACTGAAGTATCCTTTAGTTATTCGGAACTAATATGTTGAATAATCCAGTGAAAAGATTGAGAAAGTTCTCACTTTTAAAGTTGTCCCTATTGAATTCTCAATTACACATACATTATAATGGGAGCCTTAATATTTCCTAAATACCACACTTTCTTTTTTTTTTTTTTTTTTAAGAACTGAGATCTTGTTTGTCACCCAGGCTGGAGTGCAGTGGTGCAATCATAGCTAACTGTAGTCTCGATCTCTTGGACTCAAGGGACACTTCCATCTCAGCCTCCTGAGTAGCTTGGACTACAACAATACACCAATATGCCTGGATGGAGTTTTTTTTATTTTTTATTTTGTAGAGAAGGGATCTTGCTATGTTGTCCAGACTGAGTTTGAACTCCTGGACTTAAGTGATCCTTCTGCCTTGGTCTCCCAAAGTGCTGGGATTACAGGCATGAGCCACCATACCTGGCAAGACTCCATTTTTCTAATGGCATGTCTAAGACACTGTCATAGATCTTTTAAAATAAGCCCAGTTGTGATTACATTCAACCTAATCATTGTAATAAAAGCAATGATTAACAATGACCATATACACTGTTTTGTGGGCCATGAGTGAGAATCAAGTCAATGTAACTTGGTAAGGAATTTAACAGGTGTGGGACAGGCAAGGACATTTAAATGTGCCTTGGAATTTGAATCCAAAAATGAGTATGGTAGCATGTGTCTGTAAACATTCTGAGGCTTCCATTAACAGTGACCCCTAGCCCAGTTGTCATCAGAATCAACTGAGCAAATCTCAAAGCCACAGATGCCTGTGCATCGTGAGAGATTCAGCTTCAAGAAACGAAGCTCTGATATTTGTTTTTGTTTTTGTTTTTTGAGATGGAGTCTCGCTCTGTCACCCAGGCTGGAGTGCAGCGGCCTGATCTCCGCTCACTGCAACCTCCGCCTCCCAGGTTCAAATGATTCTCCTGCCTCAGCCTTCCGAGTAGCTGGGTCTACAGGCATAGGCCACCACGCCCTGCTAATTTTTGTATTTTGAGTAGAGACGGGGTTTCACCATATTGGTCAGGCTGGTCTTGAACTCCTGACCTCAAGCAATCCACCCACCTCGGCCTCCCAAAGTGCTGGGATTACAGGTGTGAGCCACTGCGCCTGGCTCAATATTTGTATTTTTAAATAGCAGGGCAGAGCCTGCTCTTTGACAAAATGCACATGGTTTGTTCAATTACACTTTACTAAGAATATAGTCAGAATTTACTAAGAATGAAGTGACAGAAATAATGGTTTATAATTTATTTAGGATTTATATGGAGACATTAATGGAATGACCCAAAAATCTTACTGGAACTGCATTCTTATACTGTTATCCATTCAAAATTGCCTCCACCATGCCAAATTCAATGGAAAGCAGTTCTCTATGTGGCAGCACATCTGCTAAGCTGGAAGGCATTCCTGGGTAAATTGGGTACATGGCTCTTCTGGATTGATTGTGCAAGCTCTTCAGGGCACCACCCAGCCATCTAAAGTATAAAATACAGGCAGGGAAAAGGCATCTCAGCCCTTTTCCTGAATTGAAAAGAGTCCTGGGAGGCCAGACACAACTGTGCAGAAGAAAACCTTGGACGCTGATTTTGCTCCTACCCTGGGGAGGGACCCACGGTAAGAGGCTTTCCTGCTCGAGCTACTGAGTGCTGAAGACAGCACAATCCAGGGGTTCTCCACCATTGCACTGTGAATTTAGTTGGACTCCATTTTACCTTTCCTCTACTATCTGGGTCCTCTATTTTTTGAAACGCTTATTAAAGAGATATTAGCTCTTTTTTTGTATCTAGCTCAGGGTTTCTCAATCTTGGCACTAGGGACATTTGGGGCTAGAAGATTCTCTGTGATGGGGCCATCCTGTGAACTGTAGGGTGTTGAGCAGTGTCCCCGGACTCCACCCACCAGGTGCCAGTAGCATCCATCCCATCTGTGATAACCACAAAATGTTGCCAGACACAGCCAAATGTCTCCTGGGAGTAAAATCTCCTTGGTTGCAAACAACTGCCATAGCTAGCTAGCTAGATAGATGAGTAGACAGATAGACAGATAGATACGGATGGATAAATGGATGGATAGATGGATGGATGGATGAATAGATGGATACGTAAGAGATAAGAATGAATGGATGGATAGGTTAGGTAGATAGACATGGATGGATGGATAAGCAGGTATATAGATAGACCAACATTTTCATACTAAGATAGGGTTTCTTGGCTTCAGTACTAGGGACATTTAAGGCTGGATGGAGGATTCTCTGTGGTGGGTCTGTCCTGTGCACTGTAGGGTGTTGAGCAGCATCTCCGGGCTCCACCCACCAGATGCCAGTAACATTCATCCCATTTGTGACAACCAAAAAAATGTTGCCAGACATAGCCAAATATCTCCTTGGAATAAAATCTCCTTGGTTGTAAACAACTGCCATAGACAGGTAGGTAGGCAGATAGATAGATAGATAGATAGATAGATAGATAGATAGATAGATATGGGTGGATGCATGAATGAATAGATACATAAGAGATAAAGATGGATGGATAGGTTAAGTATACAGGAATGAATGAATGGATAAATAGATAGGTAAATGGATAGGCAAAATCTTACATGCTAAGACAGGGTTACTTGACCTCAGCCGTAGTAACATTTAAGGCAAGATGAATGCTAATCTGGGGTGGGGTGTCCTGTGCACTGTAGGGTGTTGAGCAGCATCCCGGGGCTGCAGCCACCATATACCAGAAGCACACCCTCCACCCCAGAGTCATCATGACCTAAAATGTCTCCATACATCACCAACTGTCCCTTGGGGACTAAGGAACACCTGATGCCTGGTTGCAAACCACTGCCATAGATGATGGATGGATAGACAGAAAGACAGACAGATGATAGATAGATAGATATAGATAGATAGATGATAGATAGATAGATAGATAGATAGAATAGATAGATAGATAGATGATAGATAGATAGATAGATAGATAGATAGAACCTTTCATGCTAAGACAGAGTTACCTGACCTTGGCACTATGGACATTGAAGGTAGGATGGATGACAATCTGTGATGGGCCATCCTGTGCACTGCAGGGTGTTGAGCACCGTCCCTGGCCTCCACCCACCAGATACCAGAAGCACCCACTGCCCCATTTGTGATAATCAAAGGTGTCTTCAGATATTGCCAAGTGTTGTCTTGGGGCAAAATCACCCTTGGTTGAAAAGCACTGCCATAAACCTGTATATCTGGGAACAGATGGCACTTGATTAGAAGGTGGCTTGGCTTTCTTCATAGCCCAAGTACATTTTTATCATTTCAAGTGCACTATGTTGGTGTGGTAATGATGCTTTTAAAACAATGTATACACTTTGACTCTATCAATAATGTCATATTAAAATAAAGCCTAACACGTCTATGTATTTTGTTGAAATCAATAATGGAAATAGAGGCAAGCTGAATTGTTTGTCCTAACATTATAGTTAAACATATAATCATTAAAACAAGAATTTCTTGGTTCATTTATCCTTTTTTCCTTTTTTTTTTTATGGGGCAAGAGAGGAGGAAGTTAAGTATTTGTTAAGAAGTTGAGTATTTGTTCTGGATCCGAGTTTAGAGGGACAAAATTTCATTGCAGAAAAAGCACACACTGGGGCCGGGCGCGGCGGATCAGGAGGTCAGGAGATCGAGACCATCCTGGCTAACACGGTGAAACCCCGTCTCTACTAAAAATACAAAAAATTAGCCAGGCGTGGTGGCGGGCGCCTGTAGTCCCAGCTACACGGGAGGCTGAGGCAGGAGAATGGCGTGAACCCGGGAGGCGGAGCTTGCAGTGAGCCAAGATAGTGCCACTGCACTCCAGCCTGGGCCACAGAGCGAGATTCCGTCTCAAAAATAAATAAATAAATAAATAAATAAATAAATAAATAAATAAATAAATCACACACCGGGCCAGGCACAGGAGCTCAAGCCTGTCATCCCAGCACTTTGGGAGGTCAGGGCGGGAAGATTGCTTGAGGTGAAGTGTTCGAGATCATCCTTGGGAACACAGCAGAACCCATCTCTACAAAAAGTTAATAATAATAATAATAATAACAAGCCGTGCCTCATGGTGCACACCTGTAGTCCCAGCTACTTCAGGAGGCTGAGGCTGGACGATCGCTTGAACCCAGAAGTTTGAGGCTGCAGTGAGCTATGATCGCACCACTGCACTCCAGCCTGGGCAACAGAGTGACACCCTGTCTCTAATGAATTTATTATTATTATTATTTGAGATGGAATGTCACTCTGTCGTCCAGGGTGGAGTGAAGTGGCATGATCTTGGCTCACTGCAACCTCCACCTCCCGGGTTCAAGCAATTCTCCTGCCTCAGCCTCCAGAGTAGCTGGGACTACAGACGCTCGCCACAATGCCCGCAAATTTTTGTATGTTTATTAGAGACAGTGTTTCACCATGTCGGCCAGGCTGGTCTCGAACTCCTGACCTCAAGTGATCCGCCCGCCTCGTCCTCCCAAAGTGCTGGGATTACAGGCGTGAGCCACCGTGCCCTGCTAATTAATTTCATTTAATTTTATCGGACGCAGGGAGCAACGTGTGTGCATATTCATCCTGAAAAAGGACTCATATTCGTTGGGGCCACCAGCCCAGCGATTTACAGGAAGCCACGCAGAGCTGCCTACCTGAAGAGCGCGTCGATCATCCTCTTGGACGGCAGCCTCCAGAGGATGCGCGGCCAGGGGTCCCCCGAGGCGCTGCAGTCCAGCTTGAGGGTTCCTCCGTACCTGACGTCCGTCCTCCGCGGGGAGGTGCCCGTGATGCGCGCGTTGGCTGCTGCACGCTGCACGTTCAGCTGCACCGTCCTGCGCGCGGAGCCTACCAGGTTGGCGGCCACGCACTCATAGCGCCCGCTGTCCTTGGGCGCGAGGTTGCGGATGTAGAGCGTCCCGTTGGGGAAAACAAACAAGTTCCCGTGGAGGAACTGCGAGGGGCGGATCTGGGTACCGTCCCCGAGCACCCAGCGCACGCTGGGCAGGGGCGCAGCCTTGGCAGTGCAGTGAATGTGAATGCTGAGCCCCGGGGGCAGCGAGATGTTCTCCAGCTTCTCCTGGTGGATAACGGGGGGCAGTGCCGCCACGTGCAGGCGGATGGCCAGGCTGTCCGCCCCGGCTGCATTGCTGGCCACGCACTTATAGACGCCTCTGTCTGAGAAGGACGCCTCCTTGATGGAAAGGGTCCGGTTTTCGTGCAGGGTGATGCGGCCCTCCACGGGGGACACAGTTTGCCACACCCTCCTGTCAGGGAAGATCCAGGAAATTTGGGGGGCTGGGGTCCCTTTGGCCAGACACTCCATTGCAATGGTGTCTCCCAGGTAGACAGTGACGTCCTGGTAGTGGGAGGCTAGGATTTGAGGTTGCTGCACGGTGACCGAAAGCAAGACCACCATCCTGTCCAGGCCGTGCAGGTTGCTGGCGGTGCACATATACTGGCCTCGATCTTGTACTTGAACCTTCCGTATCACTAAGGTACCGTTCTTGAGAACCTCAAACCGTTGTATCCTGGTATTCGGAGTCATAAGAGCTCCTGGAGAAAATTAACACAGTCAGCTTTGGCATAAACTGTGCCCTTTTGATAATGCTCAAACGAGCAGTATTAGTTAATCTAATTCTCCACTTTAACACCCAGGCAGCAAAAGCAAATGTAGTAGGTAGAATGTTTTAGTGTTTTTAAAAGTTTTTTTTATATTTATTTTATTCGTTAGAGATAGGGTCTTGCTGTCTCCCAGGCGAGAGTGCAGTGGTACAATCATAGCTCACTGCAGTCTCAACCTCCTGGACTCAGCCTTCTAAGTAGCTGGGGCTACAGGTGCAGGCCACCACTCCTGGATAATTTAAATTTTTGTTTTTTGTAGAGACATGGTCTTGCTGTGTTGCCCAGGCTGGTCTTGAACTCCTGACCTCAAGTGATTCTCTTGTCTTGGCTACCCACAGTGCTAGGATTACAAGTGTGAGCCACCACACCCAGCCTGTTTTGGTCCTAACCATGAAAGAAATGTAAAACTGAGATATCATCTCATGCCTGCTGGAATGGTTATTATCAAAAAGACCAAAAACACAGACACTGGTGAAGATGTGGAGAAAAGGGCACCCTCGTACACTGTTGGTGGGAATGTAATTTGGTACAACCACTGTGGAAAACAGTATGGAGATTCCTCATAAAACTAACAATAGAGCTGCCTATGGTCTAGCAATCCCACTACTGGGTATTTATCCAAAGGAAATGACGTCAGTATGTTGACAAGACATCTGCACTCCCATGTTTACCACAGTGCTATTCACAATAGCCAAGATATGGAATTCAGCTAAGTGTCCATCAATGAATGAATGGATAAAGGGAATGTGGTATATATGCACAATGAAATGCCATTCTGTCTTTTCTTTTTCTTTAAAAAAAAAACAAACAAAAAACGAAATTCTGTCATTTGCCACAACATAAATGAACCTGGAGGACATTAGATTAAGTGAAATAAACCAGGCACAGACAGACAAACACTGCATGATCTCACTTATATGTGCAGCGTAAGAAAGTTGAACTCATAGAAGCTGAAGCAGATAGTGGAATGGTGGTTACCAGGGGCTGGGGATGGGAGTAAAGGGAAGATATTAATTAAAGAGTATGAAGTTCAGTTAGGAGGAATATGCTTAAGTGATATTATACTCATGGCAACTATAGTTAATAACAATTTAGCTTATACTTGAAAATTGTTGAGAGTAGATTTTGTGTTGTCATCACACACATACGAAATAAGTATGCTGTAAAAAAAGGATAGAGAAAAAGAATGTTTTGTTTCTCTTTTTCATCTTTACACTAATCCCAGAAACAGGGCCATCTTCAGGCAAAGGACAGCAAATGTGGGTTTAATAGAGAATTCTGGAAGCAGGCATGAGTCCCAGCCACTTCCAAGGTGAGCTAAGATGCCACAAGCTCAATTACTAGAGACACAGCCTCTCCCTTATTTATTTATGCTCATGCTGTTCTCCTGAACTCCTCGGGCTAGCTGGCTGCATGGGCATCCCAGGCTTGCAGTGGCCAGCCACCCCTGCCCAGAGAGGCCCTTGAGTCCATAAGAAAGGTAAATTAATCCTAAAGTAAGACTCCAGTAACTTTCTCCTACACAAACTCTGGTTGAAGTGTAGATTGGGTACATATGGACATAAAGATAGGACAAATAGACACTTGGGACTAGTAGAGGAGAGAGGGAGGGGTGGCAAGGGTTGAAAAATGTACCTATTGGATGCTACGCTGGCTACCTGGGTAATGGGATCATTTGTGCCCCAGACCTCAGCATCACACAATATACCCGTGTGACAAGCCTGCACATGTTCCCCCTGTGTCTAAAATAAAAGCTGAAGTTATAAAAATAAAAATAAACACTTATTCGAGTAAAAAATTTCCCCAAATGTGTTATAAAAATTTCTCCTAATGTGTTTATGTTGTTCACCATATACTGTTTTAATGTATTATATTGCTAGCCAATAAAATAAAAATTGACCAAAAAAAAAAAAAGTAGATGCTTAAACATCTTACCTGTGGAAACCTTTGTCCAAGTAACGAAAGGCTTTGGTTTTCCTGTTGCCTCACAGGGGAACACAGTGTCTGTCTCAGCGGTGACGGACACAGTCTGTGGGGACTTGGTGAGGATTTGTGGCTTTTCCCCAAGAGACCAGAATTTGGATGCAGGAGGTCCTCCTGCAAAGAACTTTGAGCTGCTCTGGTGGAAGCTTCCTGAGGACTGGACAGAAGATGTTATAAAGGAGATAGAACTCTGGGTGGAAGAGACCATAGGGATATTCTGTAAGTTAGTTGAGGGTGATCCCGTGGTCTGCGGAGTGTGCAACAACGGAGGTGCCGGAGGGCCAAAGTCCAGATGGAAGGTGCTATGGGAATGTATCCTGTTGTAGGAACCTGGAATAACTTTTCTCTCTCTCATTACTGGGGCAGGAGAAGTGGGTATCTGGGGTCTCCGGGTGACTCCCAACTGTGGAAAAGAAAGAGTCTTGTTGGTAAAGAAAGGGAGTCTTCCATTGGAATAATGAGGAATTCTTGGACTGGGAGGCTTTCCAACTGGGTTTCTTGCCTCAGGGATGTTGTTATTTCCAAACACTTTGGAGTAGCCATTGAATTGGTCAGTTCTTCGGTCAGTAAACTTACTAGGAATGCTGGGTTTGGACATGTGCAATGGGAGAGGAATTGTTGTACTTGATAATCTTGGAGTTGTAAACTGTTTGTTCTCTGGCAAAGCCCCAGAAGGATATGTAGTTATTTCCGGTTTGTTGGTCCAGTGACGAGGTGACTGGGAAGTTACAAAGTATCTGGAAGCGCTTTGTGTGGACATTTCAGGCAGCCTCACTGTTGCTGTTGGTAGGATGGGTTTGGCAGGGACTCTGGTTAGTTGATGAGAAGCATGAACTCTTCCATCCTGGCGTTGGCTATCTGGGCCACGTGGTAGACTCCTACTACCAAATACTTGCTTTTCCAATTCCAGCTTTGTAGACAAGTTAAATGCATCCTGGTCGGAAGAGGGTGTTGATAATTCATTTGGCCCTGACATATGCTGTGTTCCTTCATTGTTCACTGGGGTTGCTTCTGTTTCTGGATTCCCCACATAATTCAAGAAAACATTTTCCTTGGAATCTCTAGATGCTTGAGATATTCTTGGACTGGGAAGTGCTGGCTTAGTGGTGGTGGTTTGTCCCAAAGACATGAGAATTGTGGATGGGGACGAGGATGCTGGCTCCTTCATCCGGGCAGCAGTAGGGGTGTGATTCTGTGGTCTAGTTTCAGAAAGGAGAATAGCCACAGTGGTTTCAAGATGATCTTGATCAAGGGTGGTGGTTTCTGCCTGACTTGAAGCCACCTCCACTTTTATGCTTGAGAGAGTTGTGGAAGAACCAGCTTCTTCCTGGTGAAATGGTGTGGAGACTGTCAAAGAGGACAAAAACTCGGAAGTGAAATCCACATCCTCAAGCTCTTTAAGAAGGGGAGGGTCTGTAAGATTTTCCCCAGAAGTGGTAACAGGTATGCCTGTCTGTAGCCTCCCAGGCTGGGCCGTCCTTGAGGGATTCCAGGTTGGAGTTCCTGGAAAGCCTACAGGAGAGGATTCTTCCTTAAATTCTCCCATAGTGGAGACCAAGGAGCGAGAAGTTGGTATGGCATTAGTAATTGATTCACCAGTGACTAAAATGTCACTTTTATGTTTGTCAACATTTGTGGCAACATCATCCTTAATTTCTTTTCCATCTGATGTGGGTTTATATGTGACTGGAAGTGTCTCTTGGACTTTAGGGTAAGATGAATATATTTTTCTGGTGGTTGTCATGTAATCTAAGGAATCATAAGGGCCCTCAGTTTTCAGAGAAACAGTTCTAGGCAAAAGTATAGTTTCTGAACTGGGAGTAACAATGTTTCTATGTTTATTTTCTGGAGAAGGGCTGGGCTTGGATCCGGACGCTCTTGAGCTCACTGTAGAAGGGGTATATCGATGTTTGTTTGGCCTCTTCCCGTGTTTTCTCCGTGGTGTTCCCTTGGATGTGGGTTCTGCATTCTTCTCCATTTCCAACTGTTTGGGGGTATTAACTGTGTTATCCACCCAAGCTGTAGGAACCAGAGAACTCTCCACTTGACTTGAAATCTTAATGTCAGGTGCTTGAGTTGGTTGAGTAGAAAAAGTCTCTGATGGGGCAAAAGTTGTGGGTGGGGTTTGCTTGTGCCGGTGGCGGAATTTGTTGGGGCGTAATCTCCTTCTCCCGTTGGGTCTCCTTCGAGAAGGGTGAGTGCTCATGGTGGATGACGGAGCAACTTTTTGCCTTGGTGTTGTTGTTGCTGTTGTGGTGTCTTTGTCTAGGAGGGTACCAACTGTGGTTTCCGCAGGCTTCTTAACTGGAGACATACTGCTCATTATACCCAGTGTGGAGTCAGGCAAAGTGATGGATTTGCTCTCTTGGCCCTCACTCTCAGAACTTCTGGAGTGTGTGGGGTCTCCCTCTAGCATATTTCCTCCCTGTAGTGTCTGAGACATCTCTTTCATACCCTTTTTAATCAGTAAGGTGTCTTGAGTGCTTAGACTACTTTTCACAAGGTGGATGTTGTCTGTCAGTCCTTGTAGATGTGATTGGCCTGGGACACCTGGTTCCCCTATAGTAGAATCCTCAAATAACTGTGATGTACTGGAGTCATTAACCCAGATGGTGGGGGTTGGAGTAAGGTGTGCAAAGGTGTCTTCTTTCATCTTATCCTCATCTGGTTGTGACTTAGTCTCCAAATCTGGGTCAAAGTATTGCATGGGCTCAGACTCAGCCAAGGAGACAGCATCCAATGGAGGCTCATACTCACTGGATGTGGGCTCTGGTGACGATCCAACATCTGCTGCAGACCAACCCTCTGTTGCCGTCTCTTCATGGGTGGGCTTTTCATAGACTGTGTCTAATGTGTGCAGAGTAGGAGATGGTTCATAAGGCTCAGATATAAGTGTAGGGGCTGCTGTCCCCTTCAGGTCTCCTTCAGTGGAAGTTATCTCCTCAGTCTTCTCGGAAAGGTCATCAACAACTTCCTCCAGAGGTGTGCTTGTTACTTCAGGTTCAACAAGAATAACTCCATTGTGGTTGTGTTCTAGCCCCATGCTGGCTGAGGAAATGGTACCCAAAACGTGCTCTTCTTCACCAAGTAGAGGTACATCTGCTGAGGATTCTTCAGCACTGGTTACTGTCTGCACAGGAGATGCTGAGGGGGGAGAAATAGCAGGAAAAGGTGGTGTGACTTCTAGACTCAAGGATGGAGGACTTGTGGTTTTAATCAATGGGGGTACTTCTGTGCCCTTAGGGAGATTTTTCCCACGGACTTTGGCTAAAATATCAGCCCAGCGCTCCGGATTAATCTGTTTGTTTGCCATGTTTATCCTTCGTCTAGATTCAAACACTCTGCGACCTTCTGCAACATTGGTCTCTGGTTCTTTTTCCGAATGCTTCCAGAGTTTCAGCTTTCTTCTCCCTTTCTTGGCTTTCTTGTCTCCATTGATGGCATCATCCTTTGTTTTGAGGAACACCTCTTGGTCCTTTGGATGCAGAAGTCTCCTTGAAGTGTTCTCTTCATCTCCCATGCCCGAGCCCCCTTCATCCTCCACGATGTCTTCTCTGACTCTGGAAAGAGCCTTTGCACCTGGGCGTCTGCCTCTTTTGGATGGCAAGCCAGACCCTTTCTTGGTCACTGTGATTCCCACCGTAAAATGGTCTGCCCCTTGCTGGTTGACAGCCACACATCTGTAGTAACCACTGTCACTGACTTGGACCTTTGGGATGGAAAGAGTTCCATTTGGCAACATGTATACATGTGATGTGTTAGCCAAATCATTAATTATCCTTCTGTTTGGAAGAATCCAGCTAAGGTGGGCTTCGGGTATTGCTAAAGCATTGCAAGGCAATGTCACCGACTCCCCTGGGTTCTTGCCAATTGTCACTGTGTCTTTCTCGGCTGGCTGAGTGGAGGGAGACTGCACAAGTACCCTATATACCATGCGGTCCATTTCATCCCTCACTTGAGCAATGCACTGGTACAAGCCTGAGTCAGATGGCTCCATGGACTTGATCCTCAGCCAGCCACTGCTGAGAATGGAGAACTTGCTGTCTGGGTCATCCATGGGCGCTTTCAGGATGGAGCCATCTGGAAGCACCCAGAAGATAGATGGACTCTCAGAAGCTTTCACGTTGCAGCTCAACTGGCATGGACCCCCTTCCAGGACAGTCTGATCTCTTTGCACAGCTCCACTAGGCTCAATCATTACCCAGCTTCTGCCCCGAGCCTGCCTTGTATCTTTGGTGGATATTGTTTGAGAATACTGGGTGTAGTAGGAAAGTAGCACCTTCTTGGCCGTACTCTGACGTCGGTTCAGCTGGATATCTATGGATGGCTGCATGACCCATTCTGGTTCTGCAAGAATCTGGGCTCTCACACCTGTGTAGTAAAGAGCTTCCTCATCAGCATCCTGCCTGTACTGGTAGCTGACTCTGGGGTCTTTGCTGAGCATGAGCTCTCTGTGTAGCTTCACGGGAACTTCACTGTAGTATGCTATCAATTTCCATAGCTTTTCATAGTTTTCTCGGGTCATTGGACACTCAAAGTCCAAGGCAACTGTTGCATTTATGTCAATATCTGGAGGATCCGTTTGGTTCAAGTGAATCTTGTACACATCCATTGGTTTCTTGATGTCACAGACCAAGTTCACCATGTTCCCGTGCTCGTCGGTCATATTCAAAGAGATGCTCCACTGGGGCAGTTGGAATTTCTCCAGGATGAGCTGGCTGCCACCATCCTCTTCCTGTTCTTGCTCCTCCTCAATACTCCTGCTCCTGTTCTGTCTCAGAGGGGACTCTATTGAAGGCTTCAGACAAGTCATGTCCTTCAGCTTGTGTATCTCATGTTTGTACAACTTCTTTGGACTGAAGCACATTGCACACAACTGACCGCCTTCATAAGCTTTGTCCTTTTTACACTTCAGAATTCCTAAAACAAATAAGCAAATAGACAATAGGGTAAGGAGCCAAAGAATGGCATGCCTTGCACATGGCCAGAGGATAAAGCCTATGTTTGCATCTTTATCACCCAGCTGTAATCCCATAAACAAGGAATCCTATACATGAGTTGCCTTTGAGGCTTCATGTTAAACCACAGTTTTAGCACACTGTGTGGTAACTAACGGGTGCTTTATAACTGCTTAACCATTAATAATAATTTTTACTTAAAAATGTCTTAAAATACTTACTAACGGGTATTTAAAAAACATTTCTAAGTTAAAGAAAACAACTTCATTCACATACATTTTACAATGTAACTTCTGTGAAAGTTTAGGAGAATCTATATAAATATACTGCAAACTGGGGAAGCATTTCTTGGTAAAAGGATGAATCTTTGCACGTATCACATCATATCTAATTTTTGTTGTTTTTCATCTTGATATATATACCAATATATATTAAAAAATCTTGATAGATATCTATCTCAATATATACAAATATGTATCTATCTTAATAGATATATAGATAGATAACATATAGATATATAATACATATATATTTATATAATATATATCTATCATGATATATAAACATATATTGATATATTAATAAATATATATTAATATGTAGATATATTGACATATAATCAATGTATATTTATATCTAAGTATATATAAATAATATGTAAATTAAATATGGATATAAATATATAAACCCCTTGAAAGTATTTTCAGGTAAAAGGAAGAATCTTTGGCATGTATCACATCATATTTACTTTTTTAAGTCATGATATAACAATATATAAATTTATAGATGTACATATATTTATAAATAAATATATAATAATATATTTATTCATAAATAATTTATAATTATAATTTATAATATATAATTTATAATTATAATTTATAATGTATAATTTTAAATCATAAATTTATAATATATAATTTATAATTGTAATTTATAATATATAATTTATAATTATAAATTTATAATATATAATTTATATATTATATATTATATATATTTATATGTATTTTATATATAAATTTATATATAAATATATTTATATATATTTATACATAAATACATTTATATATATTTATATATATTTATACATAAATACATTTATATATATTTATATATATAAATTATATGTAATATATAATTTATAATTATAATTTATAATATATAATTTATAATTATAAGTTATAATATATAATTTATATATTTATATATAAATATATATAGTCAATATGTATGTATCTGGGTAACTATATCTATATTTATAACTCTCTATATATTTATACATTTATAATATATAATTTGTATATAATCAATATGTATCTATCTAGGAACTATATATTTATAACTCTGTATATTTATAATTTGTAATATATAATTTATATATAATCAATATGTATCTAGGGACTATATATTTATAACTCTCTGCATATTTATAAATTTGTAATATATAATTTATATATAATCAATATGTATGTATCTAGGTAACTATATCTATATTTATAACTATATTTATACATTTATAATATATAATGTATATATAATCAATACGTATGTATCTAGGTAACTATATCTATATTTATAACTCTCTCTATATTTGTAGTAAACACTTCACAGAGTGTTTGCTTTTGAGTTCACGTTGTCCTCTTGGTCTCCTGGATATGAAATCCTCTGGAATTTTCTCCGTCCTTTCTGGCCACAACTGGGTCTCAGTCACTGCTTCCTCCTCCTCCTCTGCCTGAATCTTTGCTGACTGGGTCCTCCTTGACTTGAGCCTAAGCCCCTTTCCTTTCTGGTCGGCTTCAGCGTCAATGGCCTCTCGCATATGTGTGGTTCCAATTACCATCCACCCGCCAGTGATGACTACCATATGTGCTTCTCTAGTCCAAACACATTCCGTGAGTTCCACACCCCATTGCCTCTTTGACATGTCTATTTAGATAGCAAGAAGAGTCCTCAAACTGACATCTATGAAACAAATTTATATTCTCTCCCTGACCTAAATGTAGAATCTCGTGCCTGTTCTATCTCAGTAAGTGATGCCATACTCTCTCTGCCTGGGGAAACTGGAAGACTAGGAGTTTTTCATGGCAGTCCTCTGCCTACTTCTGCCCGTTCCCATTGGGAAGAAGCCAGTCATACTGCTTCATCTATGACTTGGAGAATTATAAAGCTCCTAACTGGCTTTGCCATCTTTCCTTTTGCCCTCCTGACCATGGTTTTCTGTGTGACTTTCAAAGCAAACACCTCAACATGCGAATAGGATTGTTTTGCACATCTCCCCCCAACACACATACACATACTCACACTCACACTCATACCCACACACATACATGCTGTGAGACAAGGCAGCAAGCACAAGCAGGAGCATTTCACAAAATCCCTTGGCCAGCTGAATTTCATGGCTCAGCGAATGAGCGCAGCCTCTACATGAATGCCCTGAAGATGATGAGCAGGATGGAGCACAGGTCCACATGTCTCTTGCCTGAATCACTGCACTTTTAGAAAAGATGAGTTCAATGCTCCTAGCCCCTGCCTCTTTCTACACATAAGATAATGTCTGGCAGGATTAAGGACTATGCCTCTGTAATCTATAACCAGATGTCCCCTGGCACCCAAACTTTGATGAGAATCAGCTCTAATATAACTTCTGAGCACAACTGATGTGAATTCTGACCACATTTGGTGTGACTTCTGAGCACCTGCAGAAACTCCACCATCTGTGTATAAGCTGTGGGCTGAAACCTTGCTATGCAGCAGTCTAACAGAAACTCTCTGAAAGATCCTGGGATTGCAATCTTCAGAAATGCTCACTATATAAAACTAACCTTAATACTTTACAATCTTGAGTTTCTTTCACATACATGCAAATCTACACATACACAGATGTACACACATGTGCACAAATACATGCATAGACATGCACACACAAAGACATGCATGCGTATCTCCAGACAGTAGCAGAGATGGTTCTTTGCCCAGCAAAGTTTTGTGGGTCCACATCCATAATATAGTGTTGCTGCTACAAAATAGCCATCCAAATGCATTTTCAGGCCCCCTTACATCCACTGGGGTGTGAGGACTGGTTCCCACCAATGAAATATGAGTGGAGGAGGCGTGTGTCTTTTCTGGTTAAGACCATTCACAAGTGGGTGTACCTCTGTCTTTCCCACATCCATTGCTTGATGGCCTCTTGGAATGAAGCTCTAAAAGCTAAGAAAAAGCAAGCCTCTTGAATGTCTAGCAGTAAAGACTCCCAAGTAGGCAACTGAGCAAATCCAATGATGTTGAGTTGGAAATAAGTTTAGAAGCTGCAAGGAACAGACGGGAAGACTGTGTGGCTAGAAATAAACGAATAAGAAGAGCAATGGGACCACCATGCTAGAGGATAGTGGGGACAGGTGGAGCGACCATTGTGTGGAGACTTCTTGGAGGGAATGTGCAAATGTGTATCTTATCCTAAAAGCAATGGAAATCAGTTACGCAGAGGTGTGGCCTGAATGGGTGCACATCCTGTAAAAATGTTCTCACTGCTTTGTAGAGAGTGAATGGAAAACAGGGCTGACAAGGACATGGGGACACTTGTTTAGAATGCTCCCCCTTTCTACCAGAGAGAGGAAAGGAGCTTGATCCAGGCCAGCAGCTGTGAGGATGGAGTTGAGGAAATAGATCCAGGATATGGTAAACACAATGCAATCTAAGGATGGGGATAGGTTGCAAGGTAGGGCTTAGAGAAGGGGGAGAAAGGAAGGAAGGAAGGGAAGATAGGGAGGGAGGGAGAGTGAAGGGGGGAGGAATGGAGGAAGGAAGAGAGGGATGAAAGGAAGGACAGAAGGAAGAAAGGAAGGCAGGAGAGAAGGCAGGAGGAAGGAAGGAAGAAGGAAGGAATGAAGGAAGGGAGGGAGGGAAGGAAGGAAACGAAGGAAGGAGCGAGGGAGGGAAGGAAGGAAGGAACGAAGGAAGGAAAGAAGGAGCGAGGGAGGGAAGGTGGGAAGCAGGGAGGGAAGGAGGGAATGAAGGAAGGAAGGAAAGAAGGAAGGAAGGAGAGAACGAAGGAAGGAAGGAAGGAGAGGAGGAGGGAATGAAGGAAGGAGACAAGGAAGGAGTAAAGGAGGGAAGGTGGGAACCAGAGAAGGAAGGAGAGAAGGAAGGAAGGAAGGAAGGAAGGAAGGAAAAAATGAAAGAAGGAAGGTGAGAAGGAGGGAAGGAAGGAGAGCAGGAAGGAGTAAAGGAGGGAAGGTGGGAAGCAGGGAAGGAAGGAGAGAAGGAAGGAAGCAAGGAAAAAAGAAGGAAGGAAGGAAGGAAAAAAGAAGGAAGGAAGGAGAGAAGGAAGAAAGGAAAGAAGGAGGGAAGGAAAGAAGGAGGGAAGGAAGGAGAGAAGAAGGAAGGAAGGAAGGAGAGAAAAGGAAGGAAGGAGGGAAGGAAGGAAGGAGGGAAGGAAGGAAGATGAAGGAAGGGGAGAGAAGGAAGGAAGGCAGAAAGGAATCACAATCTACTTTGTTGCAACTGCAACACATAAGTCCTGGTTGTTGTCATAGCTCTCTAGATCAATAGTGAGAATCGCTTCCGTGTCCGTAAAATAATGACCTTGTAGCCACTCCTCTCACCAGCCTGCTCTTTTCCAAGCATCCTTTGTGAATTTCTCATGGAACATGGATTCACAGCCCCTTCCCAGTCCCAGTTTCCCACATTAAGCTGCAGTCCAAGGCTGGCATGATCCTCCAGATACCCATTCCATGGCAACCCACATCACCTGTATGTAACTGATTACATGAGCACTACATTTCACTAAGGGATAACTGCCTTTGCGTTGGGGAATGGAGATGTCTTAACATTTAAGTGGTAACGTTTAAAGTCTGAGTTCCTGTCTAGCTGATTGGGTGCTCAGATTTCATCGAAGCTCAGATTTCATTGAATAAGTCAATATAAGAACCTTGGAGAATGGAACGTCTCCAAAAAGATAAAAGAATGTGCAGCTAGGAGTGGTCTGCTCTCCTCTCTTCTTACCTCTGGATTTTGCATCCCATTCCAAAAACCATCTCATCTCACAATCGCAGGTCCACGGATTTCCCTGCAAGTAAAGATTCTCCAGAAGCGGCATGTTCCGAAGCATGCTGGCAGGAAGAGTTCTAACCATGTTCTCTGCTAAGTAGAGGTGCCTTATGGTGGAGAGTCTGAAATAATCCAAAAATGTGAACGTGGAGAAGGTGCTGGGGTGCAGCTGGTGGAGGAGATTTCCTTCCAAATGGAGTAGCCTCAGAGACGTTAAGCCGTTGAAAGCTTGAGGGTGGATAAACTCGATCTTGTTGTGGTCAATGTGCAGCCTCATTAAGTTAGAGAGACCCTGGAGGGTCTGTCCTGTGATCACTCTCAGCTTGTTGTAGCTGAACTTGAAAACCTGCAAGGACAGGGGAAAACAAAACAAAACAAAAGGATCCTGTTTATAGTTTAAAAAGCCACAACCACAAACAGAAACCAGTACAAAGGGCTGGAGAGTAATGACATGAAGCTTGTCTTTCATGTCAAACAATAGCCGTTTTATTGATCATTAAGGAGAATGACATAATTTCTATTCTTTATTACTGGTCTTAGAGGATGCAATTTAGTGACGCTTATAAATGCCGTGGGTTTACCTGAAGAGAGCTGAGGTCTCTTAAAGCTCCATCGGGGATGCTTGGGATCTCATTGCCGTGAATCATAAGTAGCTCCAACTTGGTCAGTCCTGCAAATGAGGTTTCTGACAGGGCCTGTATGCTATTAAACCTAAAGAATGGTAATAATAATAATAACAATAATAATAATTAAGAAAATAAATAGCGAATACTTAACTCCCATATGGGAAACATTCCCTAGCCTGCCCAAGAGCAAATTAGTAAAATGGTGAGTCTTTTTGTCTATTTATTTATTTATTAGAGACAATCTTACTCCGTCACCCAGGCTGGAGTGCAGCGGTGCAATCGTAGCTCAGTGCAGCCTCCACCTCCCAGGCTCCAGCAATCCTCCCACATCAGCCTCCCAAGTAGCTGGAACTACAGGCACAGGCCACTATCCCTGGCTAATTTTTTATTTTTCATTTTTGTAGAGACAGGGTCTTCATATGTGCCCAGGCTGATCTGGAACTCCTGGCCTCATATGACCCTCCTGCCTGGGCTCCCAAAGTGCTGGGATTACAAGCAAGAGTCACTGCACCTGGTCATGAAGTAGTGATTCTGAGGTTACAGGGGTGCCATTCCCAAAGACGTTTATCCCTTCGTGTCCCTATCTCTGGGGTCAAGAAGAAAGTGACATGTATTTATTTGTCTTCAGTCTGCTAAGGAACATTCATGGAGAACTTTGACTTGGAATATGCTGTTGTGGTCAGGAGGCTATTTGGTGTGTCCATCAGTAGGATTTAGAATTCAACATGAGGCTGTTCCACGTGTCTCTTTCTTGGAAACTCTGTGCTGAAGTGACAGTAATAAAGAGGGACACGTGGCTAGCAGGGCCGGGAAAATCCACGGCATTGGAATTTGCTTTGCATATGGTAAGAAAGGAGACAGCTCCATGCTAAAGGCCAAATAGAAATGTTGACCACAGACACCAACACTCTTATTTCCCATGGACAGGCTGCCATGTCTGACGGATGATCAAAGTTACTCGTAGACATGCTAGGTTTCTTGTTTGTTTTGTTTCTTCCTGTAACCTGTCCTCAAGATAAGTTCTTTTTGTTTTAAATTTTTGGTTTTTTGTTGTTGTGTATATAATTGTCAAGATGCTTTCTTGACCAATTTAGAAATTTCTCATTGCCATATTGGTAATAGCATACAACAATGCTTAAACTTGATCCCTGGATAAGCAATTTGAAAAAGGAATAGAGAAGCCTGCACGCTGTTACCATAAATCACTGTTTCTGCTGAGACATAACACATCTAGCCTGATATCACTGATTGCTTCTTCTTATCACTTACATAAAAGGAAATCAATTAGCAGGGAACATAAGTGAACAGCTCATAGCTAAATGCAGCAGATACTAGCATGGTCCAATTTTCTCATACTCATATGTGCTCAAACCTGGACTACAATTCCAAAGTCAACAGAAACACCAGGTTAGGTGTGACTCCCCTAAGACCCAGCCTTAGGAAGCACCTTTCAGCTACAAATTTTTGAGTGCAGGAAATTTATAAGCTCTACCCTCAAAAACCATTCACCTTGATTGCATCAAACTTTTCAAAGACCTCCTTTCATAATTGCATTCTTCTTCTTTTTTTTTTTTTGAGACGGAGTCTCGCTCTGTCGCCCAGTCTGGAGTGCAGTGGCCCATCTCGGCTCACTGTAAGCTCCGCCTCCCAGGTTCACGCCATTCTCCTGCCTCAGCCTCCCGAGTAGCTGGGACCACAGGCGCCCGCCACCGCGCCCGGCTAATTTTTTGTATTTTTAGTAGAGATGGGGTTTCATCGTGTTAGCCAGGATGGTCTCGATCTCCTGACCTCCTGATCCGCCCCACTCGGCCTCCCAAAGTGCTGGGATTACAGGCGTGAGCCACCGCGCCCGGCCACATTCTTCTTTTTAAGATAAATTTATGCAAAGAAAACATCAGATGGAATTAAATGCATCCCACCTTATTGAAATAATGTTGTATAGATTCAATATGGTGTATGGGGAAAATATAGTAGAAGATGATCCTATTTCCTGTTCATCATTTTGACTCATGTAGTCAATGAACAATCATATATAGTGGTTCTCTCTTCTTGATTACATGATATTTTTCACTCTTCTTTTTAGTGCATTACTCCAGTGTCTTGTCAGCTAAGCTCTGCTTTATTTAACACTGGTGAGAGGTAAAATATTAAAAGAATTGGGCTCATAGCTATGTGTGTACCTTATGAACATGCTTTGGATTCCATAGAAGGTGGGAAACTTAGCTGGAATTGAGCCTTGTCCTCTTTGTATTACTTTTTGCCCTTTATCACCTAAACCCCATGAAGCAGGCCAACTTTCCACAGCAGAAACTGAGTTTCAAGAAAGTTTCCAGGCTGGGCATGGCAGCTCATGCCTATAATCCCAGCACTTTGGGAGGGTGAGGCGAGAGGATCACTTGAGCCCAGGAGTTCAAGACCAGCCTGGGCAACATAGTGAGACCTAATCTCTACAAAAAATACAAAAATTAGTTGGGTGTGATGGTGCATGCCTGTGGTCCCAGCTACTCAGGAGGCTAAGCAGGGAAGACCACTTGAACCCAGGAGGTTGAGGCTGCAGAGAGCTGTGATTGTGCCACTGTACTCCAGCCTGGGCAACAGAGCAATACCCCATATCAAAAAAAAAAAAAAAAAAAAAAAAAAAAAAGTAAGAAAGAAAGAAAAAAAGAAACTTTCCAAAATTTTCAAGGAATAGGAAAAAAGAGGATAAACCATGCAATGTTCCATTCCAAAGTTTTTTTCCTATTACCTAGTGGTACTTTGGTCTTATTAAAACAAGATGGGAACTTAAATATTCCACAAGCAAACACAGTGACAACAACAATAATGTCCCCTTTACAAAGAAGAGGAGACTCACAGAAGACATTGAATGCATTCAAGAATACAGTCAGTGAGAGTAAAATCCAGGTATCTTGAGACCAAAGCTTCAACCTGCATTCAGACACTGTTAACTGAGGTGGGAGAAGCTGTCAATATCTACTTGACATTATTTTATTTAGTGAGTTCAAATTCATGGAATCATGGTGCAAAACTCCCCGAAATATAATGCTGCAAAGATAAGTGAAATTCAAGGGCATGAAGCTTTATTTCATGTTAAGGACCATGAACCTCCTCAGTGGGTAAAATTCCAAGTAAGAGAAGAAAGAGGTGCATTTTTTCCAATCATGAGCTCAGCAGTTTCCTGCAGAGTATAATAAAGGGGAAGGAAGGTGTTGACTACTGCAAGCTGGGTGGGGAAAGGAGGTCCCAGTGTGTAGACGTGAGATCCTTAGAGGTGAGATAGAAGCATAGAAAGGTCTCTCTCTCTCTCTCTCAAGACAGGGTCTGGCTCTGTTGTCCAGGCCAGAGTGTGGTGGCACAATCTTGGCTCACTGCAACCTCTGTGTCCTGGGCTCAAGCCATCCTCCTACTTCAGCCTTCTAAGTAGCTGTGACTACAAGCACACACCACCACACCTGGCTAATTTTTGTATTTTTAGTAGAGATGGGGTTTCACCATGTTGCCCGAGCTGGTCTTGACCTTCTGAGCTCAAGTGATCTACCCGCCTCGGCCTCCCAAAGGGCTGGGATTACAGATGTCAGCCACCACACCCTCTAGGCCTCATGTTTTGAGGTCAGGCACACTTCACGTTGCCCGCTGGCTATCCCAGAGAAGTTACCAAGCTTTTTGGAAGCTCAAACTCTTCATTAGTAATGCTACTGAGGATTCTTTTTTCAGAGAGCCCTGTGTGGGTTAAAGGACATAATGTCTGTAGCCACTCAGACATTGCTCTGTGTCAAGGACTGCTACAGAGTTTCTGGAGGGAATAGGTACACCAAGGCTGATACCAGGGAGATCAAAGGGAAAGTCACAGCCAAGCAAGACACAAAAAGAGACATGCTAAGAATTCGTGAGTTAAAAATGGCAACTAAAATGTAGTTAGGCAGGGGAATAATGAGCAATATGTTATATGAATAAAGACATTCAATGAAAACATATTCAGATGTTCAAAAATTTATACATAATATGAATAATGTAAAAATCATACAGGAATCATAATATTCGTAAACATGTCCATTCAATGATTCTTCTCAGAGACACTCAAATGACCAATTTCAGACCTGATTTCAGCTGACTCCAGAGTAGAAATCTACCTGATACATTTCTAATTCATTCTTTGCTACGTTATCTTTCCAGGAACTTTGCACCCTGATTCCATATGTTTCAACTCACTAAATAAAATAAAGTGTCAAGTAGATATTGATAGCCTCTCCCGCCTCAGTTAATCGTCCCTGAATGCAAGGTAAAGCTTTGGTCTCAAGATCCTTGTGTTTTACCATAGTGACTGTGTATTCTTGGATGCATTCAGCGTCGTTCAGAGTCTCCTCTCCTCTATAATGGGGACATTATTGTTGTTGTTGCTGTGTTTGCAGGGTTTTTAAGTTCCCATCTTGTGGGTAAATGAAGTGTCAATCATGGATAATGACCATACTAAGTTGCCATTTTTTATTTTTTATTTTTTTATTTTTATTTTACTTATTTATTCATTTGAGATAGAGTCTCCCTCTGTCGCCCAGGCTGAAGTGCAGTGGCGCCATCTCGGCTCACTGCAACCTCTGCCTCCCGGATTCAAGCAATTCTCTGGCCTCAGCCTCCCGAGTAGCTGGGACTACAGGCGTGTGCTACCCCGCCTGGCTAATTTTTGTATTTTTAGTAGAGACAGGGTTTCACCATGTTGGCCAGGCTGGTCTCAAACTCCTGACCTCAGGTGATCTGCCCGCCTCGGCCTCCCAAAGTGCTGGGATTACGGGCGTGAGTCACTGCGCCTGGCCGCCATTTTTATTTTTAAAAGAATACCTTATTTCTTCTTATTTAAACACAAGCACAGATGATTTAGCACACAAGAGAGGGCCAAGAAGGTCTTACAGGGTATGTTTGCGGATGGCATCCTCAGAATTGTTCAGAGGTTTTTGTTTGACTGAAATAACAGCCATGAGGAAAAATGCAATGCACGTGAGTGAGAAGCAAAGAGAGTCTAAATGTACATTTCAGAAATGCCGACGACAGAGTAGAAGTCTACATGGCACATATTCTCATTCACTCTTTAAATTGATTTTCTGCAAAATCACTATGCAGTGGCAGTAATCATTGCTCAAGATGCACACTACAAAAAGGAATGAAGCTCTGACACAGGCTACCATGTGGGTGACCCTTGAACCATGTTGTTCACTGCAAGAAGCCCTACAGGTCACGTACTGCAGTGGTCCTCAAACCCCAGGCCACAGAGCAGTACCGGACCAGTTAGGAACCAAGCTGCACAGCAGGAGGTGAGTGGTGGGTGAGCCAGCAAAGTTTCATCTGTATTTACAGCCATTCCCCATTGCTGGCATTACTGCCTGAGCTCCACTTCCTGTCAGATGAGTGACGGCATTAGATTCTCATTGGAGCACAAATCCTATTCTGAACTGTGTGTGCAAGGGATCTAGGTTGCGCACTCCTTATGAGAATCTAATGCCTGATGATCTGTCACTGTCTCCTGTCACCCCCAGATGGAACTGTCTAGTTGAAGGAAAATAAGCTCAGGGCTCCCACTGATTCTACATTATGGTGAGTTGTAGAATTATTTCATTATATTATTACAATGTAATAATAATAGAAATAAAGTGCACAAAAATGTGATATGCTTGAGTCATCCCAAAACTACTCCCTCCACAATCCTGTCTGTGGAAAAATTGTCTTCCATGAAAACTGGTCCCTGGTGCCAAAAAGGCTGGGGACCGCTGATCTATTGTATGATTCTATGTATATGAAATGTTCAGAATAGTCAAATTCATAGGGACAGAAAACAAAGCAGTGGTTCCCAAAGGCTGGAGGAGGAGAGGGAGTAGAGAATGACTGCTTCATGGATATGAGGTCTCCTTTTGGGGTGGTGAAAATGTTTGGAACAAGATAGAGATGATGGATACACAATAGTTTGAATGTACTAAATGGCACTGAATTGTAGAGGCTACAAGGGTGAATGCCATGTCATTTGAATTTTACTTTAAAAAATTGCAAAAACTTTGTACAGATCAGCTTCGTATGTGCCTTCAGGATGTAGTGGGCTCTGAAAACAAGTTCTAATGCTTTTAGAGATGGAGAAATCAAAAGGAAAATAAGGCAGGTGCTGTTTGAACTTCGCTCAATATGAAACGATGTCTGCTACAGATTCTACATGCATGGATTCATTCTGCAACGCAGTCACAGCTATAATTTGAGCTTTGTGTGTCTGCAAGTTACTATTCTGGGTGGGTCAACCAAATAGGCAAGGGCTCAGCTCTCTTAGCAAGAAGCATGACTAGAAAGGTAAAAATAATGAAAAAGATCATTTCAGATAGTTGTAAATTTCATAAGGAAATAATTAAAGCACAGGAAGGAGAGTAGAAGGGGTTTGGTTGGCCGATGTCTACGGCAGGGCTCTCTGGGGAGCTGAGATTTGAAGTAGGGCTTAAGAAACAAAGGGACGTTTGGGCATGGCCTCATCATTTTAGAAGAATATTCCGTGGTGGACAACTAGTTAGCTCTCTGGTATTTTGCTGTTGGCCATAAAGTTCAGAGTTATTGGCCATCTTTCTGTTCCTTAGACTCACCAAGCTTGCCCACTTTATGGCACGGCCATTGATTTGTTCTCTATAGAGATGATGCTCAACATCCTGTAATGCACACGATGGCCCCTACAACCCACATTGATTCAGTCCTAAACATCAAGATTGCAGAAATTTGGTAACTTTGCCTTAGCACGTGCAAATTTGTCTATCTGTCCCTCTGTCTGTATCTATCTATCTATCTATCTACCTACCCTATACCTACCTATCATCCATCAATCTATCTATAATCCTCTCTATCAATCCATCTATCATCCTATCATCTATCAAGCATCTATCTGTTATAATCTATATATCAATTATATATCTATTCATCCATGAACTGAAGTATGTGTTAAAACAGCAATGTTGGCCACTTCCTGGAGAACGTGTCAGAGCTGGGCAAGGGAGGGAGGCAGAAATGAGGTGAATCCTGCAGAGATATTGAGGGATGTTGGATCCATGACCAGGTGTGGCAGTAAGCATGAAGGCACACAGAACATTTCCGAATGTATTTAGAGGAAGAGCCAGCAGGCATTGCTGAGTGGTGGGAGTGGGAATGAGGACAAACTTGGGGGAAGGACTTCTACTTGGAGGGGAGTAAGTGGGTGGATTCTATCATTTGCTGGACAGCAAAGGCTGGGAGAGACAGGTGTTGGGGAAAGAATTCAAAGCTGTATTTGCCATGGGATGTTTGAGAATTTTGTAAGAATCTAAGGGGAGAATAGGGCTCAAGACCAAGATGGAGACCCATGATGCACGTTCAGGGGAGACTGGCCAACCGACCAATGGAATAGAGCCCTGGGAGTAAATAATATCACCTGAACGGAGCCCAGAAGAAGGAGGCAGATCTTCAGACAGAGGAGATAGGGCTCTGAGGCTCTGTCTCTGAAATGGGTCAGAAACAGCTGGATGTTCCTCAGCACATTTTACTTCAAGGGTGTGATATGTTCTCCTTCCATAGTTGTGGTCACCAAAAAGGTCTCCAGATGTTGCCAAATGTTTTCCAGGGGCAAACTCATCCATTGTTGATAACTATTGTCATAGATAGATGATAGATAGATAGATAGGCAGACAGATGATAAATAGATAGATAGATAGACAGATAGATAGATAGATAGATAGACAGCCAGACAGATGATAGATAGGTACATAGATAGATAGATAATATATAGCTAGACAGATGATAAAGATAGATGACAGGTACATAGGTGATAGATAGATGATAGATGATAGGTAGATAGATAGAATACATGATAGAGATAGATTGATTGATAGAGATGATAGGTAGGTAGATAGATTATTGATAAATAGATGATAGAGAATAGATAGGTAGATTAATAGATGATAGACAGATAGATAGATAGAATAGATACATCAATAGATAATGATAGAGATCAATGATAGGTAGGTGATAGGCAGACAGATGATACATAGATAGATTGATAGATAGATGATAGGTAGGTAGAGAGATAGATTGGCTGATTGATGATGATAGGTAGGTAGATAGGTGATAGGCAGATGCATGACAGATAGATGATAGATAGATACATAGATAGGTAGGTAGATAGATATAGACAGGTAGAGAGATAGATTTGTTGATTGATGATAGAGATAGATGATAGGTAGGTAGACAAGTAATAGGCAGACTATAGATAATAGATAGATAGTTAGATAGATAGATAGATAGATAGATAGATAGATAGATAGATAGATATTGAGAAAAACAGAATGGCTCATACTAAAGCCATGGATAGCTGAATGTCAAATTTAACCTGAGAATTTTGATCACAACTATCAAGGTGGAGAAGAAGGGAAAATAGGAACAAAGGATAATACTGGTTGATTTCCCTTCACATCTGAATAAATTCCCCTTTCAGGAAGGCACCCAAAGTCTGGGACGGGCTCCACATCAGCTCAGAAACCTGCCTGACCCTGTCATCTTGCCCCTGCTTGTTTTGTTGTTGTTGTTGTTGTTTTATTTTTTTGTTTTTTGAGATGGCGTCTCGCTCTGTCACCCAAGCTGGAGTGCAGTGGCGCGATCTTGGCTCACTGCAAGCTCTGCCTCCCAGGTTCACGCCATTCTCCTGCCTCAGCCTCCCAAGTAGATGGGACTACAGGAGCCCACCACCACGCCCAGTTAATGTTTTTGAATTTTTTAGTAGAGACGGGCTTTCACCGTGTTAGCCAGGATGGTCTCGATCTCCTGACCTCGTGATCCACCCGCCTCAGCCTCCCAAAGTGCTGGGATTACAGGCATGAGCCACCGTGCCCGGACCCCCCTGCTTGTTTTTAAGGGGCATTAGAGAGCTTGCAGATGCAGATGCCAAGGGTGCCAGATGTGAGAATGGGGCGGATATTCTGGAACATACAGAAGCCCAGGGAATCACTTGAGTACCCCCTCTCAGAACCCAAGGGTATACATGTCCCCTTCTTGCATCCTTCTAAAAATCAGCAGAGTCTGGGAAATTAGCACGACACTCAGGGAACAGAATCTAACTGGAGACTGGGATGACCCTGCATAAAGTGCAGTTCTATGGCTTATTAGCCCCTTGGCTTACATTCCAGACTATCTTCATCGCCTATTGATTGGCAATCACTGAATGTATAACCAACTCTGTGAAATGTTTATGGCAGACAATATTTGCAAAATTATGTCTTCGGTTCCGGTTAATATCACAAGGCAGAACTTAAAATAAAATAGGCAAGTATGGGCATTGTTGAAGTTGCAGAAAGGCATCATCAAAACCAGTCTTTTAATAGAGGGAAAAAAATACTTAAGAGTCTGTAAATCCATCTCTAGGTGGATGCTATGTTGTTGGTTCCTGAAAAAAAATATTTGGAAAGCAATTTTCAGAAACGCTTTTAGTTTGTCCAAGCAGGAAACAGCAATGCTGACAAAGAACCCTAAAAACAGCTGTGTGGGAATAGAAGGTTTCATTAGCACTTGGCCAACAATTCCTCATTCCTTGAGAGTCTTATATTTTCTCCAGACTGTTAAAACACAAATCAATCTCTGAGTTTTATCTGTTAGACATTGCTCTTGTTTCAGTTTTTTCCCCAACAAAATGCAAGATGCCAGACTCATTACCTAATTTGAGATTGATTTTTCTGAAACAATGCTATTATGATATTATTAGTGATTTTTTTCAAGTAGTATATTAGTTCCTGTTACAAATTAAACCAGATGGAAGTAATAGATGTTGATGCAGTGAAGTGATTCTCTAGGGTTTTAAACTTTTTCTTTTCTTTTTAATATTACAGAAAACTATCTCTAGATATTACTGGCAGCAATAGGAAAAAGAAACTTTAACATGTTGGTATGTCTGTTTTATTCCTACGTTAAAGTCAATCTTTATCGTGAGTTGTTTAAAATGAAACCATCAGAAATGGTGTTGTAATTTAGAGGTTAGTTATGTTTTGCACTTACAAAGTACTTCAGTTTAAAAATGAACGGGAAGAAAAGCATCCCAGAAACTGTAAATGAGATGCAAACAACTTCAGAAGTAATAGTCTTGTTGGTGCTGTAAGTCTCAAGCCATTAAACAAATCACCTCTTTGGGGAGGGTGCATGCAGGGACTGTCTCCACCCTCATTTCCAGCCTGATATCCCCCTTCCCAACACACAACACAAACACACAAACCTGCTGTGCAAGAAGCACCGCAAATAGATATATATTATGTATAATAGATATATATTATATATCATGTATAATATATATTATACATGATATATATAATGTATAATATATATTGTGTATAATATATATTATATATTATATAATATATTATATTATACATAATATGTTATACATAATATAATATAATATATTATACATAATATATTATATATTATACATATATTATATATTATATATTATATACATAATATATATAATATATAATTATTATATATAATATATAATAATATATATAATGTATATAATTATATAATTATATATATAATATATAATAGAATTATATATAATATATAATTAATATATATAATATACATATTATATTATATATAACATGTATATTTACATTATATATATTATTACTATATATTATGTATATATAATATATATTATTATTATATATAATATATATAATATATATTATTATTATATATAATATATGTAATATATATTATTATTATATATAATATATGTAATATATATTATTATTATATATAATATATGTAATATATATTATTATTATATATAATATATATAATATATATTATTATTATATATAATATATATAATATATATTATTATTATATATAATATATATAATATATATTATTATTATATATAATATATATAATATATAATATAGTATACATATATTATATATTATATAATATGTATATTTACATTATATATTATATATATTATAAAGATAATATATATAAAATATATACATTCTGCATCAACCCCAAGCTTTTTAGAGGGCTCCACCAAGGCCTGGCTGATGGTACCCCCAGCATGGGACCTGCCAAGGTGCTGGGTTTGAGAGATGAGGTGGCTAATCCCAGCAAGTTAGACCATGTGTTAAAATGGTTCATGTATAAAAAACAATTCCTAGACAGAGCCATTTTGCACACCAAGGGTGGAGGAAAAAGAAGTTACAGTTAAAGCCCCACTTTCTGTTCTGCAAATATCACACGCACCTTCCCCCAGGATTCAAATGGGCTTTAGCAGACATGGAACCAACCCATATGCCCAAGAAAATGTGGTACATATACACCATGGAATACTATGCAGCCATAAAAAGGAAGGAAATCGTGTCCTTTCCAGAGATATAGATGAAGCTGGAAGCCATCATCCTCAGCGAACTAACAAGGGAAAGAGAAAACCAAACGCTGCATGTTCTCACTCATAAATGGGAGTTGAACATTGAGAACACATGGGCACAGGGAGGGGAACAACGCACACCAGGGCCTGCTGGGGGGTGGGGGTTGAGGGGAGGGAACATAGAGGATAGGTCAATAGGTGCAGCAAACCACCAGGGCACACATATACCTATGTAACAAACTTGTACACTCTGCACATGTATCTTGGAACTTAAAGTTAAGTAAATAAATAAATAAACAAAACTAATGGGCTTTAGCACCTCTTCCCTTTTTCTTACTTCCATTACACAAGAAATGTGTCCGATAAATTACAAGATTGTAAAAAGGGAAGCTGGCTTATGTGTTACTATTCCCTCCTCTGCCAACGCCAAGCTGTTTTCCCCAATGAGCTATCATTGTTGTGGTTGGATGTTCAGATGGTCAACTCATAAAGTCTAACAGCATTTCATTGAGAAACCTATTTAATGGTCTGTTGCCATGGGTTAGGGAAATTATCATCTTATTCCCTCAACGTTTCATTCTCTTATTCTACCACTGTCAACAGGGAAGTTTCCATCTTACTCCCTCAACACTTCATTCCCTGACTCTACCACTGTCGATAGAGAAATTTCCATCTTATTATCTCAATGTTTCATTCTCTTCTTCTACCACTGTCAATGGAGGAGAGTTTTTTCTTTTAACTTTGTTCTATAAGATGTCCAGGTACATTTACAGTTATTTTGCATTGGCTCAAATCTGGCCATTTTATTTTTACTAAAACATCTCCATGGTGGATATTTCACAAACACTAATTTAATCAGTTGTTCTGGGGATGGATGCTAAAAAGTAGCTATTATATTTTGTTGACGAACTCCAAATGATTGTTGACTATTAAAATTGCAGTTGAGCACCTGTAGTTCATAGCAACTAACACTTCGGTCCACACAACCCTCGTGTGTATAAAATGAAACCAGTATATTAAAAGTCTGTCTGGCAAGCCACATCAAAATAGGTTTTTAAAAAGACGTTGATATTTTTAACAGGCAAAATCTGCAGGAACTCTTTTATTGCCTCAAAGTCGCAATTCTATCATCTACATGACTTATAAAATGGCACAGATGTTCTGCTTATTTTTATTATTCTTAAATCGTTGCTGAAGTCTACTTAAATCATCTTCATATGTTTAAGTGTGTGTCTCATGCATTCACCTCAACAATGTATTAAAGAAATGCTATCAAGGGAATTTCTCAACAAACTCTAAAGTTGTTCATGCTGCTCGTTAATAGACCTTACAGCAGTGGCAGCTGATGGATATATTGAGATAATCATCGAAAAAGCTGCGTTTAGCATAACTAAAACTTTTTCTCTCTATTCTGCCCATCTGCAGCTCCATAATTCTCGACAGAGCTACACAGAGGAAATGCACATATGAAGTTAAGTAAATGCACATACACACACGCAAAACCAGATCAAGACGCACGCACTGACAGTGGGAAGGTTCGGGAAGAAAGTGGTACAAACCCCAAATTGATTCTTTCCACGTGTTTAGCAATGCCAGCGGGCACGGAAGCCAGGGATCGGAACGTGCAGTGGACCTCGCTGGGGACGTAGCAGGCACAAGGATGCGGGCAGGCCAGCGCCACTCGCGGATGGCCCCAAAGCAGGATCAGCACCACGGAGAGGGCCCCCCAGTGCGCGCGCTTGGGCATCTTGTCGGGGTGCCTGATTCTCGGATACCTGAGGTAGAACAACGAAGAGATGAGCTTATTCACAGGTAGCACCGACGAACTGTGGGCAATTTTTAAATTTGAATTGTGCATCAGGGTTTCAAGCTTCCCAGGACTTCACACGATGTGTTGTAGTGACGCTTAAACCATGGGAATTGAGAAAGATGAAACATGGTTTTTTTTCTAAACTTTTCACCATTCACTTTAATCATGACTATAGAATATAGTCTTGATTCTTGGCTTCGATACTATGATTTGGAAATCTATCTTGCACTCTGTAATTGCGGCTATGAAACAGAGAGAGACGAGAGAGAGAGAGAGAGAGAGAGAGAGAAGAAAGAGGTTTATATTTATGTATCCATAATTAAAAAATAATAAAATATTGTGTTTCTGCCTCCAACAAGACTGAGCCATTATATATTGCATATATTTGAATTTAAAACTTCCCAAGAAGTGTTTATTCGTATTCTTTCCTTTAATGATATTTTTCAAACCTTTAATTCTAGCTTCTTGAAGAGCTTAAAGAGGTATTTGCTAGAAGGATATTCATCCTGTTATTTCTGGGTTTATTTACTATCCTTATGTTTTTGTCTTGGAAAAGCCAGAGAGTTTTTTTGATGATATAGAGTTGCTGTTAATCGGGGAGGAAGTTTGGGGGAACCTCTGATCATTCAATAAACAGGAAGGGACTGCTTATGAAATATATTCAGGCAAACAGAAAAAAATGGAGTCACTAAAAAATGGAAAAGCTCGGGTAAAGCTAGATTGCATCAGCTACTTCATTTAGAATGGCGGTGATCATTTTCTTCTTGTCCTGGCAATGCCTATGTCATCTAACATTTTTGTCATCTCTTGAATGGCGTTCACTTAAAAATAGTGACACACATGGAAAGTAAATAGGGATACACAACAAACACGCGCCTGCCCATTCGCCCGGGTTCTGAACGAGCGCGAACTGCTGATTAAAATTCTAAAACCCAGGCCGGACTCGGTGGCTCACGTCTGTCATCCAACACTTTGGGAGGCCGAGGCGGGCGGATCACCTGAGGTCAGGAGTTCGAGACCAGCCTGACCAACATGGAAAAACCCCGTCTCTACTAAAAATACAAACAAACAAACAAACAAAACAAAATTAGCTGGGCGTGGTGGCGCATGCCTATAATCTCAGCTGCTCGGGAGGCTGAGGCAGGAGATTCGCTTGAATCCGGGAGGCAGAGGTTCCGGTGAACCGAGATCGAGCCATTGCACCCCAGCCTGGGCAACAAGAGCGAAACTCCGTCTCAAAAAATAAAAATAAAATTCTAAAATCCTTCCTATAAGAGAGGAACATCCCAAACCTGTAGCTTTTCCTGCCTTTAAGTGACCTAGAAAAGGTTATTCTCTTAAGCCCGGGGGCGCGTCTCCCTTCAGCTGCCCATAAAGAACTGATGGCGCACAGGTAGTTTTGCAAAAAAGCAAGTCCGGGCTCCGCCTCTGGGCGCTGGAACAAACCGGCTCCTGCAGCTCTGCAAAAGTCCTCGGAGTTTTCTCTCTCGCCAGAGCCCGGGCTTTCCCCGCCCCTGCCTGCGCGCCTGACCTCGGCGCTGGGCTGGTTCCAAGGGCAGCCGCGCCAGTCCCCAGCGTCCTGTGCCTGCGGGCGGACTTGGCCCGGGCGTTCCATAGGACTCTTCAGCCCCAACTCCCTGTCCGGCCTCCCACCCCGGCACCAACCTCCCGGGAGACCCAGGAAACTCGCCCCCAGACAACCCTAATCCCGGGGACTCGGGGTCGGGTCTCTCCGCCGCGGAGAAAGCGGCCTGGCGCCAGCTAGGCCGCCAGAGACGGTCTGCGAACCCCGCCGGGAAGCAGGGGTGGGGGCGTGAGGCCGTCTGCTTTCGTCTTGGCCCTGGGCAGACAACCTGGAGTGGCCGGGCGGGCAGCCCTGAGCCCCTGGCCGGCTTCCAGAGTCCGCTGGGTCGCGTCGAGCTGGCTGCGGGATGAATTACGAGCTTTCCCGGAACGCGGCTGGGGTGGCCCTGCGAGTCCCCGCCGCCCGGGACTCGGACACCAAACCCCTTTTGTCTGCGTGATGACTGTCCCGGTTTTTTTGCATGGCTCGGATCACTCTAGGCGTTGGGCTGTCCCCTTTCCAGGGAAAGCCTGGGTAAGAGTAGGAGGAAAGAGGCGGGGAAGGAGAGGGGGAAGAGAGGAGGGAGAGGAGACTTGAAGTAGCCACAGCCTGAGCAACTTGGAAAGAGGCTCCTCAAGCGTCCTTTCCCCCACCGATTGCAAGAGCAGAGTGGGCTTCACTTAGGAATTCCGTTGGCAGCTTCCTAGAAACGCGGGATGGCGGGGTTGAAGGTCTCCAGAGAGAGCCAGGGATGGGGAGCGCTTTGGGGAGAGGGAGGAAAGGAGGCATGGGATGTCTGGGCTTAATTAGACCTATTCAGTGCATCCTCCTTCAAGATCCGGCTCTCCTCCCTATCTGATCCTTAGCTACTTAAAATTGCAGGAATTCAGGTATCCTGATTTCTTAGCAACTTCAAACAGTGCTGGGGAACGGTGCAATCTGCCTGCATGCAGGCCCTTTACCCCCAGTGTTTCCCTTGGGTGTCTCAAATCCCTTCACCCCCTGCAGGCAGACACGGCAGCCCTGGGGCGCCCTGGCCACCCTGGGTCCTCACCTGTCCTTGGGAAGCCGCCGCACACGGGAGCGGTGCGCCGGGAGCATCCACCGAGCCGGGGCGCGCGAGTCACGGCCGGGAGTTTGCCGGGGCCATGCCCTTCCCGGGGCCGGGGGTGAGGCAGCTCGGCTTCCCAGCGCGGCACAGCAAGCCGGCGCCCTTTTATTCCCGGCGCTGCGAGGCTTCCCCAAGTCCACGCCTCGGCACACCCCCACCCTGCCCCACCCCGGGGAGACGGGGCGCGGGCCCGAGCCAAGGGACCCTGGCCGCGCCGCTCTGCGCTCAGCCTTCCTCTCGCGTCTTCATTGCGCCTGGGCCCGGGTGGGCATGCCTCGCCCACTCCAGCTGCAAGAACCGCAGGCGGCTCGGGGAAGGAGGGCTCTTTGTCAGAGAGAAGTCCAGGACCCCAGGAGGGAAGGGCGAGATGCAGGGAGCGCGGTGGGAGCCGCAGTAGAGTCCGCGCTTGGAGAGCGCCTAAGCAGCGCTGGGAACGTTTCCGTTCCTTTCAGGAGAGAGAGAAGGAGCAGGGTTTGCGCTTCTCCGGGCCAGACGGTGTTTTCTCGGCAGCTCTTCCCAGACCGTGTGCAAGCAGGAGCGGGCTGGCCCCGCCGGCATCCCACTAGCTGCAGGCAGGGCTGCAACGTGAGAGCCGCCGCCACGCCCTCCCGCCTCTCCAGGACTCCCCGGCGCCCGCCTCCCTCCCCTTGCCAGAGTCTTCCTGCCAGAAAGGTGGAACGGCTCCCCTCCGGCTTGGGGAGCATTCGAGGGGCAAGGCGAGGGTTGGGACGTTCGGAGAGTCTGATGGTATTGTCTGGGGAGGGGGCGGTGGGAGGGTGGGAGCGACCTGGCGACAAGGCAAAAAGTAGAGGGTGCAGAGGGTAGGTCCCTATTCCAGGAGGCAGAGGAAGAGGAGGCGGCGGCTGCCTGGCTTCCTGGATAAGTCAGACCTGGAATGGTGGGGAGAGGTCAGGCGAGTATCTTCAGTCAGCAGAGCCAACCTGGGGTAAAAACATGGAGCTCAGACAGGTGTGTAGGGCCCGGAAAGGCACCATTGCACCAGCTTGTTGTAGGGTGCACCAGCGACTGCTTTTCGCTATACCTCTGGTTAGCCGTATTCCTCTCCCTGAACCAGCATTTTGACATGTCCTTAGGGTCAGTGTTTGCCTGTTGTGTTCTTTGATCTACAAAAGACATCTGTGAGTATAAAAAAAATTTTTTTTACAAGCCCAGTGGTACCATGTACTTGTACAACGAATCCTGTCTGCTGAGATGCCCCTGAAGCAGGCTGATGGCGTGCGGCATTTATGTATGTGTGTATGTATGTATATATGTATCTATGTATTTGAGACAGAGTCTCGCTCTGTTGCCCAGGCTGGAGTGCCAGTGGTGCGATCTCGGCTTACTGTAACCTCTGCCTCCGAGGCGCAAGCGATTCTCCACCTCCGTCCCCCATGCAGCTGGTACTAGAGGCTTGCGCCACCACGCTGGGCTAATTTTTTTTTTTTGGTGCGGACAGGGTCTCACTATGTTGCTCAGGCTGGACTCGAATTCCTAGCCTCAAGTGATCCATCCACCTCGGACTCCCAAAGTGCTGGGATTACAGGCGTGAGCCACCCAGCCCAGCAGGCATGCAGCTTTTAAAAGGCAATGCATGGAGAAAGTATAATTGAGAAGTGCCTGCTCTTTAGATTCAGAAGTCCTGCCCTACGTCCAGCACTCTGTCAGGGGGCTTTCAGGAGGAAGGAAGGACTAAGCCTAAGAAACAAGTTGCTTCCCCTGCATGAAGCGTGGTTCATCTTAGCTCCTCCTAAGAAACACAGCGTCTAGGAATTCCTCACCACCTGCCTCCTGCGCCTAGGGTGGCTTCCACAGAGTTGATAGTCAGGAAATACTGGTTCATAAATGGGAATTCATTCCTTCTCTAGCTTTAGTTTTCAGTGTGTGTTGACATAGTTCCAGGGATTAGTCAAATAATGCCCTTAGGTAGCCTCTTTCTGGGCATGCCCCAAACCCATTGATTAAATCACGAAACAAAACAAAACAAAAAACAACTGTCTCTTGAACATCTCTTTACCCTTGTTAATGATGTTGCCACCCATCTCGTCAGCTAAACTAGAAACTCAAGCCATCCTTGCCTTCTGCCTCTCCTTCATGTCTTCCTCATAGTCAACTGGTTGCCAAGTTTAGATCCTGATGCCTAAGAATCTCTTGGCCCAACGTGTTCTTCTCTCCACCTCTCTCACTGCGGTTGCATGGATATGTCTTAGATTTTGACAACTTCTTCCTCCACCAACTCCTTCTCATTCATCCCTTCCAGCCCATCACTGAGACTTAGAGGGATGCCATCATCCTCAAACCCAAGGCTGAAGTTTTCCATGGGTGGCCTGTGCCATGCCCTGTGCTTCCCAGCCTGTCCCTGGGATCTTCCTTTTGGTGATAGATCTGGCTTGTCAAGAACAAGTAGCACATCCCTGATTTTTGTTGTTGTTGGTTCACGCCACTGTTTTGACAAAGTTCTCCTCAATCTCCATTGTATAGTATTTCCTTACCTCCATGCCCATTGCTAAAGTGGGCTTTTTTCCTGCATTGTGGACAATCACTCACCTTCTTTTTATGCCGTCATAGCTTCTTGACACCTGGAGTATAGCACAGAGCTTAGCATACACTAAGCGTTCAATTGAATGAATGAATGAATGAATGTGCGCATGACTGACGTTGAATTCTATTAAGAAATGTCTAGATTTGGCCAGGCGCAGTGGCTCACGCCTGTAATCCCAGCACTTTGGGAGGCCAAGGCGGGAGGATTGCTTGAGTCCAGGAGTTTGAGACCAGCCTAGGCAACCTGGCAAAACCCTATCTCTACAAAAAAAAAAAAAAAAAATTAGCCAGGCATAGTGGCATATGCCTGTAGTTCCAGCTACATACTGGGGGCTGACATGGGAGAATTGCTTGAGCCTGAGAGGCAGAGTTTGCAGTGAGCCAAGTTCGCACCACTGCACTCCAGCCACAGTGACAGAGCAAGACCCTGCCTCAAAAAAAAAAAACATTTAAAAAAGTCTGGATTTCTCTGCAGTAAGGAAATCTGTTTATACTACCTTATCCAGGGGGATTATTATTGGCACATTTAATAGATAATATCTATCAATACCTCTAAATACTTGTGTTACCTGTACAATCTGCACCCCAAAAATGATTTATCGAAGTCTAGTTAAAGGCACAGGTTTACGGAAATGAGATGGTTAACTCAAACATAATGGCTTTAATTCCTTACAAGTGTGAAGTAAATAAAATATCAAGTCAACTAATTCAATTCTGCTTTGCAAATTTCATGCATGGGATGAAGGGGAGTGAGCAGCGGAAAGAGACCGCTGAATGGGAGCAGGGTTTTAGCTTAGGGTGACAGAAACGTTTTGGAACTACATGTAGGTGATGGTTGCACAATATTGAGGATGTACGAAATGCCATGACATTGTTACTTTAACATGGTTTACTTTACGATGTGAATTTCACCTCAATAAATTATTTTTAATAACACACATACTAATAAAAATAAATGCCTAGATTAGAAAAGTCCCAGGGCGTAACTTGTACAATAAATCCACAAATAAAGCATTATGGAATCTCGTCATTCTGTACTTTTTTTAAATAAAATGCATAGTTTGCTGCATTTAGTCTTTTTTGTTTTGATGTTTGTCCTGCTAATGTTGCCTGCTTGCTTGGTGATGTGTTCCCAGAGCAGGGACCATGTTTGATTAATTGTTGAATCCCTTGAAGTGCCAAGAGAGTTCCTTAAATACAAGAGGTTTGGAGTACATGTCGGTTAAATTAAATTCATCTGCTTGCTAATAATTCCACCATGTGGAGGGTGAGGAGGGATGATCAAATGAAGGGCAGGTCAGTCCTTGTAGCTACAGAATGTACTTCAAGCAAAAGCTCAGTGATTAACAAAAGGCCGGAGCCCTCCTAATCGCCAGATGCCATGGAACCTGAAGGATTGCAGCTTGTTGCAGGATGCACCAGTGACTTTTACCAGCCACTGCTTTTCACTGTTCCTCTGGTTAGCAGCATTTCTCTTCCTGAACCAGCATTTTGACAACATGTCCTTATTATCAACATTTGCCTGTTTTGTCTTTGATCTACAAAAGACATCTGTGAATATATATATATATATATATATATATATATATATAAAATAGAGCATTCAGAAGGAAATCCAAACAGGTTTGCTAGCTCACTTCCCATCACGCAACCCTGATCCTCCATCGAGACCCCCTTTCCTCTAGAAATGTGGAGGTAGGGAAACTTGCAGCCCAGGAGACCCAGGAGGCCCTTACCACTGGGGAGCCATCATCCCTCTGCCTCCGTCATAAGATCTTTAAAATCCACTTTTCTTGCAAGGCTTTAACCAACAGCAGAGCCATAGGTGATCGAGTCAGACAGATAGTAGAGCTCAAACCACCTCCTCCTACTACTCGCTATTTCTTGGCCAGAGGGCCTAGAACACACTATTCTCCCTTCCTAAAACCAGATTTCTCAAGGGTACAATAAGGGTAATTTTACCTCTTGGAGGTGGCGTAAAGACAGAATGCAATGCTGTATAGAGAGAACTGAACATACTACCTGCACCACATCTGTAGTTAATATTTATATATAGGATCCAGCGAATCTACAGTCATTTTTTTCAGCTTTATTGCTGTGTCTTTTATCTTCCTATCCAGGTTTTACCCCAGCGCAGAGTCTCTGGAGGTGCACTGGCTGTTTTGTGTATGAACTGCAGTTCCTGGCGATTCTGATTTCAATGTGAAAGTCTAATATTCTAAAGGACTCTGTGGATCACTATGTAATTTTCTTAACAAGGGTTGTAAAAGTAACTTTCTTAGTCACATGACTGCAAACCCCACTGCTTCCCAAACTCTGTAATCACGAGAAGGGCTGACCTAGTGAATACCCTTGGATGACTGGAGGGAAAAAAAAAAATCGACACAGGAAATCTCTACTTCAAACTCATGGGCTTGCATAGCTCAGAAATCTCAGGGGCAGACTAATAGCTAGTGGGGTTGTATCTTTATTTGAGCAGAAACAGACTTTTAGGAATTTTCCATGGGAACTTGCCCTCATCTGTGTAGGGTAAACCTTCAATGAAAATACGGGCTACTGGCCACCTCAATGAAAATGAGGGGGTATTTTTGTTTTGCTTCTTATCCTCATAGCACAGTCGGTAGGAATACTCTGTTCTCTTGCATGTACTAAAATGCTTCCAAATTTTCTCAACAGCATACTTTAAAATAGAACAGCAGCGTGGAAAATAAGTAAATAAATACAAAGAACACGTCAGAGAAACCCTCTAGCTCTCCTGAGCACAGTTGAGTTATCTCTGCAGATTAGGCTGGAGAAAATTCTGCTTAGCATGGTGCATATCAACCTACAGAGAAAACACATCGTGGAGAAGTGAACTAGCCTGACCCAGCTTGGGCAGATGTGCTGATGGGGATTTCTCGGCAAAATGAAAGCTGTTTATCTACTACTGTGTCTTACCGGGACCAGCGGCACCTAGAACGGTGGAACTCACAGACACAGGCTTCTCCGCTCTGGATCCCTAAAATTTCAGTCGGTAGAAAACAGCTGCAGAAGATGAGATCATGGAAGGTTATCCCCTTCCTCCCCAACCCAGACCACACAGGCCAGTGAATTGCAGACAGGGAAAGGCAAGGGAATGTCAGCAATTATTAATGAATCCCTTCAAAGACCTCAATCCTGGATGGGTCATTCAGCAGAAATCGCAGAAATCGAGACCTAGCTCACTTTTTTGTGGGGGGATGAAGTCTCACTCTGTTGTCCAGGCTGGAGTGCAGTGATGGAATCCTGGCACGCTGCAGCCTCCACCTCCCGGGTTCAAGCGATTCTCCTGCCTCAGACTCCCGAGTAGCTGGCACTGCAGGTGCGCACCACCACGCCTTGCTAATTTTTGTATTTTTAGTAGAGATGGGGTTTCACCATGTTGGCCAGGCTGATCTCAAATTCCTGACCTCAGGTCATCCATCCATCTCGCCCTCCCAAAGTGCTGGGGTTATAGGCATGAGCCACCACACTCGGCCCATCTCACTTTTCAAAATAAAAATGGCACATTTTCAACATGAAACTATTCATTTCAGAAAGATGTTCTATAAATGATGAATACTCACGATTCTGGAGTTCACATCAAGAGGGAACCCTAATGAAAACTACGGACTTTGGGTGACTTCGATGTCTCCGTGTGAGTTCATCTGTTGTAACAAATGTCTCACTCTGCTGAGAGCTATTGATCATGGAAGAGGGGGTGTGTGTGTGTGTAGGAAAGGGATATATAAAAATTTCTGTGCCTTCTGCTCAATTTTGCAGCTCAGACTGCTCTAAAAATAAAGTCTAGTTTTAAAAATTCTATATTTAAAGAGTCAAGACTCTTTTTTTTCCTCCCATCTGTTTTGGCTTACATTTTTGCTGACTTGTCTTCTTTCAGACAAGCGGCCTCTTGGAATAAAAACCAAATGGCTTCTAGGGGATTCCACATGGAAGCTGCCCTAGAAGCTTGTGAGGAAGAAGGAAAGAATGTCACTGAAACTAGTTCTGAGCACTACTGGCTGGTGGAGACCTTGCCCTCAAGTGGCATGGTCTAGAAATCTCCTAGGGCAGCGGTCCCTGATCTTTTTGGCACCAGGGACCAATTTCATGGAAGACAGTTTTTCCGTAGAGCAGGATGGGGGTGGGACATATGGTTTTGGGATGATTCAAGCACATTACATTTATTGTGCACTTTATTTATATTATTATTCTACTGTAATATATAATGAAATAATTCTACAACTCACCATGATGTAGAATCTATGGGAGCCCCATGCTTGTTCTGTGCAGCTAGACAGTCCCATCTGGGGGTGATGGGAGAGACAGTGACAAATCATCAGGCATTAGATTCTCATAAGGAGCCTGCAGCCTAGATCCCTCGTATGTGCAGCTCACAATAGGGTTTCTGCTCCAGTAAGAATCTAATGCTGCTGCTGATCTGACAGGAGGTAGAGCTCAGGATGGGAAGCAGCTGTAAATACAGATGAAGCCTCACTCACTGGCCTGCTGCTCACCTCCTGCTGTGCAACCTGGTTTCTAACAGGCTGGTAGCAGTCCATGGCCCATGAGGTTGCAAACCCCTGTCCTACGACATTGTTCTTACATGTGGATGGATTCCAAGATCCATCTCACTTTTCAAAATAAAAATGGCAAATGGTCTCTCCTTCAGCATGAAACTATTAATTTCAGAAAGACCTCCTATAGGTGATGAATACTCAAAATTCTATAGGACACCACGTGAAGTGCTTTCCCTTTGGGTAAGATGTCTCTTTCATGAATTAGAAGAAGCCGCCTTAGTTAACAGACCCGGGGTGACTCATGGAACAAGTTTTAAGTTATTCTTAAAATACAGAAGAGGAAATTAGTACTTAAACACAGTGACCTTTGATTCCCTGCATAATCATGAGATTGAAACATACTGAGATTTACTCGATTATAAATATAGGTGTGTGTTTGTAAGTGGACAAGCTTAGAGATTCACTAAAACTCAAACTAAATTCAAAGGAGCACTAATGTATTTTAAAGAAGTATCAAAACACTTTGGAACACGCTCTTTAAAGATATAAATATAACTCTCTTATGAATAAAGTGAAAGAAACAAATAACTCAAAGCCGTTAGAAAGCCTGGATGAGAAAATTCGGCTTCTAAATGTTGCCCTGAATACCTTACAAAGAAGAAAAAGGCAAAGAAAATATCTAGCTTAAACAGAAACTGTGGTTTTGTAATGATTCCTAATTAGCCTTCAAACGTGGGCACAATCTGTATGCATTTCCCAGGACTGCCGCACAAATCGCCACTAACTGAGTGTCTTAAAACAACAGAAATTTATGCTCTCCCAGTTCTGGAGGCCAGAAGTCTGAGATCAAGGTGTGGGCAGGGCTGCACTCTCTCTGGAGGCTCTAGGGGAGGGTCCTTCCTGCCTCTCCCAGCTCCTGGGGGCTCCAGGCATTCCTGAGCTTGTGGCCGCATCACTCCAGTCTCTGCCTCTGTCTCCACGTGGCCTTCTCCTTTGTGTGTGTACCATCTCCTCTTCCGTCTCTTAGAAGGACACCTGTAATTGCATTTACGGTTGACTCTACTCCAGGATGATCTCATCTCAAGATCCTTAACTAAATGTTTTTACATCCTCTTTCCCAGAAGCTATGAAAATTTTACCTTATAGGGCAATAGGGGAATCAAAGTTGGAGGGAAAATGAAGTTTGCCCATCAGCTGATCCTAAAATGAGGAGATTATTCTGGGTTATCCAAGTGGACCCCATGTAATTGCAAGGGCTCTTAAAAGTAGAAGAGGGAGGAAGAAATGGAGGTTAGAATGATGAGATGTGAGACGGTCTCTGCTGGTTGTTGCTGGTTTTGAAGATGAAGGAAGAAACCACATGCCGAGGAATGCAGGCAGCCTCTGGGAGGTAAAAATTGCAAGGAAATGGATTCTTTCCTGCATCCTCCAGAAGGAACCAACCTGGCCGACACTTTGATTTTAGCCCCAGGAGACTCATTTAGGACTTCTGATTTCTAGAACTGCAGACGAATAAATGTGTGTTGTTTTCACCCAGCATTTTTGGTATTTGTTTTAGCAGCCACAGGAAACTCATACAGAGCTCTTGCACAGGGTCTACCATCTGTTCTTATAATTGATGCGTGATTTGTGAGCTGACTCCCTGGACAGGCATGTGGTTGCTGAAGGGAAGATTTGACACTTCTTAAATTACCAAATCCACTACTCCTCTGGTAAGGAACTAGAGGAAAGAAGCAAGAACCAACACATGAAGGTAAGTTTTGCTTTGTTTTTATTATTATGTTATATTGTATTTTTATTACAAGGGAGAGTATTTTACCCATGGGCTTTTATTTTGAAAATTATTAGATATGATTAATTATTAATATCATCTTTAATAATTATTAATATCATCTTTAATAATATTATAATTATTAATTATTAATATCATCTTTAATAATATTATAATTATTAATTATTAATATCTAATAATATAATATTATCTTATCTAATGATATTAGATAAGACTAAATTATTATAAGATAATTGTTTATGATCAGTCTTTCCTCATTTATTTCTCAGGCATAACCATTGTAAAGATAGGCATAAGTATGAATGTTATTCATTCATTATGTAAAATATTTTAAATGGCACACATCCATATGTATTAATACACGATTCACTATATATAAAAATTCAGAGAAGTTAAAAGAAATTCCTAAAGACCACTTTGTGTTTTTAAGACTCTGGAAGAAGAGATTGGGGGTAGACAAAAAGACTTAGTATTGAATTTTTTTTCTTTTTTTTTTACTCTACGCATTTTTGGTTTTATACCCAAAAGGGGGATTTGTTTGGTTTAGAAAGAATGTCTTCTGATTTTTATGTTTAAAAGGACCACTGGATGTTTTATTGCCTTGACATTTAAACTTAAAGCCATTAAGGAATATGAGGTTAACCTAGTTAAACTCCTAAAAGACCCAAGTCACGTAGTGCTTTTCATCTCCTGGTTTTTCTTTTTTTCTTCTTTTACTCTGAAATAATCTTTTTTTGGCAGGGGATGGAGTCTTGCTCTATTGCCCAGGCTGGAGTGCAGTGGTGCGATCTTGGCTCACTGCAACCTCCGCCTCCCGGGTGCAAGCTATTCTCCTGCCTCAGCCTCCCAAGTAGCTAGGATTATAGGCACACATCACCATGCCTGGCTAATTTTTGTATTTTTATTAGAGACGGGATTTCACCATATTGGTCAGGCTGGTCTTGAACTCCTGACCTCATGATCCGTCCGCCTCGGCCTCCCAAAGTGCTGGGATTACAGGCGTGAGTGACCGCGCCTGGTCAAAATAATCTTTTAAAAAGAAATATTACTCATTTAAATAAAATGTGTCTGAAGTTTAGTAATTCCATGAGTTTCGCTTTCTATTTTGGGGTAAAACTCTCATATAACATAAAATGGACTATTTTAATCATTTTAAAGTATGATTCAGTGGCATTTGGTGCAGTGGTCCCCAACCTTTTTGTCACCAGGGACTGGTTTAGTGGAAGACAATTGTTCCACGGATGGTGGTGGTGGGGTTGAGGAGGTTGGTTCCAGGATAATTCGAGTACATTACATTTACTATGCACTTTATTCCTATTATTATTCCATTGTAATATATAAGGAAATAATTCTACAACTCACCATAATGTGGAATAGGTGGGAGCCCTGAGCTTGTTTTCCTGCAACTAGACAGTCCCATCTGGGGGTGATGGGAGACAGTGACAGATCATCAAGCATTAGATTCTCATAAGGAGTCTGCAGCCTAGATCCCTCGTATGTGCAGTTCACGATAGGGTTTCTGCTCCAGTAAGAATCTAATGCTGCTGCTGATCTGACAGGAGGTGGGGCTCAGGTGGTAGTGTGAGCCACGGGGAGCAGCTGTAAATACGCATGAAGCTTCGCTCACTCACCTGCCTCTCACCTCCTGCTGTGTGGCCTGGTTCCTAATAAGCCATGGACAGGAGCCAGTCCATGGCCTAGGGGTTAAAAACCCCTGATATAGTGCATTCACAATATTGTGCAATTATCATCACTATCTAGTTCCTAAACATTTTAAACATCCCAAAAGGAAACCCTATATCCATTAAGCAGTCACTCTCCATTCTCCTTTTCTCCTAGTTCCTGGAAACTGCTTATTTTCTGTTTTCTGTCCATAGATTTAGCTATTCTTGAAATTTAATATAAATGGAATGATATAAGTGGTCTTTTGTGCCTGGCTTCTTTTACTGAGCATGGTGTTTTCAAGGTTCACATATATAGTAGTCTGTATTAGACCTTCATTCCATTTCATGAATGAATCATATTAGACTGTAGGAATTGAACATATTGAACATATTTTGTTTATTCCTTGATCCTTGGATGGATAGGTAAAATTATATGTAATTATATGTAACGCTTTTTTTTTTTTTTTTGAGACAGAGTCTCACTCTGTTGCCCAGGCTGGAGTGCAATGGTGCCATCTCGGCTCACTGCAACCTCCACCTCCCAGGCTCAAGCGATTCTCCTGCGTCAGCCTCCTGAGTAGCTGGGACTATAGGTGCCTGCCACCATACCTGGCTAATTTTTTGTATTTTTAGTAGAGACGGGGTTTCACCATGTTGGCCAGGCTGGTCTTGAACTCATGACCTCAAGTGATCCTCCCATCTCAGCCTCCCAAAGTGCTGGGATTACAGGCATGAGCCACCACACCCAGCCTGTAATGCTTTTTAGAAAAGAACCAAATACATCAGCATTCATTTTCGATCTAGTGAAATAGGCACAGAATCTGCACATCATGAAATGAGCACCCATTAATATGACGTGCAGAACATCTGAAAGCCACCGTGAAACTACACTTCCCATGTTTCTCCAGGGGTGTTATGATAGAAACCTTATATAGACAATATTTGCAAGGCAAGCACAGACTTCTTATTTACGAACTCTCAGCATACTCTATTTTTTTCTTAATGAGTAAACTTATCTATCCATCCTCCATATATCCATCTATATTTCTATCAACCTATAGATTGTCTATGTATACCTATGTGTCTAACCTCTGTCAGTTGTCTAATTTATCACCTATTGATTGTTTATCCTATATCTTAGGGGTCCCCAACCCCCAGGCCATGGACTGGTACCAGTCGGTGGCCTGTTGGGAACTGGCATACACAGCAGGAAGTGAGCAGCAGGTGAGAGAGCGAAGCTTCATCTGTATTGACAGCTGCTCCCCATCGCTTGCATTACTGCTTGAGCTCCACCTCCTGTCAGATTAGCGGCCCCATTAGATTCTCACAGGAGAAAGAACCCTATTGTGAACTGTACATGTGAGGGATCTAGAGTTTGCTGCGTGCTCCTTATGAGAATCTAATGCCTGATGATCTGTCACTGTCTCCCATCACCCCCAGATGGGACCATCTAGTTGCAGGAAAACAAGCTCAGGGCTCCACTGATTCTACAAGATGGTGAGTTGTATAATTATCTCATTATGTATTATAATGTAATCATAATAGAAATAAAGTATACAATAAATGCGATGCCCTTGAATCATCCTAAAACCACCTTCCCACCAAGTCCATGGAAAAATTGTCTTCCGTGAAACTGGTTCCTCATGCCAAAAAGGTTGAGGACTGCTGGTCTATCCATCATCTACCATCTCTATTGTCTATCTTTCTATCTATTTTCTATCTTTATATCCACCTACCTATACTTGAGATAAGTTTAAACATTCATTTTTTATTAGTTTCATTAAAAATATAGCCTTCTTCAAAGGTTAGCTTAGAATCATGTTTGATCATTTTTTTCCTTCCATAGAATAAAATGCAGTTGTAATAAAATACAGTCTAAATTCTTTAAAAAGTGACTTTATTGTAATCCTTTCGTTTATTTTTTTTCCCTTGGCAAGTGTGTAAGATTTTCCTAAAACACTATATAAACTTTTTGCATGTACGTATGTCTGGTTTTTGTTATTGTTGTTGTTTGTGCTGCAGTGTGGCTAATCAAAGAACAAAAATATTTGTTTCATTCTCATCATGCAGGCTTTATATAATTCTTGGGACTTAATTGATGAGTGACATATTGGAGATGTCTAGAAAAATGGTGATTTCCAGCTCTTTCTTTTAGTCAATCCTTCAAAGTCCGTACATTCTCCTGTTTCCTAAGGGGCAGGGTGTTAAGAAAAATAAAAAACTTGACTTGAAAGTGCTTGTACAATTTAAATACTGTGTTTGTTTGGCAGAAATAGTGTTTTAACAAGAGCACCATTTGTTTCTCCCTCATTTATAGGAATTCTCGAGATGGAAAACCCAGGGATGAAGTTCTGGGATGCCGGCACCTTCTTCCCTTAGCATGTGGACTCCCACGTTTAACAAAAGCTGCTGACCAGGAGCGGTGACTCACGCCTGTCATCCCAGCACTTCAGGAAGCCAACACAGGCAGATCAGTTGAGGTCAGGAGTTCGAGACCAGCCTGGCCAACATGGCGAAATTCCATCTCTACTAAAAATACAAAAATTAGCCAGGCATGGTGGCACATGCCTATAATCCCAGCTAGTCAGGAGGCTGAGGCAGAAGAATTGCTTGAACCCAAGAGGTGGCGGTTGCAGTGAGCCCAGATCGTGCCACTGCACTCCAGCCTGGACAGAGCCAGACTCCATCTCAAAAAAAAAAAAAAAGACAAAAGCTGCTGACTCTTCAGCCACCCCATCTGTATTCCAGACATAAATCAGGAGAACAGGAGGAAGGAAGAAAAACAAACAAAACAAGACCCCCTCCAGGAGCTCCCAGCACCACTGAACTTACAAAGTGTCAATTGGAAGAATCTTTAGAAAAGAATAGATTTTTCTGTTGAGCATATTGCATAGTGTGTGGGTATGTGAGTGTTTTTCCCCTACAGCTGCTGTAACCAATTACCACACATTTAGTGGATTATAACAACACAAATGTATTATCTTATAGTTCTGGAGCTCAGAAGTCCAAAATTAAGGTGCTGGCAAGACTGTGTTCCTTCTGGAGGCTCTTGGGTGAAATCCGTGGTCCCTTTCTGTATGTTCAAAGCCAGCTGCCTAGTGTCTTCCAATCTTTCTCTTTCTGACCCTCCTCCTTCCCTCTTCTACGGACCCTGTGATTACATCAGGGTGCACCTGGACAACCCAGGCTCATCTCCCCATCTCAGGATGTTTAACTTAATTATAAGCTTGCTGCAAAAGTAATTGCAGTTTTTGCCGTTAATATTAGGTTGGTGCCAAAGTAATCGTGGTTTTTGCCATTATTTTTGCACCAACCTAATACATCTGCAAAGTCATTTGTTTCCACATGAAATAACATATTGATGGGCTCCAGGGATTAGGATGTGGACATCTCTGGGCACCTGTATGCAGCCTGTTACACTCAGTGAAGAAGTAAGGGAAAATGAGTGTCACGTAGGTATCTGACTATCTCAGCCACAGTGAAAGGGGAAAAGTTCCCTCATCTCCCTCACAGGACGTGCGATGGGGGTGTGGCTCACTCCTTCAGTGCCCCACTGCGCAAACCCCTCGGAGGTGCAGGCAGACCGGGAGGTTGTGGGGCTCCGACCCCTCGGCAGCATCTAGGGGTGAATGTTTATAGCTCCTGAAGCCCCAGTGGGCGTGTGTTACAGAGTGCTCTTTTAGTTTAGCCACCCATAAGCGGCTTGTGTTACTCAGCTCAATTAGACCCCCTACCTTATCACAAAGATGGAGGGCTTTCTGTATCCCTGGTTTCTTGTCTTTGTGTACCGGAAGAATCAGATCACACATGGGCTTGGAGAATGAGTACAAGGTTTTATTGAGTGGAGGTAGCTCTCAGCAGATGGGGGAGCCAGAAGGGAGATGGTTTTCCCCTGGAGTTGCCGGCCGCTCAGCAATCCAGGCTTTCCTCTGACCTTCCCCGCCAAAATCCGTGTAGTTCTGCTGGTCAATGGCCCGCCGGCCCGCTGCCGTCCGCCGCTGCACTCTTCCGCTGGCGTGCTCCCCTCCAGGTCCGGCTGCTTGTGTCTTCTTCTGCTGATGTGTTCCTCTCAATGTCCAGGCACTTGTGTGTCTGCCTGCTAGGTCTCGAGGTTTTTATAAGCACAGATTGGGGGCATAGCAGGCCAGAGTGGTCTTGGGAAATGCAACATTTGGGCAGGAAAACAGGAGTGCCTGTCCTCACTTAGGTCCGTGGGCACAGGCCCACAGGTGGAGCCCTAGCCAGGGACCACACCCTCCTCTACCCAGCACTTCCCTGCCCCCCTTCCATATGAATAGTGCTGTAAATGAAAAAGTAGATGACTGATTTTTATGTAGATTCATGGAGCTACAAGTACACTCAGCCTAGACCTATCTGTAATCTCTTTGTGCATACCAAATTTTATGGTAGATCTTAACATGTAAGCACTTTCGTTGGTTTGTTTTTGAGACAGAATCTCGCTCTGTCGCCCAGGCTGCAGTGCGGTGGCATGATCTCGGCTCACTGCAACCTCCGCCTCCCGGGTTCAAGTGGTTCTTCTGCCTCAGCCTCCCAAGTACCTGGGATTACAGGCGTGCACCACCACACCTGGCTATGGGGTTTTGCCATGTTGACCAGGCTGGTCTTGAACTCCTGACCTCAGGTGATCCGCTTGCCTCAGTCTGCCAAAGTGCTGGGATTACAGGTGTGAGCCACCCCGCCTGGCCTCATGTGAGCATTTTAATTGCCACTAAAAGATATGATGGGCTGTGATTTTGTTTCATGGTAAAGTGAGCCACACAGCAAAGTACATTTAAACACGCTGTAGCAAGATAACTATTCACATACCATGAGATTTCATCCTACACCAGTCAGAATGACTACTATTAAAAAAACAAACAAACAGATGTTGGTGAGGATGCAGAGAAAAGGGAACACTTACACACTGTTCATGGGAATGTAGATTAGTACAATTTGATGAAAAAGGGTGTGGAGATTTCTCAAAGGACCAAAAATAGAACTATCATTCAATCCAGCAACCCACTACTGGATATCTACCCAAAGGAAAAGAAATCATTATATCAAAAAGATACTTGCACTGGCTGGGCGGGGTGGCTCATGCCTGTAATCCCAGCACTTTGGGAGGCTGAGGCAGGTGGATCACTAGAGGTCAGGAGTTCGAGACCAGCCTGGCCAACATGGTGAAACACTGTCTCTAATAAAAATACAAAAACTAGCCAGTCGTGGTGGCGCACGCCTGTATCCCCAGCTACTCAGGAGGCTGAGGCAGGAGAATTGCTTGAACCTGGGAGGCAGAGGTTGCAGTGAGCCAAGATGGCACCTCTGCACTGCAGCCTGGAAGACAGAGCGAGACTCCACCTCAAAATGAAAAGAAAAGATACCTGTACTGGAAGCCCTATTTACAATAGCAAAGATATGGAATCAACCTAAGTGTCCATCAATGGATGATGGGATAAAGAAAATGTGGTATATGTACATACTGGAACACTATTCAGCCACAAAAAGGAATGCAACCATGTCTTTTGCAGCAACATGAATGGAAGTGGTGGTCATTTTCTTAAGTAAAACAACTCAGAAACAAAAAGACAAATACTACGTGTTCTCACTTATAAGTGGGAGCTAAATAATGTTTCCAAATAGGCGTAGAGTGTGGAATAATAGACATTGCTGACCGGGAAGGGTAGGAGGGGGCTGAGGGATAAGAAGTTACTTAATGGGCACAATATTCATTATGCCAGTGATGGACACTTCACCACTGCACAATCTATCTAGGTTACAAAATCACACTTATACCCCATAAATTAATACAAATTTTTTTAAAAACCAATTACACTGCTTCTAAAAGTCATAATTTAAAAAGTCAAGCGATAGAAAATGCATTTGTTGATTTAATCATTTGTCTAGTTAATAAATCACACAATGTCTAGTGTATTGATGTAGATTGAACTCCACATGGGCCTAAATTGTGTTAATCCCACTTGCTGAATTCTTTACTCAGGCAGGGAGGTCAGAATGGGAACTCCTGGCTACACTCCACATCTCAGCAGGGAACAGCATGTGCCGTCTTGCCTGTCTGCTCCTGCAGATCAGTAGCAACCTGTCTGAAGTGCAAATAGAGAACCAGTCTGGGGATGTGTCTGGGCTAAGCAGAGAAAATCACTTCGAGAAATCACTGATGTCTGCCAAGGGCTGGGAGAAAGGAGGACACCGGGGCATTCAATTGGCACACCTGCCCTCATCAGTCCGAATGCTATTTCAGTGCAAACTTTTATTGCATTGTGTCTTAGTCCATTTCACGCTGCTGATAAAGACATATCTGAGACTGGGAAGAAAAAGAGGTTTCATTGGACTTACAGTTCCATATTGCTGGAGAGGCCTCAGAATCATGGCAGCAGGTGAAAGGCACTTCTTACATGGCGACAGCAAGAGAAAATGAGGAAGATGCAAAAGCGGAAACCCCTCATAAAACCATCAGATCTCATGAGACCCACCCACTACCATGAGAACAGTATGGGGGAAACCGCCCCCATGATTCAAATTATCTCCCACTGGGTCCCTCCCACAACACATGGGAATTACAAGAGTACAATTCAAGATGAGATTTGGGTGGGGACACAGCCAAACCATATCACATTGGTAACATGCTTGCCTGTGTAGTTTTAGGAATGTGCTTCTCCAGCCTACTAAAACCTAATTTTAACATAGACTATCTCATTTCAATTTTTAAAGATTTTTCTAACAGCTTTTTTGGGGAAAAAAGATTTATACCAGTTTATTTACTGAAACGAAGATAATAGATTTGTTTGTAAATATCTCCTAATTATGCAATATGGAAACTTCAAAGGAAAGTGAGCGTCTGTTTGTTGTTGTTGTTTTGTTTTGTTTCGTTTTTGAGATAGGGTCTCAATCTGTCACCCAGGCTGGAGTGCAGTGGTGCGATTGTGGCTCACTGTAGCCTTGACCTCCTGGGCTCAGGTAATCCTCCTGCCTCAACCTCCTGAGTAGCTGGGGCTGCAGGTGTGCACCACCATGCCCAGCTAACATTTATATTTTTTGTAGAGACGAGGTCTCATTGTGTTGCCCAGGCTGGTCTCAAACTCCTGGACTCGAGCGATCCTCCTGCCTTGGCCTACTAAAGTTCTGGGATTACAGGCGTGAGCCACTACGCCTAGCCTCCATTTTTAACATCTTATAACGCCTAGAAGAGATCACTTGATTTCCAGGCACATCGTGTTCTATCACTGGTTTCTTCAAAATTTATTAGAGCAATTTTGTCTTGTGTATATTTGTTAATAATTGTATCACAAATGATTTAATATTGTAATTATTATAATATTTATTGTTAAAAATGCAAATAATATATATTATATAAGTATATGTGTCTTTAAGTATATTTTATAAGTTATATAGGTGTATAAGATATATTATAAAATTATATCATATTCATGAAATACACACTATATTATATTATATATAATATATTGCATATAAGTTACACGTGGTGGCTCATGCCTGTAATCCCAGCACTTTGGGAGGCCAACGCAGGTGGATCATAAGGTCAGGAGATCGAAACCATCCTGGTCAACATGATGAAACCCCATCTCTACTAAAAATACAAAAATTAGCCGGGCGTGGTGCGGCTACTCGGGAACCAGAGGCAAGAGAATTGCTTGAACTCAGGAGGCGGAGGTTGCAGTAAGCTGAGATCTCGCCACTGCACTCCAGCCTGGGCGACGCAGTGAGACTCTGTCTCAAAAAAAAAAGTTACATATGAATATATAACTTGCATCATAACATAAATATCTTTCTGTAATATGTAATATCTATGTTATTGATGATATATTCATTCTATTATATAATATATTCATATATTATATTTATATATTTGTATATTATATATTATACATTCATTTAAATATATCTAATGTTTATCTAATCAAGTTATCTAATTATCTAACTTAAAAACATCTAAATAAAATTTATATTTTATAGTATTATAGCAATACATTTAAATGTATCAGCATCAATATATAGTGTATTATGAAATATTTATGTATTACAATAAATTCATATTTATTCAAACATGTATACATTTAAGTTATGCACTTAAATATGTATGAATATCTTATGCAGATTTCAATATTAATTAGATAAGCATGCAAACATATTTTCCCTTTGCCTTTAGGGAGTTCATTATTCTGTATAAGCTTTCCTTCTTTTTCAACTGGAAAAAGCATAAATAAACTTGAGTTAAAATCTAAATGTTTGATCTGTTTATTCCAACATTTCTTACACTTAGTTTATCTGTCTATGGCTCATACGACTTACATGGATTGCTTGAAAGAGTTATTGGTAGGGTTATGGTAGGTTTATTGGGGTAGGGGTTTAAGCAGAATTAAATGTAGGAAACTGAGTTCCCCCTAGAAGCACAAGCAGAGACTAGGATTTGAGGGTAAGGTGTTTATGGGGCGGTGATACCAGGAAGGACCCATCGGAGAACCAGAAAATGAGACAGTGGAGGCCCCATTCCAGAAACCTTCATTGAGCTAATCCGAGCGTTTGACCTGGGGCTGCACATTTTTGGCGAACACCCGAGTTGTTTCTGAAGCAAGTAGAATACGGATCGTGCATCTCCCAGAGGATACTCTGATTTGAAGGAATCTCCTGTTTACACTGGCTCATTGGCTTTTTTGAGTGATAACCCTGACGGGGCCCATGACAGGTCAATTTCACCTTGAGAAAGAGTAGTTCAGGGACACTGGCTCTTTTGTTAACCTTCCTAGTTACTCACAAGGGTGCCCAATGGCTCACAGGTGAGAAGACCAAGGTACAGCGGGGGGGGGTCGGCAGTCAATTCCTACCACTAGAAATGACTCACGTTGTGGCCCAGTAATTCCTGATGTACAGTGCATTATTACTGGATAAATGGCTGCCTCCTGGGAAGATAGAGAGTTCACAGGCCCTCACCCATTTGCCAACTTATTAATTTTCTGTGGCTGTTGTCACAAATTGCTATAAACTTAGTTGCTTAAATGATGCAAATTTATTTTCTTACACTTCTACAGTTCAGTAATTCTGGAGGTGAGAAGTTCAACAAGAGCTTCATTGGGCTAAAATCAAGATGTCGGTAGGCTCAGCGTCACGCAATGTAACAATGTAATAAACCTGCACATGTAACCCTTAATCACAAGTACAAGTTGGCAGTTATTTTAAAAAATAAAAACCTTCACCAAGAATGAAAAATCCTTGTGAATTTCCTTCTGGAATCTCTTTTGAACAGATGTATGGTGTATTCATTTTTTAAACCTGATCTTTGGTCTGGTACAAATGTTGATTTTTTTCCTAATTTTTACATTAAATCATTCCTTAAAGTGGTTATAATTATAAAAGTGAAAAAAAAAACAATAGCAAAAAGGTGTCAGTAGGGCTGCATTCTATTAGAGAAGATGTTGGGCAGAATTCATTTCCTTGCTTTTCAAGGATGGTGGCAGAATTGTTTCTTGTGGTTGTAGAATCGAGGTCTCCCTTTCTGGCTGGCTATAAACTGAACATCATTTCCAGCTTCCAGAGACCACCATACTCATCTCTCTTCGACTCTGGCTCATGTCTGCCATGGAATCTTGTCTCCCCCTGATAGCCCAGAACTGCCCCAAATGCTGACCAATTTTGACACACAGAGTTCTCAATAGGCTCAGCTCCTCAGCTGATAGGCACTGAATCCAAGCACATCTGACAGCCACACCAAGGCCATGGTGCTCCAAAGGAGCATTCAAAGCTCTTTCAGTGTACACTACCACACTCTCCACCCAGTGTCTGAGCATGGCTCACGGGCCTGGGGCCCGTGTTGACCCAAACTCTTGGTCAGTGTGCTAACCCACCTGATATTTCTCATTGATTTTGATGTTGCCTCTAACCTGAAGGGTATTAGTTTGGTACACTTGCTGTAAAAAATTACCTCCTCTTGCTCTATCACCTGCCTCAGGTGCCCGGGGTCCTAGTGGTTCACTGCACTGTGAAGACAGATTCCAGATGCAGGGAACTCACACCTCCAATCCCAGACGCTGTGTCCAGCAAAGGCTCCATGGTTCTGGCCCACAGTGGTGGCCTGGACACCTCCTGCATCCTCATGTGGCTGAAGGAACAAGGCCATGATGTCATTGCCTACCTGGCCAAAATCAGCCAGAAGGAAGACTTCGAGGATGACAGGAAGAAGGCATGGAAGCTTGGGGCCAAAAAGGTGTTCATTGATGATGTCAGCAGGGACTTTGTGGAGGAGTTCATCTGGCCAGCCATCCAGTCCAGCATCCTGTATGAGGACTACTACCTCCTGGGCACCTCTCTGGCTAGGCCCTGCATCGCCCACAAACAAGTGGAAATCACCCAGCAGGAGGGGACCAAGTATGTATCCTACGGCGTCATGGGAAAGGGGAACGATCATGTCCTGTTTGAGCTCACCTGCTCACTGGCCCTCAGATTAAGGTCATTGCTTCCTGGAGGATGCCCGAGTTTTACAGCTGGTTCAAGGGCCTTAATGATCTCATGGAATACGCAAAGCAACATCGGATTCCCATCCCAGTCACTCTCAAGAACCCGTGGAGCATAGACGAGAACCTCATGCATATCAGCTACGAGGCTGGAATTCTGGAGAAACCCAAGTACCATAAGCACCTCCAGGTCTCTACATGAAGACTAAGGACCTCACCAAAGCCCCCAACACCACTGACATTCTCGAGATTGAGTCCAAAAAAGGGGTCCCTGTGAAGGTGACCAACGTCAAGGATGGCGCCACCCACCAGACCTCCTAGGAGCTCTTCATGTACCTGAACCAAGCTGCAAGCAAGCATGGCCTGGGCCATATTGACATCGTGGAGAACCATTTCATTACAATGAAGTCCTGAGGCATCTATGAGACCCCAGCAGGCACCATCCTTTACCATGCTCATTCACACATCCAGGCCTTCACCATGGATCGGGAAGTGCGCAAAATCAAATAAGGCCTGGGCTTGAAATTTGCTGAGCTGCTGTACACCGGTTTCTGGCACAGCCCTGAGTGTGAATTTGTCCGCCACTACATCGTCAAGTCCCAGGAGCTAGTGGAAGGGAAAGTGCAGGTGTCCGTCTTCAAGGGCCAGGTATACATCCTCGGACAGGAGTCCCCACTGCCTCTCTACAACGAGGAGCTGGTGAGCATGAGTGTGCAGGGCGATTAGGAGCCAGTTGATGCCACCGGGTTCATCACCATCAGTTCCCTTAGGCTGAAGGAATATCATCATCTCCAGAGCAACGTCACTGCCAAATGGACCCCTATACAAGTGGGAGCTGGGGCCTCCTCACTTTGCAGATCCCCCAAGTACAGGCACTAATTGTTGTGATAATTTGTAATTGTGACTTGTTTTCCCAGCTGGCAGCGTAGTGGGCCTGCCAGGCCCTAGCTTTGTTCCCTGGTCCCCCTGAAGCCTGCAAAAATAGTCATCAAAGGGAAGGGTGGGGGGCAGCTGCAGTGGGGAGCTATAAAATGACATTTTTTTTTTGAGACAGGTTCTGACTCTGTCACCCAGGCTGGAGTGCAGTGGCTCGATCTCGGCTCACTGCAACCTTCACCTCCCGGGTTCAAGTGATTCTCATCCCTCATCCCTCATTCTCATTCTCATCCCTCAGTAGCTGGGATTACAGGTGCACACCACCATGCCTGGCTAATTTTTGTATTTTTAGTAGAGGCCAGCTTTCACCATGTTGGCCAGGCTGGTCACGAACTCCTGACCTCAGGTGATCTGCCCACCTCGGCCTCCCAGAGTACTGGCCTTACAGGCGTAAGTCAACACACCTGGCCAGAAATGACAATTAAAAGAAGATTAAAAAAAAAATGACCTCCTACTGGGTGGCTGAAAGCAACATAAATGTATTATCTCCCAGTTCTGTTTTTTTCAAAATTCGTTAATTTTTGTGGGTACATAGGAGGTGTATATGTTTATGGGATATCTGCAATGTTTTGATACAGGCATGCAATACATAACAATCACATCACAGAGAATGGGGTATCCAGCCTCTCAAGCATTTACCCTTTGTGTTGCCAATAATCCAATTATACTCTTTTAGTTATTTTTAAATGTAAAAGTAAGTCATTTTTGATCTCCTAGTTCTCTTCTTGGCCTCTCCCTAGCTTCCAGTAGCCACTGGCAATCCTTGGCATTCCTGGACCTGTGGCTGCATCACTGCAGTCCCTGTCTCCATCTCCATGTGGCCTTCTCCTCTGTGTCTGTGTATCCTCTTCCGTCTCCTAGAAGGACACCTGCCATTGCATTTAGGGCCCAACCTAATCCAGGATGATCTCATTTTGAGATCCTTGACTTAGGTATATCTGCAAAGACCCTATTTGCAAATGAGGTCCCATTCACAGGATCCGGGCATTAGGACATAGATATATCTTTCCAAGACCACAGTTTAAGCCACTACAGGTGTCCTTAGTTCCCTCTGGAGGCTCTAGGGGAGGGTCCTTCCTGCCTCTCCCAGCTCCTGGGGGCTCCAGGCATCCCTGGGCTTGTGGCTGCATCAATCCAGTCTCTGCCTCTGTCTCCACATGGCCTTCACCTCTGTATCTGTATCTCCTCTTCTGTCTCTTACAAGTACACCTGTCATTGCATTTAGGGTACTGAATCCAGCATGACTTCATCTTGACATCCCGTACTAATTACATTTACAAAGACTCAATTTCCAAATAAGGTCCTATTTCAAAATTTCGAGCAGACATGGAATTTTTTTTAGTGGGGAAGGTGGGGAGAAGACACAGAATACCTGTTGTGTTCCCCGCATCCTCTGGCTCCCGCTGTTTTCTCCTAGCCAGTGGGATCCTGGTCTCTCACATCTAGCCATTACCTGGAATCTTGCCTGCAGGGAGCTACCCCAACCCCCTGCCCTGACTGGCTCTGATTGGGTTATGTATTCCCCGTCTAATTGTATCACCACAATTATCACAACGTATATCTCATGATCATCATCCCCAGTTTAGGGACTTTACCTTCCACCATCCTTTCATTAAAATGGTTTATTAAGGTGCTTACTGCAAGTTAGACTATGTAAGTGGATACATTTTAAAAATAACTGAATTGAACAACATAATTTGACCTCCTACTCTCTGTTTGTCCTAGAAAAAAGCAGTAAGTACACATGAATTAGAGTCTTAAAATATGAGAGCTTTTCAGGTTGGGCGCGGTGGCTGACGCCTGTGATCCCAACACTTGGGGAGGCCAAGGCAGGAGGAGCACTTGAGCCCAGGATTTCAAGACCAGGTGGGCAACATGATGAGACCCCTGTCTCTACAAAAAATACAAAAAAATTAGCTGGTGTGGTAGCACGCACCTGTAGTTCCAGCTACTCAGGAGGCTAAGGTGGGAGGATCACTTGAGCTCAGGAGGTGGAGGCTGCAGTGAGCTATAATCAGACAACTGCATTCCAGCCTGGGCAATAGAGCAAGACCCTGCCTCAAAATAAAATAAAGTAAAATAAAATAAAATAAAATATGAATTGAACAACGTAATTTGATCTCCTGCCCTGTGTCCATCCTAGAAAAAAGCACTAGGTGCCCTTGAATTCGAATCTTAAAATATGAGACCTTTGTTCTAAATGAACCACCCACAATCTCCACACCTGTTGTGAAGAAGTAACTAAAATGCCCGGATTTTGTTTACTTAGCAGAATCCCCTATATCCCTAAGTGACTCATAGCCTGTTGCTGTTATGTAACAGCTTGCTAGAGAGACTAAACATTTCAGGATTGTTAAGGGAACAAAATGCAAGTAAGGTGTTCCTACAGAAACGTTGCCCCTGGCTATGAACACCTATGAGACACTTGGAAAATGATGTCATTTTGTTTTGTTTTGTGGGAAGACAGATACACTGCATATTGTCCACATATGGAAACCATAGTCTGAGTATATAACCTGGGTGGCCAAATTAGTTGCAAACAAAGATACAGTAGCAATAATAGAGTGTAACCCTGATAGAAAGGAGAATGAACAGATCCACAATAGGTCAGAAGATCTGAAGTTGCATCCACCTTTATTCATTAGGAAGCCTACAAAAAGCAGGAAACAGTAGCTAATGTGCTTAATTCATGTTTAAAGAGTAATTGAAGTAACAGGTATCAGTGTGTTTTCAAAAGAAATAAAATTCAATGGCTGCAGTTTCCTATCTGGTTATATAATTCCCATGTAGTTGTATCACCCAATTGATGACTAAGTTAAACCCACAACACCCTTGCCAAGGCCTGCCCAGCCTCCAGCGATAGGCAGTGATATTTCAATTCGTTTAGGGGTAGGTCTGTTCCACATTCCACCAGCTCTATTGTGTGGGTTTTCCTTTTAGGGAGACAAAAATCCACCTCTAGGTAAGTTTCATGGATCACAGGTACACCGCTAGGGACCCTGTAGAATGTCTGTGATACTTCGACTACACAGCAGCCCTTCAAATCTTAAATGGCACACGCACAAAAATAATCATGCTTCCTGTGTCTTAATTTGGTTTAGAATAAATATGCACTCATGCATTGTTGAGGTTAAGAGTCTGCTATGGTCTGCATGTCTATGTCCCACCCCAAATTCATATACTGAAATCCTCACCAAAAGGTGATGGTATTGGGAGGCATGGCCTTTGGGAGGTGATGAGGTCATAAGGTAGAGCCTCATGAGTGGAATCAGTGCCCTTAGAAAAAGGGCCCCAGAAAGTTCTCTCGCCCCTTCCACCATGTAAGGACACAGCGAGAAGGCTCCATCTTAATCCAGGAAGCAGGTCCTAACAAGACACTGAATCTGCCCCGCCTTGACCTTGGACTCCCAGCCTCCAGAAATGTGAGCAGGAAATGTCTGCTGTTTGTGAGCCCCCCAGGCTATGGTATTTTGCTAGAGAAGTCTGAGTAGACTAGAATACGTTCCTTACACCAACTTTCGCTTTTCTATATTTCCTCAAATTCAAGCACTCAGTGCCAGGAGTATCTGGATGAGACCAGGTTGCGAATCCTTACTAGACACTGAATCTGCCATTCCTTGATATTAGACTCCCAGCCCCAGGACTATGGGAAATCAATGTCTGCTGTTTATAAGCCATGCAATCTAAGGTATTTTGTTACAGAAGTCTGAATTGACTGGGATACAGTTTCTTATAGCAGCATTCACTCTACTATATGCCTTCAAAATGGAGCACTCAGCACTGTGGGTATCCAGGGAGACCAGGTTGGGATGACTGTTGGTGCCTACACTTCAGCTGATTGGAGCTGAATATCACAGCACATTGTTTGATTTAGACAGGTATTTGTCAGTCTTGGTTTACATTCAACCAGTTGTAGACATTCCTAAAAGTTTTTCAAGCCACTCTTTCATCTCTGCTCATCAGGTATGGTGTGGAGAGGTTCAGAACACCTGCCTTATCCAGGTGGGTCTGCTATCATCACAGGGATCCTTACAAAAGGGAAGTGGGAGAGTCAAAGCTACAGAAAAGACACAGGCTGCAGGCTGCAGGTTGGCTTGATATAATTTGAAGATATAGGAAGCAGTCATGAGCCAAGGAATGTAGACAGCCTCTAGAAGCTGGAAACAGAAAGAAATCGTTTTTCTCCTAAAATACTCAAAACACAGCTCTGCAGACATCTTTATTTTATTCTGATGTCCAAAAGTGTAACAGAATAAATGGGTGTTGTTTTAAGCAATGACATGGGTGATAATTTGTGACAGCAGCCACAGACTTGCACACTCATCGTCCTGCTGGTCAACCTTCCCTACAAGAGAAATGCACCCCAGGTCCTTTGCACCTGCTGGCCCCTCTGCTTGGAAGCTTCTTTCTCCAAATGCTGAATGATTTATTCCAACACCACCTCCTCCGAGTGGCTTTTCATCTGTCCCTTTCCAAAATAATCTTCTCCTTTCCTTTTGCCCTGATTCACTTTTGGAAACAGTTCCTATGTGAGTTTAGAGTTTATTTTACTGCATTTGATTCTCTCACTAGAATGTGAGCTCAATGGAAGCTTCAGCGTTCTCACCCATGACCCTGTCTAGGGTTAGGGTTAGGGTTAGGCAATCTGGAGCCATCAATAGCTATTGAATGAACAAGCATGGCCAGGTCTATGTTTAGAGGGTCAACTTCTGGACAGGGACATAATATCTTCTTAAGCAGCGAGGAAGTCAGCAAGAGCCATATATCTGCCATAGGGAAAGAGTAGAAGCACACATATTGCAAGTGGAAATCAGAGTTAGGGGACACTCCATGGGTCTCTCTGATTCTGAGACACCCGACTGCATGGTGAGATATTGTATTAGTCCATTTTCACACTGCTGATAAAGACATACCTGAGACTGGGAAATTTATAAAAGAAAGAGGTTTAATGGACTTACAGTTCCACTTGGCTGGGGAGGCCTCAGAATCATGGCAGAAAGCAAGGAAGAGCAAGTCACGTCTTACATGGATGGCAGCAGGCAAAGCGAGAGCTTGTGCAGGGAAACTCCCCTTTATAAAACCATCAGATCTTATGAGATTTATTCACTATCACAAGAACAGCATAAGAAAGACCTGCCCCCATGATTCAATTACCTCCCACCAGGCCCCTCCCACAACACGTGGGAATTCAAGATGAGATTTGGGTGGGGACACAACCAAACCATATCAGACTTCTTCCATAAGTGGTTTTGGCTCCAGACACACAGTGAAGTCACCTGTGATGACCATTAAGCTGACTTTGGAAGTCACCTGTGAGCTTCCAAAAACACCTGCGCCTATGGTTCTAACTACATAGATTTGACTTCACTGGACCTGGATGTAGTCTGAATTCTGGGAGTGCAAATGTTCTTCTTGTGAGTCTAACAACCTCTAAATGGATATGATAATGCCTAGATCCCAAGACAGAAACAAATGTATAGTGAGCATCAAACTGGTTTGGGATGTGGGAGGCAGAGGATGCCATGGGTCAGGGAAAATGGGAGATCCTGAATTTGCCAATCTTTCTTATAAAGAAGGTTATATTTTCCTCAGAAGAGTAAATCAAACCCAATTTTAAACTTGATTTAGACAAAACATGTGTCTGCACATGGGTGTCTATCCCTTAAGGATGTAAGAGTTGTTGTACTATCCATCTATATTTATGACATATAGTTCTCTACAGGGAGAAAAATGCTGTAATTTTCTTTTATTTGAGGCCAACTCTGTTTTTTGGCCATGTGTTCAGCCATAAGTGGAACTGGCTGACTTTTAATTTTCCACGAGTATCATAAAGAATAGAAATGGAAAGTAATAAAGAGAAAGTGATTGAGTGGGCAATATTTTCCTTTTAGCTCCCAAAGAGAATGGCCAATATTTTTCAACCCTAAGGAATGCCTGTCATTTATTCTCAGAAGCAATGTAGGAATTCATGGGCTACCTCAAGAGATGCCATGAGAACAAAAGTGTAGACCCAAAACAAAGGTAGCTAGTGTCAGCACGTGATGTATGATGCAATTTGAAGACCAGGGAGAATTTGAAGGGATAAAAGGAGGGACATTGTGTCTCACAATAGAATCACGTAAGGGAAAAGATGTGCAGTGTGCCAAGTGAGTGTTTTCCAATTGGCAGTAGACAACAACTCTTCTACTGAGAAATAGTATGGGGGGAAGGAGAAAGAGAAGGCTAGAGATATGTTGCCTCTCTATTGGAACAACTCTTTGAAAAATGTGTATAGAAAACTTCTAAGTGTCCCAAGACCACAGACATATAGGATGTAGATTTGGCCATGGACCTTTGGCAATGGAACATTTGTACTCCCAGAATCCAGACTACACCCAGGACCAATGAAGTCCAATCCCTATAGGCAGAACCATTGGTGCAGGTGTTTCTGGATGCTCACAGGTGACTTCCAAAGTAAACTTAAAGGCCATCACAGGTAACTGGGGCCCAGACCACTCAAGGAAGGAGGCTCACAATGTGGTTGGGTGTCTCAGAATCAGAGAGACCCATGCAGTGTCCCCTAACTCTGATTTCCACTGGCAATAGGTGCACTTCTACTCTTTCCCTATGACAGCCTGATGGCTCTTGCTGTCCTCCTCACTGCTTAAGAAGATATTATGTCCCTGTCCAGAAGTCGACCCTCTAAACATAGACCTGGCCATGCTCATTCATTCTTTCAATAGCTATTGATGGCTCCAGGATGCCTAACCCTAACCTAACCCTACTGCTAACCCTAACCCTACCCCTACCCCTAACCCTAGACAGGGCCATGAGTGAGAACACTGACGTTTCCATTGAGTTCACATTCTAGACAAAGAGTCAGACACAGTACAATAAACACTAACCTCACATAGGAACTGTTTCCAAAAGTGAATCAGGGCAAAGAGGAAGGAGAAGGTAATTTTGGAAAGGGACAGGTGAAAAGCTATTCTGAGGAGGTGGTGTTGGAATAAATAATTCAGTTTTTGGAGAAAGAAGATTCCAAGAAGAGGGGCCAGCAGGTGCAAAAGGCCTGGGGTGCATTTGTCTTGTGGGAAATTTGAACAGCAGGATGATGAGTGTGTGAGTCTCCTGTGGTTGCTGTTACATGGGTCTGTAGGGTGATAAAATGAGAACATTTTAGTCAAATATTTCAGTGCCCAGTTTGAGGACAGTAGGTTGATAAACCAGCCAGGAATATTCCAGGCTTTCTCTCATCCATTTGCAAGACTGAAACTGGCCTTGTCTGTACCATGTTTCAATAACAGGCTGCCTTATTAACATGTACTCCTGTAGGATAGGAAAAACGCTGACTCAATAACACTGCCTGAAAAAAAATGCAACAAAATATGTTTTTCCTCTTTCTCCCTCTCTTCTTATTCCTCCTCCCTCTCCTCTAATTGTATAAAGTGATATCTTATTATCTTCATTTTTATTTCTCATTACATTTTGATTTTGGCATCTCCTCGTACTCATTGAATGAGTTTTCTAGGGATGTTGCAATGCATTCCCACAAGTTCAGTGGCTTAAAACAACACACATTGAGTATCTTCCAGTTCTGAAAGTCAGAGTCCAAAATGAGTCTCCCTGGGATAAAATTGACATATTGGCAGGACCCCGTTCCTTCTGGAGGCTCTACACAGGGAGGATCTATTTTCTTGCCATTTCTAGCTTTTAGGAGTGTCAACTAAAAATAAAATCCTAACACCCCCTCCCCACCCCTGCACCCCTGCTCCCTGGTTATCTGAACTGATCCCTCCTCTCAGCCAAGGGCACTCCAAAGTTAACCTGAAAAACTGGTTCAGGCCATGATGGGAAGTGGAAGCTGGACATGCCTCATCATGCCCTCCTCCCTTTTGGAATCACTGATAGAACAGACTCTCTAACTCTGATAAGAAACCTTTATAATCTATTCTCTCTGGAGCCTGCTACCTGGAGGCTTCATCTTCATCATAAAACCTTGGTCTCTACAACCCCTTATCATAACCCAGACATTCCTTTCTACTGATAATAACTTTTTCAACCAATTGGAAGCCCCTCTTCCTGCCACTTTGAGTTGTCCTGCTTTTCTGGACCAAACAAATATACATCCTACATGTATTGATTGATGTGTCATGTCTCCCTAAAATACATAAAACCAAGCTGTACTCCAGCCAGCTTAGGCAGATGTCATCAGGACCTCCTGAGGCTGTGTCAAGGGCACACCCTTAACCTTGGCAAAATAGACTTTCTAAACTGATTGAAATCTGTCTCAGTTACTTTTGGTTTAATGGGAGCTACCAATGTTTCTTGACTCATGGCCCCTTTCTCCATCTGCAAAGCCAGCCATAGCCACCAGGTCTAGTCTTTCTCAAGTTGCCACCTCTCTAGTTCTCCCTCCCCGCAACATTTTAAGGACCTTAGTGGTCACAAGGGACCACCTGTGTTACTCAGGATACTCCCCTTATTTTAAGATCAACTGATGAGAGAAAACTTAATTCCATATACAACCTGAATTTCCTACTGCCATGGTGCATAACACTTGTATAGGCTCTGGGAAGTAGGACATGACATCTTTGGGATGGGAGAGATCACCCTGTCTGCTATATGCATTCAAACTATTCGAGTTTCTTCTTGTAAGAATTATCATTGCTACCCATTTTGCCTTTCCTCGTGGGTTTTATTTTCATCTTAATAGGCATACTGGCCAGGAGCAGTGCCTCATGCCTGTAATCCCAGCACTTTGGGAGGCTGAGGTAGGAGGATCGCTTGAGCCCAGGAGTTTGAGACCAGCCTGGCCAACATGGCGAAACCCCATCTCTGCTAAAAATACAAAAAATTAGCTGGGCGTGGTGGTGCACGCCTGTAATCCCAGCTACTCAGGAGGCTGAGGCACAAGAATCGCTTGAACCCAGGAGGCGGAGGTTGCAGTGGGCCGAGATAGCACCACTGAACTCCAGCCTAAGTGACAGAGTGAGGCTCTGTCTCAAAAAAAAAAAAAAGTAGAAAGATTATTTTTAAAAAATAATAATAATAGGCGTACTTTGTATAGTTTAGGTATTAGCCCCTCATCAGTTTGACACTGTGTGTGTGTATGTGCATGTGTGTATGCGCGTGTGTGTGCGTGTGTGTATGTGTGTGCACGTGTGTATGTGCATGTGTGTGTGCACGTGTGTGCATGTGTAAGTGTGTGTGCGTATGTGCATGTGTGTATGTGTGTATGTGTGCGTGTGTGTGTATGTGCATGTGTGTGTATGTGCGTGTGTATGTGTGTACTGTATGTGTGCATGTGTGCACGTGTCTGCATGTGTGTGCATGCATGCGTGTGCACATGTGTGTATGTGCATGTATGTGCATGTGTGTATGTGCACGTGTGTATGTGCATGTGTGTGTTTATGTGTGTGTATGTGTGCGTGTGTGTGTTGCGTGTGTGTGTGTGTATGTGAGTGTGTGTGAGCACTTTTCTGTGAGGTATTTCTAAAATATTTTTCTTTCTTCTCACAATTCAAATACTTAACCAGAATACCTCTAGTTGCTATTTTTCTTTCCATAACTTTCATCTGGGACTAATTAAGAACCAGATAGCCAGAAAGGTCCTATGAATTATTATTTTAAGAATAAAGACAATGTTATTTTGTAGATGTTACAAAAATACAATGAATTGATTTCCAAGAACACCGTGCACTCTTTTTTGTTTGTTTTTAGTGTCTCCAATAATTTATCTTGTAGGTAACCTATCCTCACAGAAGCACTCAGGGCAGAAGAGGAGACCGAGGTTTCTGTGCAATTATTTATTTGGAAATGGAGCCCATTCCCTTCCTGGAGCAGGAGCTCAGGAAGTGGAGGGAAGGACGTGAAACAGGAAAAGAGGAAAAGCCCATTTGAGGATTTATGACTGGATTTGCTGCCAAAGTTGCAACTACAGTTTTTTAGGATAACTGTAAGGCTGCACTGGGGAGATGAAAGAGGAAGCTATTTCTCCATCTCCTTCCGTCCTCTATGGGTGAAGGATGGCTCCTTCTCTCTTCTGATCCTGAGTGCTGGAAAGCTCAAGAAATTCTTCTGAGAATTGAGTGAGTTCAGCCAGCCTGGATTCCCTGGAATTCTGGTGAAGCCTGACTGGGGTAAGAACAAAGATTGAGAAGGTTTGACTTGGTAGACAACCAGTACCTCATGAATAGATATCCTGTAACATAAAATAGTGGTAATACTAATAATAATTATCATTATTATTAGCAATAATGCTGCAGGTTTGTCGTTACTGCCTATGTATATTTTTTCCAGGATGAAAAAACTTCCTCCACATTCTAGGAGAGAATTTCGCTTCACGAGTAGGTAGTCCACAGAATCCTAACCTCACAGGATGGTTCATTCAAAACAGATTCAATGATAAAACACACTTTAGAAAGGTTAAATATATGTTATCCTTGGTAGTGACTCATAACCCTGTTAGTTATGGCTGTGTAACAAATTAACCCCAACACTGAGCCATTTAAAGCCACACACAACACACATGTATTGTCTTGGTTTCTGTGGGCTTGGGATCTGAGGATGAGCCGGCATGGTTAGCTGGGTCTCACAGCTGAGGGTCTCTTAGGAGTTTGCAGTTGAGGTGGAGGTGGGGGCTACAGCATCTCAGGGCTTGACTGCAGAGGGATTTGCTTCCAAGCTCACTCACATTGCTGTTGGTGGGATTCAGTTCCTCACTGGCTGTTGTCCAGAAGGTTCCTTTCATTCTGAGTCACGTGGACTTCTCCATTGGGAAGCTTACGACGCACAGGCTGACTTCCCTCATAGCAAGCACCCAATCAAGCCAGTGAGGGGGATGAGGAATATGGAAGCCACAGCCTTTGTGTAACCTAATTTTGGTAATTGCATTCCATTGCAGTCAACACATTGTGTTCATTAGAAGCAAGTCGTGCATCCTGCCTACACTCAGGGAAAATGATTATACAAGGGAATGAATGCCAGGAGTGGGGGGTTCTTGAAGTTTCTCTTAGAGTGAGCTTTCCTATGTTGGCAACATATGCAGAATCTCTAGTATATCAGGTTCAATCAGGAAGAGATAACCTGCAAAATGGGACAAAATATTTGCAAACTCTGCATCCAACTAATATTCAGAATCTACAGGGAACTCAACAATAACGAAAAAAATCCGTATAACCCTATTAAAATGTGGTTAAAGAACATGAACACACAGTCTTCAAAAGAAGACATATCAATGGCCAAAAAGCATATGAAAAATTGCTCAACATGACCAATCATCAGAGAAAAGCAAATTGAAACCATAATGAGATATATTCTTATTTCAATCAGACTAGCTATTTTTTTTTGAGACAGAGTCCCACTCCGTCACCCAGGCTGTAGATAATTTGATTATTACTGCCATGCCTTGGTATTTGTGTTTCAAGAGCTGCCAGCAACTGCTATTAAAGGATGCATTTATAAACATCCCTGTGAAATTGATCACTGAGTCAGCTCCTGAAATATCTGGAAAGACTGTGTCCACTTTATGTATCTCTCCTCTATATATAGGAAGTCCCAAGAAAATGGGAGTCCAGTATCAAAAAAGGATTTGCTTCTTAAATAGCACCACACTTTCTTCTATTTAATATTGAAAACTGTCAAGGACTATGTTCTTTCTTTATTTAGACTGCCAGAAAGTACAGACACATCATCATCTGTGTTCATCCTCGTGGTTTCATTGTCAGCCCTCACTGTCATATCACCCTGGTTTTCTATCACTCATTTATAATCTGTATTCTTTATATCCTATTTTTAGTTGCATTTTGTATATCTTATATTATTCTGTTTCTTCTTTCCTGAAGCGTCCTCCTTCTTTTCAAAGGACAAGGCAAGGCCAGACATGATTGCTCATGCCTGTAGTTCTAGCATTTTGGGAGGCTGGGGTGGGGGGATCACTTGAGCCCAGGAGTTAAAGATTAGTCTGGGCAACATGGCAAGACCTTGTCTATAAAAAATAAAAAAATTAGCCCAACATGGTGGTGCACACCTGTATTCCCAGCTACCTGGGAGTGGGAGGTGGGAGAATCACTTGATCCCAGGAGGTCAAGGCGGTAGTGAGCTATGATTGCACCACTGCACTCCAGCCTGGGAGACAGAGCAAGACCCTGTCTCCAAAGAAAGAAAGAATAAAGGACAAGGCATGGCCTGTAAGTTGACAACCAACAAAAGAATCACTACAATTACAAACTGCCCTCCAATTTGGAGCAGTTCTGGTGGCTCAGACCATGTGGTTAAATACCCTGGTTTCTAATGACTTTGAGGGTGTGAGGTTTCCCATACACATACACAGCACAGCTTCTCAGAGGTCTGAAAATGGTTTCCTTTTCTGGTTTGCACTCTCCGCTCGTAGGTTTTACAACAGACATAAATGTTCATGTCCTATGTAGCATGTTCAACAATTGTGCAATGTATAATTTCACCATTTGCAAGGATACTAAGTGAGTGGAAAACTGAATTTATAACGTTGATGTACATTACACCTGTTGCCTGATGTATTAGTCAGGATAAAAGAGAACTAATAGAATGTGTTTGTGTGTGCATGTAGTTGACCCTTGAAGAACACAGCTTTCAACTTATACGTGAATTTTCTTCTACCTTTGCCATCCCTGAGACAGCAAGACCAACCCCTCCTTTTCCTCCTCCTGCTCCTCAACGTGAAGACAGTGAGAATGGAGACCTTTAGGATGATCCATTGAAAATGAAAGTTTAAAAAAAGAATATATTGGCTGGGCATGGTGGCTCACGCCTGTAATCCCAGCACTTTGGGAGGCCGAGGCAGGCGGATCACGAGGTCAGGAGATCGAGACCATCCTGGCTAACACGGTGAAACCCCGTCTCTACTAAAAATACAAAAAAATTTAGCCAGGCATGGTGATGAGCGCCTGTAGTCCCAGCTACTCAGGAGGCTGAGGCAGGAGAGTGGCGTGAACCTAGGAGGCAGAGCTTGCAGCAAGCTGAGATCATGCCACTGCACTCCAGCCTGGGTGACAGAGTAAGACTCCGTCTCAAAAAAAAAAAAAGAACATATTTGCTAACATCATAAATAAATAAATAAATAGCAAATCTATTTTTTCTTCCTTATGATTTTCTTTCATGACATTTTCTTTTCTCTAGCTTACTGTATTGTAAGAATACAGTATTGAGGCCGGGCGTGGGAGCTCATGCCTGTAATCCCAGCACTTTGGGAGGCCAAGGCAGGTGGATCACTTGACGTCAGGAATTCGAGAGCAGCCTGGCCAACATGGCGAAACTCCATCTCCACTAAAAATACAAAATTAGCTGGGCATGGTGGCGTGTGCCTTTAATCCCAGCTACTTGGGAGGCTAAGGCAGAAGAATCACTTGAACCTGGGAGGTGGAGGTTGCACTGAGCCAAGGTCATGCCACTCCAGCCTAGGTGACAGGGCAAGACTCCATCTCAAAAAAAAAAAAAAAAAAAGAACACAGTATTGAATACATATAATGCACAACATTTGTGTTAATCAACTGTTTATATTACCAGTAAAGCATCTGGTGAACAGTAGGCTGTTAGTAGTTAAGTTGTGGAGAAGTCAAAAGTTATAAGTGGATTCTTTCTTTTTTTGAGACAGGTTCTCACTGTGTGACCCAGGCTGGAATGCAGTGGCCTGATCTCAGCTCACTGCAGCCTCTGCCTCCCCAGCTCAAGCGATTCTCCTGCCTCAGCCTCCCGAGTAGCTGGCATCACGGATGTGCACCACCACATCCGGCTAATTTTGTACTTTTAGTAAAGACAAAGTTTCACCAAAGTTTGCCCTAGCTGGTTTTGAATTGCTGAGCTCAAGAGATCTGCCCGCCTCAGCCTCCCAAAGTGCTGGGATTACAGGCGTGAGCCACCATGCCCGACTGAGTTATAGGTGGATTTTTTACTGTGTTGGGGGGAGTCAGTGCCTCTAACCTCTGTGTTGTTCAAAGATCAACTGTATATATAGTTATATATACTTTTATATAGGTACACATATACATATGCCAACATGTTTATATTTATATACATATTTTACATATGTATATGTTTATATGTGTTACTATATAACCAGTTACATATATAAATATATATGTATTGTGTATATATGTATATAAATAAGTATATATGTCTTTGTGTATATGAATAAATACACATGCATGTAAATATAAATATATGTATATATACATATATTTATTTACATATACATACACTTACATACATTTATATATACATACACATATACACTATATATAATATATAAATACATATACTTTATATACACTCACACAAATGCACACATATATATATTTTTTATACACACACACATATATATTTCTTTACATACACACATACACAGAGTTTTGAAGAAATTGGCTTATGTGATTGAAGAGACTTGGCAAGCCCGATATCTCCAGGGTAGACCAGAAGGCTGGAGACCCAGGGAAGAGCTGATGCTGCAGCTCAAGCCCAAAGTCCTCTGTGTGGAGGCAGAATTTCTTCCTCCTCCAGGGCCCACAGTCTTTTGTTCTCTTACAGTCTTCAGCTGATTGGACAAGGCCCATGTACCTCATGGCGGGCAATCTGCTTTACTCAAAGTCTATGGATTTCGGCATTAATCTCATCTAGAAAATACCTGCACGACAATGCCTAGGCTAGTGCTTGACCAAATACTTGGGTTCCATGAGCTCACCAAGCTGTCACATCAATTTGACCCTTGCTCTAAATTTTAAAATGTTTTGTATTGCAAACTTGCAATTTCTTTGCTTGTACACACCCCTCTATGTAGGACACTTGTGCTCCACAGTCAATCCTGCCAACTGCACCTCTTACTCCAGTCAATGCCATCATGGCCAGTTGCCTGCAGCTTTTGCCATGTTCCCCAGGTGTCTCGTGGCTGGCTTGTCTCAATTGTGTGGTGGCACCTTCCCCTCCTGCCACCTTCCTTCTCTGCAAATAGTTTGACTTTTGCAACCAAGCAAGCAAGACACAGGAGAGAAGAGCCTGAGATGGAGCAAGGACTCCCCTCTTTGGAGCCTGTGGGATTCCCCACACGTGGAAATAAAGGAAAATCTTGAGTTCCTTGGAGGGAAATTCCAGGCATCTAGCTGGCTCTAAGAAGTCAATGAGCAGCCTGATAAGCAAGAAGGTAATCGTAGCTTAAAACAATTGCCAAGGAAGAAGTTAGAGTCACGAGATGCTTGGCTCCCCTACATGTGTTTGCAGAAACTCAGACCTCCACCCAATAAATCTACTACCCTCTCCCCTGACCACAGATAAGGGGGACTGGGGGTTACACTCTGAGCACCATTCCTTGTTCTCAATTTCTTTCCAAGGGGCCTGGATGTCACGGCCCTGGGTCAGAATGAACCTTCTTTCCTGCTGATCCCAAATTTTAAGACAAAGCTTTGCCTGCTTCGCTGATTACAAATCAGAGGGACTTTGAATCCACCTAGACCCGTAGGCCTCTGCTTTGGGATTTCTCGCTGTTTTAGGTCAAACCAATGTATAACCTCCATGCATTGATTTATGACTTTGCCTGTAACCTCTGCCTCCATGAATTAAAGAATTCATACCAAGAAGCCATCATGAAGGCCAGGGTTTAACCATGAGCTGCCCAATTCTCCTTGTTTGGTTCCCTGCAAATAAACACCTTCCTTTCTCCCACTGCAAACCTCACTGTAGACATCTGGTCTTACTGCACTGGGTGAGCAGACCTCAGTTCAGCTCCAAAACAAGATGATGCAGCCTCTGCACCTTGAGAATTGCAGGCTGCTGGACAAATGCCTTTGCTTGCAGCCCTTGGGAGGACAGTTCTGAGACACATTTCTCAAGTCCAGGTTAGATAAGACCCCCGTTGTCTGTAACAGGGATGAAGACCACAACCCAATCTTGTTTGCCTTTCTCTCTTTCCAGTTTCACACTTGACCCATAAACCACTTGGCAAGGAAACTTCCTGCACACAGCCCTGCCCAGGCAATGATACCCTTGAGTGAGCATCTGATAAGCCAAAACAATTAAGAATGAAAGAATGCAATGACTTGCACAGTGAAGAATGCGAGATCCAAAGTAAGGTCTTAGCTGTGAGACCAGCCATGACATGAGTGTGAAATATTGGAGCCTGTGGCCTGCACTCAACAGAGGGTGTTTGCAGCTTATATGGAAATAAAATTCATAATACTGTAGGGTCAGAATAGGTAGAGGGTTTTGGATCGTGGGGTGTATGTGTGTGTATGTATGTGTATTAGTGTATATATGCACATACGTGTATATGTGTGTGTGTGTATATATATATATGTATAAATATGAATTAGCATGTGTATCTCTACCTTACTCCTTGAGGCAAAATTCATCTTCTCATATACTGGGCAGAAATATTGTTCTCCTCCTACAAAGTCATGTTCAAATATTGTGACCCTACCTTATCCAATTTTATTATTCACATAAGTTAGTTCACACACTTCTATAAGGCAGTTCAAATCCTTGATGAATATCTACATCTACATATAGCCATACATACACACACACATACATACATGCATCTACATCTAGACAGGCATAAATGCATGCACATACATCACAGATAGATGATAGATAAGTAATAGGTACATAGATAATAGATAGATAAATGAATAATAGGTGATTGATAGACTGATGATATAATAGATACATAATACCTATATGAATGCATGATAGATAAACAGATGATAGCTAGGTAGATAGGTAGAGAATAGATAGATGAATGGATAGATAGGTGATGGATAATATATAGATAGAAAGATAGATAATAGATGAATGGGTGGATGGAAGATAGATGAATAGATGGAATAAATATATAACAGATAGCTTGATAGATGGATGAGGTAGATAGATACATAGATAGATGATAAGTGGATAGATAATAGATAAAGAAATACATGATAGAAGAGATACACAATAGCTAGATGGATAGATGATAGATAGTAGATAGATAAATAGATGATTGGTAAATAGTTATATAATAGGCAGATAAGAAGAGAATAGATAAATGGATGGATAGATGAATAGATGATACATAGAAAGATAGCAGATGAATGGATGGATGAAAGACGGATAGGTAGATAGAATAAATATATAATAGCTTGATAGATGAATGATAATAGGTAGATAGATGATAGGTAGATAGATAGATGATAGATAAATGGTAGATAATAGATGAACGAATGGATGATAGAACAGTAACATAATAGCTAGATGGATGGATGATAGATAGCAGATACATAAATAAATGATAAGTAAGCAGATAGATAGACGATAGGCAGTTAGGTAGAGAATAGATTAATGGATAGATAGATGAATGAATAATACCTAGAAAGATAGACAGATAGATAATAGATGAATGGATGATAAAAGGTAGATAGATAAATAATAGATGAGACATAGATAGATAGATGATAGATAGATATCCATTAAAATAAAATGCAATGTCATGTGCCAAATACTTAATGCAAAGCAGTGAAGGAGACAAAAGCATCTTCTTATTGGACTTCTGGGCTCTGTGTATATCAGAGATTCTCTAAATTATGGGAGGAGGTGACTCAATTTCATATTAACTCCTCATACGCTGATGCCTCCAACTCTCCACTCAAATTCATCTACCTATCTGCCTATCACCTAACTACTTATCATCTATCTATTTATCTATCTACTCTCTATCATCCACCATTCGTCTAGCCATTAGGTTTCTATTCTGTCTATCTATCAGCCATTTAGATATGTGAGACAAGGGAAAAGGGAAGAAGACAGCAATGGTAAGCCCAAGAAAACTCAATGAGAGCATGTTTGCAACAGTGGATGCCATTTATAAGTAATTTTTTACTTTATTTTACTAAATAAGTGAATGCATGAAGAGCATAGGTTGCTGAGGGAAGGCAGGTGACAGAAGGAAACGGTGGCCTGCTCAGAAAGAAAAGGTAGACAGAAAAAAAGGGGGGCTGCAGGACACCCAGAGATAAACTGGTCAAGATGTACTTGTCCTTAGGAACCAAGAAACACTCATTAATTCATTCCATGGCGACTGTTTCTCCAGCAAGTGGAGAGACAGTAATCTGATCCCCTGAACATGGCCCCAGTAGCAAGGTCAGCTCTGGGCCAAGTTACCAGTTGGGCAAAAGTTCCCAGAATGTCTACCTCGTCCTTTTTGGGGACAGCTGGTTCCTCCACGCCAAACCTATTCTTGCAGTTCTAAGTCTCTAAGTAGCCATTCATCTCTCCTCCCAGGCACGTGTCATGCTATACACACCTGCTGTCTTTCTTTTTTCTTTTTGAGACAGAGTCTAGCTGTGTCATCAGGCTGGAGTGCAGTGGTACGATCTTGACTCACTGTGGCCTCTGCCATCCGGATTCAAGCGATTCTCCTGCCTCAGCCCCCTGAGTAGCTGGGATTACAGGTGCGCGCCACCACACCAGGCTAATTTTTGGGGGGGAGTTTTAATAGAGACAGAGTTTCACCATGTTGGCCAGGCTGGTCTTGAACTCCTGACCTCGGGTGATCCACCCATCCAGGCCTCCCAAAGTACTGGAATTACAGGCATGAGCCACCACGTCGGCCCACACCTGCCTTCTGAGGCATTGAAGATGCACCATTCCCTGTATGTATTAGGGTTGCAGGATTAAATATAAGACTTCGATTTAACTTGGGTTTGAAGATAAACAATTATTTTAAAATATATATTGTAAGTATATCCTACATATTTAATAAGTCATACTAAAAATGATCCATCATTAATCTGAAACTCACTTTTAATTGGACATTTTGTATTTTCATTTGCTAGACCTGACAATCCTAATACAGAGCATTTTCATTTTGAGAAGTAAAAGATACGTGGATTCCTATGACTCCAAATGTCTGCCCCTTTAGCATCTATATGTGTGTGTGTATGTATGTGTGTATATATGTATTGTGTATGTGTGTATATATATGTGTGTGTATGTATGTGTGT